>NC_000015.10:54526874-55151874 GCF_000001405.40 Homo sapiens | reverse complement strand
AGATAAAATAGCACTGAGGAGCTTGCTGAGCAGCTGCACAAATAGAATCATGTTGCATATGGAAACCAGAGACAGGACCAATAGGCAGCAGGTGGGGAGACAGCAGAACGAGTACTAGAGGAGGAGTCAGGGTTTGCCTTCTCGATTTTTTTTTTCTTTGCCACTTAATATCAGCCTGCAAATCACTCTGTCTAACCCACCCCACACCTCAATTTCCACCTCTATAAAACAATAAAGTTTACTCTGCTACCTCTCAGGGTATTGTAAAAATCAAATAGGCAACATACATGAATGAAAAACTGAAGCCCTGAATGTGGCAGGTGTTATCCTTCTGAGTAAGGCCTAATGTAGTGTTAGAGGCCAAGAAACAAAAATTAAGAAGCAGCGTACGGTGCAAGCGATGGGTAACAGTAATAGTGACTGATGTACTGAATGCCTATGTGCCTGGAGAACTGCATGAATTATTGATAATCTTGACAGCTCCGGAAACTGGCATTTTTATTCCCATTTGCCGATCAAGTTAAGTGATTTGTTCAAGGAAGGAATTAAACTCAGTCCTGACCATTTATGGAGATTGTGCTTGCTTCACTATCTCACATGCCTCCCCCAAATTCTTTGCACATTTATAGGCACTAAGTATGGGGAATTAAAAAGATGACTCTTATTTTTATGCTTTCGATTCTTTGTAACTTCATTCTCAGCCCTGTTCTTCCCCACCTTAGAAACGTATGTAGGCTTTGACCTAGCAAATCTGTTGTTGAAACGCTGTCAGGAGACTGGCATTCCCGCTTGCTTGCATACTGAGTTCTGACCATGCAGGATTTGGGCATCCTTGTCATGGCCCTGGGGACAGCATGACAGACCACCTGTGTACAGGCTCTCCTTCAACGCCCGTAGAAAACCACAGCAGCTGCAGCAAGGCCGAGGTGAGGATGTGTGTGCATGGAGAGCATGAGGTATTTAATCCCTGAATTCATTTTCTGTTGTTGCTGTAACAAATTGCCACAAATATATGGTGGCTTAAAACAACATAAATTTATTACTTCACAGCCTGCAGGTCAGAAGTCTGACATGGGTCTGACCGGGCTAATATCAAGGTGTCAGCAGGGCTCTTGCATTCCTTTCTGGCAGCTCTAGAGGAGAGGTGGTTTCCTTGCCTTTTTCACCTTCTAGAGACTGTCCACATCCCTTGGTTCCTGGCCCCCTTGCTATGTCTTGAAAGCCAGAAACTCTCTGAACCATTCACATCACATTTCTCTCTGACTGACTACAGCTGGACAGGACTTTTCACTTTCAAGGATTCATGTGCCTAGATTGGGCCACCTGGACAATCCAGGCAAATCTCCCATCTCAAGGTCCTTAACCTCAACCACATTTGCAAAGTCCTCGTTGCCATGTAAGGTAATGTATTCACAAATTCTGGGTATTAGGATATGAACATCTTTGGGAGGCATGTTTCTGCCTATCACAATCCCCATTCAGATCACAAAGTACAACAGGCACAAACAGGTTTGGGAACAAACACAAGTGACTCTTGGTAAACATGGAACTCACTTATCAGGGGAAACAGAAGTGTATAGGGGTACCAGGAGTGGCTGACTAGCTGACATACTGGGACTGTTCAGTATGCACGGTGCCTCTATTGGTTTGTTTTATGGAGAGAATAGACAGAGATGATTAATCTGATAAAATGATTAAATGGAGACCAATATGTAAATAGACTTTATACTGCCATTTGGTAGGGCGTATTTGGGAAGGTGAGTTTGACAGTGTTGCAAGGACTTTGAGTTCTGCTGTTTTAGCCCCGTAGAGTTAAAACAATGGCAAACAATCTCTTAACCCCATCTAATAGTGGAGGGAGACCATCTGCTGGCCTCCCGGACTAGGCACCCATTGATTTTTTTTGAGGTGAGTAACAGCTTGTGGGCAGCTGAATAGTTATTGAAGGTAACTGACATGAGGATAGGGAGGGACAGGAATCAATAGATATGAAATATTTTGAACTTGGCTTGATAATTTCTACTCTATGAAGATGCCTTTTCCTCTCTGCTCAATCAGAGATTTTAACATCCTTCTTAGTTCTAACTGTACCATGTATGTATGCCTCATTTTCAGCTCTTATAACACGAGGCTGTAACTATTTGATTTTTTTCTTGCCAAAATTCTTTATTCTTGCCAAAATTCTTTATTCTCTAGCCAAAGATGATGTCTGTTGTTAATATCTTAAGGTTCTGAAGTCCATCTGGAATTACAGTGCAAGTAAATTGTAGTCTGATCTTGTGCAGTATCTGTAATGCAAGGTGTGACCATCAGCTTATAGATACAGTTGAATCTTAGCATTATTCTAAGGCTTGGAAGTTAAACATAGAATTATATACAGAGAAACAAAGCCTTTCATACATTAAAATAGAAACTATTTCTGCTGATCTATAAAATGTCCTTCTTGTGGGTATTTTCAGATAATTTTCTAAGCTTTTACTATATATATGTATATGTATGTGAATACATATATATGTTTTATTTATTGCAAAACTGTAGTCTCAAGATCATTTTTTAAAATTTTTTTATTTTTATTATACTTTAAGTTCTAGGGTACATGTGCACAACATGCAGGTTTGTTACATATGTATACATGTGCCATGTTGGTGTGCTGCACCCATTAACTCATCATTTACATTAGGTTTATCTCCTAATGCTAACCCTCCCCCCTCCCCCCACCCCATGACAGGCCCCGGTGTGTGGTGTACCCCCTTCTGTGTCCAAGTGTTCTCATTGTTCAATTCCCACCTATGAGTGAGAACATGCGGTGTTTGGTTTTTTGTCCTTGTGATAGTTTGCGGAGAATGATGGTTTCCAGCTTCATCCATGTCCCTACAAAGGACATGAACTCATCCTTTTTTATGGCTGCATAGTATTCGATGGTATATATGTGCCACATTTTCTTAATCCAGTCTATCATTGATGGACATTTGGGTTGGTTCCAAGTCTTTGCTATTGTGAATAGTGCCGCAATAAGCATACGTGTGAATGTGTCTTTATAGCAGCATGATTTATAATCCTTTGGGTATATACCCAGTAATGGGATGGCTGGGTCAAATGGTATTTCTAGGTCTAGACTCTTGAGGAGTCGCCACACTGTCTTCCACAATGGTTGAACTAGTTTACAGTCCCACCAACAGTGTAAAAGTGTTCCTATTTCTCCACATCCTCTCCAGCACCTGTTGTTTCTTGACTTTTTAATGATCGCCATTCTAACTGGTGTGAGATGGTATCTCATTGTGGTTTTGATTTGCATTTCTCTGATGGCCAGTGATGATGAGCATTTTTTCATGTGTCTGTTGGGTGCATAAATGTCTTCTTTTGAGAAGTGTCTGTTCATGTCCTTTGCCCACTTTTTGATGGGGTTGTTTGTTTTTTTCTTGTAAGTTTGTTTGAGTTCTTTGTAGATTCTGAATATTAGCCCTTTGTCAGATGAGTAGATTGCAAAAATTTTCTCCCATTCTGTAGGTTACCTGTTCACTCTGATGGTAGTTTCTTTTGCTGTGCAGAAGCTCTTTAGTTTAATTAGATCCCATTTGTCAATTTTGGCTTCTGTTGCCATTGCTTTTGGTGTTTTAGATGTGAAGTCCTTGCCCATGCCTATGTCCTGAATGGTATTGCCTAGGTTTTCTTCTAGGGTTTTTATGGTTTTAGGTCTAACATTTAAGTCTTTCATCCATCTTGAATTAATTTTTGTATAAGGTGTAAGGAAGGGATCCAGTTTCAGCTTTCTCCGTATGGCTAGCCAGTTTTCCCAGCACCATTTATTAAATAGGGAATCCTTTCCCCATTTCTTGTTTTTGTCAGGTTTGTCAAAGATCAGATGGTTGATGTATGGTATTATTTCTGAGGGCTCTGTTCTTTTCCATTGGTCTATATCTCTGTTTTGGTACCAGTACCATGCTGTTTTGGTTACTACAGCCTTGTAGTATAGTTTGAAGTCAGGTAGTGTGATGCCTCCAGCTTTGTTCTTTGGGCTTAGGATTGTCTTGGCAATGCGGGCCCTTTTTTGGTTCCATATGAACTTTAAAGTAGTTTTTTTCCAATTCTGTGAAGAAAGTCATTGGTAGCTTGATGGGGATGGCATTGAATCTATAAATTACCTTGGGCAGTATGGCCATTTTCACAATGTTGATTCTTCCTACCCGTGAGCATGGAACGTTCTTCCATTTGTTTGTGTCCTCTTTTATTTCATTGAGCAGTGGTTTGTAGTTCTCTTTGAAGAGGTCCTTCACATACCTAAGTTGGATTCCTAGGTATTCTGTTATCTTTGCAGCAATTGTGAGTTCACTCATGATTTGGCTCTCTGTTTGTCTGTTATTGGTGTATAAGAATGGTTGTGATTTTTGCACATTGATTTTGTATTCTGAGACTTTGCTGAAGTTGCTTATCAGCTTAAGGAGATTTTAGACTGAGACGATGGGGTTTTCTAAATATACAATCATGTCATCTGCAAACAGGGACAATTTGACTTCCTCTTTTCCTAATTGAATACCCTTTATTTCTTTTTCCTGCCTGATTGCGCTTGCCAGAACTTCCAACACTATGTTGAATAGGAGTGGTGAGAGAAGGCATCCCTGTCTTGTGCTGGTTTTCAAAGGGAATGCTTCCAGTTTTTGCCCCTTCAGCATGATATTGGCTGTGGGTTTGTCAAAAATAGCTCTTATTATTTTGCAATACATCCCATCAATACCTAATTTATTGAAAATTTTTAGCATGAAGGGCTGTTGACGTTTGTCAAAGGCCTTTTCTGCATCTATTGAGATAATCATGTGGCTTTTGTCTTTGGTTCTTTTTATATGCTGGATTACGTTTATTGATTTGCATACATTGAACCAGCCTTGCATCCCAGGGATGAAGCCCACTTGATCATGGTGGATAAGCTTTTTGATGTGCTGCTGGATTCTGTTTGCCAGTATTTTATTGAAGATTTTTGCATCAATATTCATCAGGGATATTGGCCTAAAATTCTCTTTTTTTGTTGTGTCTGCCAGGCTTTGGTATCAGGATGATGCTGGTCTCATAAAATGAATTAGGGAGGATTCCCTCTTTTCTATTGATTGGAATAGTTTCAGAAGGAATGGTACCAGCTCCTCCTTGTACATCTGGTAGAATTCAGCTGTGAGTCTCTCTGGTCCTGGACTTTTTTTGGTTGGTAGGCTATTAATTATTGCCTCAATTTGAGAGCCTGTTATTGGTCTGTTCAGGGATTCAACTTCATCCTGGTTTAGTCTTGGGATGGTGTATGTGTCCAGGAATGTATCCATTTCTTCTAGATTTTCTAGTTTATTTGCGTAGAGGTGTTTATAGTATTCTCTGATGGTAGTTTGTATTTCTGTGGGATCAGTGGTGATATCCCCTTTCTCATGTTTTATGGCATCTATATGATTCTTCTCTCTTTTCTTCTTTATTAGTCTTGCTAGTGGTCTATTAATTTTTTGATCTTTTCAAAAAAACCAGCTCCTGGATTCATTGATTTTTTTTGAAGGGTTTTTTGTGTCTCTATCTCCTTCAGTTCTGCTCTGCTCTTAGTTATTTCTTGTCTTCTGCTAGCTTTTGAATGTGTTTGCTCTTGGTTCTCTAGTTCTTTTAATTGTGATGTTAGGGTGTCAATTTTAGATCTTTCCTGCTTTCTCTTGTGGGCATTTAGTGCTATAAATTTCCCTCTACAGAGTGCTTTAAATGTGTCCCAGACATTCTGGTATGTTGTGTCTTTGTTCTCATTGGTTTCAAAGAACATCTTTAGTTCTGCCTTCATTTCGTTATGTACCCAGTAGTCATTCAGGAGCAGGTTGTTCAGTTTCCACATAGATGAGTGGATTTGAGTGAGTTTCTTAATCCTGAGTTCTAGTTTGATTGCACTGTGGTCTGAGAGACAGTTTGTTATAATTTCTATTCTTTTACATTTGCTGAGGAGTGCTTTACTTCCAACGATGTGGTCAATTTTGGAATAAGTGTGATGTGGTGCTGAGAAGAATGTATATTCTGTTAATTTGGGATGGAGAGTTCTGTAGATGTCTATTAGGTCCACTGGGTGCAGAGCTGAGTTCAATTCCTGGATATCCTTGTTAACTTTCTGTCTTGTTGATCTGTCTAATGTTGACATTGTGGTGTTAAAGTCTCCCATTATTATTGTATGGGAGTCTAAGTCTCTTTGTAGGTCTCCAAGGACTTGCTTTATGAAGCTAGGTGCTCCTGTATTGGGTGCATATATGTGTAGGATAGTTAGCTCTTCTTGTTGAATTGATCCCTTTACCATTATGTAATGGCCTTCTTTGTCTCTTTTGATCCTTGTTGGTTTAAAGTCTGTTTTATCAGAGACTAGGATTGCAATCCCTGCCTTTTTTGTTTTCCATTTGCTTGGTAGATCTTCCTCCATCCTTTTATTTTGAGCCTATGTGAGTCTCTGCACGTGAGATGGGTCTCCTGAATACAGCACACTGATGGGTCTCGACTCTTTATCCCATTTGACAGTCTGTATCTTTTAATTGGAGTATTTAGCCCATTTACATTTAAGGTTAATATTGTTATGTGTGAATTTGATCCTGTCACTTTGATGTTAGCTGGTTATTTTGCTCTTTAGTTGATGCAGTTTCTTCCTAGCCTCGATGTTCTTTACAATTTGGCATGTTTTTGCAGTGGCTGGTACCGGTTGTTCCTTTCCATGTTTAGTGCTTCCTTCAGGAGCTCTTGTAGGGCAGGCCTGGTGGTGACAAAATCTCTCAGCATTTGCTTGTCTATAAAGGATTTTATTTCTCCTTCACTTATGAAGCTTAGTTGGATATGAAATTCTGGGTTGAAAATTCTTTTCTTTAAGAATGTTGAATATTTGCCCCTACTCTCTTCTGGCTTGTAGAGTTTCTGCCAAGAGATCCGCTGTTAGTCTGATGGGCTTCCCTTTGTGGGTAACCCGACCTTTCTCTCTGGCTGCCCTTAACGTTTTTTCCTTCATTTCAACTTTGGTGAATCTGACAATTATGTGTCTTGGAGTTGCTCTTCTCGAGGAATATCTTTGTGGCATTCTCTGTATCTCCTGAATTTGAATGTTGGCCTGCCTTGCTAGGTTGGGGAAGTTCTCCTGGATAATTCCTGCAGAGTGTTTTCCAACTTGGTTCCATTCTCTCTGTCACTTTCAGGTACACCAATCAGATGTAGATCTCATCTGGTCTTTTCACATAGTCCCATATTTCTTGGAGGCTTTGTTCATTTCTTTTTACTCTTTTTTCTCTAAACTTCTCTTCTCGCTTCATTTCGTTCATTTGATTTTCAATCACTGATACCCTTTCTTCCAGTTGATTGAATTCGCTACTGAAGCTTGTGCGTTCATCACGTAGTTCTTTTGCCATGTTTTTTAGCTCCATCAGGTCATTTAAGGACTTCTCTACATTGGTTATTCTAGTTATCCATTCGTCTAATCTTTTTTCAAGGTTTTTAGCTTCTTTGCAATGGGTTTGAACTTCCTCCTTTAGCTTGGAGTAGTTTGATCGTCTGAAGCCTTCTCTTAACTCGTCAAAGTCATTCTCCATCCAGCTTTGTTCCGTTGCTGGCGAGGAGCTGCGTTCCTTTGGAGGGGGACAGGCACTCTGATATTTAGAATTTTCAGGTTTTCTGCTCTGTTTTTTCCCCATCGTTGTGGTTTTATCTACTTTTGGTCTTTGGTGATGGTGACATACAGGTGGGGTTTTGGTGTGCATGTCCTTTCTGTTTGTTAGTATTCCTTCTAACAGTCAGGACCCTCAGCTGCAGGTCTGTTGGAGTTTGCTGGAGGTCCACTCCAGACCCTGTTTGCCTGGATATCAGCAGCAGAGGCTGCAGAACAGCGAATATTGCTGAACAGCAAATGTTGCTGCCTGATCGTTCCTCTGGAAGCTTTGTCTCAGAGGGGTACCTGGCCGTGTGAGGCGTCAGTCTGCCCCTACTGGAGGGTGCCTGCCAGTTAGGCTACTCGGGGGTCAGGGACCCACTTGAGGGGGCAGTCTGTCCATTCTCAGATCTCAAACTCCATGCTGGGAAAACCACTACTCACTTCAAAGCTGTCAGACAGGGACATTTAAGTCTGCAGAGGTTTCTGCTGCCTTTTGTTCAGTTATGTCCTGCCCCTAGAGGTGGAGTCTACAGAGGCAGGCAGGCCTCCTTGAGCTGTGGTGGGCTCCACCCAGTTCGAGCTTCCTGGCTCTTTTGTTTACCTCCTCAAGCCTCAGCAATGGTGGGCGCCCTCCCCCAGCCTCGCTGCCACCTTGCGGATGGATCTCAGACTGCTGTGCTAGCAATGAGCGAGGTTCCATGGGCGTGGGACCCTCTGAGCCAGGCGCTGGATATAATCTCCTGGTGTGCCATTTGCTAAGACTGTTGGAAAAGCTCAGTATTAGGGTGGGAGTGACTCGATTTTCCAGGTGCTATCCATCACCAATTCCCTTGGCTAGGAAAGGGAATTCCTTGACCCCTTGCACTTCCCGGGTGAGGCGATGCCTCGCCCTGCTTTGGCTCATGCTTGCTCAGTGGGCTGCACCCACTGTCCTGACGCCAGTGTCCGACAAGCCCCAATGAGATGAACCTAGTACCTCAGTTAGAAATTCAGAAATCACCTGTCTTCTGTGTCGCTCAAGCTGGGAGCTGTAGACTGGAGCTCTTCCTATTTGGCCATCTTGGAGCTGCCCAATTATTTGATTTTTATCCTCAGATTGGGAGCTCTTCAAGGGCAAGGCCTGTATCTAATTTACTGTTGCATTTTAAGGTCTAGCTTAGTATCTGTTAGAGTGAGGACATGCAAAGATGTGAAGGAATAATTGAGGATATGTCACCTTACACATCCCCTTCTTCCAGGAATTGCTATTCAGGAGAATTTACACCCATATTTGTCAGCCAGGATCATACACAGGCCTCCTAAAGGAGCAGAGGTCCCACTTCAGTGTCCTGTGGAGAGCTGAAAATGGTGTGTGGCAATGAAGGTTTAAATTAGTACCAGGCTTTTTATTGTTGATGGGGAAAACGTTGACTTCCAGGATTATTTCTGCAGGGGATTGTAGGATTCTATTTTGCTGGCTGGTTTTCATTTTCTTTCTTTGGCTTAAAAACAGGTTCAAGTTGATTGGTTCAGTAGAAACTAGGAGAGATAATAGCCCTACAAGCAGCGAGCAGGATTACTGTGTGATGATGCTGTTGTGTAATCCTTTCAGACATAGGATTGCTATTTGTAGTGATTTTCAGTGATCAGATAAGCCAGTGAAACACCGAATGGCTCCTTTCTTTTCAAATATATTTAATGAAATAGACATGATGTCTTCGTCTATTTGGACTGCTAAAGCAAAAATACAATAAAAGACAGTGTGGTTTATAAACAAAAGAAATCATTTCTCACAGTTCTGGAGGATGGGAAGTCCAAGATCAAGGTGCCAGCAAATTCAGTGCCTGGTGAGCACCTGCTTCTTTCTGCATAGACAGCTATTTTCTTGCTCTGTTTCACATATCTGAAGGGGAAAGGGAGCTCTTAGGGGTCTCCTTTATAAAGGCAATAATCCATTCACCAGAGTTCCACCTTTATGACCTAACCACCTCTCAAGGACCCAGTTTCCTAATGCCATCACACTGGGGCTTAGGTTTCCACATAAGACTTTTGGGGGGACACAGATATTCAGCCTATAGCATATGAGATCATATAAATAGGATAAAACAGTTTCTTTATAGTGTGTGTTTACTATCTTTTGTCAGTTATTCCTGGGTCATTGTTTCTGCCAGATTATTTTACTGATGGTGCAAACTAACCCAACCTACTGTTCACAGACCTGAATGGACTATAGATGTGGTGTACATGGACAGTGACTTTGTCACAGTTGCAGGTTTGTCATTAGATTTCAATGATTCTCTTACCACTTTTTTTTTTTATTGTACTTTAAGTTCTGGGGTACATGTGCAGAACGTGCAGGTTTGTTACATAGGTATACATGTACCATGGTGGTTTGCTGAACCCATCAATCTGTCATCTACATTAGGTATTTCTTCTAATGCTATCCCTCCCCTTGACTTCCACTCCCCTGACAGGACCTGGTGTGTGATGTTCCCCTCCCTGTGTCCATGTGTTCTCTTTGTTCACCTCCCGCTTATGAGTGAGAACATGTGGTGTTTGGTTTTCTGTTCTTGTGTTAGTTTGCTGAGAGTGACGGTTTCCAGCTTCATGTCCTGTAAAGGACATGAACTCTTTCTTTTTTATGGCTGCATAGTATTCCTTGGTGTATATGTACCATATTTTCTTTATTGAATCTATCACTGATGGCATTTTAAGTTGGTTCCAAGTCTTTGCTATTGTGAATAGTGCTGCAATAAACAACATGTGCATGTGTCTTTATAGTAGAATGATTTATAATCCTTTGGGTATATACCCAGTAATGGGATTGCTGCACCAATCGGATCTGGTTCTAGATCCTTGAGGAATCACCACACTGTCTTTCACAATTGTTGAACTAATTTATACTTCCACCAACAGTGTAAAAGCATTCCAATTTCTCCGCATCCTCTCCAGCATCTGTTGTTTCCTGACTTTTTTTTTTTTTTTGAGACGGAGTCTTGCTCTGTCACCCAGGCTGGAGTGTAGTGGCATGATCTCACCTCACTGCAACCTCTGCCTCCTGGGTTCAAATGATTCTCCTTTCTCAGCCTCCTGAGTAGCTGGGATTACAGGCGCATGCCACTACGCCTGGCTAATTTTTGTATTTTTAGTAGAGATGGGGTTTCACCATGTTGGTCAGGCTAGTCTAGAACTCCTGACCTCATGATCCTCACACCTTGGCCTCCTAAAGTGCTGGGATACAGGCATAAGCCACCATGCCCAGCCTGTTTCCTGACTTTTTAATGATTTCCATTCTAACTGGCATGAGATGGTATCCCATTGTGGTTTTGATTTGCATTTCTCTAATTACCAGTGAAGATGAGCTGTTTTTTTTCATATGTTTGTTGGCCGCATAAATGTCATCTTTTGAGAAGTGTCTGTTAATGTCCTTTGCCCGCTTTTTGATGGGGTTGTTTTTTTTTCTTGTAAATTTGTTTAAGTTCCTTGTAGACTCTGGATATTAGCCTTTTGTCAGATGGATAGATTCCAAAAATTTTCTCCCATTTTGTATGTTGCCTGTTCACTCTGATAGTTTCTTTTGCTGTGCAGAAGCTCTTTAGTTTAATTAGATCCCGTTTGTCAATTTTGGCCCTAGTTGCCATTGCTTTTGGTGTTTTAGTCATGAAGTCTTTGCGCATGCAAAGGGATATGTCCTGAATGGTATTGCCTAGGTTTTCTTACAGTGTTGTCATGGTTTTAGGTCTTACATTCAAGTCTTTAATCCATCTTGAGTTAATTTTTGTATAAGGTGTAGGGAAGGGGTCCAGTTTCTGTTTTCTGCATATGGCTAGCCAGTTTTCCCAACAACATTTATTAAATAGGGAATCCTTTCCCCATTGCTTGTTTTTGTCAGGTTTGTCGAAGATCAGTTGGTTGTAGTAGATGTGTGGCGTTATTTCTGGGGCCTCTGTTCTGTTCCATTGGTCTATATATCTGTGTTGGTACCAGTACTATGCTGTTTTCATTACTGTAGCCTTGTAGTATAGTTTGAGGTCAGGTAGCATGATACCTCCAGCTTTGTTCTTTTTGCTTTCGATTGTCTTGGCTGTATGGGCTCTCTTTTGGTTCCATATGAAATTTAGTTTTTTCTAATTCTGCGAAGAAAGTCAATGGTAGCTTGATGGGGATAGGATTGAATCTATAAATTAATTTGGGCAGTATGGCCATTTTCATGATATTGATTCTTCCTTTCCATGAGCATGGTATGTTTTTCCATTTGTTTGTGTCCTCTCCTATTTCGTTGAGCAGTGGTTTGTAGTTCTCCTTGAAGACATCCTTCACATCCCTTGTAAGTTGGATTCCTAGGTATTTTATTGTCTTTGAAGCAATTGTGAATGGGAGTTCACTCATGATTTGGCTCTCTGTTTGTCTGTTATTGGTGTATAGGAATGCTTGTGATTTTTGCACATTGATTTTGTATCCTGAGACTTTGCTGAAGTTGCTTATCAGCTTAAGGAGATTTTGGGCTGAGACAATGGGGTTTTCTAAATATACAATCATGTCATCTGCAAACAGGGACAACTTGACTTCCTCTTTTCCTAATTGAATACCCTTTATTGCTTTCTCTTACCTGATTGCCCTGGCCAGAACTTCCAATACTATGTTGAATAGGAGTGGTGAGAGAGGGCATCCTTATCTTGTGCTGGTTTTCAAAGGGAATGTTTCCAGTTTTTGCCCATTCAATATGATACTGGCTGTGGGTTTGTCATAAATAGCTCTTGTTATTTTGAGATACATTCCATCAATACCTAGTTTATTGAGAGTTTTTAGCATGAAGGGGTGTTGAATTTTATCAAAGGCCTTTTCTACATCGTGGTTTTTGGCATTGGTTCTGTTTATGTGATGGATTGCATTTATTGATTTGCATATGTTGAACTAGCCTTGCATCCCAGGGATGAAGCTGACTTGATCATGGTGGATAAGCTTTTTGGTGTGCTGCTGGATTCAGTTTGCCAGTATTTTGTTGAGGATTTTTGCATTGATGTTCATCAGGGATATTGGTCTAAAATTTTCTTTTTTTGTTGTGTCTCTGCCAGGTTTTGGTATCAGGATGATGCTGGCCTCATAAAATGAGTTAGGGAGGGGTCCCTCTTTTTCTTTTGTTTGGAATAGTTTCCGAAGGAATGATACCAGCTTCTTTTTGTAGCTCTGGTAGAATTCGGCTGTGAATCTATGTGGTCCTGGGCTTTTCTTGGTTGGTAGGCTGTTAATTACTGCCTCAATTTCAGAATTTGTTATTGGCCTATTCAGGGATTCGACTTCTTCCTTGTTTAGTCTTGGGAGGGTGTAGGTGTCCAGAAATTTATTCATTTCTTCTAGATTTTCTAGTTTATTTGCATAGAGGTGTTTATAGTATTCTCTGATGGTAGTTTGTATTTCTGTGGGATTGGTGGTGATATCCCCTTTATCATTTTTTATTGCATCTATTTGATTCTTTTCTCTTTTCTTCTTTGTTAGTCTAGCTAGCACTCCATCTGTTTTGTTAATCTTTTCAAAAAACCAGCTCCTGGATTCATTGATTTTTTTTGTAGGGTTTTTCATGTCTCTAACTCCTTCAGTTCTGCTGTGATCTTAGTTATTTCTTGTCTTCTGCTAGCTTTTGAATTTGTTTGCTCTTGCTTCTCTAGTTCTTTTAATTGTGATGTTAGGGTGTTGATTTTAGATCTTTCCTGCTTTCTCCTGTGGGTATTTAGTGCTATAAATTTCCCTTTAAACACTGCTTTAGCTGTGTCCCAGAGATTCTGGTACATTGTGTCTTTGTTCTCATTGGTTTCAAAGAACTTATTTATTTCTGCCTTAATTTCGTTATGTACCTAGTAGTCATTCAGGAGCAGGTTGTTCAGTTTTCGTGTAGTTGTGCAGTTTTAAGTGAGTTTCTTAATTTTGAGTTCTAATTTGATTGCACTCTGGTCTGAGAGACTGTTATGATTTCCTTTCTTTTGTATTTGCTGAAGAGTGTTTTACTTCCAATTATGTGGTCAATTTTAGAATATGTGCAATGTAGTCCTGAGAAGAATGTATATTCTGTTGATCTGGCATGGAGAGTTCTGTAGATGTCTATTAGGTCCACTTGGTCCAGAGCTGAGTTCAAGTCCTGAATATCCTTGTTAATTTTCTGTCTTGTTGATCTGCCTAATATTGACAGTGGGGTGTTAGTCTCCCACTATTATTGTGTGGGAGTCTAAGTCTCTTTGTAGGTCTCTAAGAACTTGCTTTAGGCCGGGCGCGGTGGCTCACGCCTGTAATCCCAGCACTTTGGGAGGCCGAGGCGGGTGGATCACGAGGTCAGGAGATCGAGACCATCCTGGCTAACAAGGTGAAACCCCATCTCTACTAAAAATACAAAAAAAAATTAGCCGGGCGCGGTGGCGGGCGCCTGTAGTCCCAGCTACTCGGGAGGCTGAGGCAGGAGAATGGCGTGAACCCAGGAAGCGGAGCTTGCAGTGAGCCAAGATCGCGCCACTGCAGTCCGCAGTCCGGCCTGGGCGACAGAGCGAGACTCCGTCTCAAAAAAAAAAAAAAAAAAGAACTTGCTTTACGAATATGGGTGCTCCTGTATTGGGGGAATATATATTTAGGATAGTTAGCTCTTCTTGTGGTATTGATCCCTTTACCATTATGTAATGCCCTTCTTTGTCTATTTTGATCTTTGTTGGTTAAAAGTGTGTTTTATCAGAGACTAGGATTGCAACCTCTGCTCTATTTTGCTTTCCATGTGCTTGGTAAATCCTCTTTCCCTTTATTTTGAGCCTCTGTGTGTCTTTGCACGTGAGATGGGTCTCCTGAATACAGCACACCGATGGGTCTTGACTTTTATCCAGTTAGCCAGTCTGTGTCTTTCAACTGTGGCATTTAGCCTGTTTACATTTAAGGTTAATATTGTTATGTGTGAATTTGATCCTGTCATTATGATGCTAGCTGGTTATTTTGCCCATTAGTTGATGCAGTTTCTTCATAGTGTCAATGGTCTTTACAATTTGGTATGTTTTTGCAGTGGCTGGTACTGGTTTTTCCTTTCCTTATTTAGTGCTTCCTTCCGGAGCTTTTGTAAGGAGGGCCTGGTGGTGACAAAATCCCTCAGCATTTGCTTGTCTGTAAAGGATTTTATTTCTCCTTTGCTTATGAAACTTAGTTTGGCTGGCTATGAAATTCTGGGTTAAATTCTTTTCTTTAAGAATGTTGAGTATTTGCCCACACTCTCTTCTGGCTTGTAGGGTTTCTGCAGAGAGACCTGCTGTTTGTCTGATGGGCTTCCCTTTGTGGGTACCCTGACCTTTCTCTCTGGCTGCCCTTAACATTTTTTCCTTCATTTCAACTTTGGTGAGTCTGACGATTATGTGTCTTGGGGTTGCTCTTCTCGAGGAGCATCTTTATGGTGTTCTCTCTATTTCCTGAATTTGAATATTGGTCTATCTTGCTAGGTTGGGGAAGTTCTCTGGGATAATATCCTGAAGTATGTTTTCCAGCTTGGTTTCATTCTCTCTGTCACTTTCAGGTACACCAATTAAAGGTAGGTTTTGGTCGTTTCACATAGTCCCATATTTATGTAGGCTTCGTTAGTTCCTTTGCTTTCTTTTTTCTCTAATCTTGTCTTCATGCTTTATTTCATTAAGTTGATCTTCAGTCTCTGATATCCTTTTCTTCTGCTTGGTCGATTCGGCTATTGATACTTGTGTATGTTTCACAAAGTCCTTGTGCTGTGTTTTTCAGCTCCATCAGGTCATTTATGTTCTTCTCTAAACTATTCTAGTTAGCAGTTCCTGTAACCTTTTATCAAGGTTCTTAGCTTGCTTGCATTGGGTTAAAACATGCTCCTTTAGCTTGGAGGAGTTTGTTATTACCCACCTTCTGAAGTCTACTTCTGTCAATTCGTCAAACTCATTCTCCATCCAGTTTTGTTCCCTTGCTGCAAGGAGTTGTGATCCTTTGGAGGATAAGAGGCATTCTGGTTTTTGGAATTTTCATCCTTTTTGCGCTTGTTTTTCCTCATCTTCCCAGATTTATCTACCTTTGATCTTTGATGCTGATGACCTTTGGTTGGGGTTTTTGCATGGGCCTCCTTTTTATTGAGGTTATTGCTTTCTGTTTCTTTGTTTTCCTTCTAACAATCAGGCCCCTCTTCTGCAGGTCTGCTGGAGTTTGCTGGAGGTCCACTCCAGACCCTCTTTGCCTGAGTATCACCAGCGGAGACTGCAGAACAGTAAAGATTGCTGCCTGCACCTTCCTCTGGAAGCTTCATCCCAGAGGGGTACCTGCCAGGATGCCAGCTGGAGATCTCCTGTATGAGGTGTCTGTCGATCCCTGCTGGGAGCTATCTCCCAGTCAGGAGGCATAGGGGTCAGGGACCCACTTGAGGAGGCAGTCTGTCCCTTAGCAGAGTTTGAGTGCTGTGTGGGGAGATCTGCCGCTGTCTTCAGAGCTGGCACGCAGGAATGTTTAAGTCTGCTGAAGCTGTGCCCACAGCTGTCCCTTCCCTAAGATGCTCTGTCCCAGGGAGATGGGAGCTTTATCTATAAGTCACTGACTGGGGCTGCTGCCTTTCTTTCAGAGACACCCTGCTCAGAGAGGAGGAATCTATAGAGGCAGTCTGGCTATAGCAGCTTTGCTGCGCTGTGGTGGGCTCCGCCCAGTCCAAGCTTCCCCTTGGCTTTGTTTATACTGCGAGGGAAAAACCGCCTACTCAAGCCTCAGTAATGGGGGATGCCCCTCCCTCCACCAAGCTTGAGCATCCCAGGTCGACTTCAGACTGCTGTGTTGGCACTGAGAATTTCAAGTCAGTGGATCTTAGCTTGCTGGGCTCCATGGGGGTGGGATCGGCTGAGCAAGACCACTTGGCGCCCTGGCTTCAGCCACCTTTCTAGGGGAGTGAACGGTTCTGTCTTGGCATTCCAGGTACTACTCAGTTGGAAATGTAGAAATCACCTGCCTTCTGGGTGGTCTTGCTGGGAGCTGCAGACTGGAGCTGTTCCTATTTGGCCATCGGGCCAGCCAGGACCCTCTTACCACTTCTAATGTAAATTTGGTGGCGATCTAAACTTATTTTGGAAGTCCTTTAGAAATAGTGCAAGTATATTTTTTATGGTCATATGGAGTGTTTCTCTGATAAAACCATAGAATTTACCACAGGCTGGTTTTATAACAATTCTTGGCCTCGTTGTTGTCCTTAATTTTTTTGAATACTTCTATCGGAATGGTTAATGCCATTTAACTTCGGCCTTGTGGTAGTTAATCTGTATGCATTCACAGAACATTTTGGCCTCATGGTAGTTCAGAGTCAAAATCAGTGAGGAAAGTAAGAAAAATAGCTTTACTTTTGCAATTTATTTTTTTAAAAATCAACATTTATGAGTAAACAAAGTAGAAGAAACCATGATTGCCTCACTGGGATTTGTCTTGATGCTAAACCTGTTAATCGTTTGGAAACAGCCAAACCTGGGAGTTACCTTCAGTGGCAAAATCTTACAAAAGCTGAGGTGGTTGGTATGTAATAAAGTGTTCTTGTTTGAATTCCTTTGTTCTGTCAGAATATAGTTCAACAATGATTAAGAGACTCCAGTAACAAAGATTTCTTTCTACAGAGTGGTAAGTAAAGATAGATCTGTACTTACCCACTTGTCAACTTGAACTGCATTACAGCAGGTAACTGATCAGATATTCACTGAAGAAAGATAGAGGTGACAAGTTTAAGTATAGATGCAACTACAGCAAATGTAAGTTTGCTTTTTAAGATAAGGAGGCAGCTATCAGGTGCTACTTCTGGGATAGCACCATGAACCCACTCCTTAATGAAATAAGCATAACTTCTAAAAACTATAAAAAAAAGCCCAGTGGTTTAAAGTCTGGAAATTGTCCTAAGGACATACAGCAACTGAAAAAACAATTACTTAAAAATTACTTAAGAGTAAATCTGCTAAAACTTGGTAAGAACAGCAAGATTCTGTGGCATTTTAATCATAACCAGTTTCTTCCTTCCTGCTCGCAGTTCAGCTTGACAGAAGCTCTGCTTCAGGTCAGTGTGGCCAAGAAGATCAGGTTCCCTCTCAAGGTCCTGATCAAGAGATAGTATTTCACCAGGAGGGGCAGGCTTTCAAAATTTCTTGTTCCTTCAAATCCTGACTTGAAGAGGTTACATTACTGGTGACGGGAGACACCAGTAATCTGGTGGTGCAGTGGCTGGGTGGGGGAAGCTCCCTTTCTTCATTCAGCTCCCACTCATAGGGCATAGGATCTGCTACTCATAGGGCAGAGGATCTACCCTAGGTGTGGCAGGATGAGAATACTGGGGCGCCAATAACCCTTACTGCATTTCACTCATAAGGCAGATGTTCCAAGCCAGGAATGGGAAGTCAAGAGACTAGAAATCTCCATACCTGCCCAGTACTTTGGGTAGTGGCTCAGAGATTTTATCCAAGGGGGAGGTAGTCCATACAAAAGTAGAGCTCGGAAACTTCCCCAAAGGGACTGACTTTATCTAAAACATTACGGGGAAGTTTAGGCTCAAGGGTGCTGTCAAAACCAATGGAAATTTTGGTGGTAAGCAAATAAGAGGAGGCTGGTAGCTCCTCTAAATTAAGAGTAACAAGCTAATCCAAGGACAGCTAGTTTACCAGTAAGAACTGGAGAGAGACAGATAAGAGTCCTCCTCAGGTGACAACAAATCTCTGAGACTGGTCTGAAAAACTATCACTGTCCAAATTTAATTTAGACTGTGGAGCAATTTATGTCCAAGGACATTGTCAAAAACAATAGAGCCATCAGCTGGTAATTAGTGGATCCTAACAACCGAGTGTGATATGAAATGAGGCAGATATTTTAACAGAAATTAGATAAAGGAACAGTCAAGGAGAACCCTGCTAAAATCATTGTCATTTCAAAGGCTTCATCTCTGTTAGTGAAATAGACTTAACTAAAATAGCCTATTTAAGTTTCTAAACAAACAAGCAAAACATATAAAAACAAGTACAGACAGGGGAGGATGGGAATGAGTATCTAGAATTGTGACAATATGTTACCAAAAAAATCCAGTTTTTGACAAAAAAATATAAGTCATGCAGAGAAATAGGAAAATGTGTCCCCTCCACAGGGCGGAAAAAAAAAATCAGGCAACAACAACCGTTTGTGAGAGGACCCAGCTGTCAGATTTAAAAATAATTTCAAAACTATCATAAGTATGTCCAAAAAACTAAAGGAAAAAGCCATGTTTAAAAAAGTACAAAAAGGTGTGATAACAATATCTCAACAAATAAAGAATATCAATCATAAGATAGAAATTACAAAAATAACCAAATGAAAATTTTAGAGTTAAAAAGTATAGTAATTGAAATGAAAAATTCATTAGAGGGGCTCAACAGTAGATTTGAACTGACAGGAGAATTCGTAAACTTGAAGATAGATTGTTAGAGATTATAGGATTTGAAGAACAGAGAGAAAAAATAATTAAAAAAAAAAGAAGAGAACCTCTGGGGAATATGGGATACCAATAATCACACCCATATATGTGTAATGAGAGTACTAAAAGAAACAAAGAGGAAAAGAAGCTATGTTTCTATATCGGTTTAATATAAAGAGATATACGTGATACATACATATGCATATAGAAAGCTAACTTCTGCAGGCTTAATAGTAGACTCTGTAGACTTAAAAAATTTGAAGAAATATAGTTAAAAATTCCCCAGATTTGATGAAAATCACCAATCTGCACATTCAAGAAGCTCAACAAACTTCAAGTAGGATACAGTCTAAGATATCCACACTCATACACATTAAAATAAAAATGCTGAAAGCCAAAGACTGAAGAGAATGTTGATATAAGAGATAACAAGTGTTAGGGAGGATCAGGAAAAAAGGGAGCTCTTGTACTGCTGGTGAAAATGTAAATTGGTACAACCATTGTGGAAAACACTATGGAGTGTTTTCAAAAAATTAAAAATAGAACTACCATATGATCTAGCAATCTCACTTCTGAGTATATATTCAAAGAAAATGAAATCAGTATGTTAGAGATATTTGCACTCGCATATTCAGGGAAGTGTTATTCACAATAGCCAACTCTGAGAGGAAAAAAATGAAAGTATTTTTTTTCTGTTCTCTCAACAACGATTAACACAGAAAACTTGTGTGACCACGAAATATGTGAAGATTTCTCTCCATGAGCAAACATGCAATCAGTTCTTCAGTGGATACCAGCTGGGTGTCTTCTAATTCAGCTCCAACACTATTCACTTGGGAATATTTTTACATCCTACAGATTGAGGGCTCAGACCCACAAGACTGTACCTCACTTCCAATGCCAATCTCAAGCTTCAGCTCGTTTTACCTGTGCATCTGACTGATAGTTGTAAATTGGAGATCCCACGATTTCCTCTTTGGGTTTTGTTAGTTTGCTAGAGTAGCACACATAACTTAGGAAAACACTTGCTTTGTTTGTTTGTTTGTTTTATTTTAAAGAATACTGCAAAGAATATAGATGAAGAGATGCATAGCGTAGGTATGGGAAGGGGTGTGGAGCTTCTGTGCTCGGAGTTTGCCACTCTCCAGGAACCTCCACATGTTCAGCTCTCTGGAAGCTCTCCATACCCTTTCTTTTGGGCCTTTTATGGAGACTTCATTGGATAGGCATTATTGACACTTGGGTAGAAATGCGATTGGACAAGAAAACATGAAAACATGACCTCAAACACAAGGCCAGCAGAGAATGACCTTGTATTAATAGACTGAAGGAGGAAACCAAGTGTGACCTCTCCAGATTATTCTTGGCCTCTCTGCACATCACTTTTTTTTTTCCAGGGTATGGGGCAAGACTTTTTCCGAAATGGAGGTCTTATGACCTACAAACAGACAAGGTAAGTCAGAGAATTTCTCTATTGCTCACTCCAAGACAGAAAGGTGACTGACGGAAGATAAGAGTGTATTTTTAGTTTCTACGGCCTGCCTTGGGGAGAAATAACAAGGGCTGTGGGAGCTATGAGCCAAGAACTGTGTACACAAACCAATATACATACATATCTACACATATACATATATATAATATCACAGTAAGTTATGGACACAACCTATGTGTCTGTAGATAGATGAATGGATAAAGAAAATGTGATGTACATATATACAATGGAATATTATTCAGCATTAAAAAGAAAGAACTCTGCCATTTGCTACAACAAGAATGAAACTTGAGGGGATTTATGCTATGTGAAATAAGTCAGACAGAGAAAGACAAATACTGCATAATCTCACTTACATGTGGAATCTAAAAATGTCAATCAATGTAGACTGATGATTGCCAGGGGCTGGGGAGAGGGAGTGTGAAGGAAATGAAAAGATGTTGCTCAATTGGCATACATTTGCATGATTGAATAAGTTCTGGAGATCTAATGTACAGTATGGTGACTTTAGTTAACAATGCTGTATTGAATACTTGAAATTTGCTAAGAAAGTAGATCTTAAGTTTGTTCCCACCACACACACACACACATACACACACATACACAATAGTAATTGTGTGAGGTGATGAATATATTAGCTTGATTGTGATAATCATTTCACAATGTGTGTGCATATCAAATCATCACATTGTCTAACTTAAATATATACAATTTTGTCCATTAATAAAGCTGGAAGAAAAAGAGAAAATTATGAAAGCATTGAGAGAAAAATGCTTTATTATATACAATGGAACATCAATAAGATTAACAGCTTATGTATCATCAGAAGCAATAGAAGCCTGGCCAGGCGCCATGGCTCACGCCTGTAATCCCAGCACTTTGGGAGGCCAAGGCAGGCAGATCACTTGAGGTCAGGAGTTCGAGACCAGCCTGGCCAACATAGCAAAACCTTGTCTCTACTAAAAATACAAAAATTAGCCGGTGTGCCTGTAATCCAAGCTCCCTGTGAGGCTGAGGCAGAAGAATAGCTTGAACCTGGGAGGTAGAGGTTGCAGTGAGCGGATATTGCATAACTGCACTCCAGCCTGGGCAACACAGCGAGACCCAAAACAAACAACCAAGCAACCAACCAACCAACCAAAAGAAAGAAGTTGTCCTAATTCAGTAATGCTAAAGCACATAAATGAGAGCCTTATAAATCTGGAGCTCCAGAAGGGAACTTCCAGATATAGTCAATTATGTGTTAATACTTGCTAATCCTCGGTACATTGCAGACATCAGTAGTCCATCACAATTCTCTTTCCCTTTCAACCCAGTCTTGGCCTCAGAATAGTCACAAGCAACCATCCAGGAAGCCACTACCAGTCAATCAGAGTTTGCATAAGAGATGAAGTACAATATTTACCATTCAGCCTCATTTCACAGGTGAGGAAGTCAGGGTCTGGTAGCCACATAGAGTTGGAGGCAGACATAGAGGTAGCACCCAAATTTCCTGACATGACCCCAGTCAGATTTTGTTCAGAGGCAGCCAACATCAGAGGTCCTTTTAAATTTCTCTCTTGGGAGCTTTTAAGTTTTAATGATCAACAAACTTTGCTTGTCTTATTCCATATGAACAAAGAGCTGTAGGACTGGAGCATTCATGCTTAAAACAGAATGATTAGCACTGAGACAGGTTGCTATACATATATATATATATATTTATATATATGTATATATTTATATATATATATAATTTTTTTTTAAACCCTCACTTACATGTCAGGTTTCTCTGGGATCTCCCTTGGGGTTGAAGCTAGGTTCCTGAACACACACCTCTTAGGCTTCCTGTAAGGATGCAGACTTGGCTGAGCTGAGGAAATGGCTTCCTGCCATTCTCCCCCTAACACAGAGGCAGCCAGCTGTCGAGACTAAGCATGACTTGTCCCCGAGAGAAAGTTCTAAACTTCCATGGGGAAGGTCTCTCATCTGTCTCAAGTTCAGAAGGTAGAGCTAGCCAGACCAATAGATGTCTCAGGTTAGGAACTATAGAACATGTGTACTTGTCTTTTTAGGCCTGACAACTAGGAGTTGACAACTGGGTGTCCCTCATGCCTCAGGGTTTTTATTTACATATTTAGTTAGGATATTTTCCCCAGTTCCTGTCTGAGTTTGAAGAAACAGCTCTGAGAGCTCAGTTGGCTTGGGAAGTCAATTACATATCAAAGAGTCTTTTACCCCTCCCCAGATCTACTGGGAGATGTCAGTGGTTGAGTTGTATGAATCCCAGCTTCCAAGGAGAATTCAATAGTCTCTTTCTATGGTTCTCACTTATCCTCTGTTCTCATGCAGTTCCCTGCAAGTCAATCCCTGCATCCTGGGAGGGTTTCTCCTTTCGCAGGTCTACCAGCTTGGTGGGGTTGTGTTGGCATTCTGGAAGGCTCAGACTGCAGCTATTTTCTCTGCCTCATTGACACCTGATTCCAGGAGCTGCCACCACTGCCTTCTACTCTCCAACCTCTTACTCATCTTACTGATTTTGCTGAGAGACCAGCTTACTGTGAGATCAGCCAGATAATGTCTGTCTCCAAGGGTTGCTTTGGAAGTGCTTTGTAAATAGTTGAGTACTATATCTCATTTATTTTAGCTGAATCCACTCAGTTTTTACAAATGCAATTGTGTGAAATTATATCAAAATGTAAAAATCTATCTAATCTGCTTGGCTTCTTTTAGATGCCATTCCTGCTTCTTTTCAGACCACAGTCATTCAGGGCAACCCTTGGAATGACTGGCAGTGTTGATCCCAGGAAGGTAGACAGGCACCAGGAACTTCAGATGGAGCTCCAGCCTCCTTGCATTGAGATCTTGTTGCCTCTTCCATAGCCCTGCTGTGTTAGAGGCTAAATTTTCTGCCGGCTCTCTTGGGTGATGTAGCCATCCAACATTTACCTTTTGTTCAACTTTGCTATGCTGTAACTGCAACATTATTTCATTCAGTGTATCACCTTGGGCTGCCTTTACCTTTTATTTTGCTTATAAATGAAAACATACATTATTTATTACAACTCAGAGTATCATTCTTTGTTGGCCTTGTGTTTGAGACAGTTGTAGACATGTAATGTAGGAGCAAGTTTTGCTTTGTAAGAAATCTCTGAGTGTTTTCACAGTTCAGATAATTCCTGGCCCAATAGAGTCCCTTCTGAAGTGACAGGAGAGGTTCAGGATTTAGGGAGACTTTTGTGAATGCTGAAGAAATTAACTGCCCAGATGTTCACTGTAGCACAGGTTAAACATTTCCATGATCAGACTCTGGGCTAAGAAAAATGCCAAAGTCAGAGTCTCTTTTGGGTCAGTAGAAACAAACAAACAAAAATCTTTCTGATTGTATGAAATAATCAGTGACTGAGGTAGAAAACATGAGAAAGATGGAAGAGGGGATTTATATCGTATACCCCATCACAAACAACTTTTAAAAGATCCCTTTAGACAGATGTGCTCTCCTCCAAAGCCCTTTCTCAGTTGCTTTGCCCTTGTAGGTTTATTTCTCATTTTCCTTTTCTGAGCAGCATTGGGCTTCTTTTCTTCCACAGCTAATTCCAATGTCCAGTAAAACAAAAGATTCTCTAGCAAACAGACCCCATGCTTCTTCTTCTTCTTTTTTTTTTTTTTAATTATACTTTAAGTTCTGGGAAACATGTGCAGAATGTGCAGGTTTGTTACATAGGTATACACGTACCATGGTTGTTTGCTGCACCCATCAACCCGTCATCTACTTTAGGTATTTCTCCTAATGCTATCCCTCCCCTTGCCCCCCACCTCCTAATAGGCCCCGGGGTATGATATTCTCCTCCCTGTGTCCATGTGTTTTCATTGTTCAACTCCCACTTAAGAGTGAGAACAACTACATGCTTCTTAGTAAGAGATTTAGCCAGCATTTTTGATTATTTGAATGTGCTATTTGAGGTCTTACTTTCATCCCGGATGATCAAAGCATTTTCTTCCAACACATATTGTACTCTCCCCAAGAGACATTCTGGTGAGCAAAAACCTCTCCATTTTGTGACATTAATAAATAAAGACTGCAGAAGACAGAGGCTATCAAGACTTGAGATTAGTGATAAGACAGGGGTTCTCAGCCTCAATGCTATTGACATTTTGGGCTGGTTAATTTTTTGTTGTGGGGGTGTCTTGTGCATTGTAGGATGTTTAGCATTGTCTCTGGCGTCTACTGACTGGATGCCAGTAACATCCCCTACTCCTAGCTTGATAACCAAAAATGCCTTCAGACTTTGCCAAGATGTCCCCTGGGGAACAAAATTGCCCCTGATTGCAAACCAGTATTAATAATAAGGAATTCTAATAATTCAGACAGAAAGCATTTTTGAACTGCTGGGGGTTGGTGGTGTGGTATCTGATTTCTCTGAATATCCTCAAGGTAGGTTATTACGAGTAACTGTATATTGGCATAAAACATTTTTTAATAGCTCTGTTTATTACCAGGCAACAGATTGGGTTATTTCTGTTATATTTTTTCTGATAGGAACCAGCTCCACCGATAGGTAAAGGAAGTGTGGGATCTTCAAAACCTAGTGCTGAGTTTATTAACTTGATACCATGCTGTCTTATTCCTTTTGCTGTGTTGATGGGAAGGGTCAGCTACTTGGATGAGAATGAAGATAATTTTAACATTCAGGCTTGTACAGTGTTTGCTGAAGTTATCTTCTTGGGCTGGGGTTTGCAGGCACGTTGTTGGATGCTCAAAATATGCCACATACCATGAGAAAGTGGGTGAGTGGGTCTGGTGGCCACAGCCTTGAAGCCATTTATCACCTGCTTTGGTGGAGCTTACAGTTCAGTGTAGGGGGTGGAGAGAGGACAGTAAAGGGAGGGGTGAAGATCCTGTTTTGTGAGGTTGTTCATGTACTTTACCAGGGAGAACTTTTTCCTCAGTGCTTGATGCTTGTCCTGGGAGGGAGTCTATTGGTTCTGGTTTCTCTGCTGCCCTAAAAGTGACATTACAGTGTGCATGCAATTGGAACATACAAGCTGCCATACTCTTCACGGCAGCCCCGGAAGTGGTTTTACTTGCAGAATGAGAGGCTCTGGGTTTTAAGTGATCCTAATTTGTGTCTAGTTTTTGCTTTTTTTTTTTTTTGCCTTAAAGTTAATAGGCTGCATGTCTTCTTACAAACTAGATTAAGGCCTCTCCAATCTTTTCCTTGTCCTGGCACATGTAGATAGTATTTGTTTGGCACAACGTGGTACCAAGGTCACTAGGGTGTCAAGGTACTCATGACCAGAGTTAGATAGGGTGACAAACTGGTCCTGGTTTGCCTGGGACATTTCTGACTTTAAAACTGAAGGTCCCAGGCAAACCAAGATAGCTGTTTACTCTAGCCAGAGGTGACTGGCCTGAGGGCTCTGGTGGCCCTGGGCTCTACTCAGACACTGAGGGCTGAAAGGATCAATACACTGGCATCCATGTACCTTATTTGTGGCACATCAGTGTGTTGTTGTGGCACACACTTTGGGACCATAGTGGTCAGAAGCCCCTTTGATCAGAAGGGGAAGAAGTTAGTAAAACAAAAAAAAACAGGGATAAAAATAGTCTTAAGAGCCAGGTGCAATGGACTCATGCTGTAATCCTATCCCTTTGGGAGGTGGAGAGGGAAGGATTGCTTGAGGCCAGGGGTTTGAGACGAGTCTGGGCAACATAGTGAGACCCTGTCTCTACAAAAATTTTAAAAAATTAGTGAGGTGTAATGGTATGTGCCTGTAGTCCCAGATACTTGGGAGGCTGAGGCAGGAGGATCACTTGAGCCCAGGAGCTCAAAGTTACAGTGAGCTGTGATTGCGCCACTGCACTCTAGCCTGGATGATAGAGCAAGAATCTGTCTCTTAAAAAAAAAAAAGAACCAACACCAAAAATAAATTTTAAAATAACAAATACAAATAGTCTTTATTCTGTATTCCCCATGGAATATCTGGCCTCTGGATTGCCTACCTCTTTTCCCTTGGCTCAAAGGGTAGCTCACATGCCCTCTGTGATGCCTATTGCCCTGGTGTCATGGTGGGACAACAAGGATTCTACTGCTGCCATCTTTTCTGATGATGTGAGCTGACCAGGCCAAACCTTTTGGGATTGCTGCCAACCAATCTCCTTGTTGTTAGCTTGGACACTGGAGTTGGGCCACTAAATATTAATGTTACTCCTTCTATCCCGGCTGTCTTTTCAGTCCAACTCATCAGTGCCTTAAGATAGGAGAGGAAATATTCCTCACCCCAACTCTTTATTTAACGTCTCCCAAACTAAGAGCCTTGCTCTACCTCTTAATGTGTCTGTGTAGTCCTTAGACCTATTACTCGCGTTTGACTTACATTTTCAGTTTCCTAAAATGCCATTTATTGTTGAATCCGCCAAAAGTGCCTGGTGTTCTGGATTAGAAATATGAATGATGCCACACAGGGAAATCATTTGAAAATGTTCCCCTTTCCTGACAGTCAACCGGAAGCCATGAACTGAGTTTGAACTTTTTGATTCTCTCCCTCGCTTGGAGTGGGAGCACACAAGATATGATAATGAAAACCAAGTTGTCTCACAATTGGAACATCTGGTTGTTTGAACACCCTGCATCTTCTGCATCCCAGCTAGAAGCTCTCTCTCTCTTTTTTTTATCAGTCTGTTTTTTTGTGTGTGAGAAAGAGATGTTTTTGCACCAACTGTTGCCACTGTTGTTGCCATACATCATCAAAATAGACCAGAAAACCTGCTGATACGGCTGTGTGGGTGAAAATGGACACTGTCATCAGCTTTTTAAAAGAATATCTGCAGGGAGAAGCGTCTCCTTTAAAATTTTAATGCCCAAGTTAAGTTTAGAAGCTAGAAACTCTGCAATGTAGGGGTTAAAATTAAGCAGTTGGTGGTTACAAGTATCATGGCAGAGACCCAAGGAAACCTGTCCAGTGAAGACTGGAGAAGCAGAAGCTTAGACTCGAGTTTGCCTGAAGACTCCGATGAGGCTGATGACTGAGTGTCTTAATCTTGACGAAGATGGAATATGACAGATAGCTACAGGAACACGGCTTTGAAAAATCTTAACATTCTTTAATAAAGAGGGGCCACTTTTTAAAGTTCCTTAACAAAATAGGTTTAAAGATAGTATTTTTCTTGTGTAAAACACATCTCATTTCTATGTATTATATTAAAGTATCAGATTGAACCAGGTGAAATTGCAGTAATTCACCTGTTTTTCGTATATGAAATGGCAATTCCCTATGGTTCCTAAGAACCTTCTGCTCTTCCTGAAGAATTAAACTGGAGCTATCGCTGATCTCTGTGTGTTTGAGTCACTGAGGTCCTGCTTTTGTGCCTCAGGCAGACCAGATCTTTGGCCTCTCCTGAATTGGCATGTAATGCCCTGAGACCCTCATCCCCAATATTAGCTGCTGCCATAAACTAGAAGACAATAAAACAACAATAATAGAAATATTCGTATTTTTAACACAAAGTACCAGTGATTCTTCTTCTTTTTAAAGCTTTTATTTCAGGTTCAGCAGTATGTGTGCCAGTTGGTTATTTAGGTAAACTTGTGTCACTGCAGTTTATTGTAAAGATTATTTCATCACCCAGATATTAAGCCTAGTATCCAATAGTTATTATTTCTGATCCTTTCCCTCCTTCCACCCTCCACCCTCAAGTAGGCCCCAGTGTCTGCTGTTCCCCTCTTTGTGTCCATGTGTTATCATCATTTAGCTCCCACTTATAAGTGAGAACATGTGGTATTTGTTTTTTTGTTCCTGAGTTAGTTTGCTAAGGATAATGGCCTCCAGCTCCAACTGTGTTCCTGCAAAGGATATGATCTTCTTTCTTATGGCTGCACAGTGTTCCATGGTGTATATGCATGACACTTTCTTTATCCAGTATGCCATTGATGGGCATTAAGGTTGGTACCATGTCTTTGCTATTGTGAACAGTGCTGCAGTGAACATACATATGCATATGTCTTTATGGTAGAATAATTTCTATTCCTCTGGCACATACCCAGTAATGAGATTGCTGGGCCAAATGGTAGTTCTGTTTTTAGCTCTTTGAGGAATCGCCACACTGCTTTCCACAATGGTTGAACTAATTTACACTCCCACCAACAGTGTATGAACGTTCCGTTTGCTCCACAACCTCGCCAACATGTCTTATTTTTTGGCTTTTTAGTAATAGCCATTCTGACTAGTGTGAGATGGTAACTCATTGTGGTTTTGATTTGCATTTCTCTAATGATCAGTGATACTGAACATTTTTTCATATGATAGTTGACCGCATATATATCGTTTTTTGAAAAGCGTCTATTCATTTCCTTTGCCCACTTTTTAAAGGGGTTGTTTGTTTTTCTCTTGTAAATTTGTTTAAGTTCCTTATAGAGTCTTTTTTGAGACAGGGTCTCATTCTGTCGCCCAGGCTGGATTGCAGTGGTGCGATCTTGGCTCACTGCACCCTCTGCCTCCTGGGTCCAAGTGATTCTTGTGCCTCAGCCTCCCAAGTAGCTGGGATCACAGACGCACCACCACACCCGGCTAATTTTTGTATTTTTTAGTACAGATGGAGTTTCACCATGTTGGCCAGGCTGGTCTCGAACTCCTGGTCTCGAGTGATCCACCTGCCTTAGCCTCCTGAAGTGCTGGGATTACAGGTGTGAGTCACTGTACCTGGCCCTCCTTACAGAGTCTTGATATTAGGCCTTTGCCATATGCATAGTTTGCAAATATTTTCACCCATTCTGTAGGTTGTCTATTTTTTCTCTTGATAATTTATGTTGCTGTGCAGAAGCTCTTTAATTTAATTAGGTCATGTTTATCAATTTTTGCTTTTGTTGCGATTGCTTTTGGCATCTTCATCATGAAATCTTTGCCGGTTCTTATGTCCAGAATGGTATTTCCTAGGTTACCTTGAGGGTTTTTGTAGTTTTAGATTTTACATTTAAGTCTTTAATCCATCTTGAGTTCATTTTTGTGTATGGTGTAAGGAAGGGGTCCAGTTTTAATCTGCACATGGCTAGCCAGTTATCCCAGCACCATTTATTGAATAGGGAATTCTTTCCTTATTGCTTGTTTTTGTCAGCTTTGTCAAAGATCAGATGGTTGTAGGTGTGCAGCCTTATCTCTGGGCTGTCTATTCTGTTCCATTGGTCTTTGTGACTATTTTTAGTACCAGACATTCTTGTAAGCACTTTACCTTTATTAATTTACATTTTAAACTAAACAAGAACTCTATGGGGATAGATAATTATGTCATTTTTTTTTTGTTTTTGTTTTTGTTTTTGAGACAGAGTCTCAGTCTGTTTCCCAGGCTGGAGTGCAGTGGCGCAATCTCGGCTCACTGCAAGCTCGGCCTCCCGGGTTCACGCCATTCTGCCTCAGCTTCCCAAGTAGTTGGGACTACAGGCGCCCACCACCATGCCCGGCTAATTTTTTTTTTTGTATTTTTAGTAGAGATGGGGTTTCACCATGTTAGCCAGGATGGTCTCAATCTCCTGACCTCGTGATTCGCCCACCTCGGCTTCCCAAAGTGCTGGGATTATAGGTGTGAGCCACTGTGCCCAGCCAATTATTTCATTCTTTACAGACAGGAAAATTGAGGCACAAAAAGGATAAGTGACTTGCCTAACACTCCACAGGTAGTATGTGAGGGAGGCAGGATTTGAACCCTCCAGTGTGGCTTGAGAGCCTGAGCTATCCCTCACAACAAAGCACTATGCTATCTCTCCATTGCGGGAGACTAGGAAACAGCTCGTGGGACCTGACCAAGGCAATGGCAGTTGAGACAGAGATAAGGGGACTAATAGGACAGGTATTAAAGAATTAGAACTCACAGGACTTGATCCCAGTTAGATGTGGGGGGATGGGGGAGAAAGAGATTTGAGGTCAGTCCTAGGTTCCTGGCTGGTCCTGGTGGGAGGATGTTTGTGTGACTTTGTCATAAGAGGAGGATACAAAAAGAGGCCATTCATGCTGGGTGATGAGCTCAATTTCAAACGTGTGCTGGGTTTAAGTTGTCTGGAGGCCATCAGGTTTGAGGTCTCCCATTAGACAGCTCAGTTTACAGGTCTAAGCTCAGGAAAGAGAATAGGGCTTAATATGACTATTTAGAAGACGGCAGCATATAGGGAGGAGATGAAGTTGTGTACATAAATATAATCACCCAGAGAAAGTGAGCCATATGAGAGGAGATTTCCAATGTCTGCTTTAGGTTGGGTTCCTCAGGGGCAGTCCTAGAGATGAGGATTCGTGCAAAAGTGATTTAATTAGCAAGACAAGTAGGGAAGAAGAAAATGGGCCAGGAAAAGGAAGGAAGTCAAGCAAGGAATGCAATGTTAAGCAAAGTTCCACGGAGGTCGACTTTGCCTCAAGCCCAAGGGGTGCTCTGGAGACAGTGTACGTCCCGCTTCAGAGATATCCCAATTGAAGCCAAGGGGCTGGACTGTTTATTCTGTCAAAGAGAAGCAGGAGCAGGTTGTTGGGAGTGTTTAATGAAGCAGCAAAGTGATCTGCTGTATTACTGACATTATCATCTGGAATGACAGAACCGAGAGAGTGTCAACATCTGAGAGCACTCAGAGGCAGGGGAGTTGAGTCAACAAATGAAACAGAGGGAGCAAGGAGGAAGATGAAAGGAGAAAGCTGCCATAGGGGAGTCAAGAAATAAGAGTTGCCAGGAGAATGAGGCAGCTGGTGGTGTCATATACAGCAGAGAGGTCCAAAATCCTAGCAAGGTCAAGGGTGTACATTGAATTTGATGATGGAGGTCACCAATGACTTTGTTAGGTAATGCTGGAGTGTTGGGGATGGGGTGTTTGAAGTCTTACTGTGGTGAGTTCAGGAGTCAATTGGCATAAGAAAGTAGAGATAATCTAATTTGCTTAAGAAAGTTGGCAGTGATAGGGAAGAGCTATAGGGAGGTAGGTTGAGAGGGTTGCATGACTGAAGAAGATGTGTGTTTTTTTTTTCTTTTTAGCTCTTGAAGGAGGTAAGGGGAAGGAGAACTTGGAGTTGGGATTATGATTTAGGAAATAGTGTTTCTAAAATTTTACTTTGTACAATGATCTTGTAAAAAGTCAATAAATATCAAAAGGAACAGAATGTTGTAACACTCCATTATTATTCATGAGATTCATTATATAGATTGTTTTATTAAACACGTTTTTCTCAAGATCCTCATTATTTTTTATTTTTTTCAGACAGGGTCTCCTTCTGTTGCCCAGGATGGAGTGCAGTGGTGTGACCACAGCTCACTGCAGCCTCAAACTCCTGGGCTCGAGCAATCCTCCCACCTCAGTCTCCCGAGTAGCTGTGACTACAGGTGTGCGCCACAACACTCAACTAATATTTTACTTTTATTTTTTGTAGAAACTGGGTCTCCCTATGTTGCCCAGGCTGGTATCAAACTCCTGGGCCCAAGCGATCCTCCTGCCTTTGCCTCCCAAAGTTCTGGGATTACAGCGTGAGCCACTGCACCCAGCCAAGATTCTTATTTTTATTTGTAAAGGATTTCATATAGACATGAAAGTAAATGACAATCTGCAATATTATTTCAATTTGAATCCTTTGTTTTAGAAAATATTGTAAGCCGATAAAACTAGTAGCCTCTGATGATACAACATCTGCTATTCGACACGTGGAGTTAGGTGCTTTAAATAAATTGTCTAATTTTCTTCATAAACTATGTGTATGTCCTCTTATCATGGCTGGGGAGAAAACTGTCAAAGCTTGCATGCTAGCAAGGCTCAGGAAGCATATTTTAAAAAGTATTTTCATTAGTTAAAAAAATTAAGAAATAAATGACTGCTTATATATATATATAAAAAAGGCGTAAAACCCAAGCATTCAGGAGTACACACTGTAGAGGTGACCTTTATTAAGTATTCCAGGCAATTATCAGTCTCTTTTTCTCACTTGTATACATATATGTGTGTGTGTGTATAGTGTGTGTGTGTGTGTGTGTGTGTATATATATATATATAATCTCATTAAAAAGGGTAATCAGGCTGGGTGCAGTGGCTCACACCTGTAATCCCAGCACTTTGGGAGGCCAAGGCAGGTGGATCACCTGAGGTCATAAGTTGGAAACCAGCCTGGCCAACATGGGTGATAGGGTGAAACTCTATCTCTACTAAAAATACAAAGATTAGCCAGGCAAGGTGGTGGGTGCCTGTAATCCCAGCTACTCCAGAGGCTGAGGCACAAAAATCGCTTGAACCTGGGAGGCAGAGGTGGCAGTGAGCCAAGATCGTGCCACTGCACTCCGGCCTGGGCTACAGAGCGCGACTCCGTCTCAAAGGAAGAAAAAAAAAAAAAAAAAATGGTAATCACACTATATATTCAATTTTGCAATTTGCTTTCCCACTCAATATTCATAATCTGTTTTTTCTTTTGATAATTTATTATTTTTGACAGTTTAAAATAATATTACCTATTACTATTTCCTGTGACCGTTTGCTCTGGGTCTTTTTATGTATAGGCCAATCAGCTGGGTCAAGGACCAATTCCTAGAATGGTTTTAATAGTAAACCATTTCTTTGATAAATGATATTTGTTATTAGCAGAAGCGAGGATTTTGTCTCCTTTTTTGAATGTTGTTTTAAAGATGAGCTTTAGCTATCAGTAACCAAATGTGTCAAACTTGCTGTTCCCTAATTTCAAACCATAATGGAGAAGTGGCTGGGAGATGATCTAAAAATAAAACAGTATACATGGAAGTAGTCCCTTGCTTATGTTTGGAAGGCCATAAATTTTCATAACTTTGTGCCTTTCACTGCTCATAGCTCCCTGGCCTGTGATTTATGCTCTGCCTAATGGACAAGGTTAGTTAGGGTAGCCAGATGTCCCAGATCTAGATGTAGATAGTGAGGTTTTACCCATCACTATAACAAAGAACCACTCCATGATTTGCAAAACAATTATTGGGGTCATAAGCTTAGCGATTTTTCTGTAGTGGAATTGGGCACATGTCCCCCACCCCCCTTCCATGTTGATTAGCCTCTGAAATGTCACTTGTTTGGACCCTGTACATAGTCATGAGCTAACATTTCCTCATGGATTACTTTTAACAGATAAAGAACAGCTGATAAGCTCTGAATTGTGATTTATCAGTTAATTAGGATTTCAATAAGAAATGATAAGCATTCAGAATCTCAGAGCATCACAGTAGTTTGCTTATATTTTAGAATTTACCGTCTACTTCTTTTTAAAAATCTCTTTTATATAGATCTTATTTTCCTCTCCTTCCACTTAAAACCCTGAAAGTAAGCTGATACTTTATTTACTTCTGCTCTTTTTTATTTTTATTTTATTATTATTATACTTTAAGTTTTAGGGTACATGTGCACAATGTGCAGGTTAGTTACATATGTATACATGTGTCATGCTGGTGCGCTGCACCCATTAACTCGTCATTTAGCATTAGGTATATCTCCTAAAGCTATCCCTCCCCCCTCCCCCCACCCCACAACAGTCCCCAGAGTGTGATGTTCCCCTTCTTGTGTCCATGTGATCTCATTGTTCAGTTCCCACCTATGAGTGAGAATATGCGGTGTTTGGTTTTTTGTTCTTGTGATAGTTTACTGAGAATGATGATTTCCAATTTCATCCATGTCCCTACAAAGGACATGAACTCATCATTTTTTATGGCTGCATAGTATTCCATGGTGTATATATGCCACATTTTCTTAATCCAGTCTATCATTGTTGGACATTTGGGTTGGTTCCAAGTCTTTGCTATTGTGAATAGTGCCGCCATAAACATACGTGTGCATGTGTCTTTATAGCAGCATGATTTATAGTCCTTTGGGTATATACCCAGTAATGGGATGGCTGGGTCAAATGGTATTTCTAGTTCTAGATCCCTACTTCTGCTCTCTTAACTCTTGTATTTTCACCCTTTCGGTTTTTTTCTCTGGTTTTGTGGCCCTGTGTAAATAAATGTTTCCTTGACTTTTTTCTTTCTCTCTTTCTTTTTTTTTTTTTTGAGCCTGAAACCCCAGTCCTGGGAAGATGTTCTAACTCTTGATGGTTTACCAGAAAAGAACATTTAAGAATTTTCTCAATCCTGATGTCAGAGGAGGAAGAAAGGAACAGGTTCTTCCCCAGGGCTTTTGGTAGAGCCTGACACATCTCCTAAAGCCTGGGGATCTTGGCCAGGGGAGAAGAATACATTCCTTTACCTTGGCCTGCCATTCTCAGTCTGTAGCTTGATTTGGTCTTCTGTCACTCCCTCTTGTGTTCATTTTTTTTAGCTCTTGAAGGTAGGTGGTTGAGAGCACCATCAGTTTAGACATGTAGCGGCTTACATTTCTTTTTAAAGTCAACAAGAAAGATTTGGAAGTGAAAACCAGCTACCGTTCATAAATATTTTATAGCAGTTTTTCCTATAGTTCTTAGAAGCTGGGGAGACTGCCAGTGAGAATGTTGTAGGCTGGAATGGAGCTGGTAAGTTGAGCCTAACCTGTGGGAGGTGGCCTGTGATTGGGACACAACCTTGTTGTCCCACATCCTCATGACATTTATTGAGTGGGAGTCATCTTTGCCTGCCACTGCATGAAAACTCTGGCTGACCCTTGACTCTTTGGTTAGTCTCAGGAAATAACAATGTCACAGTTGCTTTAAGTTGCCAACACAATCAGAATTCGGCAGTTAGAGTGCTTAGTGCTAGGGAATAAATAACAACTCTGACAATTTAAAATGTAAAAATAGGTCAGGTGCGGTGGTGGTTAACCCCTGTAATCCTAGTGCTGTGGGAGGCTGAGGCACTAGAGTTCACTCTTGAGGCCAAGAGTTCAAAACCAGCCTGGGCACATAGACCCCATCTCTACAAAAAATTAAAAAAAAAATTAGCCAGTCATGGTGGTGTACTCCTGTAGTCCTAGATACTATGGAGGCTGAGGGGGAGGAACATTTGAGCCCACAAGTTTGAGGCTGCAGTGGGCTATGATTGTGCCACTGCACTGCAGCCTGGGTGACAGAGCAAGACCTTGTCTCTTTAAAAAAATAAAATAAAATAATTTGAACTAGTGGCAATACATGCTTATTATGGTATGACATTTTCTCTCCCCACCTTCCAAGCTGGCTACTTGCAAGGGGAAATGGAGACATAGCTCTTTACTTTTCTTCTGCTTTGCATTACTCCTAACCTCAGTTTGTTAAGCAAAGTTTCTGCTCCCTCCTGGATGGGATCCGGAGGTTGGGTGGTGAGAGGATTAGAGGGAAGAGACTCAGGATATGCTGTCATCTCAGGTGGAGCTCTTGGGTGGCAGGTGTTTAACCTGTGGGTTATTTAAAGGCACCTGTCACTGGACTCAGCCTGTCTTTGTCTTCAGCCTCCTGGACCCTGCCAGCACAACTCTAGTAGGAGGGTACATGAGCCTGCTTCCACAGCCCCCAAGAGGCCACTGTGCATGCACAGCTTCTGCCTGCGCAGTTTCCTTCATCACTCTGTGGCCCTGTCAGCCATGACCCACGATGGGGCTATCTGGGCTTTCCCTCATCTACAGATCACCCCTGGCTCATGAGAAAGTCATTTATTTTTTGTGCAAATTTCATTAGCAAAGAAACATCACTCATTAGACTTCCCTGGCAGGAGTCAGACCTCTCTTATTCTACTGGGCACCAGCAGGTGACACAATGCAGCTCTTCAAGTGGCCCTGTTAAACCTGCTTTAACAGGCTTGGGGGTAGCTAGCCAGTAACACCCTCGCTCCCCAGGGTGGAGGGAAGGGTTTCATAGAACCATTTGCTGAAGAAAATTGTCTTCATCAAATCTTTACTTTTGATTCTTCCTATATTTTTATATTCTCCTTGTGGATTTTAGAACTTTCAATTGTCTTTCTTCCATTTTCCTTAAAAAATCTGCCTTTTGGTGTGACCTTCTCTTTGGCATTTAGTATCTGTTGCGTTTTGGTGCTTCTTTAGAAATGTAAATGTTAAACTCTGATTACAAATAGCTTGGGAAAGACTGGGGATTGTAAATGGACCAGTTCCCAAAGTTTTTGCTTGTTAGACTAATTGCATTAATTAATGTCAAATATGTAAGTATTCCCAGATGGCTGGATGTTTTGAAGTATACACAGGCATACTCCAACTTTTGTAATAGAGAAGATTAAAAACAAAACAAATGAATAAACTGAGCAATGAACGCCCAGCTCCGAAATCATGGATGATGCTTAGCTTTGTGGATAGTGCCTTTTGCTCCTAAGACTCACTAAAGACATTCCTTTTTGGAGAAATCTATCTCTTGCTCCTAGAGAGATGTGATAGTTGTAGTCTGGTTAAGAATACGGTTTCAGCACAGCCATCTCATGCCAGTCAGAATGGCAATTATTAAAAAGTCAAGAAACAACAGATGCTGTTGAGGTTGCAGAGAAAAAGGAAAGGCAATTTCCTCAAAGATCTAGAAGCAGAAATATCATTTGACCCAGCAGTCTCATTATTGGGTATATAACCAAAGGAATAGAAATCATTCTATTGTAAAGACACATGCACGTGTATGTTCACTGAAGCACTATTCACAACTGCAAAGACATGGAATCAACCCAAATGCCCATGAATAACAGATTGGATAAAGAAAATGTGGTACATGTACACCATGGACTACTATGCAACCATAAAAAGGAATGAGATCATGTCCTTTGCAGGGACATGGATGGAGCTGTAAGCTGTTATCCTCAGCAAACTAACGCAGGAACAGAAAACCAAGCACCACATATTCTCACTTATAATTGGGAGCTGAATGATGAGAACACATGGACATAGTGAGGGGGAACGATACACACTAGGGCCTGCTGTGGGGGTGGTGGGTAGGGAGAGCATCAAGAAGAATAGCTAATGGATGCTGGGCTTAATACCTAGGTGTTGTTGATCTGTGCATAAAACCACCATGGCACATGTTGACCTATGTAACAAACCTGCACATCCTGCACATGTACCCCTGAACTTAAAAGTTGAAGAAAAAAAATTTACTTAAAAAAAATCCCTTTTTTTGGGATATGGTTTTGGTGTTGGATTTGGGATTAAGTTACTAACTGGCAGAAGGTTCCCCCATTTAAGGTTCAGTTTCTCTTCTGTTACATAGAAATAACCCATAGAATTAGAATTGTGATTAAATGAGTTCATGAGGGAGAATAGCTTAGTAGAGTGTCTGGCAGGTATTATTCACTCAATAAATGCTTGCTGTGTGACCAATCTTTGTGTTCCAAGCCCAGATCTCTTCTACTGTGGTAGGTATTTCTTAGACTCTCTCATTTCTGGTCCCCCCTTCCTTCTGGGCCCATGGCATCATTCGTTTGGGAGGATGATTCCTCTCAGGCCTAAATTGGAGCAGGTGGCTGGAAGCTGACTCGATAAGGGCCTGCCCAGATCCATTGGCATCTCTTGTTTCCATGCACTCCAGCCCGACTCCCACCCAACCAGTGACTTTTTGCCTGAGGCTTTCTGTGGCAGCTGCAGCCTGCTCTGTCTGTGCATGGGGTGAGCCAGCCAGTTGTGTAAAGGAATTATGTCCTCAGCTAGTGAATACCTCTACCCCTTCATGCCTTGGATGGGATAACTCTGAGGCACTTGTTCTGTGCTGTTTCTCAAAGTTTTCTGGTGGGATAGAGCTCCAGATACCCATAGTGGAATTTGCTTGATAACATACTCTGTATCAGCTTCCTTCTCTGTCCTGTAGTCACAGGTTGGGCTCACCAGGAAGCAGCATGCAGGATGATTACTGGGGCCTTCTTTTGGGATCAACACCTGTGGAAGGGAGGGGGAGGCAGCAGGGGGCAGAGGGAAAAAATTGGGCTGTAATGCAGTCCAAATAGAGGCCTAAGCCGACCTCTTGGGGAGCTCTAGGGCTGGAATGGCTCTTCAGAATGACCCAAGTTGGGGTGAGAGATGGGCGTTTATAACCCCAATGAATAGCCATTGGGTGCAGACTGTACCTGGAAGAGGGCCTGATCTCGGGAAAGACAGTTTTCTTCAGCCAAGGTAATCTGCAAAGCGGGTCTACAGCTGGGGCTCCTCTGGTACCACTCCAGCCTTCCTCCCTGAGGGGCCTGGCCATTGCATCACAGCACCTGCCACACCTAGGCTTCCGACCTCTCCACCAGCATTTTCTGAGGTCATCTTCTAAATACACTTGCCCTTGAGTCACTGTCTCGGTGTCTGCTTCTAAGGGAAGCAGCTAATGCAGGGATTTAACAGCACTACTTGGAGCACTTGCTGTGTGCTCTCTGCTGCTGCCAGGCATAGGAGACAGGGAGGTGACCCTGCCCAGGGAATCTGAGAGGACAGAGATAGATTGCTTGGCTGATGGAGGCAGCAAAGGGGTTACTGCCTAGCAATTGGCCTGCATCCTGGAGTTTGTTGGTGGTGAGGGAGAGAAGGTATGTGTTTTCCATGGAGCAGAGGTAGGCCATGGGTGAGAGAAAGTCTGGTGGGCTTGGCTGGGTCCTGTCCAGCTGGCAAAGGGACCCCTACTGCAAGAAGCTAGGGATGGGCCCCAGGTTCCTGGGAGCTGTTGAAGGAAGCACATATGACTTCTCAGTGGAATAAAGCCAAGAAGATTTTAAAGAGGCCAAATCCAATTCCTTCTACTTACATTAATTATAGAAAACCTAATTTATTTGCACTATAAAGTAACAGCGTCCAGGGGTTTATCTGGACCACTAATCTTTTCACATTCATCACTCCAGCTATTTGCATCTGGCAGCCAATCTAGGTTCTTATGTGGAGGATTCACTATTCCATTTCAGAGTTATGCTTCCTAATTTTACATTCTCTTTTGATTGAATCCACCATAGAGGATAATAGGATAATCAAAGCTGTGCTACCTCTGGCCGTGATTGTGCTATTATCCTCAATGAGGGTATCACAAAATTTCATATTAGTGATTTATGTTTTCTACAGTAGATAACACCAAACAGCATATTTCATAACAATTCCATATTTCTAATTATATGATATTAAATCAAATATTTAGTAGCCTGTTATTTATCTAGTTGGTCAAGTTAGATTAATTGGAGCCCTAAAATGTTCCGTCCTTGTGCACAATAAGTGTTCAGTCTGGTTGGGACTCTGTTTAGTCAACAGTACAAATGTTGTGTTTATTTGGAACATCATATGAAAACCAAATTCAGCAATGTCACAGAAAAAAACTTTTTTTTTTTAATTGAAACTCTTCTCTGTCTCCCCAACTTTGGTGTTACTGTTACCTGTGATTTTTCAGAGATTTTAATTTCCATGTCCAGTTCTAATAATCCCCAAATACACTGTAAATCTTAAGAGATTTCAAGGTATCAACTTCAATTTTCCATTATATTTCTAATGAAATAAAAAAATTTTGGTGAGTAGTTAAGGGAACAAATCGAAATGTCTAATTACACCAATATCTGTAATACTAAACAAAAAGGCTAGAATGCTTCTGAAACTTGATTGTACACAAAAATAACCTAGGGCCTTTTAATTTTATTAATTTTTTTTTTTATGGAGATGGGGTCTTGTTCTGTTACCCAAGTTAAAGTGCAGTGGCATAATCACAGCTCACTAGAGCCTTAAACCCCTGGGCTCAAGCAATCCTCCTACCTCAGCCTCCCCAGTAGCTGGGACTACAAGGTACGTACCACCACCATGCCCAGAAAATTAAAAAATTTTTTTAGTAGAGATGGGGTCTCTCACTATGTTGCCGAGGCTGGTCTCAAACTCCTAGCCCAAGAAATCCCCATAACTTAGCCTCCCAAAGTGCCAGGATTACAAGCATGAGCCACCATGCCTGGCCTGGAGGCCTTGTTAAAATGAGGATTCTTATTCCATAGGTATGGGATAGGACCTGGCATTCTGCATTTCTAAGGAGCTCCCAGATGATGCTGATGTTGCTGGCTTGTTGAGCATACTATGAATAGCAAGGATCCAGAAGACTTTTTTTTTTTTTTTTTGAGATGGAGTCTCACTCTCTTGCCCAGGCTGGAGTGCAGTGCGTGATCTCTGCTCACTGCTACCTCTGCCTCCCGGGTTCAAGAGATTCTCTTGCCTCAGTCTCCCGAGTAGCTGGGATTACAGGCACCCACCACCATGCCCAGCAATTTTTTTTTGTATTTTTAATAGAGATGGGGTTTCACCATGTTGGCCAGGCTGGTCTGGAACTCCTGACCTCAGGTGATCCATCCGCCTTGGCCTCCCAAAGTGCTGGGATTACAGGCGTGAGCCACCGTGCCTGGCCAGGACCCAGAAGACTTCTAAAAACCCTCATGAATTTAAGCAAAATGTTCACTTTAACATTTCTTTATGAGCCAGTTTGCATAAAGCTAGGCCAATTACTTAACTGCTTCAGGGTTAGGGACTAACTCTTCCATTAAACCTAAGATGTCATTGATGGTTACATGAGTCATTATTTTATGTTCTGCTAAGAGGGGAAAATGCTGACAAACTGTAATGTATCCTGATTTCAGAAATGTTAAAATAGGAGTTTTAGAACTGAAGGCATATGGTGGCTTCTCTGACTCCTTTCCAGTTTCTACACTGAGGATTTACTCTATCCTAGGTATTTTTTTCTATGAGGTATGTGCTGTGATGATCCCGTTTGACAGAGGCCTGCTGTGGCTAGATTACCTATGTGGCACAGCTGGAACCTGAACCCAGGTGCTTGTGACTGGAGAGCCCACATGCTCAGCCTCTGCCCCACAGGAAGGGCTACTGTCCCCAAGGAAAACATTCCCCTGTGCTGCCTCCTGTGGCACTCACTTACGGTGAATGCCTCTGTATTAGCGACCTACAATAGCATCTGTGCCTGCTGTGTTTATTTCCTTGTTACATACATCTTCTTTGAACCTGGCATCTTGTATTCATCACTCTACTGAAGTGACTGTCTTGAACTCAGCAATGACCTTTTTACTGCCAAATGCAGCAATCCTTTCAGTCTGAATTTTTCTTGACCTCGTCTCCATCTGACATGTCCTATCATCCTCTCCTTGAAACTCCTCTCCTGTGTTTCTGAATAGCTTGCTTTTTATGTCTGATGCGTTTCTGACTATGAGAAAATCATACTTCAGTTAACATATTTATCCCCAGCTCTTTCCTCGGTGAATTAGAGGACTCCAGGCAGTCTCCAGATCCTCACTGAATGAAAGTGAGGAATTTGGGGGTGCAGTACAAATTACTGCTTTGAAATCATGAGTCTTGCTTGAACCTTTTCTGCTCCCACTCTCTGTGTATTTTTATCATTGAGTTTAGTGTTATATTCTAATTATGTTCACTTGTCTTTGTATCCTAGATGAGTGAGATCCTTGTGGGTAGGGACTGTGTTTTATTTATTTTTGTTCCTCCAACCCCTGTCCAATGCCTAGCACATAAACGATTCAACATTGCTGAGGCACAACCACAATCCACTATTTTAGTGGCAGAAGAAGTCATTTCCCGATATCTGTATTGTGTTGCAAGGAAATCTCACTTAGGAGGTCTCAAGCCCTAGGAACAGATCAATCAGAAAGGGAGGTGGGGAGGTGATGTCCTTTCTCCGTTTTATATGGAGACTTAACTGGTCCCAGATTGAAATTACTCTTATTATTTTTTTTTTGCAGAAAAATTAGAAGTCCTAATTTCTTCACGTATGGGGGTAAAATGAACCTTGTATAGAGGACAAAGTCTTCTATGGAAACAAACAACAAACAAGGGCCTTCCTATGCCATTTTAAAAAACAACTCAAGGGTCAAGGACTATAGGGTTAAAGGTACATGCCAAGAAATGATTATTTAGGAGTTTGAAGAGGTTAATCTCTGAAATGTCCACTTGTCCTCCCTAAGGAGCTTCTTCCTCTCACTTGATGACAGTCCTAAACCCATTTCCCTATCAGTCTTAAGGTGATGTGAACCTGGAGAAAATTTGTTCTATTTTTTTTTCTCTTATGGGCTAGCATGTCAGTTTCTTATCACGTGCTGTTTGCTGAGTCACTTTGGTTAGATTTGAGTCAGTTCACTGTCTGCTTCTGAAGCAAGTTGTGTCAAGCCACAGTTATTGGCAATTCGGCCATGTAACAAAGCCGTTTTTTAAGAAAAATCAAAGTAAATGTTTTCAAAAGAGGAAAATGACATAATTGACCCTACCATAAATAATTTTACTGCTTGATTTTAGAGTCCATTACTTATTTCTGATTTTGTTTATCAAATGATTTGTGTTCAACCCGAACAGTACTTTTCTGAAGCCACTAATTTATCACTTGTGGCAGAGCCGTGGTTGCAGAATGTTTAAAACAACCGAGGTAGCTGCAGAGGCCATCAAGAGGCAGTGTGGCAGGGGGGCCGATAGAGGGCGCTGGGCTATTTGTGATAAATTTCCAGAGGCCGGAGCAGCCTGTTTACCAGCCTTCAGATGAAAAAAAAAGCAGAACACAGCTTTTAAAAACAAAAAAAAACAAAAAAAAAAAAACCTCACTAATTCTGAGACACAATGGAATAAAAAAAACATGGAAATGAAAAAATTCATCAGCTATCTCTTAGGTCTGAATTCTACGCAAAGAAAGTTTTCAACGCTGGCTGCTGATCAGTTACAAAGGGCTGACACCACCTAATGTGCATGCACTCTCTGTTTCCCTGATACATTTCAGTTTGCCCAGTGGCGATGGTGGAAGTACTTAAATTACCCAAAGGCCGGCTTTGGAAAGTAATATGACTTAACTTTGTGGAAGACTTTGGAATAAAAGAAATGCTGATGATACAATATCTAGTTTTGAGTGAACATTTTGCTTCCCCCGCTGGAATTCTGATTCTTTCTCTCCCTAGCTTCCTCAGTTTCTTACTTTCTATTTTCCTTCAGAGGTTGAAGTGGGCCCTGTTTCTACAGTCTTTGGGGGAACTGAAGACTTACCCTTTAGGGTTAATTTATGCTCTGCTATTCCTTTCCTCGGTATCTTTGGATACGAGGCTTGCCTTTTGTCCCCTGTCTTATTTCCACTCCTCTCCCCAGAGATCTGTTGGAATGGTTAGGGGAAGGTGGGAGAGGGAGGAAGCTGGTGCAGTGGGGATTGACTGAGTTTGGAAGACATCTTCAGCAGCTTTCTGGTCACATGGGCTCCTCTCAGCTCCCACAACTGCTTTAGGCATATGGCCGAACTGTATGCTTCTGTATTCTAGCCCTGGAACTCACTCACTCTTTATTCTCTACACCTCTCCTCAATAGGTTTCCAGTCCTCTGGTATTTGTTTCAGATTTATCTCTTTGGGTAATGTATGACTGTTACAGCTGGTTGGGTAAGTAGGTGATTTTCACTGCCATGGGTCTAAAGCATCTCGTAAAAAAAACAACTTACAGATACATTATCTAAGAAAAGCAAAAACAAGTAATTATGTCAGGACTTGTAAATTTGTTATAGCAATATAAAAGTGCTCTTAAGCAGGGCATGCTTAAGCTCTTCCTTCTGAATTCATCTGCACTTGAAAAAAATAAGCCAAACTCACCTGTTTTGAGGCAATTAAAAAATGCCTAAACTCTCACTCAAATTACGACTTCAGTGGATTCTTGGGCTTGAGTTCTTTTAGGATAATAATGTATCTGTGATTTTGAAAAGAGTCATATGTGTTAGAACAAGAAGGTTGTAAGAGAATGTATTCATGTGAAACTAGCAGCAGATATGCCGGCCAGGCAAGTCAGCTGAAACAGAGGCAGAGAGTATCTGTAAAGGAGAATGTGTGAAAAGGTGAATGAGGCCTTTGAGGATCCAGCAACAAAAGGAATGAGGATAGGGAAAAGCAAAGAAGAGATGTAGAGTGAGATTTATTTGTTTTAGAGAACTTATCTTAGAGCATACCTACAAAATAATTATAAGAAAAATAATTTATGGAACATGTAAATAAATATGAAGGGCCAAAAAAAAAAAAAGATAACAATTGCTCCTTTCTCCCAAGGAAGAAATAGATAAAGAAAACAAAGTAGTGCTTTTATTTATTTTATTATTTATTTATTTATTTTTAGAGACAGGGTCTTGCTTCATTACCCAGGCTGGAGTCCTGGTCCACAAAACCATCCTTTCCTCTTAGAGGACTCTCGGCCTGTGATGGGAAGGGCTGCCATGAAGTTCTCTGAAGTGCCTTTGAGGCCTTTTCCTAATTGTCTTACATATTAGCCCTTGGCTCCGTTTTAGTTAAGCAAATATCTGTAGCAAGTGGTTGCTTCACAGCCTGCTTGAATTCCTCTCCTTAAAATGCTTTTGTTTTCTGTACCACATGCCTAGGCAGCAAACTTTCCAAATTTTTATGCTCTGCTTCCCCTTTAAATATACTTCCAGCTTTAAGTTAGCTCTTTGCTCATGCCTCCGAGCATAGGTTGTTAGAGGCAGCCAGGCCACATTGTAAATGCTTTGCTACTTAGAAATTTCTTCCACAAAATACCCTAAATCTTCACTCTGAAGTTCAAACTTCCACAGAGACCTAGGGCAGGGGCACAATGCAGCCAAGTTCTTTGCTAAGGCATAAAGTGCATGACCTTTGCTCTAGTTTCCAATAAGTTTCACATTTCCATCTGAGACCTTGTCAGCCTGGCCTTCACTATCCATATCACTATCAGCATTTTGGTCACAACCATTTAACCAGTCTCTAAGAAGTCGCAAACTTTCCCTAATTTTTCTGTCTTCTGAGCACTCAAACTCTTCCAACCTCTTCTTGTTGCCTGTTCTAAAGGTGCTTTCACATTTTCGGGTATCTTTATAGCAATGCCCCAATCCTTGGTAAGAATTTTCTGTATTAGGCTGTTCAGGCACTGCTATAAAGAAATACCAGAGACTGGGTAATTTGTGAGAAAAGAGGTTTAATTGGCTCACGGTTCTGCAGGCTGTATAGGAAGCATAGCAGCATCTGCTTCTGAAGAGGCCTCAGGAAGCTTCCAATTATGGCAGAAGGCAAAAGGGGAGCAAGCACATAAAGTGGTAAGAACAGAAGAAAGAGAGAGTGAGGGGGGAGGTGTCACACATTTAAATGACCAGATGTTGCAAAACTCACTATCGTGAAGACAGCACCAAGCCATGAATCATCTGCCCTCATGACCCAAACGCCTCCCATCAGGCCCCACCTCCAGCATTGGAGATTACAATTCAACATGAGATTTGGTTGGGGACAAACATCCAAACTATATCACTCCTTATTCTCAATAGAATACCATTTTGGACTCATCTTTTACTAATAATCACCATGTGCCAGTTGTGTCAGTTTGATGTATGGTCTGGCCCATGTAGTAGGAGGACAGCCATAGAAAGCCTTGTTCTGACTTGAGTCTATTGCTGTAAGACAGGGGAGCCTCAGCAACCTCCCAGTGGCATTATCAACAGGACCCCTAAGCCTGTCTCCGGCATTAATATGGTTTGGCTGTTTCCCCACCCAAATCTCATCTTGAACTATAGTTCCCATAATCCCCATGGAGGGACCCTGTGGGAGGTAATTGAATCATGGGAATGGGTTCTCATGAGATCTGATGGTTTTATAAGGGGCTTTCCTCCCGCTTCACTCTGCACTTCTCCTTGCTGCCACCATGTGAAAAAGGGTGTGTTTGCTTCCCTTTCTGCCATGATTGATGGTTTCCTGAGGCCTCCCCAGCCATGCTGAACTGTGAGTCAATTAAACCTCTTTCCTTTATAAAATACCCAGTCTCGGGTATGTCTTTATTAGCAGCATGAGAACGGACTAATACAGGTATGGTTGTTGCAGGTGTTAGTATCTTATAGATAGCATGGGAGGATCATTGCCCTGAACACAGTTGGCCCATGACAAGAGCTATGTCTTAGGATGTGCATGGTTCAGTGATAAAGAGGGCGATCAAGTATGCTAGAGCCACTTGGCAAAGCATTTTGTTTCAACCTAGGAGAAGGAAAAGTCAGCCTCTGGCTAAGTGGCCTCAGATAATCTGCATATTTTCTTGGGAAGACTGGGATACTGAGAAGAGTGGTTGTAGCACACAGGTAAAGGGATGCTGATTGCATATATCAGAAAGAGAAGACTTCCCTCTTGGTGGAAGCTTGAACGATTTGAAGGATATAAAAGATGCTTTGGTTTTGGAAGTATGGTATGCAGGTGAGTTAGAGTTTACTATAGTCCTTTTAAGAAAGCTGAGCACTGGAGGGCTGGGTCATAGATTGGCATTTTTGCAGCTGTATGTAGGGAAAGGAAAGGCAGTAACACTAACATCATTCTTTGGCCTTTTCCTCCTCCTCAAGGATGCAGAAGGTATACCTTGAAAGTGCACCAAGAGATGAGTAGAGTCAGTTCTTCTGCTAAAGGTGGGAAAGAGTGAGTCTTGTTGAGGGGGTTCTCATTATTTCCAAAGAAGTCATGAGTGGCAGAATGATAGTGAAATATGTGAAACTAGGAGTGTGAGAAAATGCCTGAAAATAGAGTGATGACTGTCTTTGGAGGGTACTGGCAGTGATAACCCCTACCCTTTGGCAGACTGTCTGGTTTTGTCTGCTCACAGCTGTGACCAGTTGGCAGTAAAGAAACAACAGAAGCCCACTGGGCAGCTATAGTTGCAATAATCAACCTCTATTTTTTATGCCAGAGACTCTGACCTTCAATTATTTGTGAGTTCTTAGCTTCCACCCAGATGGCTGAAGCCACTTTACATATGACCTTTGCATAAGTGTGATACTATTTTGCATATTTTAAGGATTTTTAAGGTATTTAGCAACCAAAATATATAAATCTATTTCTATCTGCTGAATACTCAAACTTACTACTTTGGTATATGAAATGAAAGATAAAAGTTGACACAATCAAAAGAAATGCATGTTTGATTTCAGATTAATTGAATGGAGAAAAATGAAAATGTTTTAACTCTAACAGTAGCTTTAAACAGAATAAACTATGGACTTTTCAAAGGATTATGATTGTCCTTAATCGTGCCAAAATGAAGCTTGAAGCAATTATGGGTAATACAGATGTATTGTTAATACCAGCTGTACCCAGGTTTTGATTATATAAGAAAACAGGCTTAAACTTCTGGCAGATGGTTAGCCTAAAAGTTCGAGTAAATCCAAGTTTTTAGATACTCAAGATGTAGGGAGCATTTCTGCTTGAACCCAGATTTTCCCTCCACAGGGAATGCATTGCAACTGGAATTATCTCAGCAACCTCCAAATGTGACTTTGTTCTTTAGAAACTAACTGTGCCCTTGTTTTTCTGAATCCTCAAGTTTATCATTTTTTTCCCAATGCATTGTGTTTGTCAAACTATTACCTGGGAGCCTTTTTCTGGGCATGTGCAGGCTTAAATTAGCCTTTTTTTTTTTTAATCTCAATATTTCTTGATTCTCCTCCTATAGAAGTCTTCCCATTGCCACAGTGCACATGGGCACCATAATGGGTGGCAGATTCCTTTTTGCTTCTGCAGTATGATCCCTCTCTTGTTGGATCTGGGGCATGAAAGCAGGCAAAATTAATGGGCTGAAGTTGGTGTAGCTGATAGAATGGTTTCTTACAGCTTCAACAAGGGCAAGAGAGAACATTTGGCCTGGAAAGATCACTCAGCAGGACTGCAGACAGGGTCAAGGCGGTCAGCACGGCTATCTCACCTTCAGGCTGAAGTATTCTAGGGCAAGGTGTCGACCCTGCTTGTTTGCATCCCTTCTGAGAAAGGAGTAGCATTTTGACTCTTCAGGAAGTGGGAGGGGTGGAGAGATCAGGGCTCCTATCTTGGGAAGTCACATTATCCTTCATCAATTAGGCATTTGTGTTTTATGGGAAAATGTGATTTGAATTTCATAGGAGAGTACACATGAACCAGTGGAAACAGTATGGTTGCAAATATTTAATGTAAGTTTTTGAAGTAAGGGAATTGAAGTCAAAGATGACAGCAATACGGAGAGAAAGAGAAAAATTGAAAAAGAAATTATGGGGATCAGAATATCACCTGAAAATAAGTTGCAGACGCATACTAACCGCCTGCAAAACCATGGTCTTTCTAATAGTTTCACAACTGGATGCTCTCCTTAGGAAAACATAAGTGGAGATTACTGATTGGGGATGGAGTCACCTGAAGTGAGTACACACTTTTTTTCAGGATATTTCATTGGCTAGAATGAATCATTATCAAGGAAAGAGAAGACATGGCTATGTCTCCAAGGAATTTATCTTGTCAAAGGAGAAAAAAGGATAAATACAAATAAATCAGAACACAGCTAACATTCACTGGACACATTATTTGCTAGGAGCTATATTAAGTACTTGAATATACTATATTGATTACAACCCTATGACCTAGATGTTATTATCCACACTTTACTGTTAAAAACTGAGACTTAAGAGATCAAATAGCTTGCCCAAAGTCACACAGCATTTAAAAGACAGATCCAGGGTATGAATCCAGGGATCTGATTGCAGATCCCGAACTCTTAGGCACTGTGGTTTACTATCTCATGGATACCTTCAGTGTCTTTCTGTTGTTCATCAGCATCTTCACATGGACCTAATGGTAGAACAGCTGGAACATGAAGGCTAATCAGCATGGCTTGGCTGATAAGACTTACATGGGGCTGAAGAGGAATGGCTTTATGGCCAAAAGATATTTTAAAAGGCAGAGAGAAAATATGAATTGATCCTATACAGGGGCAGTTGAATAGTTTCCTGGACTGGTTCAATTTCTTCATTTATTCTTTTCTAAAAAGGTAATTTTCTTAATTTGCTAGACCATCTCTAATTATGGGGCTCTTAGACTTGTATTCATTTTATTAAAAATGCAAGGTTTTAATGGTATAATCTTAAGAGGCTCAAACAACCAGTAACAATTAGTTCCGTGGCTCTTGGCCAAGCAGTGCTAATGCCTAACATTGTCTAATATTTCACTTGGCCAGACTGTAGGATGGAGTTTTCCTACAGTAATTTTCCTTGCATCTTGACTCTCAGCAGTAAATCACTCTACCGAGGAAATGAGCAACTATCTGGGCCTCTTCTTTCTTGCACCAGTTGTTTTTAATGACACTTGCATTCTTTCTCATAATTTCCCAAGGTGACATGTTGCTTATGTAGAAACTATTCATTTATTCACTTATTCAGCCATTTAGTCCTTCTGTCTTCCCTCCTTCCTCTCTCCTTCCCTCTCCCTTCCTTCTCACCCATCTTTCTCTCCCTTTTTATTCACTACCACCTTTTCCCCTTTCCTCCCTTCAACAATTACTAGGTTCTCAAGAAATGCTAAGCCCTGAATTAAGTATTGTGGGGGATACATAGATGGATGAATAAATATGATTGATTTGTTCATCCATTTAATGAATATTCAGTACCTACTGTGTATCAGGCTCTATTTTGCAAGCTTGAAACAGAGCAGGGTACACAATAAAGTCTCTTTTCTCAGGGATTTGTATTCCAGGGAGTGCATTTGGGAGACAGACAAGAAGAAAGCCCAAACAAATAAGTAGATCATATGGCAATTAGTGGTAAGAACATAAATATAAATAAAACAGGAAATGGGAAGACAGATGATAGGGATAGAGAATGTATTGTTTTTACATAGGCTGGTTAGGAAAGGCCTTTCTGAGATGTCATTTGAGCAGACACACATTTATCTGAGAGGAGAGCAAGTACCAAGGCCCTCAGGAAACTCACTTCTAACAGGGAGCAAAGGTGCAAAGGCAATGTGACAAGGTAGAAGGAGGGTAAGAGCATGAGGGAGGTGTAGATGAAGCACCCCTGGGTGAGTTCAGGGGAAGGAAAGATGACTCTGCTGGGGGCAGAGACCTGGGAAGAGCAAGCTCCCCTTACTGGGGGTAATACACACTCTGACACCTCATAGCAAAGACTTTTCCCCCAGGCCCTCTTCTGCAGAGTGAACAGGCCCCTTGGTTATGAGTAATTGGGCTGCACACCATAATCTAGGTGCCCTTTGGTTAAGATGCTGAGATTCTAATAGATATGGAGACAGGTCACAACATCTGTCTACTTTTTCCTTAGTTTTGGACTCCTCTAAATCACATCTCTTGTTTAGAGGAAGACTAACCTGTTGGTCTTACCCAATGTTGGCCAATGGGAGTGCTCTTATTTTTAGGTAACTGTGCCCAATGCTCAATTTCGGGATGTCCCCATATTTACTCGCTTTGGTTGGCTTGGCAACATTCTAGCTCTTTTACTAGAATGCAAATACCCCAGAGAAAAAGGAAACATCATAGCATTAGCTCACATTTGGCTGTTAGCTAGAGATGGTGCAAACAAGTCACTACGAAAATGAAACATTTAATACTTTTCTCTTTTAAATGGGATGATGGCAAGGAGGTGACATAGGACACTAAAAGGAGAGGTAAAAATGGAAGGAGTATGGGATGGGGAAAAGGATGAAAAAAAGGAAAGAAAAAAGGTATCACTTAATTTCACAGAGCAGATGTACCCAAATCTTAAAGTTGATCCAATGGTGATGTCTTGAAATATAGCTACAGATATATTTAGAAGAGCAAAAATACCTGGATAAGCTACTTGAAGCAAAGGTGAGATCATAAGGTGGTATGTGGGGTTTGCAGGAGCCAAAGCAAACTCGTTTTAATGATGTAGTATGCCCTGGGAACGAACAGGAATTTAAATGGGGCTGAAGGTGGAGGGGGAAGCAAAATGGAAGCAGAAAGAAGAGCAGAGAAGCAACAACATGAAGGGAGGCTGGTACCCACATCAAAGAAGAAATGGCCAAGGGACCTTTAGCAATACAAATATTTATTATTGATTTTTACATTTATGTTGTACAATGTAGATTTTTCTAAAACCTTCAATAATATTTTCTATTCACTTCAAATGCCTTGATTGGAGGGTGTGTTGGGTAGAAATTAAAGAAAAGTACAGCCCAGGGCAGAGCAGGGTTGAATTAGTTGGGAGTAGATGGTGAGTGGATCCCTGGTCTCCACTACTCACTCAGCAGAGGCAGAGGTAGAAGCAGCCATCCGAGAGCCCCCACCTCACCCCACCCCTGCCCCAGAAATGGGCAGAAATGCTTAGGATGCTGCTTAAGATTGTATTTTTTTTTTTTTACCATCCATAATGTGAACATTTTAATCTATCTTTATCTAGATACTAAGAAATAGGTCAATGCCAGCTGATATCTGGATTACGTATATTTTTAAAACTATTATACATTTTCATTAGGATGTTGGAGAACCAGAACTTTAGAAGTGAGGATGAAAGCTGAAACTCCAGAGTTGAACATGAAGGGGAAGGGAACATTTGGAGTGCAGCACTAAGTGGCTCTTCCTTTTAATAGATGGGATTAAAACTGTCTTTAGTCAAGAATTATCTTATTTGCCTGTATCTCAGGAGGGTCTTTCACAGAAGTGGGTCTTTGCTATGGGGACCCTGGAAATGAAGGTGTTCTATGCTATTATTTCTTTCCATAATCCTGAGTGCACATTTGCTACCTTTGAATGTCCTACTCAATTTCTCTGCTTTTCAAGCTGTGGAAAACCCCGACGATCTATCAACAGAAGGAAAACTTACATAAGACTGAGCAGGGAGATAATTGCTTTTTACAACGCTCTTTGATTTCAATGCTTACTAGCCAAGAACACCTTCTCTGTCTTGAAGGTTAGGTACTAGAATGGAGAGAATCAGGACTTGAGCAAGATTGGTGCCAAGAAGGGCATAGACTGTGATATCAGAGGGCTTCTGAAGTTCTCTGGAGGGCTGTAACCTAGAATCTTCTTTCACAAAATAATTTAAAAATGACTATTAATAAATATTTTTTAAAATTTAGATGTTCTAGGTTTCTTGAAAAATATAAAATTCACAAAATTAGTACAAGAAGAAAGAGAACATTTGTTTTTGAAATGGTAATCAAAGACTCTCATCCCCATCCCAAGTCCCCAAAAATCCTAGACAAAGGAGGCTTTATGCGAGAGTTCTAACAAATTTTCAAGGAAAGAAAATTACTGTTTTATATATAGGTTTTAGAAACAAGGAGGGTAAACTTCCCAACTCATTCAATTTCTTTTTTCTAATGGACTTAGGGGGTACAAGTACAGTTTTGTTACATTCTTACATTACATAGTGGTGAAATCTGGGCATTTAGTGTAACCATCACCTGAATAGTGTACATTGTACCAGTCAGGTAATTTCTCATCCCTCACCCCTGCTCCCCTCCCCGCCACGTTTCTGAGTCTCCCGTGTCTATTTTTCCACTTTCTATGTTCACGTGCACACATTAAAAGCTAGATAAAGATGGCACAAGGAAAGGTAATTATAGGCCTATATTACTTATGAATTGCATTTGAAAATCAGGTAAGGATGATTTAGCTGCCTGGTCTCACTTCTCTCTTTTTCAGTCCCCTCCTCTCTCTCTCTCTCTCTCTCTCTCTCTCTCTCTGTCTATATTAATTAAATATTTAAGAGGTCACAGACTGGGGATTCTAAACTCTCTCGTTTCTTGTTTGTCACTCTGAAACGCTTGTCTCATTTTCCTGTCTTCAACTGTGTATTCTTTTTTTTTTTTTTTGAGACGGAACCTTGCTCTGTCACCAGGCTGGAGTGCAGTGGCGCGATCTCGGCTCACTGCAATCTCCGCCTCCCGGGTTCAAGCAATTCTCCTGCCTCAGCCCCACGAATAGCTGGGATTTCAGGTGCGTGCCTCCATGCCCAGCTAATTTTTGTATTTTTAGTAGAGACAGGGTTTCGCCATGTTGGTCAGGCTGGTCTTGAACTCTTACCTCAGGTGATCTGCTGTCTTTGGCTTCTCAAAGTGCTGGGATTACAGGCATGAGCCACTGCGCCTGGTCTCAACTGTGCATTCTTGAGTCTGAATAAATACGGTATCTGAAACCTTTCTCGGTTCTCCCACTTCTCTAGGTTTCAGCCGCTAGAACTATTTTGTTATTGTTGAAATGCACTGGCATATAATTCTAGAACTTCTTTCTTAGAATTGTATAAACTACAATAGTATTCCAGAACCCAGATTTCTGAAAAAAACAGCAAGAAAACAATGTTGCAACTTTTGTTGTTGTGGTTAAGATAGGAAAGAATTTTGGAGAAAAACATCTTAGAAAGGCACTAAATTTGATTCACTTGTGGACACATATGTTCGACTCTTTCTGTCCATCACTTTTCCTTCTTGATTTATGTGAAAATTATATATTTTTGCTCCTCATAATATAGAGAAAAGCAGAAGTGGAGGGCACATTAGAAGACGGGCAAGGTGCAAAGTTTTCTGTAGGGACATTTCTGTTTCCTTTTATGAGAAAACATAAATTTATGTTAATACATTTTTGAGTATAATTTGTATGCTTATTTACTGCAGGTTCACTTTCTTTATATATATATATTTATTATACTTTAAGTTCTAGGGTACATGTGCACAATGTGCAGGTTTGTTACACGTGTATACTTGTGCCATGTTGGTGTGCTGCACCCATTAACTCATTATTTACATTAGGTATATCTCCTAATGCTATCCCTCCCTCCTCCCCGCACCCCACAACAGGCCCCGGTGTGTGATGTTCCCCCTTCCTGTGTCCAAGTGTTCTCATTGTTCAATTCCCACCTATGAGTGAGAAAATGTGGTGTTTGGTTTTTTGTCCTTGTGATAGTTTGCTGAGAATGATGGTTTCCAATTTCATCCATGTCCCTACAAAGGACATGAACTCATCCTTTTTTATGGCTGCATAGTATTCCATGGTGTATATGTGCCACATTTTCTTAATCCAGTCTATCATTGTTGGACATTTGGGTTGGTTCCAAGTCTTTGCTATTGTGAGTAGTGCCACAATAAACATATGTGTGCATGTGTCTTTATAGCAGCATGATTTATAATCCTTTGGGTATATACCCAGCAATGGGATGGCTGGGTCAAATGCTATTTCTAGCTCTAGATCCCTGAGGAATCGCCACACTGACTTCCACAATGGTTGAACTAGTTTACAGTCCCACTAGCAACTTCAGCAAAGTCTCAGGATGCAAAATCAATGTGCAAAAATCACAACCATTCTTATACACCAATAAAAGACAAACAGAGAGCCAAATCATGAGTGAACTCCCATTCACAATTGCTTCAAAGAGAATAAAATACCTAGGAATCCAACTTACAAGGGATGTGATGGACCTCTTCAAGGAGAACTACAAACCACTGCTCAACGAAATAAAAGAGGACACAAACAAATGGAAGAACATTCCATGCTCATGGATAGGAAAAATCAATATCGTGAAAATGGCCACACTGCCCAAGGTAATTTATAGATTCAATGCCATCCCCATCAAGCTACCAATGACTTTCTTCACAGAATTGGAAAAAACTACTTTAAAGTTCATATGGAACCAAAAAAGAGCCCGCATTGCCAAGTCAATCCTAAGCCAAAAGAACTAAGCTGGAGGCATCATGCCACCTGACTTCAAACTACACTACAAGGCTACAGTAACCAAAACAGCATGGTACTGGTACCAAAAGAGATATAGACCAATGGAACAGAACAGAACCCTCAGAAATAATATCACCCATCTACAGCTATCTGATCTTTGACAAACCTGACAAAAACAAGAAATGGGGAAAGGATTCCCTATTTAATAAATTGTGCTGGGAAAACTGGCTAGCCATATGTAGAAAGCTGAAACTGGATCCCTTCCTTACACCTTATACAAAAATTAATTCAAGATGGATTAAAGACTTAAATGTTAGACCTAAAACCATAAAAACCCTAGAAGAAAACCTAGGCAAAACCATTCAGGACATAGGCATGGGCAAGGACTTCATGTCTAAAACATCAAAAGCAATGGCAACAAAAGCCAAAATTGGCAAATAGGATCTAATTAAACTAAAGAGCTTCTGCACAGCAAAAGAAACTACCATCAGAGTGAACAGGCAACCTACAGAATGGGAGAAAATTTTTGCAATCTACTCATCTGACAAAGAGCTAATATCCAGAATCTACAAAGAACTCAGACAAGTTTACAAGAAACAAACAAACAACCCCATCAAAAAGTGGACGAAGGATATGAACAGACACTTCTCAAAAGAAGACATTTATGCAGCCAACAGACACATGAAAAAATGCTCATCATCACTGGCCATCAGAGAAATGCAAATCAAAACCACAATGAGATATCATCTCACACCAGTTAGAATGGCGATCATTAAAAAGTCAGGAAACAACAGGTGCTGGAGAGGATGTGGAGAAATAGGAACTGCAGGTTCACTTTCATTTTAGGATTATTGAGGTATAATGTACATGCAACACGTATTACTATGTCTAATGTACATTTCAATGAGTTTTAACAAATTTATATTGTCATGTAATAATCACCATGATCAATTTACAGAACGTTTCCACTTGCTGTAGTTTGGATGTTTGTCCCCCAAAGTGCACGTTGAAATTTGATCCCCAATGTTGGAGGTGGGGCTTAATGGGAGGTGTTGGGGTTATTGGAGTGGATCCCTCAAGAATGCCTTGGTGCCATCCTCGAGGTAATAAGTTCTTGCTCTGTTAGTTCCTGCAAGAGCTGGTTGTTAAAAAGAGTCTGGCACCTCTCCTCTCTTTTGCTTTCTCTTTCATCATGTGATCCTCACATGCCAGTTCCCCTTTGCCTTCCACCATGAGTGGAAGCAACCTGAGGTTCTGAGCAGAAGCAGATGCTGGTGCCATTCTTCCTCTACAGCCTGCAGAAACGTGAGCCAAATCAACCTCCATAAATCAGATCCGTTGTTGACAGGGACTGGGAGAGGCTTGACTGCAAGGCGGCAAGAGAAAACTTTTTGATACAGTAGTGGCTTAGTCCATTTGTGTTGCTATAAAGGAATGCCTTTATAAATTACCCACCACAGGTATTCCTTTATGTCCCCAAAGTTTTGCTTTTTTTAAGAATTTTAAATAAATGGAATCATAGAGCATGCCTTTTTGTGTGTGTTGGGATTCTTTCTCTACCATAATGCTCTGAATATTCATCTAAGTTTTTGAATTTATCAGTAGTGAATTCTTTTTATTGGTGAGTAGTATTCTATTGTATGATGTTCCAAAAATTATCATCCACTAGTCTACAGACGTTGGAGTCATTCCAGTTTCAATGTTCCTTAACAGAACCCTGGTCTCAGATCTTTGAGTGAGGTGGAATTTGCAGCCTCAACCTCACATGCCCAAAGGGCTTCACATTTAGACCTCTGATGTTATTTTCAAATAAATTATTCACTTAGTTACCCTTGGACAGAATTGAAATGAGTTGTTTATCCCCAGGACCACACTTTGTATTGTATACTATGAAATGACCTTAAAAAATAAATTCTGTAAATATGTTATGAACTGCATTTTTGTCACTAATTTGTTTAATATAAACTCTTTATGTATGATCATTTTTGTAACTTGCTTTAGAATTTCTTCATTTTATAATAAACCTCAAGGAGGTAAGTGACCAGCTCTTGCTTGACTTCTGAGAGCCCCTCCTTTTCCCTTCAGATGAAGAAGATGAAGAGGGAGGGGGAATGGATGGAAGGGACAGGCAGTGAATGCTTGAGGTGGAGAGCTGTTAGCATAAGGTGACCTTGAACTCCCACAGAAGTGAACTTCCACAGAGTGAACTCTCACAGAAGTGTTCATCACAGCTGCATCTGAAATCGGAAGTGGGTTGAGGGGTTGTGATGCTGGATATGTGAGGCAGCTGCCATAGTATTATTACCTCCAAGGCTTGGAGAGGTTAAGCAGCTTGTCCAAGATCACACAGTAAGTAAGTGATAGAGCAATATTGTGTAGAAATTTTTATATTTTTACTGAGGGTCAAAAACTTTGGATCTAGGTCACTATGTGACCCCTACAAGTCATTTAAGCTCTGCAGATCTGTGTCTTTATTTGTAAAAGATGACGTTGGAATCCACAGGGTCCTTATGCATGATATGAGTTCATTTTAATGTTAAAAGTAGTAGAATGTAGAAAACTGAATAAGCAGGGAAGATACTTGTTTCTTACTTGAATAAAAAGAACATTTTCTCTTCTAGCAGAGTCCAAATGATTTTCTATTTTAAATAGAGAAAGTAGATCTTATCAAGTATTTATAGAAACTGCAGATTGTTCGGACACAATCCAATACCTCATTTGATACTGGCAAGAGGCAAATGACGCCTCAAGCCTTCACAAATGCTTAAGCCAATTTTATGAACAAAGGAATATCTGGAAGTGGCTCAAGTTTAAAGAAAGCCATATATTTCTTGAGTGACATAACTTTAGGAGCTACTTGAGAAAAGTGATATGTTTTTCTAAAATCTTCATAATTAAGGTCTGAAGCATACATCCATCTAAATGTAAGTTCTTTTAGTCATCAGTGGTGTATCTTGTATTTATAATAACTACAAAGGGATGATAAATGGGCATCTGGGAATTGTTGATATTACTCCTTGGTGAGGGCCTATACCCATCATGGGGTCCCATGATCTTGTTCATTCCGATCTCTTTAGTTTGAAAAATTTTAGGCACCAGAAAAATGAAAAAAATTGTGCAGTGAATATTTGTATACCGTCCACCTATATTGAACAGTTGTTAACATTTTGCCATATTTGCTTTATCCCTTTCTACATCTAATATTTGGTGGAACCATTTGAAAGTAGGTTGCGGCTATCATAAATCACTCCTATGTGTACCAGCATGATCACTTTAAAAATAAGAATGTTCTGTACATACACAATATTGTTATCTAAAATGACAATAGTTCTATAATATTTAATATCCAATCCATATTCAGTTTTCCCCAATTGTCTCAAAAAGGTAATATATATACTTATTTTTAAAATCGGGATTAATAAGCATTCACACATTGCATTTGGTTGTTATGGATATTTAGTGTCTCTTAATCTAGAATATTTATCGACTTTTTTTACATTGATTTTTAAAGAATCCCAGCCAGTTGTCACGTGAAATGTCCCAAATTCTAGATTTTTCTGCTGGCTTCTTCATGGTATTATTGAACTTGCACTGCTGTTTCCTTCTCTATACATCAGAAGTTAGGTCTAGAAGCTTGATTAGATTTAGGTTAAATCTGTCTGGCAAGAATATTTCATACATATTGTATACTTCTTATTGCATTGTATAATAAGACATGCAAGGTCCGGTTGTCCTACTATTAGAAACTCAGATTTGGTCACTTGGTAAAGTTGGTGACTACTAGATTGCTCCGTTATAAGAGCACATTTACCCCTTTGCAATTCACAAGTAATCTGTGGAGACAGACTTTTCACTCAATGGTTTTAGCATTCGTTAGAGATCCTTACCTATGACAACTTTTACAGTAGGGATAGCAATGTGGTAGTTTTCTGAAATTCCATTATTTCTTTTACATTTATTATGAAGTAAGAGCTTTATTTCTTTTTCCTTCTTCTCCTTTGCCGATCTTTCTTGAGTTTCATTATGAATTCATGGATGTTTGTTTATTCAGAGTATTATAACCATCATAGATATATTTTTTGCTGCTCACATTTGTTTCAAAGGCCAGTAGATGCTCCTGCAAGCTGGGTTCTGGGTCCTTTCAACATGACTCTGTTAGTCTTTGAGCACTGTTTTGTTTTTTGACATAACAAGATGTCCTTGGCTTATCTTGCACATTTCCTAAAATCAGCTGTTTTTTTCCAGGGAACCCCATTATATATATTAGTGGAGAATTAGAAACCAAGATCTGGGGACTAGATGTCTTGTTCCTTCAGGACTGTTATTGCTCTTTGACTCTTTTTGGTGGACAGAGGTAAGATTTTTTTAAAAAGAGTAATGAATTCATAGTGTTTGTAATTAAAATTATGGCATTTTTATTTATTTCTTTTATTATCATGTATTGTCTTAATGTTGAAAATCTCGGTTTCTAATAACATTAATACACACTTATTTTCTTTACCTAAAATGTATTTAAAACAGTTTTAAAATTACAATTCCAGTATTTCTACTAGCAATAATAAACCTACTGATTGCATTTATATGTTATTCAAAGTAACTATTTCCTCTGGGTGGATATTTTATCAAACTGAAATATAATTTGGATCATTTGTTTCTACTTGTATTTTGTTTAAGGGAGTGCATTTTTCTTTTTTAATTTTATTTTTTTGAATATGTAAAACATTTACATGTTTCAAAAGTAAAAACCGTATAAAAATATAGTCAGAAATATTCTCATTTCTATCTCTTCCAAACTTACCCTTATTTTTGTTAGTTTCTTTTCGTAAAAATGAGATATATATTGTATTTATATAACATTAATATATGTATATATACATATATGTAAACATATGCACATGTGTTTTTATATACTTTTAATTTATTTCTTATATAAAACATGGCACAGAGTGAGGAGAGGGTCATGTTCTCCACTTTTACCCAGAACTCAGCCATACTTGTTTCTTGAGGACTGGAAGGTTTGGACGTATGGAGCATCAATCAGCCAATGTGAACGAATAGTGGTTTTCTTCTGGGGTGGCTTCACAGGAGCTGATGTGGACAAGGGGTGGGGTCAAAGCAGGGTGGACCAAAATGGCTCAGGGCCTGCAGTGCCAAACTTGACTGGTTATCTTGAGGAGGGCTGTTATCTGGCTCTCAGACCTGGAGTTTAATCTCTGCAAAGATAGAAATTATGTTTACCTTTCTATCCCCAGCTCTTAGCACAGTTTATCTTTTGAATGAATAACAGAATAAAAGGAGGCATATGCTATAATTTTTGTGGTATAAAAAGAATGTAATTTTATTTTATGATCTATAAGCTAGTGAGGCCCAGGACATTTGGGATACAATGGTCTTAGATAGGGTTCTCTAGGAGCTGACTCAGGGGCAGGGTTTGTGTGCAAGTAATTTATTGTACAAGTTCTCCCAGGGGACACTGGCAGGGAAGTGGGGAAAGAAGGACAGGGAAGGATGGGAACCAATTAAGGATATGATTTCGGCCGGGCACGGTGGCTCACGCCTGTAATCCCAGCACTTTGGGAGGCCGAGGCGGGTGGATCATGAGGTCAGGAGATCGAGAGCATCCTGGCTAACAAGGTGAAACCCCGTCTCTACTAAAAATACAAAAAATTAGCCGGGCGCGGTGGCGGGCGCCTGTAGTCCCAGCTACTCGGGAGGCTGAGGCAGGAGAATGGCGTGAACCCGGGAAGCGGAGCTTGCAGTGAGCCGAGATTGCGCCACTGCAGTCCGCAGTCCGGCCTGGGCGACAGAGCGAGACTCCGTCTCAAAAAAAAAAAAAAAAAAAAAAAAAAAAAAGGATATGATTTCATGCAAAGTCCCACAGGGGGAAGCTTCGACTTGATCTTGTTGGGAACCATAGAAGTTAAGTTAATTCTGGTGATGTGACTGTCACTAGCTCTTACTCTTACTCCCAGACAAGGGAGCTGGAACTTCATACTCTACATTTGTCACTAATTGGTCAAGGGCTGCTTCAGAGGAAAGTAAATTTGCAGGCACTTCTGACTGTATTTGAGTACAGGTAAGTGTCTAATATTGTCTGCTACAAATTATAGCTCTAGTTTAAAATGGAGTCATTTTCCTAAGCAACATTTTATAAAAAGAGCCATAAACATTGAATTTAACTAACTAAAAATGATAGCTCTATATTTAGTAAACCTTTCTAAAGCGTGTTTAAACCACATGTCCAAGTAACCACATAAATGTGTCTTTCAGAGGATGCCTGTCATTGTGTGCCATACAAAGTTCTTTCTAATTCCTGCTTTATTTCTTCTGTAATAAATCAGCGTTCACCTTCATTAAGGTCATGGTATTCATAAGACGTTCTCTCTGAGGAGAATTTTATTTTGCAGGGGAATTAGGACAACTTAGTAGGTTTTGAAAAACAGAGATTTCTGTTTGGTTGTCCTATTCTCATTGCTGATTTCCCTGCAGAAAAGAGGCAGCTAAGATTGCTCACTGGCTCTTCAGATTGCCTTGGAAACAGCCTTTCCGTTTCCTTGAGCTTCCATCCCATTAGCAGTGGCAGCTTCACCTTTTTCCTAGACGTGACACAAACAGATCCACCTTCAAACTGCATGAGTCGTTGGACTTGCATTGGCTTTTCTTGTTCTTTGCTCCCACCACATACCGTCGCTTTCCAGCATCAAATGGACATCAAATTCAAGGCAAATTTAGCCCATAGGTCTCTGAATCAAAACCTTTCCTCTCAGCCACAAATTCTGTATTTGCCGATAACAGAGGATCACAATCTCTTCCTTAAAGGACTAAAATGTGTTAAGTGTTCAATCAGTTTCCCCCTGCAAAACAACGTAACAGAGCTCACCTCTCCCATTGAAACTTGTTCTTTGAAATAGTCCTCTTGGGAGGCCATTTATTTATTCCAAATAATTTAGAAACTCACCCTTTGGACTCATATAAAATGTCATAGGTAGGGTTTTCTGGAAGCAGATGCTTCCAGCAGAGTTTGGGGTAACAGATGAATTATTAGGGCTCAACACCTATGAAGGGAAGAGGAAGCAGGATTGGGCAGAAGGAGAGGTTAAACTGTGATGCCAGCCTGACAAAGCTTCGGCCAACCCGGGGCAGGCAGCTGTGGGCAAGTATTGCTTGTTAGGGTGCCTTGCTTTGGACCAAATGGCTGTGCCTGTATAGCCTCCTTGCCTAGTCACTGGAAGCTGGCTGTCCTGGAATGGCATGACCTCGGGTGAGACAGCTCCCTACAGCTAAACTAGACCCTGAAGCAGCTGACAGCTGGAAGCTGTCTTGCTGATCACAGTCTCCATGCTGGACACCAAGTCCTTCCATGAAGGGGGATTTGAGTTAGGGGACATATGTTCATGCCTAGCACATAGAACCAGTTATAAATTCAATGAAAAACTCGACCTTACTACAATACTGTTAGGTAGCATACTCGGTTTTACAGAATGTTAGAATTGAGAGGCTTATAGAGATTTTCTGGCCTAACCCTCACCTGACCCTCATCTTTTACAGCTGCCTGACTTTTCCCTCAGGACCACTGCACTGAAAGCTAGAAGGTGGCATGACGCCTTCCTGTATCCCACTCTCCTCAGCTCTCCACCATCCTCTCCTCACCTGTAAGGGGCCCAAGTTGCTTCACAGGCTCACAGGTATTTTTCTGATTTAGAGTGGTATTAGAAAGGACAAGAACTTAAGAGAAACTGAGAAGGAAATTAAAAGTTGGGAGGAAAAGACTTCCCTGGGGTTTTAACCATGATGTGTGAGTATTATCCATAAAAGCCTAGATCACCCCCCAAAAGCTGACTAGTAAATGGAGGACTACAAAGGCTTCATCAAAAGGTCTTCTGCCTTTCTACCTGTTGAATCACTTGCAAAAATTATGTAGAGATTTGATTGTGAACCTAAGAAAAAAAAGTCTTAAAGGGCCTCCTTGACTGGTATTAATGGCCAGATCTATGACCAGATGACCTCCAACCTCCATTCTCTCAATGGAGAATCTGTGTGACAATTCCTTCATTCATCCTTTGAGTGTTTTATTGAGTGCCTACTATGTGCTAGGCCCCATGCCAAGCTCAGGGGAGAGAGTGTAGAGCTGTAATAAGGCACAAAGTTGTTCACAGCCAAAGTCGTCTGAGGACTTCAACCAGTGCTCCCAGCTGTTTCACTCTGATTTTGACATGTCTTTCTAGGTTGTGCTAAAACTATTAATTTACATGAAGGTGTTCTAAAGCTGTGGCAGTTTTATTTTCCTTTTTAAGCATTCCACTTGTGCTCCAACATCAGTGTAAGTAAAGCAGAGGGCTGGCTTTCATTGTTGGTTTTCCTCCCTCTTTTTTCCCCCTGTTTCTGCTTCTCTCTCCTTCCTTTGCTATTGGGGCTCACAAGCCAGGGTTCTTAGGAACGACTGTAGTGCGGGCCCTCTGGAGAGGGTAAGGGATAGGGAAAGGAAAAAGAGAATTGAAGGAAGCCTTGGGGCTCCCATCAGGAACCTGGTGAACTGATGAAGTCCACTAAGTCCATTCATAGTAATAGCTAACATTTGTTTAACACCAACCTTGTGCTCATCACATAGATTAACTCTCAGGACAGCTTACTGTTGGAAGGGACAGTTAAGGAGGAGTTTATGCTGACTCAGGCTGAGGGTGAGCCTGGGGGAGGGAGAGAAATTTAACCAAAATTTGGTTAATAGATGTTTTGTTTCTATTGCTCAGAGGGAAAAAAACAGTTCAGCTAATCATGTGTAAGACAAAATTTGGATATTTGGAGTATCTGTGTCTGGCTAAGGCACATGGGGAAGCATGTTTCTCTTTAGAAGAGAACACAAAAGAGTGGGGAGATGTCTTTAATCACCCCTGTTTTCCAGGAGCACAGGGCTCAGGTAAAATTCAACACTACAGTTTCTACAGTAGTAGAAATGGGAACCACTTTATATAATAATATTATTTACTGTAACTAACAAATCCTCAAATAGTTCAAACACATTTGAAGTTGATTTCTCACTTATTCGAAGTCCAGCATGGGTATCCCTGATTGATTGGTGGTTCTCCTTCAAATATTGATTCAGAAAGTCAGGATCCTTGTATTCTGTGGTTCCATCATTTTCAGCATGAGCTTGCTAAGGTCTTCTTGCTTATGTGCATCAAATTGGTGAAAGGGGTAATAGCATGGAGGATCAGGTGTTCATGGGTCAGGGCTGGAAATGGCACCCATCATTTCTATTCACATTTTATTGGCTAGGACATGGTTACCGGGCCACACCAAAGCGTGAGGGAAGCTGGGAAATAAGGCCCAGCTGTGTGCTGAGGAAAAAGAAATGAGTTTGGTGAACAGGCGGCCAATTCCTCATACAACCTCAATGTCTATCATTTATATTGCAAAATTAATGGTTAAATAAATAATAGGTCAATATGCAGCTTTTAAAAAAGAGACAAAGTTTTGTGTACTGATATAGAATAAATTCTAAAATGCTTTAAATATGAAAAATTAGTGCCGAAGAGTTTTATAGCAAGTTAGGATATGTTCTCCCCCCGCCACAAACCAGAAAAAACCCTAAAAAAAAGATTCACAAGCATCCTATGTATAGGATACCTCTGGAAGAATTCACAAGAAACTTGCATCAGTGATTGCCTTTTCACTTATTAAGGATTAAGTATTTGTTCTTCTGACCCATGGACACAGAGAGGGGAACAAAGCACACTGGAGCCTGTCAGTGGGGGGCGGAGAAGGAGAGGAGGAGAGCATTAGGACAAGTAGCTAATGCATGTGGGGCTTAAAACCTAGATGATGTGCTGGTATAAAGACACATGCACACGTATGTTTATTGTGGCACTATTCACAATAGGAAAGACTTGGAACCAACCTAAATGTCCAACAACGATAGACTGGATTAAGAAAGCGTGGCACATATACACCATGGAATACTATGCAGCCATAAAAAATGATGAGTTCATGTCCTTTGTAGGGACATGAATGAAACTGGAAACCATCATTCTCAGCAAACTATCACAAGGACAAAAAACCAAACACCACATATTCTCACTCATAGGTGGGAATTGAACAATGAGAACACATGGACACAGGAAGGGGAACATCACACACCGGGGACTGTTGTGGGGTGGGGGAAGGGGGGAGGGATAGCATTAGGAGATATGCCTAATGCTCAATGACGAGTTAATGGGTGCAGCACACCAACATGGCACATGTATACATATGTAACAAACCTGCACATTGTGCACATGTACCCTAAAACTTAAACTGTAATAATAATAAAATTAAAAAAAGAATTAAAACCATTATAGTATTAAACAGTTAAACATTAAAAAAAAAACCTAGATAATGGGTTGATAGGTGCAGCAAACCACCATGGCACGTGTATACCTATGTCACAAACCTGCACATTCTGCACATGCATCCTGTAACTTAAAGTAAAATAAATAAAAATGAAAAAAGAAAGTATTAGTTCTTCTGAAATTGTTCCATTTTCTCCTGAGAATTACTAGGCATAGTTTCCATTATGGGTTTTTCTTTTTATCTCTATGACTCAGCTCTCATAGCTTTGCATTAATTCCTAGGTTTTCTTCTGATACCCTCTTGGTTTTTAGTAGCAAATGCTTTTAATCGGGTTGTGAAGTCTTTTGCTAAATGTTCTTTATAGTCTTTGTGAGAGATCTCTAGTAAGCAGTATTGAAATGATGGACCTGTCCAGAAACAAAATCTGGGTACTGAAATCCCATTCTTTGGCATTAAATAGACTCTTACTGGCTAGCCAGCTTAAATAGCCCCCAAAGCACTCCTCACTCAGTTACCTTGTTTGATTTTCATTGTAATACTTACTGCTAAAAAAATGTGTTTGGTAATTATCCATCTCCCCCAGAAGAGTGTAAGATACATGTTTAAGTGGACCTGCTCTGTCCATTCTAATGGTGTCATGTGCTTAGGAGAATGTCATGCATCTGATGGTAGCTCAATAAGAGTTTACAGCATGTGTGTATGAATCTCCTTAGCTTGTTGCTTACTTTATATTTATCTTTCTTTCTAAGCTCACACTCATATTGCATTCTAAATTATCCAGTTTGCTATCCAGGATTTCAAAGCCCTTTGTCCAGAGCTTTATCATGGCAACGACCACATTTTACTGCAATTGTTAGTTTACATATTTGTCTCTCGAATGTGAGCTTCTCAAGGGTCAGTCATTGTATCTCCAGTTCTTGGTACACAATAGATAAATGAAAGCCCTGAGGAAATGTTCTGGATTTCTTAAAATTATAAGAAATAATGACTTTGAAGAATCTCCATGCTTCTAATGGTTTGCATGAGAATCTTTATTGCCTGTTGATTTGTTATTTGGTGTTAAAGGAGTGTATTAGTCTGTTCTCACACTGCTAATAAAAACATACCCAAGACTGGGTAATTTATAAGGGAAAGAGGTTTAATGGAATCACAGTTCCACATGGCTGGGGAGACCTCACAATCATGACTGAAGGTGAATGAGGAGCAAAGGCACATCTTACATGGCAGCAGGCAACAGAGCGGGTGCAGGGGAACTCCCCTTTATATAACCATTAGATCTCGTGAGACTTATTCACTATCACAAGAACAGCATGGGAAAGATCTGCCCTCATGATTCAGTTACCTCCCACTGGGTCCCTCCCACGACATGTGGGAATTATGGGAGCTACAATTCAAGATGAGATTTGGGTGGAGACACAGCCAAACAAAATCATTTTGCCCCTGGCCCCTCCCAAATCTCATGTCCTCCCATTTCAAAACCAATCATGCCTTCCCAACAGTCCCCCAAAGTCTTAACTCATTTCAGCATTAACTCAAAACTTGACAGTCCAAAGTCTCATCTGAGACAAGGCAAGTTCCTTCTGCCTATGAGCCTGTAAAACCAAAAGCAAGTTGGTTACTTCCTAGATACAATGGGGGTACAGGCATTGGGCAAATACACTCATTCCACATGAGAGAAATTGGCCCAAACAAAGGGACCACAGACCCCATGCATCCAATAGGGCAGTCATTAAACCTTAAAGTTCCAAAATAATCTTCTTTGACTCCATGTCTCAAGTCTTGCTGATGCAAGAGGTGGGCTCCCATGGCCTTGGGCAGCTCTACCTCTGTGGCTTTGCAGGGTACAGACATCCTGGCGGCTTTCACAGGCTGGTGTTGGGTGTCTGTGGCTTTTGCAGGCACGTGGTTCAAGCTGTCAGTGGATCTAACATTCTGGGGTCTGTAGGACGGTGGCCCTCTTCTCACAGTTCCACTAGGCAGTGCCCCAGTGGAAGCTCTGTGTGGGGACTACAACCCTACATTTCCCTTCTGCACTGCCTTAGCAGAGGTTCTCCAAGAGGAGGAGTAAAAAAGGTACTTTTGAAGAATACAGAGATAGTTAAATACAGATTATGATAAGAAAACAAACTAGAGAGGGAAAAAAAGCTTCAGGAAACCAAGAAAGTGGAATTAAAAGTGAAGAAGCTTGTTGTTGAATCAAGATGAGGGAGTTCTAGTACATAATTTGAATCTAAGGAGGACACAGACAATAGCTGTTTAGTGGAAAAACTTTGGAATAGGCCACAAAAATTCCAGTGATGTAAATGCATTGTGAGAGTGTGTTGAATCCTTTGTGCCCTCAGCATAGCAACATGTGAAAACAAGGTGAATTCAATTCTTCAGGAGAAATGTGAGATAGTTATTCAATATGTAACTCAAGAGGAATGCGTTTTGATAAAAAACCAGAGGGGTACTACTCATAGGGAAAAAAGACGTTTTTGGTCTTTAGTCTGATCTCAGCTCTTTGGTCTAGCTGCGGAGGTCAACTAATAAAAAATCCAATATGTGTTTGGAGAAAAATTCTGGATTTCTTTAAGCAGTGCTAAGCTGCTTTTGTGGGGGTTGAGGTTGTTTCCAAAAAATTTCATTGATTCAGCAGAATAAAGTATAATTTTAATGATTATTTTCTAGACTTGCAGCATTCCTGAGAATTGTAAAACATCAGTTAATTTTTTAACTGCAATAACATTTTAATTTTACTCAATTAGGTAAGACAACAGAAGATGAAGTCAATTTTGAAAACCTTTTATAAACTATAAAAACTGTGCTTATGCTAGTAGCTATTACTATAATTATGATTACCATTGTTCTGCTGGTAAACTTGAGGAAGGCAATAGGGAGTTAGGAGAAACAGACCTTCTCTTTCAGTTGAGTTAAACAGACTTGTTTCAACCTCATGTCTGACTAGAGAACATGGTTGGTTCCTGAACTGGTGGAGACTGACCCTGAGATCAACCCCTGAAACGATTCCTGCAGAGCCTCTGGACTGTAAGCTGTCACATCATGGATGACAGCCAGGATATTGGGTCTATTTCAAAGTGACTCAGTGGGCCAGAGAACCATTAATATATTTATCACCACAGGTATTAGTTATATGTCACTACTGAGAAACTGCAGAGTGTTATTGTTTATTCTTTTGTTTAATCAAATGTCTTTTAAAATTTTATTTGTACTCATGTGTTTGTTTTCTTCATAGGTAGACACTATTGTTTCTGAAAATCTTCCAAATTTTACAGAGTTTGTAAACTAGGTAATAAAAATGAAATCCAATTAGAAAATAGGTGAAAGATATAGAGAGACATTTCACCAAAAAGAATATGCAGTTGGCAAATAAGCATGTGGGAGGATGTTCAACATCATTAGCCATTGGGGAAATACAAATTAAAACTACAATGAGATATCATTACACGGCTATCAGAATAGCTGATATAAAAAACAGTGTCTACGTGGAGGGGAACAACACACACCAGGGCCCGTCAGGAGTGAGGGGAGGGAGAGCATTGGGACAAATAGCTAATGCATTCGGGGCTTAAAACCTAGGTGATGGGTTGATAGGTGCAGCAAACCACCCATGGCATATATATACCTATGTGACAAACCTGCACGTTCTGCACATGTATTCCGGAACTTAAAATTAAAAAAAAAATGTCAACACCAAAATGCTAGAGAAGATGTGTAGAAACTGGATCACTTATTATTGGTAGGAACGTAAAATGGTGCAAAACACTTAATTTAGAGTCACGTAAAAATTTGTATATGAATGTTTATAGCAACAATTGATTAAAACTTGTTTTTAAATTTTCATTTGTGGTAAAGTTCATACAGCATAAAATTTATGATCTTAACCATTTTTTGGTGTGTAGTTCAGTAGTGTTAAGTATAGCCATATTGTTGAGCAACAATCTTTATGGGTTTCATCCTACAAAACTGAAACTCTATCAAACAACAATTCCCTATTTCCCCCTCTTCTCCAACCCCTGGCAAACTCCATTCTTGTTGTTTACATGAATTTCACTACTTTGGATACTTCATATAGTGAAATTATACAGTATTTGTCTTTTTATCCCGGGCTTACTTCACTTAGCACAGTGTTCTCAAGGTTCAGACACGTTGTAGCATTTGTCAGTTTCTTTCCTTTTTAAGGATAATCTTTCGTTGTATGTACATAACACATTTTGTTTATCCGTTCATCTGTTGATGCACACTTGGGTTGCTTCCACCTCTTGGCTGTTGTCAACAATGCTGCCAAGAACGTGGGTATACAAATATCTCTTCCAGTCTTAGAGGTGAAATTGCTAGGTCATATGGTCATTCTATTTATGATTTTTTGAGGAACTGCCATACTGTTTTCCATAGCAGCTGCACCATTTTACATTTCTGCCAACAATGCACAAGGGTTCCAGTTTCTCCACATCCTTATTATTAATATAAGTAAAAAATACTTATTATTTTTTGTTCTTTTGTTAGTGGCCATTTAATGGGTGTGAGGTGGTATCTCTTTGTGGTTTTGACTTGCATTAACCTAATGATTCGTGATGTTGAGCATCTTTTCATGGGCTTTTTGGCCCTTTGTATATCATCTTTGGAGAAATGTCTATTTAAGACCTTTGCTCATTTTAAAATTGGGTTGATTTTATTGTTATTGAATTGTAAGAGTGCTGTATATATTCTGGATATTAACCTTTTATCAGATATATTATTTGCAAATATTTTGTTTTATTTTGTAGCTTACCTTTTTGCTCTATTATGTTCCTTGATGCATAGAAATCTTAAATTTTGGTGTAGTCCAGTTTATCTACTTTTACTTTTGTTGTCTGTGGTTTTGGTAACATATTTAAGAAAACTTCACCAAATCCAATGACATGAGTTTCCCCTTCTGTTTGTTTTCTTTCTAAGAGTTTTATAGTTTTAGCTCTTACATTTAGGTCTTTGATCCATTTAGAGTTAACTTTTTATATGTGGTGTAAGGTAAGAATTCAACTTCACTTTTTTTTTTTTTTGCATGTGGCTATCTAGTTTTCCTAACATCATTTGTTGAAGAGGCTGTCTTTTCCCAGTGAATGGTCATTTTGAGATATTCCTGGTTCATTGAGAAATGATTTTTGCTTGAAACCTAGATACTTTCACAAGATTCTGGATCTTATTAAAACTTTCTGTTGTGACTAGCTTCTCAGATGCTGCTCCAGCAGGGGAAGGGGAGGGCAAAAACTTGTTGCTATCAGGTGCAGGTAAAATTTCTAACCCACCTGGCCTCTGTTGACACCCAAGGTAGGGGACTTTTTGTAACTGCTGGACGGGAGTGAGAGTTCTAGCTCTCCATGTGGTCTGCACTGACACCTTCGTGAGGGTGATCTCATTACTGGTGGGTGTTGGCGAAAGTCTTGATTCTCTGCCAGGCCTCCTCTGACACCTCCCCACCAGGAAGGGAAGTATGTTTCCTTGCTGCTGAGTGAGTTGGAAGTCCAGGCTCCTCATATGATTTCCACCAATATTGCGGGGAGGCCTCATTACCAGCTGTCAGGAAAGATAGTCTCAGCTCCCTCGCTGGATACCACTCTGTCAGAGATGTTGGGACACCTTATTACAGCCTTGTGAGGTTAGAAGTCTAGGCTGCCTACTTGGCCTGTGCTAGCAGGGTGGGGTAGGACCATAGCTTTTATTTTTAATTTTTTTTTAAATTTTCCATAAGTTTTTGGGGTACAGGTGGTATTCGGTTACATGGGTAAGTTCTTTAGTGGTGATTGTGAGATTTTGGTGCAGCCATCACCTGAGCAGTATACACTGTACCATATTTGTAGTCTTTTATTCCTCACCCCCTCCCACTCTTCCCCTCAAGTCTCCCAAAGTCCATTGTATCATTCTTATGCCTTTGCGTCCTCATAGCTTACCTCCCACATATCGGTGAGAACATACGATGTTTGGTTTTCCATTCCTGAGTTACTTGACATAGAATAATAGTCTCTAATCTCATCCAGGTCACTGCAAATGCTGTTAATTCATTCCTTTTTATGGCTGTGATGTATATACATATATATATATAACAGTTTCTTTACCCACTTGTTGATTGATGGGCATTTGGGTTGGTTCCACAATTTTGCAATTGTGAATTGTGCTGCTATAAACATGCAAGTACAAATATCTTTTTTGAATAATGACTTCTTTTCCTCTGAGTAGATACCCAGTAGTGGGATTGCTGTATCAAACGGTAGTTCTACTTTTAGTTCTTTGAGGAATCTCCACACTGTTTTCCAGAGTGGCTGTACTAGTTTACATTCCCACCAGCAGTGTAGAGGTGTTCCATGTTCACTGCATCCATGCCACATCTACCTTTTTGTGATTTTTTTGAGTATGGCCATTCTTGCAGGAGTAAGATGGTATCACATTGTGGTTTTGATTTGCATTTCCCTGATCATTAGTGATGTTGAGCATTTTTTCATATGTTTTTTGGCCATTTCTATATCTTCTTTATTTTATTTTATTATTATTATACTTTAAGTTTTAGGGTATATTGCACAATGTGCAGGTTAGTTACATATGTATACATGTGCCATGCTGGTGTGCTGCACCCATTAACTCGTCATTTAGCATTAGGTATATCTCCTAATACTATCCCTCCCCACTCCCCTCACCCCACAACAGTCCCCAGAGTGTGATGTTCCCCTTCCTGTGTCCATGTGTTCTCATTGTTCAATTCCCACCTATGAGTGAGAACATGCGGTGTTTGGTTTTTCGTCCTTGCGATAGTTTACTGAGAATGATGATTTCCAATTTCATCCATGTCCCTACAAAGGACAGGAACTCATCATTTCTTATGGCTGCATAGTATTCCATGGTGTATATGTGCCACATTTTCTTAATCCAGTCTATCATTGTTGGACATTTGAGTTGGTTCCAAGTCTTTGCTGTTGTGGATAGTGCCTCAATAAACATATTGTGTGCATGTGTCTTTATAGCAGCATGATTTATAGTCCTTTGGGTATATACCCAGTAATGGGATGCCTGGGTCAAATGGTATTTCTAGTTCTAGATCCCTGAGGAATCGCCACACTGACTTCCACAACGGTTGAACTAGTTTACAGTCCCGCCCTATATCTTCTTTTGATAATTGTCTATTCATGTCCTTAGCCTACTTTTTGATGGGATTGTTGGTTTTTTTCTTACTGATTTGTTTGAGTTTGTTGTAGATTCTGAGTATTAGTCCTTTGTCAGATGTATAGATTGTAAAAATTTTCTCCCATTCTGTGAGTTGTCTGTTTACTCTGCTGACTGTTCCTTTTGCCAAGTAAAAGCTCTTTAGTTTAATTAGGTCCCAGCTATTAATCTTTTTTTTAATTGCATTTGCTTTTGGGTACTTGGTCATGAAATCCTTGCCTAAGCCAATGTCTAGAATGGTTTTTCCAATGTTATCTTCTGGAATTTTTATAGTTTCAGGTCTTAGGTTTAAGACCTTAATCCATCTCGAGTTGATTTTTGTATTAGGTTGAGAGATTAGGATCCAGATTCGTTCTCCTACATGTGGTTTGCCAATTATCCCAGCACCATTTGTTGAAAGGGTGTCCTTTCCCCATTTGATGTTTTTGTTTGCTTTGTTGAAGATCAGTTGCTGTAGGTATTTGGGTTTATTTCTGGGTTCTCTATTCTGTTCCATTGGTCTATGTGCCTATTTTTAAACCAGTACCATGCTGTTTTGATGATTATGGCCTTATAGTATAGTTTGAAATCAAGTAGTGCAATGCCTCCAGATTTCTTCTTTTTGCTTTGGCTATGGGGACTTTTTTTTGGTTCAATATGAATTTTAGAATTGTTTTTTCTAATTCTGTGAAGAATGATGTTGGTATTTTGGTGGAGATTGCATTGAATTTGTAGATTGTTTTTAGCAGTATTGCCCATCCATTAGCATGGGATGTGTTTCCATTTGTTTGTGTCATCTGTCATTTCTTTCAGCAGTGTTTTGTAGTTTTTCTTGTAGAGGTCTTTTGACTCTTTTGTTAGGTACATTCCTGTCTTTGATTTTTTTTTGCAGCTATTGTTAAAAGGGTTGAGATCTTGATTTAATTCTCTGCTTGGTCACTGTTGTTATGTAGAAGAGCTGATTGGTGTACATTAATCTTGTATCTGGAAAGTTTGCTGAATTCTTTTATCAGTTCTAGGAGCTTTCTGGAGGAGTCCTTAGGGTTTTCAAGGTAAACGATCACATTGTCAGCAAACAGCAACAGTTTGATTTCCTCTTTACCAATTTGAATGCCCTTTATTTGTTTCTCTTGTCTGATTGCTGTGGCTAGGACTTCCAGTACTACGATGAAGAGGAGTGAGGAGAGTGGGTATCTTTGTCTTGTTCCAGTTCTTAGAGGGAATGCTTTCAAGTTTTGCCCATTCAGTATTATGTTGGCTGTGGGTTTGTCCTAGATGGCTTTTATTACATTAGGGTATGTCCGTTGTATGCCGATTTTGCTGAGGGTTTTAATCATAAAGGGATGCTGGATTTTGTTGAATGCCTTTTCTACGTCTATTGAGGTGATCATATGATTTTTGTGTTTAATTTTGTTAATGTGGTGTATCACATTTATTGACTTGTGTGTGTTAAACCATCCCTGCATCCCTGATATGACACCCACTTGATCATGGTAGATTATCTTTTTGATATGTTGTTGGATTTGGTTAGCTAGATTTTGTTAAGGATTTTAGCATCTATGTTAATCAAGGATACTGGTCTGTAGTTTTCTTTTTTGGTTGTGTCCTTTCCTGGTTTTCGTATTAGGGTGATGCTGGCTTCATAGAATTAACTAGGGAGGGTTTCTTCTTTCTCTGTCATGTGGAATAGTGTCAAAAGGATTGGGACCAATTTTTCTATGAATGTCTGGTAGAATTCTGCTGTGAATCCATCTGGCCCTTAACTTTTTTGTTGTTGTTGTTGGTAATTTTTAAATTAGCATTTCAATCTCACTACTTGTTATTGGTCTATTCGGGGTATCTAATTCTTCCTGATTTGAGCTAGGAGGGCTGTATTTTTCCAGGAATTTATCCATCTCTTCTAGGTTTTCTAGTTTATGTGCGTAAAGGTGTTCATAGTAGCCTCGAATGATCTTTTGTATTTCAGTGGTGTCAGCTGTAATATTTAATCAATCTTGAGTTGATTTTTGTATTAGGTGAGAGATTAGGATCCAGTTTCATTTTCCTACATGTGGTTTGCCAGTTATCTCAGCACCATTGTGTTCTGTTTTGTTTCTTACTTTATTGGGATTTTCTCTCTGCTTTTCTTGGTTCATCTTGCTAATGGTCTATCAATTTTATGTATCTTTTCAAAGAACCAGCTTTTGTTTCATTTATGTTTTGTACTTTTTTTTTGTTTCAGTTTCATTTAGTTCTGCTCTGATGTTGGTTATTTCCTTTCTTCTGCTGTGTTTGGGTTTGGTTTCTTTTTGTTTCTCCAGTTCCTTGAGGTTTGACCTTAGATTGGCTGTTTATGCCCTTTCAGACTTTTTGATGTAGGTAGGCATTTAGGGCTATGAACTTTCCCCTTAGCAACTGCCTTTGCTGTATCCCAGAGGTTTTGATAGGTTGTGTCATTATTGTCATTCAGTTTGAAGAATTTTTAAATTTCCATCTCGATTTCATTTTTTACCCAATGCTCATTTAAGAGCAGGTTATTTATTTATTTTTCATGTATTTACATGGATTTGAAGGTTCCTTTTGGAGTTGATTTCCAGTTTTATTCTACTGTGATCTGAGAGAGTGCATGATATAATTTCAATTTTCTTAAATTTACTGAGGCTCATTTTTATGGCCTATCATATGGCCTGCCTTGGAGAAAGTTCCAGGAGCGTAGCTTTTTTTCCCCCTATGGTTGGAATAGAGCAATTATTGTCTAAAAGTTTTCTGTGTCACTAAACTGACTCCTGTTCCTTTGGCTACAGAGAGCAGGCTATTTTTGGAGTTTTTTTTCTTTTTCTTTTTCTTTTTTTTTTGGTCTGTACTCATTGACATTTCTGGGTGGCTAGATTCTTTAGCTCCAATTCTGGGATATATATGATCCAAAAAAACCCAGGGAATCCACCACTCTATCATTCCTTGCCTTCCAAGGTCCTTATCTTATCTATCTTCCCTAATTTTCGGTCTGCTTATACTTCTTTTTTATATAATATCCTTGGTATTTTGTTGTACTTAGTGCAAGGAATAGGAAAATGTGCATCTACTGCATCTTTTGGGAAGTGGAAGTGGCCACCTTCACTTTCTGATGGTAATAACTTTTTTTCACTGTATCCACTTAACTCCTAGCATAGTGACCAGAACTATATTTGTGAAATTATATTTTGTATTCTTTCAGATTGTGTTGGGCAATGGGGAATGGATAATACAGGGTAACTAGGCCCAAATAACACAAAAATTTCAGGAGGAGCATTCTGACTCCAAGGGCTAGTTGGCAGCAGCATCTCTAGATCCTGGACCTATAACATCTCATTATAGAACAGGAGCCACATGGTTTGAATAAGAGTTTGATGTGTAACAATGAAGGTAGTTATGAACTGGGATATTTGAAATAGGCTGTGTGGAAAACTGAGTGAATACAAGGCCTCTTCTTAGACAGCAGGCCCCAGGAGCCTGAGACATTTCAAGGGAAAAATAGCATACCCTCTAATCAGAATGGGAGAAAGCATGGAGATAGATTTTTCAAAGACAGACCAAAATTACATGGATAAAGGACAACACTTAGAGCACGTAAAGTTTTTTAAAAATGCCTGTCTGAGAGTATATTGAAGAAAGCATTCCTATAGCCAGGTACTCTCTAGGTCTAGTGGCATGAAGGTTTCTAATGATTACAGCTGTTACTTTTGGCATATCTCCACTCTACTGATTTCTAGACAAATAATTGGACTCTATTTTGAACCCTAACCTATGTCCTGAATGTTGTTTTTGGAACCATCTTTTTTGAGGTATTGCACATGTTTAAAGAATACCACTTGACAAGTTTTGACTATATATATATATATCCACCCATGAAAGCATTACCATAGTGAAGATATCATATACATCCATTACCCCCAACTATCTCCTTGTATCCCTTTAATTCCTTCCTCTTGTTTTTCCTCTCCACTTCCCCATACCCCCAACAAACATTGATCTGCTTTCTGTTACCATACACTAGTTTGCATTTTCCAGAATTTTATAAAAATGACACTACAGAGTGTGTATTCTTTTTTTTTTTGGCCTGGTTTCTTGTACTCAGCATAATTATTTTGAGATTTATCCATGTCGTTTTGTATAATAATAGTTTATCACTTTTTATTGCTGAGAGTATTCCATTTTATGGATATGCCACAAAATTATTATCCATTCATTTGTTGATTGACATTTGAGTTGTTTACAGTTTATGGCTTTTGTGAATATAGCTGCTATGAACAATCTCACACAAGTCTTTATATGGACATATGCTTTTATTTCTCTTGGGAAAAAACCTAAAAGTGGAATGAACAACTTTTATGGTAGGTGTATGTTTAACTTCTAAGGAAACTGTGTTTCTAAGTGGTTGTATCATTTGTTTTCCCATTAGTAGCGTATGAGAATTCCAGCTGCTCCATAACTTAGCCAACACTTGACACAATCAGTATTCTTAATTTTAGACATTCTAATAAATGTGTAATGGTATCTTGTAGTTTTAAATTTGCATTTCCTTAATGACTAATGATGTTGAACGTATTTTTATGTGCTTGTCATCCATATATATATTTTTATGAAGTGTTTGTTCAGATCTTTTGCCCATTTAAATAGATTTTTTTCTTACTATTGAGTTTTGGGTTTTGAAATACATTGTAGATACGAGTTCTTGATTAGATACAAAAAATTTGCAAGTATTGTTTTGAAAATATTTTCTTCAAGTCTTTGATGTGTCTTTTCATTCTCTTGAAAATATCTTCTGAAGAACAGAAACTCTTAATTTTTAGGTATTTCCGTTTGACTTCTTGTCTTTTTTTTGAGACAGGGTTTCACTCCTCTTGCTCAGGCTGGAGCGCAGTGGCGCAATTTCAGCTCACTGAAACCTCCGGCTCCTGGCTCAAGCGATCCTCCCACCTCAGCTTCCCAAGTAGCTGGGACTGCAGCCATGTGCCACCATGCCTGGCTCATTTTTCTCTTTTTTGTAGAGACAGGGTTTTGCCATGTTGCTCAGGCTGGTCTAGAACACCTGGGCTCAGTCCATCTGCTTGCCTTGGCCTCCCAAAGAGCTAGGATGACAGGCATGAGATATTGCACCGAGCCTATGATTTTTAAATAAATGTTTCTGTTGTATCATATCTGAGAATCATTGCCTAACTCAAGGTGTGGATCAAAGTTTATTATTATTAATTTTTTTTGCAAATAGCTATCCAGTTGTTATAGCACCATTTTTTGAAATGACCCCTTTTCCCATTGCATTGCCTTTGTGCGCTTGTGAAAAATTAGTCATCCATGTATGTGTGGGTCTATTTTTTAGACTCTCCATTCCGTTTCACTGGCCTTATTGTTAATCACACCACCAATACAATACTGACTTGGTAATTGTAGAATTATAGGTAATTCTATAATAAGTCTTGAAGGCAAGTAATGGAAGCCCTTCAGCTTTATTATTTTTCTACATTAGAAATTGACAGCTGATTCTAAAATTTTTATTAGAATGTACAGACTGAGCATAGGCAAAACAACTTTGAGAAAGAACCAAATTGGAGGACATCTTAATAATAATAGTTTTTTTGATCCTTGACCGCAGTATTTTTTTCTATTTGTTTTGGTCTTTAATTTTTCTCAGCTAGTTTTATAATTTTAGTGTACAGGTCTTATGCATGATTTGTCGCATTTGTCTTAAGTATTTCATATTTTTGATGCTATTTTAAATGGCATTGGTTTTTAATATTTCAACTTCTAATTTGTTGGTGATATATAGAAATGTAATGGATTTTTATATATTTACCTTGTACTCTTTAACCTTACAGGAATATTGGTCTGTAGTTTTCTTTCTTTCTTTTTTTTTTAGTATAGAATGTGTATGGCATTACCCTGGTATTAGGGTAATATCGCTAATCATTAAGGACATGTAGGCTGAAAAACTACCTATTGGTTACTATGCTTACTATCTGGTGCAATATACCCATGTAACAAACTTACACATGTACCCACTCTATCAAAAATAAAAGTTGAAATTCAGAAGGAAAAAAAATCAACTGGGAAGTTTTTCTTCCTATTCAGTTTACTGGAAGAGTCTGTATAGAATCGTTATCTTTTATTTATTAAACTTTTGGTAAAATTCACTAATGAAAAGATAAGAGGCTGGATTTTCTTTGTGAAATGTTTTAAACTTCAATTTCTTTATTATAGGACTATTCATGTTACATATTTCTTCTTGAGTGAGCTGTGGTAGTTTGTGACTTTCAAGGAATTTGTCCATTTAATTTTCATGGTCAAATTTATTGGCATAAATTTTAAAACTCCCCTATTATCCTTTTAATTATTGTAGAATTGGTAGTAGTTACCTCTTATATTTCTGCTCTTAGTAATTTCTATTTTCTCTCTTTGATCACTTTGGCTAGACGCCTGTTGTTTTATTGATTTTCTCAAAGCATCAACCTTGATTTCATTGACTTTTCTCTACTGTGTTTCTGCTTTGTATTTCACTGATTTCTGCTGTGCCTTTCTTTAAAAAATTTTATTTATAAACTTATAAATAAATTTAGGATATACAACATGATGTTATGAGACACATATAGATAGTACAAAAAGGTTACTATGGTGAAGCAAATAAAAATATCCATCATTTCACATAGTTACATTTTTAATTTTTGTGGCAAGAGCAGCTAAAAATCTGATCATTTAGCATGAATCCCAAATACAGTACACTTTTATTACCTATAGTTCTTATGTTGTACCTTAGATTTCTATCTTGTTTATCCTATATATCTGCTACTTTATATCCTCTGACCTGCATTTCTTCATTTAGCCCCATTGCCCCTCTTTCCCTCTCACCTCTGGCAATCACTGCTTTGTTCTCTATCTCCTTATATTTGAAAAAAGAATTTTAGGCTCCATATCTAAGTGACATCATGCAACATTTTTCTTTTTGTGTCTGGCTTATTTTACTTAGCATAGCATCCTCCAAGCTCATCTGTGGGGCAATATTTTGTTCTTTTATAGGGATATATATATAGATATATGGATATATATAGGATATATATATATGTGTGTGTGTGTATGTATGTGTGTGTATATATATTCGCATATATATATGAATAAAGAAATTGTGTATATATCTATTGAGAAACAGGTTGTTTCCATATCTTAGCTATTGTGAATAATGCTGCTGTAAACATGAGAGTGCAAATATCTTTACAAGGTGATTTCATTTTCTTTGGATATACCCAGAAGTTGGATTGCTGCATCATATGGTAGTTCTCTTTTCAGTTTCCTTAGGAAACCTCCATACTGTTTTCCGTCATAGCTGTACCAATCTACATTTCCACCAACAGTGTATAAGAGTTCCCTTTTCTTCATACATTTGCTAACGTTTGTTATGTTTTGTCTTTTTGGTAATAGCCATCCTAATGGGTGTGAGATGGCATCTCACAGTGATTTTGATTTCCATTTCTCTGATGATTAATGATATTGTCTGGTCTGATCTTTAGTATTTCATTTTTCTGCCTAATTAGAGTTTAATTCACTCTTTCCTTTCCAGTTTTTTAAGGTGAAAGCTGAAGTAATTGATTTAGATCTTCCTTCTTTTCTAACATTGGTATTTAGTGCTATAGAATTCCCAGTAGCTATTGCTTTATCTGCCTCCCACAGATTTTAATATGTTGTATTTTTATTTGTATTTAGTTAAAAATATTTTCTGATTTCACTTTTAATATTTATTTGACCTATGATGGGTTATTTAGAAGTGTGTTATTTAATTTCCAAATATATATGGATTTCCCAGATATTTTTCTTTTCTGTTTTTTGAGACAGGGTCTTACTTTGTCACCTAGGCTGCAGTAGAGTGGCATGATAATGGCTCACTGTAGCCTTCAACTGCTGGGTTCAAGCAGTCTTCCCACTGGAGCCTTCTGAGTATCTGGGACTACAGGTGAATGCTACCATGCCTGGCTATATTTTTTATTTTTATTTTTGTAGAAACAGGTCTTGTTAAGTTGCCCAGGCAGGTCAGGAACTCCTGGCCTCAAGCCGTTCACCCCCTCAGCCTCCCAAGGCGCTGTTATTACAGATGTGAGCCACTGTGCCTGGCCCAGATATTTTTCCGTTTTTGATTTTTAATTTAAGTTCACTGTGATTTCAGATAACATATATTCTATGACTTAAATGTTTTTAACTTTATCGGGCTTTGTTTTATGGTCCAACTTGTGGTTTATCTTGGTAAATGTTCCTGTGCACTTGAGAAGATGGTGTATTCTGCTGTTGTTGGGTAGAGAGTGTTCCATAAATGCCAATCAGGTCAAGTTTAGTTGATTGTGTTTAAGTCTACTACATCCTTGCTGATTTTCTATCTGCTTGTTAAATTATTGAGGGTAAGGTATTGAATCTCTGGCTATAATTAGGGGTTTGTCCATTTCTCCTTTTAGTTCATTTATTTTGCAGCTCTATTATTAGTTGTATAAACATTTAGAATATTCATGTTCTCTTAATGAATCGACCATTAATGGTCAATTGGTTATTGACCAATTGGTTAATTGGTCAATTATCACCGGTCTTAATGAATTGGTCTTAATGATAATTGGTCAATTATCACTGGTCTTAATGAATTGACCAATTATCATAACATTTATCATAAATGACTTGACCATTTATCATTATGTAATAGTCCTCTTTATCCTTGTTAATATTCTTTGTACTAAAATAGACTTTGATATTCAGTATAACTGCTACAGTTTTATTTTAAGTAGTGTTAGCATCATGCATCTTTTCATATACTTTTTTTTGTATCTTTCTATTTAAAGTGTATTTCTTGCAGACAACATAAAGTGGGTCTCTCGCTCTCTCTTTTTAAAGTCTAATTTGACTTCTTTACCAATAACTTGGAAAAGGAAAAAATCTAATTTGACAATATCTGTTTTAAACTTAGGGTATTTAAACCATTTGTATTTAAAGTGATTATTGATATAGTTGGGTTTAAATTGATCCTCACACTATTTTATTTCTATTTATGTCACATATTCTTTGTTCCCTTTTCACTTTTCTTCCTTCTTTTGAATTAACAGATTTTTTGTAGTTCCAATTTATCTTCCCTTTTCATTTATTAAAGTTTATGTTGTGTTATTTTAGTAGTTGCTTTATAATTTATAATATATACTTAATTTTTCAGTTTACCATCAAGTGATATCATACCATTTTACCATTTCATATATAGAATAAGAACTTACAAAATATACATCCAGTTTCCTGCCTAGTTTTTATACAACGTTATCATGTATTTTACTTCTATGTATTTTATAAACCCTACAATACATTTTTATTATTTTGCTTTACACAGTTAATTATCTTTTAAAGAGATATAGTAATATAAAAAGTTTTTTGTATTTACCTCATTCTTAAGATTTCTGCTGCTTTTTATTCCTTTGTGTAGATCCAGATTTTCATCTGATGTCCTGCTTAAAGGACTCCTTAAGGTTTATTGTATTGCAGCTATACAATACAAATTCTTTTAGCTGTTGTTTGTCTGAAAATATTTTTATTTCAGCTTCTTTTTTTAAAAAAAAATTTTTTTTTTATTGTACTTTAAGTTTTAGGGTACATGTGCACATTGTGCAGGTTAGTTACATATGTATACATGTGCCATGCTGGTGCGCTGCACCCACTAACTCGTCATCTAGCATTAGGTATATCTCCCAATGCTATCCCTCCCCCCTCCCCCCACCCCACAACAGTCCCCAGAGTGTGATATTCCCCTTCCTGTGTCCATGTGATCTCATTGTTCAATTCCCACCTATGAGTGAGAATATGCGGTGTTTGGTTTTTTGTTCTTGCGATAGTTTACTGAGAATGATGATTTCCAATTTCATCCATGTCCCTACAAAGGACATGAACTCATCATTTTTTATGGCTGCATAGTATTCCATGGTGTATAGGTGCCACATTTTCTTAATCCAGTCTATCATTGTTGGACATTTGGGTTGGTTCCAAGTCTTTGCTATTGTGAATAATGCCTCAATAAACATACGTGTGCATGTGTCTTTATAGCAGCAAGATTTATAGTCCTTTGGGTATATACCCAGTAATGGGATGGCTGGGTCAAATGGTATTTCTAATTCTAGATCCCTGAGGAATCGCCACACTGACTTCCACAATGGTTGAACTAGTTTACAGTCCCACCAACAGTGTAAAAGTGTTCCTATTTCTCCACATCCTCTCCAGCACCTGTTGTTTCCTGACTTTTTAATGATCGCCATTCTAACTGGTGTGAGATGGTATCTCATTATGGTTTTGATTTGCATTTCTCTGATGGCCAGTGATGATGAGCATTTTTTCATGTGTTTTTTTGGCTGCATAAATGTCTTCTTTTGAGAAATGTCTGTTCATGTCCTTCGCCCACTTTTTGATGGGGTTGTTTGTTTTTTTCTTGTAAATTTGTTTGAGTTCATTGTAGATTCTGGATATTAGCCCTTTGTCAGATGAGTAGGTTGCGAAAATTTTCTCCCATTTTGTAGGTTGTCTGCTCACTCTGATGGTAGTTTCTTTTGCTGTGCAGAAGCTCTTTAGTTTAATTAGATCCCATTTGTCAATTTTGTCTTTTGTTGCCATTGCTTTTGGTGTTTTGGACATGAAGTCCTTGCCCATGCCTATGTCCTGAATGGTGATGCCTACGTTTTCTTCTAGGGTTTTTATGGTTTTAGGTCTAACGTTTAAGTCTTTAATCCATCTTGAATTAATTTCTGTATAAGGTGTAAGGAAGGGATCCAGTTTCAGCTTTCTACATATGGCTAGCCAGTTTTCCCAGCACCATTTATTAAATAGGGAATCCTTTCCCCATTTCTTGTTTTTGTCAGGTTTGTCAAAGATCAGATAGTTGTAGATATGCGGCGTTATTTCTGAGGGCTCTGTTCTGTTCCATTGATCTATATCTCTGTTTTGGTACCAGTACCATGCTGTTTTGGTTACTGTAGCCTTGTAGTATAGTTTGAAGTCAGGTAGCGTGATGCCTCCAGCTTTGTTCTTTTGGCTTAGGATTGCCTTGGCGATGCGGGCTCTTTTTTGGTTCCATATGAACTTTAAAGTAGTTTTTTCCAATTCTGTGAAGAAAGTCATTGGTAGCTTGATGGGGATGGCATTGAATCTGTAAATTACCTTGGGCAGTATGGCCATTTTCACAATATTGATTCTTCCTACCCATGAGCATGGAATGTTCTTCCATTTGTTTGTATCCTCTTTTATTTCCTTGAGCAGTGGTTTGTAGTTCTCCTTGAAGAGGTCCTTCACATCCCTTGTAAGTTGGATTCCTAGGTATTTTGTTCTCTTTGAAGCAATTGTGAATGGGAGTTCACTCATGATTTGGCTCTCTGTCTGTTATTGGTGTATAAGAATGCTTGTGATTTTTGTACATTGATTTTGTATCCTGAGACTTTGCTGAAGTTGCTTATCAGCTTAAGGAGATTTTGGGCTGAGACAATGGGGTTTTCTAGATATACAATCATGTCGTCTGCAAACAGGGACAATTTGACTTCCTCTTTTCCTAATTGAATACCCTTTTTTTCCTTCTCCTGCCTAATTGCCCTGGCCAGAACTTCCAACACTATGTTGAATAGGAGTGGTGAGAGAGGGCATCCCTGTCTTGTGCCACTTTTCAAAGGGAATGCTTCCAGTTTTTGCCCATTCAGTATGATATTGGCTGTGGGTTTGTCATAGATAGCTCTTATTATTTTGAAATACGTCCCATCAATACCTAATTTATTGAGAGTTTTTAGCATGAAGCGTTGTTGAATTTTGTCAAAGGCTTTTTCTGCATCTATTGAGATAATCATGTGGTTTTTGTCTTTGGTTCTGTTTATATGCTGGATTACATTTATTGATTTGCGTATATTGAACCAGCCTTGCATCCCAGGGATGAGCCCACTTGATCATGGTGGATAAACTTTTTGATGTGCTGCTGGATTCATTTTGCCAGTATTTTATTGAGGATTTTTGCATCAATGTTCATCAAGGATATTGGTCTAAAATTGTCTTTTTTGGTTGTGTCTCTGCCAGGCTTTGGTATCAGAATGATGCTGGCCTCATAAAATGAGTTAGGGAGGATTCCCTCTTTTTCTATTGATTGGAATAGTTTCAGAAGGAATGGTACCAGTTCCTCCTTGTACCTCTGACAGAATTTGGCCGTGAATCCACCTGGTCCTGGACTCTTTTTGGTTGGTAAACTATTGATTATTGCCACAATTTCAGCTCCTGTTATTGGTCTATTCAGAGATTCAACTTCTTCCTGGTTTAGTCTTGGGAGAGTGTATGTGTCGAGGAATTTATCCATTTCTTCTAGATTTTCTAGTTTATTTGCATAGAGGTGTTTGTAGTATTCTCTGATGGTAGTTTGTATTTCTGTGGGATTGGTGGGGATAGCCCTTTATCATTTTTTATTGTGTCTATTTGATTCTCTCTTTTTTTCTTTATTAGTCTTGCTAGTGGTCTATCAATTTTGTTGATCCTTTCAAAAAACCAGCTCCTGGATTCATTAATTTTTTGAAGGGTTTTTTGTGTCTCTATTTCCTTCAGTTCTTGCCTTCTGCTAGCTTTTGAATGTGTTTGCTCTTGCTTTTCTAGTTCTTTTAATTGTGATGTTAAGGTGTCAATTTTGGATCTTTCCTGCTTTCTCTTGTGGGCATTTAGTGCTATAAATTTCCCTCTACACACTGCTTTGAATGCGTCCCAGAGATTCTGGTATGTTGTGTCTTTGTTCTCATTGGTTTCAAAGAACATCTTTATTTCTGCCTTCATTTCGTTATGTATCCAGTAGTCATTCAGGAGCAGGTTGTTCAGTTTCCATGTAGTTGAGTGGTTTTGAGTGAGATTCTTAATCCTGAGTTCTAGTTTGATTGCACCGTGGTCTGAGAGATAGTTTGTTATAATTTCTGTTCTTTTACATTTGCTGAGGAGAGCTTTACTTCCAACTATGTGGTCAATTTTGGAATAGGTGTGGTGTGGTGCTGAAAAAAATGTATATTCTGTTGATTTGGGGTGGAGAGTTCTGTAGATGTCTATTAGGTCCGCTTGGTGCAGAGCTGAGTTCAATTCCTGGGTATCCTTGTTAGCTTTCTGTCTTGTTGATCTGTCTAATGTTGACAGAGGGGTGTTAAAGTCTCCCATTATTAATGTGTGGGAGTCTAAGTCTCTTTGTAGGTCACTCAGGACTTGCTTTATGAATCTTGGTGCTCCTGTATTGGGTGCATATATATTTAGGATAGTTAGCTCTTCTTGTTGAATTGATCCCTTTACCATTATGTAATGGCCTTCGTTGTGTCTTTTGATCTTTGTTGGTTTAAAGTCTGTTTTATCAGAGACTAGGATTGCAACCCCTGCCTTTTTTTGTTTTCCATTTGCTTGGTAGATCTTCCTCCATCCCTTTATTTTGAGCCTCTGTGTGTCTCTGCACATGAGATGGGTTTCCTGAATACAGCACACTGATGGGTCTTGACTCTTTATCCAATTTGCCAGTCTGTGTCTTTTAATTGGAGCATTTAGTCCATTTACATTTAAAGTTAATATTGTTATGTGTGAATTTGATCCTGTCATTATGATGTTAGCTGGTTATTTTGCTTGTTAGTTGATGCAGTTTCTTCCTAGTCTCGATGGTTTTTACATTTTGGCATGATTTTGCAGCGGCTGGTACTGGTTGTTCCTTTCCATGTTTAGCGCTTCCTTCAGGAGCTCTTTTAGGGCAGGCCTGGTGGTGACAAAATCTCTCAGCATTTGCTTGTCTGTAAAGTATTTTATTTCTCCTTCACTTATGAAGCTTAGTTTGGCTGGATATGAAATTCTGGGTTGAAAATTCTTTTCTTTAAGAATGTTGAATATTGGCCCCCACTCTCTTCTGGCTTGTAGGGTTTCTGCCGAGAGATCCGCTGTTAGTCTGATGGGCTTCCCTTTGAGGGTAACCCGACCTTTCTCTCTGGCTGCCCTTAACATTTTTTCCTTCATTTCAACTTTGGTGAATCTGACAATTATGTGTCTTGGAGTTGCTCTTCTTGAGGAGTATCTTTGTGGCATTCTCTGTATTTCCTGAATCTGAATGTTGGCCTGCCTTGCTAGATTGGGGAAGTTCTCCTGGATAATATCCTGCAGGGTGTTTTCTAACTTGGTTCCATTCTCCCCATCACTTTCAGGTACACCAATCAGACGTAGATTTGGTCTTTTCACATAGTCCCATATTTCTTGGAGGCTTTGCTCATTTCTTTTTATTCTTTTTTCTCTAAACTTCCCTTCTCATTTCATTTCATTCATTTCATCTTCCATCACTGATACCTTTTCTTCCAGTTGATCGCATCGGCTCCTGAGGCTTCTGCATTCTTCACGTAGTTCTCGAACCTTGGTTTTCAGCTCCATCAGCTGCTTTAAGCACTTCTCTGTATTGCTTATTCTAGTTATACATTCTTCTAAATTTTTTTCAAAGTTTTCAACTTCTTTGTCTTTGGTTTGAATGTCCTCCCGTAGCTCAGAGTAATTTGATAGTCTGAAGCCTTCTTCTCTCAGCTCGTCAAAGTCATTCTCCATCCAGCTTTGTTCCATTGCTGGTGAGGAACTGCGTTCCTTTGGAGGAGGAGAGGTGCTCTGCGTTTTAGAGTTTCCAGTTTTTCTGTTCTGTTTTTTCCCCATCTTTGTGGTTTTATCTACTTTTGGTCTTCGATGATGGTGATGAACAGATGGGTTTTTGGTGTGGATGTCCTTTCTGTTTGTTAGTTTTCCTTCTAACAGACAGGACCCTCAGCTGCAGGTCTGTTGGAATACCCTGCCGTGTGAGGTGTCAGTGTGCCCCTGCTGGGGGTTGCCTCCCAGTTAGGCTGTTCGGGGGTCAGGGGTCAGGGACCCACTGGAGGAGGCAGTCTGCCCCTTCTCGGATCTCCAGCTGTGTGCTGGGAGAACCACTGCTCTTTCAAAGCTGCCAGACACGGACATTTAAGTCTGCAGAAGTTACTGCTGTCTTTTTGTTTGTCTGTGCCCTGCCCCCAGAGGTGGAGCCTACATAGGCAGGCAGGCCTCCTTGAGCTGTGGTGGGCTCCACCCAGTTCGAGCTTCCCGGCTGCTTTGTTTACCTAAGCAAGCCTGGGCAATGGCGGGTGCCCCTCCCCCAGCCTCGCTGCCACCTTGCAGTTTGATCTCAGACTGCTGTGCTAGCAATCAGCAAGACTCCGTGGGCGTAGGACCCTCAGAGCCAGGTGCGGGATATAATCTCGTGGTGCGCTGTTTTTTAAGCCGGTCTGAAAAGCGCAATATTCAGGTGGGAGTGACCCGATTTTCCAGGTGTGTCCGTCACCCCTTTCTTTGACTCGGAAAGGGAACTCCCTGACCCCTTGCGCTTCCCAAGTGAGGCAATGCCTCACCCTGCTTCAGCTCGCGAACGGTGCGTGCAGCCACTGACCTGCGCCCACTGTCTGGCACTCCCTAGTGAGATGAACCCAGTACCTCAGATGGAAATGCAGAAATCACCCATCTTCTGCATCGCTCACGCTGGGAGCTGTAGACCGGAGCTCTTCCTATTCGGCCATCTTTGCTCCTCCCCACTTCAGCTTCATTTTTGAGAGACAATTTTTTCGCTGGGAAAGAATTCTAGGTTTTCTTTTTCAATTATTTAAAAAGTGTTGTTCCACTATCTTCTAGGTTACATTTATTGCAATGAGAAATTTGCTGTCAAATTTCTTTGCCCATTAGGTACTAACTTTTTTCCTGCTAGCTGCTTTGTATAGAAAATTTTGATTATGTTGTAGCTGGTGTAGTTTTCTTTGTTATTTTTGCTTGGAGTTTGTTGAAGTTTTTGGATCTGTGGGTTTTTCCAAATTTGGAAACTTTTGGTCACAATTTTTTCAAATATTCTTTCTGTCTCTCTTCTCTGCTTTGCTGATTCTAATTAGACAAATATTTGATCAAAAGTATCCCATAGTTCATTGATGTTTTGTTAATTTTCTCAGTTTGTTTTCTTTCTCTCTCTTGCTCATTCATTCTTGTTCTGATTCTCTGTTTTTCATTTTAGGTAGTTTCTATTGCTGTCCTTTTAAGTTCACTACTTTTTTATGAACGAAAAAATTAATCTGCTGTTAATCCTATTCAGTGTATTTTTCATTTCAGACAGTATAGTTTTTATCTCTAGAAGTTCATTTTGGGTCTCTTTTATATCTTTAACATCTCCGTTTAACATGCTCAGTCTTTTTTCCAGCTTCTTAAATGTATAAAATGCAGTTATAACAAATGTTTTATTTTGCTTGTCTAATAATTCTATTACCTGTATCATTTTTGTTTTTTATTGAGTCTTCTCTTCACTATGGGATGTATTTTCCTACTTCTTTGCATGACTGGTAATTTTTGATTGGATGCTAGACATTTTGAATTTTACCTTGTTATGTCCTGGATATTTTGGTATTCCTATAAATATTCTTGCATTTTGTCCTGAGATGTGGTTCAGTTATTTGAAAATAGTTTGATCTTCTTGAGACTTTTTTAAACTTTATTTTTAGAAGTTTTATTTTTAATTGAGAAATAATAATTGTATATATTTATGGAGTATAATGTGATGTTTTGATGCGTGTATTCTTGAGACTTTAAAAAGGTTTTGTTAGGTGAGACCAGACCTGCATTTAGCCCAGGTTTAATTTTTCCCTCATTGAAGTGAGACTTTTTTTGTACTCTGAATGATACCTTGTGGTTTATGAAATGTCTTCACTCTGGCTTTTGGGGACAGACACTATTTCCATTCCATTGTGAACTTCAAGCATAGTTGCTGCTACCTATTTTCTAGGTTGATTTTTGCTCAGTAGTTTTCTTACATGTATGTGTTGATCAGTACTCAGGTGAAGTATTGAAGGAAATTCCCTGCATATTTCTGGTATCCTTTTTCTGTGCAACTCTCTCTTCTCTGGTACTGTGTCTTATGAACTCTACTTTCTCTGACTACCCCAGATTTTCCAGATTTGGCTCTTCAATTTAGGGAGAAATGTGAGCTCTGAGTAAGTCCCTCCCTCCCTGTGCCATGGATTGGAAATGTTCTCCAAGTAGTAAGTTGGGGTAATAGAAGGCCTGACCACACTTGTTTTCTGTCTCTTTGGAATTTACAGTGTTTTGCTTTCTGATATCCAATGTCTTGAGAGTTGCTTCATATACTTTGTCCAGGTTTTTAGCTGTCCAGGGTATAGAGTAAATTCAGTTCTTGTTATTCCATCTTGGCTGGAAGCAGTTCTGTTTAATTTGATGCAAAAATTGTATGAATATCACTTGGTAAAAGCCTATCCTGTTTAACAAGTTACTTTACACTGTTTACTGATAAGCATTTAATACTTAAGTTCATGCACATGGCTCCATTCACATTCAGTGTTTTGTAGATTTTCCTGACAGTCCTGTGAGACTGGTTGGGGTAAGTCGGAGTGATTCTTTGATAGATGAGGAGACTGAGGCAAAGAGAGGCTAGGTGACTTGCTCAAAAATTTACAGTTACTTTAATAATTGAGACTAGGACCTAGGAACCCAGAATCAGGTTGTTGTGATCCTTGTGTCATAACAGGATGCCATATTGATGTTTCAAAAATAGACTCATGCTCTGGGTCATTTAGGGATTTTAAAAAACTTTATATTTTACTTTGTTAGAATATAAAACTTCTGTGAGTAAAGTTGAATCATTAAATGGGGTCAATCCCATTCTATGGGGATAGGGGATTTATTCCATTCTCTCTCTCTCTCTCTCTCTCTCTCTGTATATATATGTATATGTATTTAATATATATATGTATATAATATATTTTATAATATATGTGAAGCCCTTCTTACATGCAGTGATTTGAGAAACTGGTAGGCTTGACATAGTTGGGGAAAAACTTATGTCTATTTTTCTGTTTATACTTTGTTTTTCTCTCCTAGTTCCTACCTCATTAAGCTCTAGAAATAGTTCAAATTTAGATATCAGCTAAGGCCTCTTTGAAAAAATTTTGCACCCCATTCTTTCTCTTTTTAAGTGTTGTAAGAAAATATACTTTCAACTGGCATAAAGAAAGCTATGACATCTTAAGAATTTTTCTATAAGATTCTATGAAAACACTTATTTGAGGATGATTTCGGTTCTGTCCTTTCTGTGGGGGAATGTAAAACAAAAGGAATAGCAGGTCATTTTCACACCTTGAATTCAATTTGTGTCTATTTTATAATCTATTTTTATGGCTGTCATCCAATTTTGTCCCTCTAGTTTAGGTTGTATCTAATAGTATCTTGGCTTTGAGTTAGGCAGGATAGGAAGAGATTTGCTATTAACCTGGACTAACACAGACTCCTGTGACACTTAAGAGGTTGTATGAAAGGGATAGAAATGGATGTCTCACTTTGATGTTGAATATGTGGGGACATACACACACACACTCTACACACATTCTCTCTCTCAGAGGAAATTTTAACTCAGTTGGAGCCCTGGGGACATGTAAACAGGCACAAGGAGATTTCCCATAGGCTTACAGGGTAAGGGAGAGCTATCCCTCTCCCGTGGATTAGCAGAAATGGCAGATGGCATCTTTCTCCCCTAATAATCACCAGATGGCATAAAGCTATGCCCTGTGGTGCAGGAAGGAGGAAACTGGGTTGATCATGTATTTTCTACACTTAAGTTCTTCTTATTTGATTGACATTTGTCTGTGCTACTGGTCATATATTTACGTTAGAAGAACTTAAAGAAAGAGTGCAAAACCTCATTGTGGTTGCAGAGAGTATTCATTTTAATTTAATAAATTTAGCATGTTTTACAAGCTAATAACTTGCAAATCTGCTAAGCAGACTCGCAAGTTTCTGTTCACTGGTATCATGAACCATGATATCTGTTTGCATCCTGTTCTAAACCTCCTTTATTCAGCATTCTTCAGGAATGATATAATGCTTAGAGAATTGAAGTTTAAGCTGGGCACAGTGGCTCACGCCTGTATTCCCAGCACTTTGGGAGGCCGAGTTGGGCAGATCACAAGGTCAAGAGTTCGAGACCAGCCTGGCCAACACCATCTCTACTAAAAAAAATACAAAAAAAATTAGCTGGGTGTGGTTGTGTGCGCCTGTAATCCCAGCTACTCAGGACGCTGAGGCAGGAGAATCGCTTGAACCTGGGAGGCGGAGGTTGCAGTGAGCCGAGTTGTGCCATTGCATTCCAGCCTGGGGGACGGGACAGAGCGAGACTCCATCTCAAAAAAAAAAAAAAAAAAAAAAAAAAAGAGAATTGAAGTTTAACCTTTAATCTTTTGAGTAGCAGAAGTTTTACTGTAAAACTTAAAAATAAACCTTTAAAAATCTTTAGATATTGATGTTCAATTTTATTGAACAGTATTATAAACATGATTTAACTTTTCCTGTTAGAGACATAAGTTGTAGTACAGGTGTAGTTGACATTGTGAAAACAAATGAGACTAAAAGCAGAATGGATCTTACTTAATTCTAAAGCAATCTTAGAGTAAAAGTTGATGGCAGTTTTTAAAAAAGTTGTAAGTAGATCTCCTTTTTAATCAACAGATTGTAGTGGTTGAATGGAAATAAGGCAGTAAGTATTTTAAGTAAAACCATTTTATCACAACATTAATCTGAAATGTTACAATGAGTTCCACGATCACTGGGGTCCTGCAAGGTAATTAGACATCAAGATGTATGTTTTCTTATCTGTATTTGACTGGTGGAGTCACTCCTTTTGGATTAAATATATAGTATCTTTAATGTATAGAAATGAAATATATCATCTTGAGAGACTGCTGTGCCCTGACAAGGCTTTTCAAACTGCCTTTGTTTAAAGACTGACCTTTTGTTTTGTGTTTTCATATCCTGCTTAGTACTTTTGCCTCCTGGGCTGGCCACAGCCTTTTCTCCCCAGAAGGAACTCATTTGTTTTACAGCTGGATTATTATGATTTCGTAGTGGTTATAGATTTTAATGCACATTAAGGGTTCTTTTTATATTTTAATGTCATTTGGGTTACGTAGGTTAAAAATCCGTTTAAGTTCAACAAATGATTTTGGGAAAAGTGCACATCCACATGCAAAAGAATGAAGTTGGATCCTTACCGTACACCATATACAAAAATTAACTCAAAATGGATTCAAGACCTAAACATGAGTTAAAACTATAAAACTCTTAGAAGAAATTATAGACATAGGGGAGAAGTTTAATGACATTAGATTTGGTAATGACATCTTTAATATGACACCAAAAGCATATACATTAGACTACATCAAAACAAAAAACTTGTGTATATCAAAGGACACAATCAATACAGTAAAAACCAACCTATGAAATGAGAGAAAATATTTGCAAATCACATATCTAATGAAGGGTTAATATCTAAACTATATAAAGAACTGCTACAACTCAACAACAATAAAAACCAAACAACCCAATTAAAAAATGGGCAAAGGTCTTGAATATATATTTCTCCAAAGATGATACACAAATGGTCAACAAGTACATAAAAATGCCCTAATCATTAGGGAAAATCTAAATAGAAACCAAAACAAGATACCTTTTCATACCTTGTAGGATAGTTGTTGCTGCTGCTGCTACTACTACTACTACTACTACTACTACTACTACTACTAATACTAATACTATTACAAACCAAACCAACAAAACAAAACAGACAATAAGAAGCGTTGGAAAAGATGTGGAGAAATTGGAATACTTGTTTACTGTTAGTGGGCATATAAAATAGTGCAGTCACCATAGAAAAGACTATGGCAGGTCCTAAAAAACTTAAAATAGAATTATCATACTATCCAGCAATTCCACTTCTGGGAGTATACCCAAAAGAACTGAAAACAGGAACTCAGAGATATTTGTACACCTACGTTCATAGCAGCATTATTCATAAAAATTAAAAAGTGGAAGCAACCCAAATGACTGTTGATGGATGAATAGATATACAAAATATGGTATATACATGCAATAGAATATTATTCAGCCTTACAAAGAAAAGAAATTCTGAGACCTGGTACAACATGGCTGAACCTTGAAGATATTAAGTGAAATATACCAGTCACAGAAAGACAAATGCTGTGTGATTCTACTTACATGAGCTATCTTGAGTAGTCAAATTTGTAGGGAGAGAAAGTAGAATGGGAGCTGTCAGAGGTTGGGATGAGGGAAAAGTGAAGAATTGCTCTTTATGGATGTAGAGTTTTAGTCTTACAAGATAAATAGAGTTGTGGAGATTGGTTGCACAACAATGTCAACATACTTAGTATTATTAAACTGCACATTTAAAAATGATTAAATGGTAAATTTTATGTTACATATATTTTACCACAACTAAAAAAAGAAACAATGGGAAAAGATTTTGTCAATGAACTGCTTGGTAGTCTACCAGTTGGGGATTGGATAAACATTTACTCCTGTGAAGATTCAGGCAAGGGCAGGGATGAGTTAGGGGAGGCATAAAGGTTAATTTAATGATAGTCAGACTATAGTAAAGGGTGTAGCAGTGGTATAAACAAAGTCCAATGGGAACAAAAAAGGAAAACTTAAGTCTTCCTGGAGGCATACGAGAGATCATCCTAGACAAGGTGGTTTTATCTGAGCTGCTTTGAAAGATGAGTGGGAATATGACAGGTGGAAAAAGGAAGAAAGGAAATAATAGGGCAAGGAAACAGAATGAGCACATGCCATAAAGTTGTGAAAGACCGTAATTTGGAAATGGTGGTGGCCAGAGCACAACTCTTTGTGAATACTTCCAATATTCCCATTGGTCCAGAACTGAAGTCTACTAAATGTGCAAATTAATTTTCTCTTCATAATTCATTTAAATTCTGTATTAGTTTCCTATTGCTGCTGTAACAAACCACCACAAATTTAGTGGCTTTAAACAACACAAATTTATCTCGTAGTTCTGGAGGTCAGAAGTTCTGAAATCAAAGTGTCAGCAGGGCTGTGTTTCTTGTAGAGGCTCTAGGGGAGAGTCAATTTCTTTACCTTTTCTAGGTTCTATAGGTGGCCTGTATTCTTTGGCTGGTTGACCCCTTCTTTGCCTTGGTCTGAGCTCTGCTTCTATTATCACATCTCCTTCTCTCCCTCAGACCTGCTTGCCTTCCTCCTATAATGATTCTTGAGATTACATTGGGCACATGTGGATAATATCTCAACGTCCTTAATTTTATCACATCTGCAAAGTCCCTTTTGCCGCGTAAGATAATATACTCATAGGATTTGGGGATTGAGATGTAAATACCTTTGGGAGCCTATTTTTCTGTCTTCTATAGATTCTATAGGAGTGAAATATCTTAGGGCTCAAAATATAGAGGCTGAATGAATTTGTATATCTAAAGAGTAAGCAACCCAGATCATATTTTTCTTGCTATTCATATTAGTTGATTTCCTGCAACTTAAATCATCACCCTTTCATCTGTCAGTATCCTGAGCTGTGACTCTCAAAATAATCTCCGATCATTCATGGTTTCTCACTTAGTGAGACCCTTATAACACCAATCCTTGCCAAGTCATAAAGCATTTAAGAAGTTCCCGTTGCCTTCTTTCCTTTCACCACCAAATTTGGAAAGCGGATTCAATACTCACTGTCTTTATTTCCTCAGCTCTCATTCACAATTCCACACAGGAAAAGCTGGCACCTCTCTGGGATTTAGTTTTCTTACCTGGTCCAGGTTGCTTATTTTTGAGATGTTTCTCTCCAGCTTTAAAGTACCATGATTCTATGATACTACTTCTTCTCAGTCATGCAGCATCAGAAGTGGGCTAGTTCCCCTCAAGTCTCTTAGCCCCTAGTCAATTATTTTTCTCCTAGGATCTCAAGCCAAGCTGTCAGTCTAATCATTGTGTTGTAACAAGCTTCCGTTCGGAATTCAGCAAAAACGTTTTTTGCATTGTAGAATTCCATTAAGAAACAATTCAAGCTGGGAATGAAGGCTGTTCCTGTATTCCTGGGAGGCTTCTCTTCCAATGCTGGGTCATACATTGTTGCCTTTCTGGCTAAAGGTTTCCCTATATTAATACTGCAAAATTATCACTATCTCAGGATGGAAGGAGATAGTAATCCTAGCATAGATATATTCAAGGTAGCTTGGCTTCTGAGGGTTCCAAGTTACTAATAGCTTTCACTTTTAGTTATGTATTTCTGTATTTATATTTCATATACTCATTTACCTCTTTTGGGCTGAAGAAAAAGAGGACATTATCTAACCAGCGAAAAGAGATCAGTTTTCTTCTGAGAAGCATTCAGCATCCGATTAAATATTTTAAATTGCTTTATGAAAAATTTCAGCCTGGATTTTCTGTAATTTAGTTTATAATAATCACTGAGGGAGATCTGACAATGGTTAAGTCTCCAAAAGCTTTTCCTGGTTATTTCAGAACGATCTGATTTTCTTCTTGCTTTTGGGAGAAAGTGTCTATTGTGGGAAATGCTCCTAAAATGAGGTGTAAGCTGGGAAGGGTTGCCTCAGGTTTTGTGTTAATTGATAATAAGCGAACAGCTCATACAAGTTTATTAATTTCTTTGTTCATTCAACATATTTACTGAAGCATTACCATGTGCCAGAGTCTGTACTGGGCCCTCAGTATGGATATGAATTAGACACAGTCTAGTTTTCAGGGAGATTCTAGTGTAGTAGGATAGACAGATATGTAAATATCATGTGAACTAAGTGCATTAGTACAACAAAATGTCACAATGCTGTTATAATCTATTTGTGCTGCTATTACATAATAGTTGAGACTGGGTACTTAAGAAAGAACACTTTTTTTTTTTTTCACAGTTCTAGCGGTTTGGAAGTCCAAGATCAAGGAGCTAGCATCTGGTGATGGTCTTCTTGTTGTATCCTCACAGGGTGGAAGGCAGAAGGGCATATGATCTGAACTCTGTGTGAAGCCTCTTTTGTAAGGGTCTTAATCTCATTCATAAGAAGAGGAGCCTCATGACCTAATTGCTTCTTAAAGGCTCCACCTTCTAATACTGTTATATTGGTAACACCTGAATTTTGGAGGCGGCACTTTTAAAACATTGAAGATGCTATTGAAGCATCTGCATGGTACACAATGTGGGTGAAGTGGGAGCAAGCATATGATTTTATCATTAGGAAATGGGGGTGCATACTTGATGTCCTTGTAAGTTCTAATCAAGAGTAGCAGACATATGAATGAAAAAGCATTCTGAAGGAGGCTTGGTATCATCCATACCTTAGTCCAATAACCCCTAAATATTTATGGAGTGTCTATCATAAGCTAAGAACTCTCTGATGGTCAAAAATTGATGAGAGAATGATAAAATAAAAAGGAGAGCAATTACAAGAGACTTGAAGAAGCAGGATATTTTTTCCTCCCAAAATAATAGAGAATAGGGAAATAAAGAGGTAATAAAAATTCTAGGGAGTCTAATATTAAATATTTACTTGGTATGGGCTGAAAGCTTTGTCATACTCTGGTCAGGTGTATCAAATTTGACACGATAACCCCATAAGTGTAAAAATATGAGATATCTTTTGTAGTGTTTTTTACAGTGGTAAAAACAGAATATGTGACTTAAAAAAATAATCTAGGCTTTATAAGTCCATGAGGAACAGCTGAAATCTCAAGTGGTTCATATATTTCTTTGACAAAGAAAAGATGTTATTTTCCATAATAGTCATTTCAAGCTGAAGGAGCACTAGTTGATTATTAATGTGGGAAAAATAATAACTGTGGAAAAACAGGCAAAAGAATAGAAATAGGTCACAGAAAATAAATATAAATGGATTATACAAATATAAAAAATATTCAGCATTACTTACAGCAAAAACAAAAACAAAAAACAAAAAACCATGCAAATCCAAGCAAGGAGATACTTATCAGGTTACCAACATTTAGATATTTGATAATATCCAGTGTGAAGGGCACAGAAACTGCCAATGTCAAATATTATGAATGAGAGAAAAATGGGTATAATGATTTTAGAGGGCAGTTGGATGCTATGTAACAAAACTGAAAATGTACACACATCTTTTAACCTAGTAATTCCACACCTAGAAATTTATTCTAAGAGAAGTGTTTAAATAAGTGATATACAAAGATGTTTCTCCAGCTTTGTTTCTAACAGCAATAGCAAAAAATGTCTATCAATTGGAGATCATTTAAGTAAATTATGGTTGATTCATAATTTGAATCAATATGGCTGATTTGAATATGTTTGAGTCTATGGAATATTGGCTAAAGAGAAAGATGTAAATATATTTGTGCTAACATAGAAAGATCTCTACCATTAACAAGCAAGATGGAGAGCTGTATGTAACATGCTTGTAAACAGTATTTTAACAGATACACAAGAAACCGCTAGCATTGGTTCTCTGGGTTGTGGAAATGGGAGGATTTGGATTAAGATGAAGATTTAATTTTATTGTATGCATTGGATTGTTTTACTTGTTTTCTTATATGTATGTGTTAATTTTTCCAATTAAAAACAAAAATAATTTAGACAGTAGACAGAGGAGCTCAGTAGCCTGGTATTCACTGTAAAATACTATGTCAGAAGTCTCTTTGTGGTCTAAAAATAGAAAAGTCTATCAACTTAGGCATTTTTATCTCTAATAACATTTCTAGTTATATTTCCTGGTTCTGGAGCTCCATTGAACCAGGGAGAGTTCATCAAGGTCTACCACATGCTCAAAGCCGACCCTAAGAGAAGAATATTTTACTGAGTGACTATGATGAAATGCTAGGATGGGTCTCTAAGATGGAGGAGATAGGATTGTGGTATTACTTGTTTTATTTTATTGACTTAAAAACATGTCATTTAAAGGGGAGCAACTAAACATCACCTAGTTAGTACTCTTGTCAAAAATCTAAGCATGAGGAAACAAGCAAATAGAAATTTAGGGATATTCTACAAAAAAACAACTTGTCTTCTTAAAAAAAAAAACCAATGTCATAAAACTAAAAAAAGGAAGGATTTATAATAAAGGGAACTAAAGAAACATTAAATGTAGTGTGTGATGCTTGATTGAATCCTGGGTTTATGTGACATTATAGGTACAATTGAAGAAATTTATATGGATTGCATATTAAGTAATCATATTGTGTTTATATAAAAATCTGAAGTGTAATTGTCGCATTCTAGTTATGTAGGAGAATGTCTTATTTATAGGATATAGGTGCTGAAATATTTTTGGATAAAGCATGATGACTGCAACTTTCAAATGGATCAGCAGAAAATGTATATGCATATATATGTATATATATATACAGATATATATCGAGAAAGATAAAGGAAATGTGGCAAAATGTTAAGAATGGGTGAATCTAGATTAAGGAAATGTGGATGTTCATTATATTTTTGGCACTTTTCTGTAGGTGTAACATTTTTCAAAATAAAAAGCTGAGGAAAAAAAGAGAAGCAACCAGCAGAATGTAAAAGCTTACGATTTAAATAGCACAGGACTTAGAAATATAATTTTTCATTGCTTCCCTCAATACTGAATGAGATGAGGAGCCACTAGGAGGTTTTCAGTGAGGAGTCACTTGACTGTAGACTTTAAAAGCATCATTCTGGTTTCTGCCCTCAGAGCTCACCTTAGGTGGTCAGTGGTGGAAGCAGCAAACCCAGTTAGGAGGTGACTGCCTCCAAGCAAGAGATCACAGTGGCTCACACCACAGAAGTAGAAGGGAGGTGGTGAGAAGTCAGCTCATTCTGGAATTGTCTTGAAGGTAGAGCCAATAGAATTTGCTGACAGATTAGGTGTGGGATATGAGAGAAAGTTAAGAATAAAGGATAAATTCAAAGTTTTTGGCCTGAGCAACCAGAGGATAAAATGGCTTCAATTGAGCCTAGGTTTTGTGGGTCAGGGGAAGCTCAGAATTCATTTTTGGCTGTGCTGCATTTGAATGATTAGCCATCTGAGTGGAGATCTTAGGTGGACTGTTGGAGGTATTAGTCTGGAATTCACTGGCGAGGTACAGGCTGGAGATATAAATGGAAGGGTGTTACCAAGGGAGTGAATCTAGATAGAGAATTGAAGCCCTGGGGCATTTTAGCACTAAGAGGTCAAGGAGTTGAAAAGGAACTAGTAAAGGAGACCAATAATGAGCAGCCAGTGAGTTGGTGGTAAACCAGGAGTGTCTTTTCCTGGAAGCTAAGTGAAAAGAGTGTTTAAAAGAAGAGGAAGTGTTTATGCTACATGATGCTGTGGGGTCAATTAAGGTGAATATTAAGAATTGACTATTGGATTGAATAATGAGGAGGTCGATAATGACCTTGCCATGAGCAAGCATTTTTGCTGCAAGTAACAGAAAACCTTAAGAAAACTGTGATAATATTGCCTTAAACAAAGAGGAGGTCATTTTTCCCATGTAAGAAGAAATCTAGAGAGCTTGTCACTGGAGCTGGTTTGAGCAAATCAACCATGTTAGAGATATCCTCTTTGCAATTTTCTTGGCCTTTTCTCATAGTTTAAAAATAGCTGCTTATGTGCCACTCAATGTACTCACATTTGAGGAAAGAAGAGAGAAAGAACAGCGTCATCAGGATTTAAAAAGCTCCCCAGAAAGCCATCCCTTTCTCTCCCCCACCCCCTTAGAGATGTCAGTTCATGTCTCCTTCATCAAAACAGTGTCATATAGCCACTGTAACAGGCTTCAAGAGATATCAGCAAAGTAAGTTCATTTTATGTGGGTGTATCCTGAAGTCCAAAAGAGTTTTAATGACTTAACCAATACCACACTGGTAATATAGCAGGGTAAAAGCAAACTGTCTGCAAAATTTGTTTATTTTTCTGATACATCACAGTATTGCAATAGTCTAGGCAAATGGCAATTATGGTTTAAATGAGAGCAATTACAGTAGTGTAGGGATGATTTTGAGGGAAAAAAAATTTGAAAAATTGCTGACCAATTAGATATAGAAGTTGAGTAAACGTTAAGAATGTCATGGATCCTAAAAGGCAGTTAAAACACTCAGACAACAGCTAGGTAAGGAAATAGACTTACATGGCCCAGCACAGTGGCTCACGCCTGTAATCCCAGCACTTTGGGAGGCCAAGGCAGGTGGATCACCTGAGGTCAGGAGTTCGAGACCAACCTGGCCAATATGGCGAAACCCTGTCTCTACTAAGAATACAAAAATTAGCTGGGTGTGATGGCGGGCGCCTATAGTCCCAGCTACTTGGAAAGTTGAGGCAGGAGAATCGCTTGAACCCGGGAGGCGGAGGTTGCAGTGAGTTGAGATTGTGCCACTGCACTCCAGCCTGGGTGACACAGTGAGACTATGTCTCAAAAAGAAGAAATAGACTAATACTTGCAAATCAGGTCAAACCAAAAAATATTTACAGAATGCTACTTCCTGTGCTTTTTGTATGGGGATCCAAAGAAAAGCTAAGAATGCGATCACAAATGGTTTGGAGAGACATTTTATTCTTCTCTGTCTTGTAATACTGTGAGAGTACTGAGATAGTGCAAAAGGGCCTACTACAGTGCATGCCATATAGCATATATCCAATGAATAGCTCATTCTCATCTCTTAACTGACTTTGCTACTTAATATCTTCCTTCTCCTGTCTATTGTCTTCACTACTACCAGAGCTATCATACAATTTCAAATCTAATCTAACACTCCCTTGTTTAAAAAGTAACAAATTCTCCCCATTGCCAGCCAGATAAAATCCAAAATTCTGGATCTCACTGTTGGCCCTGACATCCTTATCTAGTTTCATGCCACTGAATGACTTGCTACTTCTGGAATATGGTGGGCTCCTATGTACCCTCTTTGCTTTTTCTATCTAGAAACTTCCATCTCTTTCTTCAAGACGTGCTTTCTGTCCTATCAATTGTGAAGCCTCATCCTATCTCCCATGCAGTTAGTTACTGCCTTAGTATTCCTATGACATATAGTTTTATATTAGCCCTTATTTTGTTACATGGATTGTAATTGTTTGTGGGTTTGATCTTTTCTAGACAATGAGATTTCTGGCATGAGAGATTGCTTTTTATTTCTCTTTAGAATCTTTGCCCAGTACAGTTCTTGGCACACAGTAGTTGACTGGCAAATTAATGAATGAAGAGGAGAATCAGAGATTCTTTTTTTGCCCTTTACCCTCAGAAGCATAAGCTCCAGTAGGGAGATTTGAAGCGAACATGAATCCTTTCTTTTGGTAGGAGTCTCATAAATGGCACAAAGTGATATCAATGTAAACAAATGTTTCTAATTAAAATGACTTAGGCTGTGTCTGCAAGGCCATCACTAAATCAAAGTGGAAATAAAATTAGTCAGTCTAAATTGCCATAAGCCTTTTTAATAATGACAGGATTGGTGCTTGTGAGTATCTCAACAAGCATGATTGGCTGTATTGATGAGTCAGTCTCGTTTTAAAGCAGCATAATTTTATTTTATTCCAACTAGCATAAAATTTAGAATAGAATTTCAATACCCAACCACCTATTCCTCTGTGCCTCAACTGTGGCCAGCTGGCTGTGATCCTACAAGGTGTCTGCAACACTTAATGGCAGCTAAGATAAAAGAATGAACTCCATCTACAGATCAGACCAAACACCAGATATTTACTGAGTGCCACTCCCTGTGCCCACAGTGTATGGAAGCTAGAGATGCACCAAGAATGAGTTCACAAGGGAGTTGGGAGGACAGTTGGCTTCCTTGAGTCTTGCAGTGCTCTGAAGATCAGAATGATGACCTGAAGGCCAAATGAAGGTTTCTGATAGAATGATTTTAAACATCTAAGCCAACATTGGTATTTTGTTTTCAGAAGGAATATGAAAAAGATTTCCTGGAAGAATACTTTGTCTTAGTCTACCACTGACAGTGGCTTTGTGGTTGTTTTGCTGTATGCAAAACGTTTTATTTTTATCTCTCTTAGTTCTTTTGATCTTCATAAGAAATCTTTGAGAAATATATTATCAACTGGGCTTCAGAGAGATTAAATGATTTGCCTGTGTTCCCACAGGGGTGTATGGAAGAGTCAGCTCTCAAAACAATTTGGAGGCCTTTGAGCCTAAATCTTTTATATCATACTACCACTGGAAAAAACAAACAATTTGGAAAAGCACCTGCTGGACATAGTTATTCATAGATTTCCATGGGATAGTATTAGAGTTCAAGATTTGATTTCAAGAAATTACTGCAAAATGCTGAAGCTGATGTGAGAATAAAGATGTTTTATGGTTGGTTTATCCACTCCACCCTGGGATATCAGCTGGGTGGCCTAGGGCACTAGTGCTCTGCATCAGAATTCATTTGCTGGGACCACTTTTCTTTTTTGAGAAACCTGTGGATTCACCAAATCCTTGTGATTGATTGAATCATGAACACCTGTGAGTCAGATTGCTTTTACCTGTAATTAACTGATGAAATACTTTGTCAATCTTCCTGGTACTCAATATCTTTCCTGAACTGGGAGAATAGCATAAATACCTGGCAATTCAATCTCCTAGGCTTAGAGGCCTTCATCATAGAAAAAAGGATTTCCTGACCTTCTGGGCATAATTCATTCTCCCATATCTATGTCTGTCTCTCTAGCTGTCTTTCACACATTGGGCACTCCAACAGATAAGTTCGAATGAGTCAAAACTTGTGAAGTAAGTCTCTTTTTTTTTTTTTTTAGAGATAGGATCTCCCTCCATTTCTATGATTGCACTACTGCCTAGGTGGAGTGGAGTGGTGTGATCATAGCTCACTGCAGCCTTGAACTCCTGAGTTCAAGAGATCCTTTCACTTCAGCCTCCCAAGCAGCTAGGACTACAGTTGTGGGCCACCATGCCTGGCTAATTTATATATATATATTTTTTTTGTAAAGAGGGGAGGTGGGGGTTGGAAGGGGTCTTGCTTTGTTGTCCAGGCTGTTCTAAACCTTCTGGCCTCAATCTATCCACCTGCTTTAGCCTCCCAAGCACTGGGATTACAGGCATGAGCCACCATGGTGGCTGGTCCCTGAAGTAGGTCTTAATTGATTTATTTGATTATTTATTTGCCTTTGTTAACTCTGAAAAACAGCCTTTTATCCAGTTAGAATTACTATGCATCAAGTACAGGCATCTGTGACATTCAATGAGGTAATGACTATCGGATGTGTCACAGAGCACGTAGATGCACTGAGAAAATCCTAATTGTTTGGAAAGGGCTTTGTAAATAGGGATTGTCAGGAATACACATAATATTTTGAAAATAAGTGAATTAATATTCTAAAATGAAAACTTAATGAAAGTTACAATACATAGAGATATTCAACACATTGAAATGAATATATAGTGAGTTCTGATAATAATTTTTAGTCTATTCTCCCTAAATGGGAATAAACTGTGAAGAGGAAGACCAAGCCAATAGTTCTGGTTTGGCCTTGATTATTCTTCCTCTAAGCTCTGAGAATCTTTTTCAAGCATACTGCTTTTGGTCTATTATTATCTTGCATAAAATATCAACAACCTGGTCTATCACTGACTAGAAATGACCATTAGTACCATAGGTTTGACCACAGCCATGTTGGACACCTGAAAAGGTATCCTATTGATTTTAACATAAGAAAAAAATCACAAAATTGAAATTAATATGTTTGATTTAATGTTTGTAAAATATAACATTTTGTCAGCTAGCCAATAGCAATGCAACTCTTATATGGTTACATATACATTATCTTCCATGAGAGCTGTGTGTACACTTTAATATGGTCCATTCAACGTGGTCTGGGGGCTTTCACAAGCAAAGGAAGACATACAAATGGTCAATAAGCACATGAAAAGATGCTTAGCTTCACTAGCATCAGCGAAATGCAAGTGAAGGCCCCAATGAGATATTATTCACACTCACTAGGAGGGTTAGAATAAAAAAGAAAATAACAAATGTTGGTGAGGATACAGAGAAATTGGAGCCTTCATAAAGTGCTGGTAGGATTGTCATATGGAACAGTCACTTTGGAAACAGTCTGGCAAGTCCTCAAAAGGCTAAACATAGAGTTACTATGTGACCCAGCAGTTTCACTCCTAGGTTTGTACTGAAGAGAAATGAAAATTTGTGTCTGTACAAAATGTTATATGCAAATGTTTATAGCAGCTTTATTGATTATAGCCAAAAAGTGAAACAACCCAAATTTCCATCAAGTTATGAACAGATAGATAAAAGGTAGTATATCCATGTAATGGAATATTATTAATATTTGGCAGCAAAGAGAAATGACATGCTGATGCATGCTACAGAATGAATGAACCTTGAAAACATGGTACTAAGTGAAAGGAGGCAGTCACATGTGACCACATACTGTATGATTCCATTTTTGTAAAATATTCAGAATAGGCAAATCTATAGAGAGAATTTGGGAGTGACTGCTGTAGGATATGGGGTTTCTTTCTAGAGTGATGAAAATGTTCTAAAATTGTGGCAATGGTGGCACAGCTCTGTGAATACACAAAAGGCTATTGAAATACATACTTTAAATGGGTGAATTTTATAGTATGTAAATGGTATATAAATAAAGCTGTTTTAAAACAAAGGGACAGTGAGGAGAACCCAAGAGAACTGAAAATGGTTCTGGAACAACTATGTGATACCTATCTCTAATGCGATGGCCAATGTAATTCTCATTTTGTCCTTCCTTCCTGCTTTTCTTTTTTGTTTATTCATCCATTAATTCATTCACAAATGTTTATTGCACACCTACTGTATATCAGGCACTGCATTAATTCCTGGTTGTACGGTTGTGAAGAAAATAGATACAGGCTTTTCCCATGTGGAGCTTATAGTATATTGGTGGAGAGAGGTATTAAATAAATATCAACAGAAACAAATATCTGATTACATACTGTGTCTGTAGTATGAAGAAAAAGAGACCTTCTTGAGCTCAGAAGGATAAGTGGGAATTAACTGGATGAAGAATGGGCAGAAGAACATTCTAGGCAGATGGAACTGCCTGTGTAAAGCCTCGGAAATGTGGACTGGTTTGCTGCTCTCAAGGAGGGAAATCAGGTCGGAGCCTGGTGAGTAAGGGAGGAGTTGTGTGTTTCACGTTTCACTGGCAGGGCGAGGCAAGATCCCTCAGCATTTTTAGGCCATGTTAAAGATTTTTTAGTTTCTGAAAGATATAGGAAACACTGGGAGTTTTAAATAGCAGAATGCTCTTTATATTTATATTTGTTATATATTTTTAAATTTACAACATAAAAAAGATTGCTTTGGTTGATGAGCTGAGAATGGTTTGAAGACAAGTAAATGGCAGTGCAAAGACCAATTTGGAAGCAATTTCAGTGGTCTAGGCAATATATAAGGATGGTTTCTGATACCTTGGTGATGACAGAGATGGCTGGAGGCAGATGGAGTTGAGATGTATTTTGGAGGTAAAGTCACTAAGACTCAATAATGAGTGAGATATAGGAAATGATGCAGGTATCAAGGGTAACTCCTGGATTTATGGTTTGAAGATTAACTGATTTGGGGAAGTATGGAGAATAAGAAGATTTGAAATGCCACAAACGGTATTCTCAATGCCTATAAGTGGATCATTATAAGTGTTGTTCAGTACACAGACTTGCTTCCATCTTGGAGCTCAGGATAAAAATGGATCCTCTTGACAGTTCATGAAAAACACAAGTAAATCCTTAACCCAGCTGCAGACATGTAAGATGATTCTATTGAACTATGTAGACTAAGTTAAATACATTTAATTACATTTGTTTTTGTGTCACTTTTCTTTGCTGGACTGAGGTATTTGAGGATTGTATCTCTTTTTTATTCATCTTTTGAGATTCTAATGCATAGTGTGGAGTTTGCTAATAAACACTGATGTATTATGAACGGAGAGGATACATAGCAAAGTATTAAAACTAATATGTTGGTGTGGAAAATGAACACAGAGAGGGTAATTTATGGGCAATAATTTAGAGGTGCAGGGAAGGGAGGAGATCAAAGCACAGGTTGAAAGACTGATGTTGGACAAAAGAAGAGAGAACTTTTTTATGAGATAGAAAGGAAGAGTGAAGGATTGCTTCTGATATAAAGGTAAAGCAAGGGCATAGATGTCATTGGAGCTGAGTAATTCTCTAAAGTGAAAGCTAGTGCATTGGATGTTATATTTGTTCAAGAAGCTAGTAGGACTTTGAGATAGAGAGGATGTTTGGGAGAATACACATTATCAATTAATGGAAAGGTCAATAGGCTTCCCAGCACCCAAAGATGAAAGGATCTTTATGATAGACACACTGCCCATCTTTTAGCTCCACTTCCACTGATTTCAGTTTCATAAATATTCTATATTTTCATCTACTTTGGGCATTTGCACATGTTATTCCCTTTGCCTGAAATTTCCTTCTTCATCCTGTCCTTTTAGATAATTCTTATTCATCCTACCTTATATTTCATTTTCATTTGGAAACTTGTCTGCTCCCCAAGCATAGTTAAATGCTCCTCTGTAAGAGCCTATATATCCTGAATTTATCCTTATTATAGGACTTATCAAATTCTATTGCATTGTCTATGCACACTTATTTTCTTCAGTAGACTAAGAGCTCTTTGAAGACAGGACCTCTGCTTTGTTTATCTCTCTGCTCCCAGCACCTAACTTTGTGTAGTAGGTAGCCAATGGATGTTTGCTAAATGAATAAATTGTAGAAAACTGCTCTTGAGTAGGCAATATGCATGGGACATAGCCAAGTACGAGGATCGATTCTGTGCATTGGATGTCTCCCTGCACCATCACTTGGACACAAGACTCAGTTCTCTTTAGTCTTATGTTATAAGATATTTATAGCAGGATATCTCCTCATCTGAATATTTCAGGAGAAGGAGGAGCCAGTAAAAGACAAATGATTTTTTTTAATGTAAAAGAACCAAGAACTGCGTATAGTTTAGTCTGATTAAACTCTTTCAAAAGAACAGACACAAAAATACACAGCAAGGCTTTTCCCACATGCAGAATAATTGGTATGTGGGGAGACACCAGAAAAAGACATTCACTTGACAAATTCATATACTCTTAGGTTGTATGTGACTTTGGAGGACAAAGTGGCAAAATTTTGAACTGTTTTCTCCTACATAGAAATAGCTTTGTGGCATAGAAATCTTGTAATGTGATTATACCAGTGTTTCTAAAAAATTGATGAATGTATTAAAAATCATTTATAGCTATAAATGAGTTGGTAATGCCTGTGGGAGGCAGCATGAATAGTGGAGAGAGCTCAGAGTTGTAGCTCGCAGAGAGCTAATGATTTGTGACCTTAGGCAAGACTCTGACCCTGTTTCATCATCTATAAAGGAGGTGGAATAGGTATTCTCTAAGACACGCCACCCAGCAGAAACATTCAGTGACTGTATCTATTGCCTATTTGCTTGTATGTGTATGTTTGTTTAATTGAAAAGAAAGGGTTTCTGTAAGAGTCAAAGGGTTATGTTTCTGTACAAACAACATAGATTTATAACTTATTGATTCAAAATCCAGTTTCTCAGATAGAGGCTTCAAGATGGCTGACTAGAGGCACTCAGCACTTTCCTCTTCTGCAAAGAAGAACCAAAACAGTGAGTAGATAATCACACTTTGAATAGAGTGTCTAAGAGAGAGTCTTAGACACACTCAGTGAAGTGACAGGAAACACCCAAGGCTTGGAGGGAGCTAGAAGGGAGACAGCCAACCCAGCTGGATTGGCTGGGAGTCTGGGGAGGCTCCCCACTGTGGGGAAAGGGTAAGTGAGAGATTCACAGTGCTCCATATTATAGACTCCTGCAATCCTAGTCATAGGATTGTTAGCTCTGAGACTAGTGTAGGCAACTGCCTGGAGATCACATGTAAGCATTGTCCCAGAGAGGGAGCTCAAGCTGATTCCCGTACACCCCTGAGCCCCAAGCTGCTGAAGCATGGCACTGTTCTGAGAACCACGCTCCACCAGACCACATTCTGTCCTGTGGCCCAACAGTTCCTGGATCTCCACATCCCTGGAACCCCACTCATAACCCTTGTGTTTACTCAGAGGGCTGCAGCAGCACAACACTGATTGGACTCAGCAGTGTAGCTGGGTTCTCAGCATTCTAGCCCACATGGTATTCCATAACCTGAGGAACAGGCAGTGTAGCACACCAGGGAGGCAGCCCCTGGGACAAAGAGAGCCCCATTCCAGCTTTCACCTGGGGCATGTGCACATGTCATCAGGAGGCCTGAGAAAATATCCAGCCTGCCTGCCACAGGACCTGCGGTCCTCGGGATTGCCCTGCCATGCCCACCACAGCCTGCACCTATCTGCAACATCAATGTCTGCACTGCCTGATGGCTCTCCTATCAGTACTTCTGTGCATTGTCTGGAGGCCTAGAGATTACCCTGTTCTGTCCACCACTGCTGGCATCTGCATACTCCTCTTGGGTGCCTGAGGATGGGCCCACCCAGCCTGCCACTGCCACCACCACCACCACTGGTACCCACCTGCATGTGCCACCTGGGGACAGGCCCACCCAGCTCTTCACTACCACCATTAACACCAGTGCATGCTGCCTGGGAACCTGAGGGTTGTCCTGTCATGGCTACTTTCATTACCCATGCCCATGCATGCTGTCAGGGGCTTGAGGATCCACCCTCCTGCCCCACCCACCACTGCCACTGCTGGCACCCAAGCAAGCTGCCTGGAGGCCCATGAATTGGCTGGCCTGAACTCAATACCACTGGTGCTCATGTATGCCTCCCAGGGGCCAGAGGACAGGCATACTCAGCCTGCTCTTGCCATCAGTAGGGCCCAAGAACTGGTGCATTTGGCGTACCTGTCCCCAGCAAAGCTTTACCACACCCTTCACTAACAACTGCAGCCTAAGCCACTGAGAATTTCACAGACAGCATTGGAGAATAATGAAAAGTCTGAAAAATCATATGAAGACTACACTACTCCACATACCTATAATCAAGCTCAAGTGCCTCACCCACCCAATGCTATAGATGCATCTACAGGAAAAAGTTCTCCCCTACAAAAGCAAATCCAAAAAATTGTAAAAAACAACTGTTACACCAGTTGTGCAAATATCAATGTAAGATAGAAGAAAAGTGAAAAAGCTAGAAAACATTACACCTCCAAAGGAACACAGTAATTCTCCAGCAAAAGATTCCAATTAAAAAGAAATCTAAAAAATGCATGAAAAATCAAAATCATGATATTAAAGAAGCTCAGTGAGATACAAGAGAACACTGATAAATATTACAAAGAAATCAGAAACCATTCAGGATATGAATGAGAAATTCAACACAGAAATAAGTATCATAAGAAAGAACCAAACAGAAATCCTGGAACTGAGGAATTCAAGAATGAAATAACGAATATAATTGAGAACATCAACAATAGACTAGAACAAGCAAAAATTAAATTTAGAATTTGAAGAAAGGTCTTTTGAAACAACCCAGTCAAATAAAAGGAAAGAAAGAAAGAAAGAAAAAAAAAAAAAAGAATGAAGAGGCCAGATGAAGTGGCTCACGCCTATAATCCCAAAACTTTGGGAGGCTGAGGTGGCAGGATCACTTCAGCTAAGGAGTTTAAGACTAGCCAGGGCAACACAGTGAGACCCTGTCTCTAAAAAAAAAAAAAGTTAGCTGGGCATGCCGGCACATGCCTGTAGTTCCAGTTACCTGGGAGGCTGAGATGGGAGGATTGGTTGAGCCTGGGGGGTTAAGGCTGCAGTGAGCTGTGATTGCACTACTGCCCTCCAGCTTAGATGACAGAGCAAGATCCTGTCTGCAAAAACAGAGAAAGCCTGTGGAACACATAGATACCATAAAATGACCAAATATTCAAATTTTGAGTGTCCCAGAAGGAGAAGAGTTAGGCAAAGCCATAGAAAACCTATTGAATGAAATAGTAGCTGAAAACTTCCTGAGTCCATCAATAGATTAACACATCTAGATTCAGGAAGCTCAAAGATGCTAAAATAGGTATAGCTCAAAAAGGTCTCCTCCAAGGCACGTTATAGTCAAACTGTCAAAGACAAAGAGAGAATTCTAAAAACAGCAAACGTATCAAGTCATGTAGGAGGGAAACTTCATCAGACCAACAGTGAATTTCTCAGCAGAAATCATACAAGCCAGGAGAGAATGATATTCAAAATGCTGAAAGAAAAAAACTGTCAATCAAAGATACTTTCCAGCAAAGCTACCCTTCAAAAATGAAGTAGAAATAAAATCTTTCTGAGGCAAGCAAAAACTGAGGTAATTCATCACCACTACACCGGTCCTACAAAAAACACTTAAAGGAGCCCCACACCTAGAAGCAAAAGAATGATATCTACTACCATGAAAACACAAAAAATTATAAACCATTGGTAGAGCAGACACACGAACGAGGAAGAGAGTGTACTCAAATGTTACCACTACAGGAAACTACCAAAGTGCAATAACATTTTCCATAGATATAGAAAAATAACCTTAAAATTTGTGTGGAGCCAAAGAAGAGCCCAAGTAGCCAAAGCAATCCTGAGCAAAAATAAGAAAGCTGGACACATCACACTACCTGACTTGAAAATATAAGGTTATATTAGCCCAAACAGCATGGTATTGGTATAAAAACAGACACATAGACCAAAGGGACTGAATAGAGATCCTGGTGTAAATCCACACATTTGCAGTCAATTCATCTTTGACAAAGTCACCAAGAACAATGAAGGAGAGTCTCCTCAATAAGTGGTGCTGGGAAAACTTGATATCCCTATGCAGAAGAATGAAACTAGACCCCTGTCTCTTATCATATACAAAAATCAAATCAAAATGGATTAAGGACTTAAATCTAAGACCTCAAATTATGAAACTGCTAGGAGAAAACATTGAGGAAATGCTCCAGGACATTGGTCTGGACAAAAACATTTTTGTGTAAAACCATAAAACACAAGCAATCAACACAGAAATAGACAAATGGGACTATGTCAAGCTAAGAAGCTCCTGCACAACAAAGAAAACAATCAACAAAACAAAGAGACAACCCATAGAATGGGAGAAAATATTTGCAAACTATCCTTTTGACAAGGGATTAATAACCAGAATATATAAGGAGCTCAAACAACTCAATAACAGAAACAAAAAATCTTCTTAAAAACTGAGCAAAAGAGCTAAGTATCAAAAGAAGACATACAGGTATGGAATTAGCCTAAGTGTCCATCAATGGATGAATGGAAAATAAAATGTGTTACATATACACAATAAAATACTATTTGGCCAAAAAAAAAAAAAAAAGAGAGAGAGAATAAAATCTTGTCATTTGCAGAAACAGGGATAGAACTGGAGGTCATAATGTTAAGTGAAATAAGCTAGGCATACAAAGACAAAAATCACATATTCTCATACAGATGTGGGAGCTAAAATAGCTGATCTCGTGTAAGTAGAGTGTAGATAGTTACCAGTGACTGGGAAGGTGTGTGTGTGAAGAGTGAAGAGAGGTATGTTAATGGGCACGAAACGTATGGTTAGATAGCTTATCCCTAAGGCTGAATTATACATCTGAGTATTAGTGGGTATGAGTTTTTGATCTGGGCTGATGTCTACACATGCTCAGTTTGGGAATCTTTAGCTCAAGAGTAGCAGCTGCCAAGAAGTCTCTGGACTGTGTTGTTTTTTAGAAGTGGGATGCCAGAAGAGCATATACCCCTCACATTCAGGGTCTGCAGCTACAGTAGGTAAAGCTTCTCAACATAGAAGTGCATCAGAATTACTTAAAAAGTTTAAAAGATATCTGGAGAACAGCTGGGTGCCAGTGGCTCACACCTGTAATCCCAGCACTTTGGGAGGCCGAGGTGGGCAGATCACAAAGTCAAGAGATTGAGACCATCCTGGCCAACACTGTGAAACCCCATCTCTACTAAAAATACAAAAATTAGCTGGCCGTAGTGGCATGCAAGTCCCAGCTACTCGGGAGGCTGAGGCAGGAGAATCGCTTGAATCCGGGAGGCAGAGGTTGCGGTGCGCAGAGATCACGGCACTGCACTCCAGCCTGGGTGACAGTGTGAGACTCTGTCTTAAAAAAAAAGAAGTATATATATATGTATATATATACTTATATACTTATATATATATGTATATATATACTTATATAGTTACATATGTATATATATACTTATATACTTATATATATATGTATATATATACTTATATAGTTATATATGTATATATATACTTATATAGTTATATATGTATATATATACTTATATAGTTATATATGTATATATATACTTATATAGTTATATATGTATATATATACTTATATAGTTATATATATGTATATATATACTTATATAGTTATATATATGTATATATACTTATATAGTTATATATATGTATATATATACTTATATAGTTATATATATGTATATATATACTTATATAGTTATATATATGTATATATATACTTATATAGTTATATATATGTATATATATACTTATATAGTTATATATAAGTATATATATACTTATATAGTTATATATATGTATATATATACTTATATACTTATATATATATACTTATATACTTATATATATATAAGCATATATATATAACCTATATATATATCTATATATGTATCTGGAGAACTTGCCTTCACTATTGGAGCTTTTAATCTAGGCAATACTATTCTGGACATAGGAACTGGCAAAGATTTTGTGTTGAAGATGTGAAAAGCAATTGGACCAAAAGCAAAAAATTGATTAATGGGATCTAATTAAACTTAAGAGCTTCTGCACTGCAAAAGAAACTATCAACCAAGTGAACAGACAACCTACAGAATGGAAGAAAACTTTTGCAAAGTTAGACCTTTGCATCTGACAAAGGTCTAATATCCAGCATCTCTAAAGAACTTAAATGTACAAGATAAAAACAACCCCATTAAAAAGTGGGCAAAGGATGTGAACAGACACTTTTCAAAACAAGATATACATACAGTCAACAATCATGGACAAAAGCTCAACATCTCTGATTGTTAGAGAAATGCAAATCAAACCCACAATGAGATACCATCTCACACCAGTCAGAATGGTTATTACTAAAAAGTCATAACAGATGCTGGTGAGGTTGTGGAATAAAAGGAATGCTTATACACGGTTGGTTGGAGTGTAAATTAGTTCAACCATTGTGGAAGACAGTGTGACAATTCCTAGAAGACCTAAAAACAGAACTACCATTCGACCCAGTAATCCCATTACTGGGTACATACGCAAAGGAATATAAATAGTTGTACCCTAAAGACACATGCACATGGATGTTTATTGCAGAACTATTCAGAACAGCAAAGACATGAAATCAACCTAAATGTCTACCAATGGTAGCTTGTATAAAGCAAATGTGGTGCATGTATACCATGGAATAATATGTGGCCATAAAAACAAGATCATGTCCTTTGCAGCAACAGGGATGGAACTGGAGGTCATTATTCTGAGCAAACTAACTGAGGGACAGAAAATCAAATACTGCATTTTCTCACTGATAAGTGGGAACTAAAATGTGAGAACACCTGGACACATAGAGGGGAACAACACACACTCAGCCTATCAGAGGATGGAGGATGGGAGGAGGGAGAGGATCAGGAAAAATATCTAAGGGTTACTAGGCTTAATACCTGGGTGATGAAATAATCTGTACAACAAACCCCCATGACACAAGTTTACCTGTAAAACATACCTGCACATGTACCCCTGAACTTTAAAATTAAAAAAACTCCAAATAATTAAAATTAAATACACATGTAGATAGATAGATAAATAGATAGAAAATGCAGATTAAATAACACTTAGCATTTTAAAATGGTTTTATCAAATTTCAAGACAAGAATTCAAATTCTTCTATATTTTCTGTATTATCAACCAGCTTTCTGTAGAAACACTGTGTCGCTAAAAATAAATAGAAATTATATTTTGTTAATTTGAAGAGATATTTTTAAGATCAGAATTTGCACATGCAATGTATCTCACTGTTTATATTGGATCTAGAAGAGTACAAACATCCTAAATTCTGTTAAAAATCTCTCCTGGTGATGCTGATGCCCACTGGGACTGAGAACCTTTGCTATAGGAAATTAGTCTCAGGATTCAGTGCCCATTTGTAGGTTCATTAATCATTAAAGAGGTTGTTTATGATTTCTGTGTGGTTGACATTTGTTATTTTTCCCAGTTAGACAAAAGAGTTCTTTATTTAAAAAATACAGAAAACATGTTCTAATGTCTTAAGGGATGCTTCTTTGGTGTAAAATTCCCTAACTCAGAGAATAAATGTCTTTTATTTAAGCTGCTGTGTGTGCCAATCACCAGTGACTGGCCAGGGAAGGTGATGTGGCATAAAGAAAAGGACATTAAGCTTGGAGTCAGGAAGTGAGGAGCCCTGGGAGCTGGTTCTAACGTTGCTGCTTGATGAGCTCTGTGACATTTGCAAGTTATTGCACATCTTTTGGTTTCTGTTCCCTTAACTGTAAATTAAGGGGGACTTGTGGTAGATTATTTGTAATATCCAATCCATCTTAAAATTTGATTTCTTTAACAATGAATTTTGGTAGTTGCAACTGAAAGCACAGTTCTTAATTTTGCATTTTAGAATTAGGTGTCTGAATATTTGAGAGTAAAAGCAGATGAGAAGATTGATTTAGGGTCTTTTCTGGTGAGGCAGAAAGTCTGTTAACTGTTTGATTCTCAGGATTGACCAGGCCCATGACAGTCCAGCATGAGTAGGATAGGCTGTGAATAGGAGTTAGTGATTAGCTGGGACAAATCAGAGGGCTCAAGGTACTAGAGATAGTGGTTAAAGTCAAGAAAATAGATGTAATGGGGAATATGGTAGTAAGACATCTGAAGTGGAGTAGAGATTTTGATCAGAGAATAGGATAATGAAGTCTCATTTCAGGGGTAGAACAATTCTGCATGCTAACCAGGATAACCAGGATATGGCCCCTGATACTGAGGAAGTCAGGGAACTGTGTGACCAAGACCTATGTAGGTTGTCCATGTCAATATTGGGATCTACAAGAATGACAGTAGTATTAGGCTCTCAAATGAGAGCTGCTTTTTCTCCCAATTTTCTCCAAACTTTTACTTGGAATAATTGTGAAAACCTTTCTTACTTCTGGGAAACTCAGTGCATTGTTTTTCTCCCAGAGTAGAGAGGAAAACTCTGAGCCAGATGTCAAAATTCTTATTGAAGATAAGGCTTTGACCAGGAGGGTGGTGGGTAACTAGGTATCCTAGTTCACTTGGGTAGCTGTAACAGCATACCTTAGACTAGATAACCTGTAAACAACAGAAATTTATTGCTTATAATTCTGGAGGCTGGAGAGTCCAAAATCAAGGTGCCAGCGGATTTGGTGTCTAGTGAGGGCTCTCTGATTGATAGGTGGCACCTTCTCTGTGTCCTCACATAGCAGAAGAGCAAAAAGGGCTGACAAGCTTCCTCAGGCCTCTTTTATGAGGTTCCTGTTCCCATACATAGGGCTCTGCCCTTATGACCTAATCACCTCCCATAGACCACACCTCTTAATACCATCACATTGAGGATTAACTTTCAATGTATGAATTTTGGGGGTACACAAACATTCAGACCACAGCACTAAAACAGCGATGTTTCTTAGGGGGAGAATGAGATGATTTGTGGGACTTTTGTCTGAGGGCGGGAGTAAAGTCTGGAAATAACAGAGGAAATGAAGGTGATGCTTGTGCTATACTGTCACCTCATGGTGGTTTGGGAGAAAAAGCAGATCCCATTGACAGCCAGTATTATGCTGTGTTTTCTCCCCAGAGACCATCATTTCCATGTGGGTCATCATTTTCATGTGAGGGGTCTGCCAGTGCAGAAGGAATAGGCCTTGACCCTTTCAAATACTTGATTATCCTACTTTTAGGAATTTTTCAGCCTAATTTCCCCAACGTTGACTTTCTCTGACACCTGGATATTCTCTCCAGCTCTCAAACTTCTTTTGAAGAGTGGTAGATATTTGGTTCCCCAGCCTAAATAGAATCTGATTTCCTCGAATCGAAAGTTCAGCAAATCATTGCAGTAATGCTTATCGATTCCTCCTGCTCCAGTAGCCAGATCAATATGAGGAGTGAATGTCATTATCTCCTGTGCTGTCTGCAATCCCAGATGTATTCATGGAGAAGCCAATGGTAAAGAGTCTGAAGTTTTACTTGGGATAATTGTGAAACACTGTCTTACTTCTGGGAAACTCAGGGCAGTAATCTGGTTATGCTTGTTTTTGGCCAAGGTATTGTCAAAGATCAGAAAGTCTGGGATCCTTGATTCTACTTTGGGATCCAGAAATGGTGGGTTTCAGTTCTTGCTTTTTCGTGAATAGGATTATAGGACAAAATCCTAAAAATTAGATCCCTTGAACTACTTATCTGTGAATACACAGAAATGGATACCTATTCTTTTTATGAAATGAATATAACCATTTGTCTTAGATTGGGATAAAGGTAAATATAAGTGAAACATATGGTTTTAGCGTAAATAATATACTATAGAAACAAAATATTTGATACCATAGCTTAGCTTCAGTGTTTTGCAACTGCGTAAAGAAAGTCCAGAGAAGTATTTTTTTCTTTTCAACCAGTTGTAGCAATGAGAAAACTTTCACCAAGTCATTATCTAGTAGGATCCAGGTAGACTACTCTTCTTTGGTTGTTTAATGATTTCAATGAGGGCATGTGCATGTTGTGTGTGAGTGGAAGCAGTGTATAGTTTGAAAACCAAGCAGTACTTTGTCCCATGTCGTGATCTGGTTTTAGACATGATATTTGATCTATTTTGAATTTTAGATAATATTTAAATTAGGCTCAACGATGTTTAAAAGACACGGAGTTTTTCTGGGAAGTCTTCAAACCCATTTTAGTAAGGGAGAAGGTAATTTTCAGCATGTTCTTAATGTGTGTGGGGAATGGGACGGTGTGGGGGTCCGGAACAAATTGGGTGTTGCTAAGCCAGTCAGGAGGCCCTGGTTTTGGTGGGGGCAAATCAAACATAACAATTTTCAGCCCAAGGAAATTTTGGCAGATGACACCCGGATCATGCTAAATAGAGGAATAGACCCACTATGGGTGAAGGGAGTCTCTAGGGGTGTGGCTTCCAGGCTGTGTTCTGGACTTCCTGGATGTGATGATGGTGTAATGTTACAAAATTCTTGAATAATTCTAAAAACTGTCAGGTGAAGTTTTTACTTTTTTGTTTGTTTGTTTTCTTTAGAGAAGATGGCTGAGAAATATGGGGAGATAGTAATGGAGTAGAGTTAAAGTTCTCAGTGCTTTCAACTGGAGTCACTGAGATGCTGTTTATTTTGTCCAGACATCTAGCGTGGTATTGACAGTTTTCAACTCCCCTTTCTCAGGGAAAAGGTTATTGTCCATAACTGTACATTTTCACATCCTAGGAGCATTATATTTTTAGTGAGAAAATAATATTTAAGAGTATGTCTTTTCTTACTGCTCCAACTGGTTGAAAAAGAAAAATTTAATTAATCAGGAGAATTTGTTGTCCATGTACTGTGGAACGACTGACCTTGTTTTGACATATTTTTTTCTTGTCAAGTTGACTGATTTTGGGACAAAACAGGCTGGCTACTTTGGCACAATTTGCTCACAGTCCTAGGCTAGCCTTTCGAACAAAAAAGTAAATTTTAATAAATTCTTACTTTGTTCAGAATTGTTGGGGAATGGTATATTCTGGTGACCAAAGAGTTATCACTGAGACCATAAGCAGGTAAGCTCTTTTTGAAGAAACACTAGACATTGAAATTTACCCAACATGAACTCTATGTTGAAAGTAGTATAACTTTTCTAGGTTCAAGTTCTTACTCACTCAATCATGGTTCTCAAAGCATGCTCTAGAAGCTGACTGTAGCTGACTAAGCAGAAAAAGAGTTTTTAATAGGTTATTGGGAAATTCACAGGGTCATTGGCTTGACCAGAGAAGCCGGGCTGAGGTTAGCTTCATAGGAGCCATGTGCAAAACCACACCTCCGTAGGGTCATTGGTGCTTTCCTGAGCACCAATGCCACTTATGCTCCAGAAACTTGGTCTTGCAATTGTTCCCAACCTCCAATCTGGACACCTTCACTCTCACCCACGGAAACAAAAAATGGGTTCTTCACAGAGCATCCTTTATTCAGTTTCTCACTTCTGAATCTTAGTCTCACATGGAGTCCAGGGCACATGTTCATGTGTTAGCTTCAAAAGACATTGGAGTAGTGATTTTTCTAGGTTCCACCTTGGAGAGGTATGACGTGGAGGATTTTCCAAACATAGCAAGGGGTTTAAAAATGTGCTGGGCCTTGAGAAAGCATCACAAATACCCACTAGTTTGTGTGTCCTTGGGCAGATCACGTAACCTCATCTATCCTCATTTCCTCCATCTGTAGAATGGAATAGTTATTCTTCCTTACAGCCTTCCACAAAGCTGGCATATATGCAAATAAGCTATATCCAAATAAAATCCCAGGGTCCAGGAGTACATTCTTCTGGGAACTAATGACTGGCCATGACATGTGTGATATTCTTTTTCTTTTTTTCCTTTTTTAAAAAACTTCTTATTTTGAAATAATTATACATTTGCATGCAGTTGTAAGACATAAGACAGATATCTTATATCCCCTTTCCCCATTTCCCCCCAACAATAACATCTTGCATAGCTACCATACAATATCACAACCAGGAAATTGATATTGATACAGTCCATCAACCTGACTCAGATTGTACCAGTTTTATGTGTATCATGACGCCAATTTTCAGGAAAACATAAACCTGCTCTCCTAGTGAAACAAACCCCTCTCCTAACTTCTAGGAGGATCTCCTTTCTCTTTTTGAAAAGTTTGATCAATTGAATACATGACCAAGGCAAAAGTCCTTATGTCTCAGAAATTTCTCAATAGTTCCACAAGAAACTGACTCTCTTCTACCTCCACTGTATCTTCTACCACCTGCCTTTGAATTCTTGGGATAAGGCAAAAGCTATGTCCCAAGGTCACATTAGGATTTAGGATCAGGCACAGCAGCCCATCTTTCAGTTATTTGTAAGTCCATGGCCTGTGGATAGACAAACTGGCAGTCAAGGAATTTAAGGTGAAGGAATTTGGAGATCTTATTGTCACCGTGGCTTCTCCCCTGTTGCCTTACGTGCTGCTAAAACCTCCCAACTCAAGTGTATGATTCTGCATCTCTGTGAGAATGAGGGCTGAGGGTAGGGGAGAAAGCTTGACTTGGAGGTGTAGACATAGGAAGGACTATTGTACCTCCATGCTTGGGAAGCTGCTTTGCTTTTGGGCAAGGCCAGGAAGAGCTGTTTTCAAAGTTTAAAGTTGTTTTCTATGGCCAGTAGTGATGATATTAAAGGTTGCATGGAAAGGGCTTAAGGTTAGAAGCCAGAACAATTGGAGTTTAAATCCCAGCTCCATTATTTCCCATCTATGTAACAAATGGCCTTATCTTTCGAGCCTCACTTTCCTCACCTATAAGGGATTGAAGATGGAGATGGACTTGTCTGATTTTCATGTAGACCCTCAAACTTTGTGGAAGGCAGTAATGACATCTTTGGGAAAATTTATAACTTATTCTGTGCCTACTTATCACTAGGTTTTCCACTATAGCACTTGCCTACCAGATCAAAGGACACAAGCAGTTCTTTGCTTACTAGAGTGAGCTCAGGCAAAACACGCTGTCCTCAGCCCGAAAGGGCTCAGTGGATACGTGCCCCACTTCATGAGTATAGGGAAATGAAAGTATGGCTCAGCACTTCGCAGAGCTTTATTTACAATAGCTTCTCCCAAACTGACTTGAGAAATTCGGTTCTCAATATGGGGAAATGTAATAAGTAAGGTTTAGGCTGTTTTGTAGCTTTATTGTGCATTTACTATGAGCTAGGAGCAGTACTAAGTGCTTCCCACAGCTTATCTCAGCAAATTCTTACTAAAATGCTATGATATACACTATTATCCTCTCCATTTTATAGATGAAGAAATGGAAACTCAGATAAGGTAATTAGTTCAAAGGTACAGAGGTGTAAGTGACAGATGCAGGACTTGAAGTACATCTGATGCTATAGCTGGTGCTCTTAACCACTATGTTTGCTGTACTGTGAAGCGTTCAGAAGTGTGTTCAAACAAGGGCTGTCTCCCCTGGAGTGTAAAGCATCTCTGCAGATCTCATGACACCCCTAAATGGTGTTTGGTTCCAGTGGTCATGGCCCCAGTCTGCCTAGGATCTGTGATTTTGTTCAAAGGGTCATCTTTACTTCTCATATGATCTTTCCCTGTGACTTTAGACTTTGATTTGTTCTTTTCTCTCCCAAACTTTTCCTGTTTATTCATTTATTTATTTTTTTGGCTCAGCTTTGTTCCTATCTGTCTCATAATATTTTTCCTCACACTTCATTAACTTCTGACTGTGAGTATTCTGGGACTCCACTCCTTTGCACTCCTCAGGGACTGGTGCCAATATAAGTAGATTCCTTGGCCCTTAAAAACTAAGTATATGAATGGCATAGCCTTCTTTTGTCATGAGAAACATTGTCTTTACATCATCAGCATCAATGACACTATGTTATTGCTTTCTTCCACTTCCTCTTTACATTTCCCAGGGCACAATTGATAGCCTTCGATGCTATTTTTTTCTATTCTATCATCCCTGGAAAGGAAATCTGATCTATTCCTATGGTTTCACCTAGCCACCTAGCCTCTGTGCTGAGGACTTTCAAATCGAGACTTTTGTCACCAGTCTCTTTCTCAACCTCTATTCATATATCTCTAGTTGCTTGTGGTTATCTTTCTAACTCTCACCCCAAGCATGACTAAAACGGAACCCTCCTTTATCTTCCACTTATATCCTTTTTTCTCGATTCATTTTCAACTACCTTACCCTGTTATTGGCACTGCTATTGTCCTTATTGGTATCTTAGGAACAGACACTTTGAACTTGAATTCAAAGAGTATTTTTCACAAAAGGACCATACGTTTCTGTTTAATGAGATCCATTTCTATTTTACTTCTCTGACACTTAGTAAACAAGGGAGTTTACAATCAAGGGAGAAATGTATTTGAACACTGAAAGTTAGGTGAAATCAGAACATTATATCACACCAGTGAAACATGCTACAGTGGAACAACCAGTTAAATGGAAAGATAGAACATTATTATTATTATTTTTAAGATGTGCTGCTGATATCAGCCCCTTGAACTGACTTCTGGTCAATGGATTTAGTTCATCCTTATCACCCCATGTGATTAAAGAAACAGCCATTTCTCTTGTCTCCCTGATTCTAGTTTCTCTTATTCTAACCTACCTTTCATCTCAAAAGTAAATAGCTAGGAGTTTTTTTTGGTAGGGACTGTCAGAGTTAGATCAACTTGTTAGCTATAAAAACTATTGGATTGATCGTTAGATTTTAAATGGATTTTTCATCCATCTTGGCAGATCCAAAAGCAGATATTATGACTTGTTTTAAAATAAAGTTAAACTTAATTCTTCCATCATATCCCAAGAGACTTGTCCTTTTGAATTATTTAAGCCCTGCAAACAATCCCATGACATGTTATCTTTCAGCTGTGATAGATTGAGATAGGATAGATCTGGTCTTTGTGCCAAAGAATCCCCAAGACATCACTTCAGATAGAGTTCATGAATTATTGCCTCGTCTTTGAGTCTGTCACATGATTAATTACAGTTGGGAATAATTTAAGTGTCCACTCTGAAATCATGAGTTGTTTCAGTGTTGAGAAGTTCTGACATATAATCAGATAATCATATCATGTGATATGGGGCTAAATGCACATGGTAGTAAAGACATTTGGGGACATATTTGTGATATGTAGAGCTGGCAAATTATCTGGCCAAATCCCTGAACTGATTAAATCCTTGCTAAGTGTAGAAAAGGATGACCTCTGTTATCCTTATGGGTAAAAACCACCAAGGGATGCCTAAAATTTACGTGTGCTCTAACGTTTCCTTGTCTTATCATTCAATGACTAAACTAGCTCATATTTATATTTGCATTATATATAATATATTATATAATTTATAATTATAATTACTTTTAATTAATATATACATTTGTATTATTCTCAAATGAAATTTTTTTTTTGAGACTAAGTCTTACTCTGTTACCCAGGCTGGAATAAAGTGGTACAATCATAGCTCATTGCAGCCTTGAACTCCTGGCTCAAGTGATCCTCCCACCTCCTCAGCCTCCAAGTAGTTAGAACTACTTGTGCCACCTGCCTGTAGTCATGGCATACTAAAAACCTACACCCAGCTCATAAAAAAAGTTTTTTTTTGTGGAGAAAATTTGCTTGCTATGTCTCCCATGCTGGTCTCAAACTCCTGGCTTCAAGTGATCCTCCTGCCTCTGCCTCCCAAAGCTTTGGGATTACAGATGTGAGCCACCGTGCCCAAACCAAAATAATTTTTGAAACCTTTCCTGACTTTAATTTAGTCTCTTAAAGTGTTCCTACAGATATTTCTGTGAATCCTAGATAAGTCTCACTTATGCATAAAAGCTAGCCCATCAAATGCTGTAACCAGCTGATGGAACCAGCCCCGTCTACTGATCACACATGCAAAGGTGCTTGAGAAAGCCTTGCCACTCTCCATCCTGCCAGTGCTCATTGTGGACCCACCTTTGTCCATTCCAAGGGTGTTATCTGTCTCCTCATACCCCCTAAAATACCAGTGCTCAGGGTACCAGATTGTTGTCAGGTTCTTTACAGAAGTCAAGTGAATAGCCACCCCTCACTCACAGCCCACACTGTCTCCAGAACCCCCAGGCTATTCTGCTTGTGTCACATCTCTGGAAATCCACTTGCTTCTGATCATCAGTCTTTGACAAGTCTTATAAAGACTCATCTGAAAAACAATTGAATCGGTTTTAGGGTTTAACCCTTGTAATCATAGTAGAAGGGCTTCAATCTAGTTAGTAAGAAACACTCGTGTGTGTGTGTGTATGTGTATGTGTGTGTATGTGTGTATGTATGTATATATTCCTTGAACTGTGTATCTTTCCAAAGGGTGTATGGTTTATGGTAGAAACAGGGTGAGCTTCAGGGAGAGAGAGAGGTGATATTCCCCATTCCTGATGGCTATGCACTACAGCTTTCATTTAACTTGAATGGACAGAGTGACACTGGGTAATGGAGAAGGGACCTAAAAAGGCTGGAAAACTTTAAATCCAAAGTTCAAATACAATCAATTCAATGGATGCTCAGAGATAGCTTTAGCCTCTTGAACACTTGAATAATTTCTGATGTCTATGTGTTGGGGATGTTTCTTAACAGTCTTCAATATTTTGGGGACAATAAAAGTCTGGCATAGTTTGAAGTAATAATCATAGTGCAGTCTTCCATTTGCATAATATTTGTCTGATGGAATCGGATCACACAATCTTTATATATGAAATCCCCATTGCCAACTGACATCATGCAAGTTTCTTGAGTGGCTTCCTGCTCATGAAAGATGAGATCCTACAGGGCACAGCAGGGCTGATGATGTTCTTATTGACAACAATTTGGCTTCTGCATTGGAACAAGAGCTAGAACTGAGAGGATCAAAGCTCCTTTTACCATCGTGTCCTAGGTTTTCCTGGTAGTCTCTGGGTAAGTTGGCTTGTTGGGAAACACATAGGCTAACATAGTGCCTAGAAATGCTCCTTGAGTAGACAGTGGGAGCCCAGTATGGTTGGGAAAGTACCTGTTTCTGAAGTTAAAGCAGGTACCTTGTACCACTCCGTAGCTCTTCTTTCTTCCTGACACAATTAGGAAGTAAAACAGATTATTTTTAGGGTGGATGAAAATGTATATGTGCAACTTCATTGACAAGTATCAAGATCTGCACTCTGCCCTTTGGGCAGCTGTAAGACTGCATTTCTGATTGGTAAGCTGGCTCAGGTTTTTAATTTATTTAAATATGATTTGTATTCTAGAATATGATTTGTATTCTAATTTATGTAAATATTATTTATATTATGTCTAAAACATATTCTTTCTTCCAAAGCAACTTATCAAGACTAGTTCCACAGAGCTGAATTGAGAAAGAAGGGCAATACACTCATTTCAGCAGAAAATGGACTCAGTCAAAAGCATGATATATTGACATCTTAGGTTATAAACATGCCTGGTTTTGGGAAGAGAGATTTAATTCTTCCCAAATTAAAAAAAGTCATTGGGGGATATTGGTTTAGTACATGTGATTCATTTCCTCTTTCATTGCCTCAAGCACAACTGATTTTGGGGAAAAGATGAAGTAGCCATGAATAGCTAACTATCTACCTTCTAGAAATAAAGCCACCAAACTTTATTGCATTTTAATGGCAAAGACTTTTCAGACTTGCTGGCAGCAAACCAGTAGAAAATAGGTGGTTTCTTTTTCCATTGAAGATGAGCTCTGTTAGGGTGTTTGGCATGCTTTCCTTGTACACCTTAGTTTCGGTGTATATGAATTGTTCCAGATAATTTCACTAGCAATGGCTGCAACACTCAACTGACCACAGCGTTTGAGGGGTAGAGCAGTCAAAGATTTAGCTCAAAATGATTAAGCTTGGAAAGGTCAATCTCATTGCCTTGAGGGAACTTAATTCAATGAATGATTTTTTTTCTTTCTCTCTTTCTCTCTCTTTCCTTCCTTCCTTCCTTCCTTCCTCCCTCCCTCCTTCGCTCCCCCACTCTCCCCACTCCCCCCCATTCTCCCCTTCCTTCTTTCTTTTGAGACTGGGTCTTGCTCTGTTACCTAGGCTAGAGTGCAGTGGCTCACTGCACTTCAGCCTGAGCGGCTCACTGCAACCTCTGCCTTCCAGGCTAAAGTGATCTTCCTGTCTCAGCCTCCCGAGTAGCTGTGATTACAAGCATGTGCCACCATGCCCAGCTAATTTTTGTACTTTTTGTAGAGATGGGGGGTCTCACTATGTTGCCCAGGCTGGTCTTGAACTCCTGGGCTCAAGCAATCCACCCTCCTTGGCTTCCCAAAGTGTTGGGATTACAGGCATGAACCACTGTGTTCAGCCTAGAATGAAGAGTTTCAATTTCCTATTGTATGCCACATCCTGTGCCAGGCACTGGGGAAATGAAAATGTGTGAGCCATAGTCCCAGCCCTTGAGAAACTCCAAGTGCTAGTAGGCTGGACATATATACGGAATATTATAATGATAATATTAAAAATGCTAACAATATCTAATGCTTATATAATGCCTACCATGAGCCCAGCACTATTTTAAGAACATTATATATATTAATTAATTTAAACAATTAATGAAAATCCAGTGAGATGAATAGGGAAATATATAAACTTCTGTGGAAGCACAAATAAAGGATTGATTAATTCTGTCTGTGACGATGAGAAGATGAGGAAAAGCTATAGAGAGGAGATAGCATTTGAGCTGGGCCTTGATGAATGAATAGGAGTTTGCCTGGTTGGTAGGAGGTGGAGTGGGAGGGGAGAGCCTTCCAGACAGATGGAAGACCTTAAGCAAAGGCAGAAAGTACGTGGTGGGTTGACAGCATAGGGGAAATATTGGTCAGTGGTGCAAATAACTGTCAGGAAGCCTTTGAGGAAAGTACTATGCATTGTTTATGATACCAAGACTGGAGTGGGTGGAAAGAAGAAGGGAGAGAAAGATGTATCTCTCCCACTACACAGTATCTTCTGGGATTCCAAACAACATTTCAGAAAGTGAGTTCACCTTCCCCTACATGAGCTACAGAATGAACAGGTGTTTACCAGAGAAGGGCTCCCATTTAATGCCCCCTTTCTCCTCCCTCCACGAAATAGGTGACATTTATTGTTTCTTTGCAAGAAGCAAGTTCTTTTTCATCTCTATTTCCAAAGTTACACAAACTAACTTTCTTTAGGGGAATATGGTTTGAGAAACCAGGGTCTTGGAGCAGTCTTCCATTTGCATAATATTTGTCTGACTGAATCAGATCACAAAATCCTTATATATGAAATCCACAATGCCAACTGACAACAGAGGGCATATCAGATGGTGAGATTTCCGTCCATGACACTAACCTCAGAGAGCATGTACTCAGCCACACCGTCAGTTTCTTTTAACTGGCTGTTGGATGATCATCCTAACTTATTTATGGGCCCAGACATTACTATTCCTTGGAGATAATGAGTGTTGTTATTTTATTAGACAAGTAAAAATTATTTTATAGGAATGTATTCTTAATCACATTTTTTTTGGTTACTTAGGTAGTGCCTTTTCAATTCATTTTTTTTTGAGACAGTCTTGCTCTGTTCCCCAGGCTACAATGCAGTGGCACAATCTCATTCTGCCTTCTGGGTTCAAGCAGAACCAGAAGGTGGAGGTGCCTCCACCTCCGAGTAGCTGGGATTATAGGCATGCACCACCATGCCCAGCTAATTTTTTGTATTTTTAGTAGAGAGAAAGTTTTGCGATATTGGCCAGGCTGGTCTCAAACTCCTGGCCTCAAGTGATCTGCCTGCCTCAACCTCCCAAAGTGCTGGGATTATGGGCATCAGCCCATGGTAGGCCCACCATGCTCGTCCTACCTTTTAAATTTTACTCTGCCTTTTAAATTTCTACCCTGACGAAGGGTGTCAAGAAGATCTGAATAATTGGAAAAATACCATATTCACGGTTGACTGTCTTAACATTGTAAGTTTGTCACTTTTCCACAAATTAATCTACAAATTAAATGCAATTCTAACTTAAAATCCCGGAAGAACTTTGAGAACACAAATAGCTTATTCTAAATTTATATGTCAGAATACTAAGTCTGTTTTGAATTGCTAAGTTGATTTTGAAATAAAGATGTGCAAGGAGGAGAAACATATTTTATCAGATATGAAGATATACTCCAAACTAATAGCAATAAAACAATGTGGTGTGGCACATTAATGGGCGGTAAAATCAATAATAACAGTCAAGAACACAGGAAGAGAATTATGTATATGGGACCCTGATCTAGGATAAAGGCAGCACCACAAAGCAATGGGATGTGATCGATTGCTTCGTTGATGGTACTGAGAAAATCTGCTCCCTATACAAAGAAGAATAAAGCGTAATTTCAACAATTACTATACACAAAGTTTAATTCCAACAATTACTATACACAAAGGTAAACTACAGATAATTAAAAAACACAGGTCAAAAATTTTAAAGCTAATGGAATTAAATGTTGGCAAATATCTTTGGGATAGAAAGTGCCTCTTATCTGGTACTCTTAAACCTAAACCTTAAGGTGAAAAATTGATGCAGTCAACAATTGAGGGAAAAACCAGGAGAAGATATTTGCAATATATGAAACCGATAAAAGATGACTTCCAAGAATGTTCAGGGGACTCTTGAAAACCCAGAAGGAAAAAGGCAGAATATCCAATGGTAAAGTAGATAAACCTTATGAATTGGAAATTTATAGATGAGGAAGCCCAAATTCTACCAAGTATATGAAGATATGTAGAAATTAAGATTTAAAGTTACTCTACTATACCAATCAGATGGGCAAGCATTAAAAATCAACATATCCTTGTTCTAGAAATTCTGTTCCTAAAAATATAAAAGAAATTAGCTGACATTTCCCTCACACCAGTGGTTCTCAGCAGGGGGCAATTTTGCTCCCCAGGAGACATTAGACAATGTCTGAAGGCATTTTTGGTTGTTGCAATTGGGGATGTATATATTAATTTCCTAGGGGTGCTGTAATGAACTACCACAAACTGGGTGACTTAAAACAATCTATTCTCTCACAATTTTGGAGGCTGGAAATTGGAAGTCAGGGTTGTAGCAGGGCTCTGCCCTCTCTCCTAGGGTCTGGATGTTGCTGGGAATCTTTGACATTCCTCGGCTTGCAGCTGATTTACTCCAGTGTCTGCCTCCATTGCCACACAGCTGTATTTCCTGCATGTGTCTGTGTCTTTGCACAGTGGCCTCTTCTCTGTGTGTTGTCTCTGTGTCTCCTTCTCTTGTTATAAGGATGCCAGTCATATTGGATTAAGGGCCCATTCTATTCCAGTATGACCTCATCTTTTTTCCCCCACCTTTTATACATGTCTCTTTATATTATTCGAGCTGTAAAATGTGATGATTTGATGTATGTGTACATTGTGTAGTCATGATCACAATCAACCTAATTGACACATCCATTGCAGCCCATGCTGTACATTAGATCCCAGAACTTGTTCATCTTATAACTGAAAGTTTGTAGCCTTTGACCAACATCTTCCTGTTACCCCCACCCCTCAGCCCCTGGTAAACACCATTCTATTGTCTGTGTCTATGAGTTCAATTTTTTAGATTCCACATATAAGTGAGATCATAGATTATTTGTCTTTCTGTGTCTGGCTTACTTTATTTAGGATACTGTCCTTCGGATTTATTTACAATGTTGCAAATGGCAGGGTTTCCTTTCTTTTTGTGGTGAATGATATTCAGCCATATATATATATGTGTGTGTGTGTGTGTGTGTGTGTGTGTGTGTGTGTGTATTTTTCCCCAGATTTTCTTTATCTATTTATCTGTCGATAGACACTTAAGTTGATTCCATATCTTGGCTATTGTGAATAATGCTATGATATATGAATTAAAGGAATGAAAAGGCAACCTACAGAATGACAGGAAATATTTGGAAACCATATATCTGATAAGGGGTTAATATCTAAAATATGTAAGGAACTCACACAACTCAATAGCAGAAAAAACGGTCTGATTCAAAAATGGGCAAAAATAGACATTTTTCCAAGGAAGACATGTAAATGGCCAACAACTATATGAGAAGTTGCTCAATATCACTAATCATCAGAGAAATGCAAGCCCAAACCACGTGAGCTACCATTTCATTCCTGTTAGGATGGCTATTATCAAACAAACAAGAGATAACAAGTGTTGGTGAGGATATGGAGAAAAGGGAATCCTTGCACACTGTTAATGGGAATGTAAATTAGTACAGCCTTTATGGAGAACAGTATGGAGTTTCCTCAATAAAATTAAACACAGAACTACCATATGGTCCAACAATCCCACTTCTGGGTATATATCCAAAGAAAATGAAATCAAGAAGTCAAAGAGATTATTGGCTGCATTACCTCCCTGTTCAGAATGACCTTATCTTAACTTACATCTTAATTACATTAGTAAAGACCTTATTTCCAAATAAGGTTACATTCATAGTATGTGAACTAAGGGTTAGGAGTTGAACATACCTTATGGGAGGGACACACTTTAACTCACTATAGGTACTACTGGTTTCTAGGGGGTAGAGGCCAGAGGTGTGGCAAAGCATTCTTCCTTGCACAGGAAACCCCCAAAGAAAAGAATTATCTGGTCCAAAATGTCAATTGTGTCACATTTGAGAAACCCAGGTGTATAAACCAGGTGTTAAGCAGAGTGGGGGTGGAGATTGAGGACAAAGGGGGAAAATAAAATAGAGGGTTTGACAAGAATGTTGATAGAATGCCATGAATTAAAGAACATAATGAATTAAAAGTGACTTAGAACCATTGTAACAACATAGTATTCTTTTTAACTCGTCATTGCACTCGAGGTTCAAAAATTAAGAAATAAGAAAATTTTAACTATATACAGTTGCTTGTTAAGTTTCCTACTTTAAACCTTTATTTATTTATTTATTTATTTTGAGATGGAGTCTTGCTCTGTCACCCAGGCTGGAGTACAGTGGTGCAATCGGTTCACTGCAACCTCCGCCTCCCCGGTTCAAGCAATTCTCCTGCCTCAGCCTCCCGAGTAGCTGGGATTATAGGTGCCTGCCACCATGCCCGGCTAATTTTTGTATTTATTTATTTATTTATTTATTTATTTATTTATTTATTTATCTGAGACAGAGTCTCGCTCTGTCCCCCAGGCTGGATTGCAGTGGCGCGATCTCGGCTCACTGCAAGCTCCGCCTCCCAGGTGCACGCCATTCTCCTGCCTCAGCCTCCCGAGTGGCTGGGACTACAGACGCCTGCCACCACGCCCGGCTAACTTTTTGCATTTTTAGTAGAGGCGGGGTTTCACCGTGTTAGCCAGGATGGTCTCGATCTCCTGAGCTTGTGATCCGCCCGCCTCGGCGCCCCAAAGTGCTGGGATTACAGGTGTGAGCCACCGCGCCCGGCCAAACCTTTTTTTTTGAGCTGTTATGTCCTTCATAAGATGCAGAAATGTGCATGGTATTCTGGATTCAGATGGTAGTATGATTCTTTATCATTTTCAAGACTTTTCCAATTTTTTCCAAAATTTTCTTGGCCTTTTTGTCAAGACAAAGGTGTTGAACTGCTGTCTTAGAAATCGTTTTAGTCTATAATAATTCTTGGATTTGTTTTGTATCTAATCACAACTCGAAGTTCATCAACTTATAGGTGTACTGGAGTTCATTTTCTTTAAACAGATGTCTTTCATACTGGTCCACATTGAATTTCACTTGCCAATTTTCATCTCACTCACATTAATTTTTTCTATTGGTTTAAAAATTCGCTACCTGAAAAAACTTAAGTTCCACAAATTTGGCTCTATTGCTTTTCTAGATCTCTTGTAAAAATGCTGAATAATAAAGTTCAGTGGGAACTCTACTGGTAATTTTTCTCCCAAGAGAAGTGTCTCTTTCTTCATGTCTTTTTAAAAACATATTGCTGCAATATAGTTTTTAGTCTACTAAAGAATATTCCTTTCCCTATCCTGCCTGGACTTATAGTATATTTTGTTGTTGTTATTGTTGTTTTACACAATCTTTGCCATGGAACCCTTTCAGATATATCTTTAAAACTAATTAAGTTATCCTGTTGCGTCCCTTGGGGTCCATGGATATTTTCTCAAAGGACCTGGTAGATAAAATAACCATGTTTAAAATAATCATGTTAGTTCTGATTTCCCCTTATCCCCGACTGTGTAGTTTGCATTTGTCCAATAAGCTGGTGCTTCGTTGTGTTTACCATCTCAATGGTCACTTTCAGAAATTTCTGTATTGCCAGGGCTGATATTTCAGCCAGTATACCACTGTATATATATGCCATCATGGCCAGTGTCTGATTGGCCAGGGCCTAAGCTACATTGATTGTTAAATATTTTGAGTATTTTCCAGGCATGTACAAATATACCTTAGGCTTGTGAAGAGAACGAGCTGAAAAAGGAAAAATTAATGACAAATACAATAATACTAGTATCTAGTATTTATTGAGAGCCATGTGCCAAGCAAGGTATTAGGTGCTTTAACAAGTAGCATCTTCTTAAGTCCTCAAAATAATACTATAAAGTATTTTATCATGCCCATTTTATAGAGTAATGAGGCAGGGAGGATGTGTGACTTACCAAATATCACACAGCTAGTAAGTGGTGGAGACCAGATTTGAATCCAATCTATTTGGCTCTCACATCTGCGCTCTTAAACTACTTGTTATACTGCCAGTTAGGAAGCCATCCTCAGCTCCAGCTACAGGAATGAAGACCCAAAGAGATAGGAAGCAAATGTTCCCTGCCTGTTTTAGAGAGATCAGGACAGAAAAATTAATTCAACTTTGGCTGATTAGGGAGTAAGGTTCTATTTTTCCCAGAAGGCAAAGCAAAGGGAGAAGAAATCTAACCTTAACCACCGTTACTACCTATTTCCCACTATCTGCATGCCTGATGCTGTAACCACACTGATTTTTTATGTTCCCCATCCACATCATGATTGTCCTCTTAAGTCCTATTGTTCATAGCTTCTGTCCAGAATGCCCTTCTTTTGGCCTATAAAAAAAAGTCCCCAATTCATCCTTCAAGGTCCAGGTCAAGAGTCTCTTCCTCCATGAGAACTTTGCAGATTGTCCAGCTAGAATAGTGTCTTTCTCTCTTTAATTGTGACAGAATTGCACTTGTGCCTGTCTAAGCATATATACCATGTTTCCCCTTGGATCATTGATATGTATACATAGTGCACAGACAGTGGAGTGCAACTACCTGTGTTCAAGTCCTAACTCTGCTAGTGTTTAGCTGTGTGACCTTGTGAAACTTACTTAGCTTTTCTATGCCTCAGTTTGCTTATCTGTAAAATCGGTACATAGACTGATTGGTACATTGGTACCTACATCTGTAAAATCGGTAGTTCACAGACTTGCAGAGAGGATTACGTAAATTTAAGATACTGCTATTTAGAGTGCTTAGAATAGTTCCTGGCATAATAAACGCTTTATGTGTTTGCTGTAATTGTCATTGTCCCATTGTTCTTCTTCTTCTTATGTTTTTCCCACTACATTTTAAATTCCTTTAAGGAAAGAGCCATGACTGATTTATGTTTATATCCTTTAATTTGCTTAAAACAGTGCTCAGCATGTAAGAGGCATTTAATTGGGTTTTGTTGACTGAACGAAGAGGAGAACAAGGCAGTAGAACACTTTGATTAAAAGTTTGGGCTTTTGAGCTGGCTTTGAGTCCTGGTGCTACTTTTACTTGCTCTGGGCCAGTTATTTAATGCCCCCAAGTCTCAGCTGCCTTATTTATAAAATGGGGAAAATAATAACATCTAACTTACAGAGTTGTTAAGAGGGTTGAGTGAGATAATGTGTAGAAAGAGCTGGTCAGTAATCATGTGTGGTAAGTAATGCAGTTAGCTGTTGTCTTTGCTAAGCTTTTTGTTGAAAGGTAGCAAAAAGATGGCAAGTGAATGCCTTTTATTGTCATCTTGGAAGCACTAATCTCGAGTTCGTGGGGACACGAGGCAGGCCCTTAGTCGGAATGCTGACAGCTGATAAAATGGAATAAGCGGTCTTCCACTCAATGTCATGAATCAAAGTGATTTGCAAATTTTAACTTGTCCGATTTTTAAATCTTAGGGTTAGAAAAGTAAAGAAATCTGTGTGCTGGGTCTTAATGTTTTGTTTTGCTGTGATCTGTTTTAATATCTTCTGAAGTCTGGCTACTTGGAAAACCATTTCCAGTATAGCATATACAAACACACAGTTGTACTTCGCTGGGGTCTAGAGGAAGGAGATCATCTTAGATCTGAGTAGAAGAGAAATCACTTCCATCAAACACCACCTATGTGCTTTCAGACGTCCTCTTGTTTAATCCTCATGACTCTATTTTATGTGTTTTATAGACAAGAAAAATGAACCTGGCCAAGCCACAGGGCTGGTAAGAACAGCAGGGATTTGAACACAGTTCCTCTTACTCTCTCTGTTTACCACATGCTTCTGTGGAACCTGCTATGCACGGCAAAGCTATGTTTTTTGTTTCTCTGCTGCTTCCATTTCAAGGTTCAGAATAACCTTAGAGGCTCAGCAGTGACTCACACCTGTAATCCCAGCACTTTGGGAGGCCGAGGTAGGAGGACCACTTGAGTTGAGGAGTTTGAGAACAGCCAGGGTAATTATAGTGAGACCCTGTATCTACAAAAAACAAAAACAAAAAACAGTAGCCAGGCATGGTGGTACATGCCTGTAGTCCCAGGTACTTGGGAGGCTGAGGTAGGAGGATTGCTTGAACCCAGGAGTTCAAGGCTGCAGTGAGCTATGATCATGCTACATACTCTAGCCTGGGCTGCAGAGTAAGACCCCATCTCAAAAAAAAATTCATTTTAGGACCTGGATAAAGAAAATAATCTCTGGGCCCTTCACTGGCCTCCTGCTGTGATAACCTGCTTGAATGTTTTTTGTCTTTTTTTTATTTATTTTTTTAAAACATGGCTTTCTTCAGCTTCTCTGTCTGTCTCTGACCTGTTCTGCTTCCATCTTCTCCCTTGCTACAAACCTCCCACACTGGAATATCATTATTATTATGCTTGGGGAAATGTCATTTCCCATAAAGAAATGATTCAAAACACAAGTGGGGTTTGTCACTGGAGGCAAAATGACCTGGAGGTTTCTAAATATTGCTGAGTAGACAGGTTGTGTGGGCATCACATGGGGCAGGGGTACCTTAAAAACCACATCCCAGATTCCACCCCTGGAGAGGTTAATACAGGAGGTCAGTGTCAAGGCCAGATAATCCAGTTTTTTTTTTTTTTTAAACCTTCCCCTGATAGTTCTGCCACACAGCCAGGTGTATCATCCTATGGTCTAGATAATACTTACTGGCTAGAATTGGGGAGAAACAGATTTCCCCACCCCGGCCACGGAGCAAAAACAGTCTTGTTCTTTCTTACAATATGCACACCAGGAGCCAGAGTATAAGACCCTGAGCCGGCCGGGCGCGGTGGCTCACGCCTGTAATCCCAGCACTTTGGGAGGCCGAGGCGGGCGGATCACGAGGTCAGCAGATCGAGACCATCCTGGCTAACACGGTGAAACCCCGTCTCTACTAAAAATACAAAAAAATTAGCCGGGCGTGATGGCGGGCGCCTGTAGTCCCAGCTACTCGGGAGGCTGAAGCAGGAGAATGGCGTGAACCCGGGAGGCGGCGCTTGCAGTGAGCCGAGATTGCGCCACTGCACTCCCGCCTGGGCCACAGAGCGAGACTCCATCTCAAAAAAAAAAAAAAAAAAAAAAAAAAGACCCTGAGCCAACAGTGCCTGCAGCTGGCTCTTGAGACAGCAGAAAGTATTGTACGAGGCTCCCTGTGCAAGCCTGGCTTTGCTCTGGGTGACGTAAAAGAGAAATAAATCATGGTCTATGCCTTCAAGGAGTTTGTAATCTTGCTGTGGGAAGATGCCTAGCACACATGATAAGACTGGAGACTTGTAAATCATTTTAAGTCCAACATTACAAGGCCCAGACACTAAGAGTGGAAATTCAGAGGAGCACAAGTGATTAAGGTTAAATAGTGGATGTATTCCTACAACGAAGCTGCAGAATTGGCTTTGACATCTGTGTGGATTTGTGCAGATTCTGGTGAAGGGGATGTTCTCCAGGGGAACTGGGAAGTGAAGATATTTGAAGCCCTATGACTGGGATGTTTAGTCTAGAAAGGCGACTGAGGTCTGGGCTATCATGTAAAGAGGGATTTCCACTCGTTAACTGTCGACCCAGAAAGATACAGGTGAAAGAATTCAAAAAGATACCTGTGGGCTTGAGGTTAGACAGTCATTTGGAGGGCACAGTGTAGAAAGGATTCCAAGACTGGAAAGAGCTTAAATTGGGTTTCAACTCTATGATGCCGTGATTCTAAGAAGGAAGTGACGAGAGAGAAAGGGAAGAAATGAGAGGGAGGGAAATGGCAGGAGATAATGAGCTGGAAACAGAGAGGGAGGTACAGAGGATATGTGAAGAAGCCCTTGAGGAGGGGAGAGCTGGTGGTTTGGGAAGGAACATATCCGAAGAGCACAAGGAGGGCAGTGCTGAGTTGTTCGGGCAGCCTGGTAACCATTGGAGAGTGGGCTGAATATGAGAGTCAGACCAGGGCGGGGATCTCGTGTAGCCAGAAATGGGCTCATGGACCAGGGAAGTGGGAGGTGCTGCTCCTGTGATAGAATTTGATCAAATTCCGTACAGTTTTTAATGAGCATTAGATTGTGTTTCTGCTCAGTCTTTCCTTAATGTGTAATCACTGTTGCTCTTTGTGTCAGGAAGGAACACGACTGCTGAATTTAAATTGGCTGTTATAAAAAAAATTCAGGAAAGACTCACTTAACAGAAGAGAGAATAAGGAGAAAGATTTACAATGAACTTGCCTTTTTCCTGTAAACCAGCCACATTCTTAAGCAAAACCTGAGGGTACATAAACATGAAAGGTTATTTCAAATAACCAGATGTTCATTTTAAACACAGTTTTTCTCTTTTAGTAGAAACGGTGAAAAGGGTAAAGCATCTCCTTAAACTATTGTAAGGTATTTGATTGTGAAAGAGCACCACGTGAGGTACCAGGAATTAACTTCTCAGAAAATGGCTTTGGAGACTTTCTTCTTTAATTATAGATTAAAGCAGACCTCGGCAGTGTCCTTTTGGATCAATATAATGTACAGCACATAAATCAACACTCCTACAGAGCATAGTGTAGAAATTCTTAAAAAGAAAATGAAAATTACAAATTGTCTTAAGGAAAAAATGATTTTTACTTGTCAACAAATCCATTTTGACCAAATTAAAACTTGTGCTATCTAGATGCTTCTGTGTTTAGATTTGCTGTTTGTTCATCAGGATATGCTCATTTTCCTCTTTGTTAAAATGGCCAAGGATTAGAAGTCAGTGTCTAGTTTCAGTTCTTCCCTTAATTAATGGGAAAGATTGTTTTAATTTCCTAGGCCCATTTCATTATCTTTAAGAGTTGGGCTAGATGACCTCCAAAAGCCCCAGTTTCTCAAATGTGTTATGATCCTCTTATAGAAAGGATCTTTGAAATTTACTGAGCCCGGAGAGTTTTAGAAAATATTAGAATATATCAAAGTATCAAGATTAGAGGAGACAAATTTGGTAAAAAGAAAAAAAAAAAAGTAAGAGTGTTTACTTGTCTAGAACACAGAAGTGTTCTGGAGTAGAGGGAAATGTCAAATCAACCAGTAAGAAGTTGAAACTTCCCCTTAAATTGAATTTCATACTTAGCCCATAAGTTTCTCATGCATTCTCCTGTTCAAGACTCCTGACGAGGAGCTTTCAGTTTGAGAGGGAATTGGAAGCATTGCAGGTTTCTGAGGAGGACGATGTGTTTAAAATGATGCTTGAGCAATTTGGTGACTTCTTAAGGTAATATTTGTAAAGCACTTAGAACAGTGCCTGGTATATCATGAGCATTTGTGAAATAAAGCAGATTGGATGCTTTGATAGGAAGAGGGGAAGGCTGCCTGAGAAGTCACTGCCAGCCTCATCTTTGTATGGGGAGGGGAAGCAAGTGAGACTTCTTTTCTGAGGGTGCCAAAGGCACTTGGATTTCTCAGTTCCTCTGCTCTGGATCTTGTTTCCTCCCTCTTATTTTTATTAAGAAAGCATTTTTTTTCATCTTCCTAAGCATAATGTCAACTAACTAGAGTTGAGCCATGTAGCTATTTTTATTTTCCTGATTTTTAAAAACAATACTATAAAGTATAGAGAGCAGTAGCTCAGAGTCTAGAGACTTGGTAAACTTTTATTTTCAAATAAAGCAATTTATCTCGAATAGTTTTGGTTAAAAATATGTATAGTTTGCAGAAAGATTGTGTAGTAGGACAGATGACCATGAGTCAGGAGCCCTTGCCTATGAGTCCTTGGTTTGCCATCAAATGACTTGGTGAGTTTGGGAAAATCATGTAATTTTTCTGAGTCTGGGTTAAGTCATTCATTAAGAAGGAATAATATGTCTTGGACATGTTAGCCATGCCTAAAACAGTGCTTGGCATAGACCAAACACTTGGAAAGAATTTCTTAAATGAATACATGGGATTTAAATTAGGTGATATATGTAGATATATGTAGCACTTTATAAATAAAAACTATTTTTAATGTGACAGATTCCCTAGAACTTGGAGATACCCGGCTTTTCTATAGCCAAAGAGCATTCTAGGTTTCTACCATTTCATTCTACCCCTTACCAGAGCCTGCTGTCAAGATTGTATGAGATGTCAGCTTTTATGAAGTTGCCACCAAGTACTTTGCTGGGATCAAGAGGAGGCATTAGCTTTCAGAGAAAGAAAAGGAGAAAGGGGTAAGCAGGTGACATTGTAGAAAAGACTCGGGCTTCTTGAGCTTGCAAGTTCTATATTTGAAAGGAAAGCACTGTAGGCAGGGGAATAGCCAGTGTGAGGTCCAGGGTGGAGCATGGCTGGCATGTTTGAGGTACAGCAAAGAAACCAAAGGGACTGGTGCAGAATTACTGAGAGGGAGAGTAATAAGCAATGAGGTCAAAGAGGTAAAGGAAAGAGGTACAGATCATGGAGAGCCTTATAAGGATTATAAGGATTCTGGCTTTTTATCTAACCAAATTGGAGGAAGATGGTTTGATCTGGGTTTCAAAAGGATCTCTCCAGCTGATGTGTTGTATAGAGATGGTGGAGAGAAAGGAAGAAGCAGAGACTCCATTGTGGTGCTACTGCATAAACAAGGCAAGAGAGGAGGATGGTTAGAGAGGCATTAGCTATGGAAATGGTAGGAAGTGGTCATATTCTAGATATGTTTTGAGCATAGAGCCAACAGGATTTGCTGATAAATTTGATGTGGCATGTGAGAGAGAGAGGAGTCAAAAATGACATCAGGGCGTTTGACCTGAGCAACTGAGATGGGAAGAGTTGAGGATGAGGGAGGTTTTGTGACAGAATAGCAAGAGTTCAGTTGTAGACCTGCCGAGTTTGAGATGTTGAATAGGTATAGGAGGCAGAGTTCTAAAAATGCCCTGTTTCCATGGATTTCCTACTGTATTAGTCTATTTTCATACTGCTATGAAGAAATACGCAAGACTGGGTAACTTATAAAGAAATAGAGGTTTAATGGATTCACCATTCCACATGGCTGGGGAGGCCTCACAATCATGGCAGAAGGCAAAGGAAGAGCAAAGGCACATCCTACATGGTGTCAGGCAAGAGAATGTGTGCAGGGGAACTGCCCTTTGTAAAACCACCAGATCTTGTGAGACTTATTCACTATCATAAGAATAGCATTGGAAAAACCCACCCCCATGATTCAATTATCTCTCCCAGGGTCCGTCCTATGACACGTGGGGATTATGGGAGCTACGATTGGAGATGAGATTTGGGTAGGGACACAGCCAAACCATATCACCTATCCTAATCCTGGGGCAATCAATATGAAGAGATATCTTGCCTGTGAATATTTTATATCACATGGCAAAGGATTTCACAAATGTAATTAGGGTTGATAATCAGTTAATCTTAAGATGGAGAGATTCACTTGATCACCATTAGCATAAAGATGGTATTCAGAAACGATATAACTTGGAAGATTGCCAAAGGAATGAATAACGATGGAATAGAGACTTTCACCAAAGACTGAGCATTGGTCCCCCACCCCCATACTAATAGTTCAGGAAGAAAATGAGAAGCTAGGGAAAGATATTGAGAAGGAGGGAGCAGTGAGGTGGGAGGAGAATCAAGAGATGATGATAGCCTGGAAATCGTGTGAAGAAGGTATCAAGGAAGAAAGAGTGATAAACTGTGTCAAATGCTGATGAGTCAAGTGAGATGAGGTCTAAAATTTGACCATCGGACTCAGTAACATGGAGGTTTTTGTGACCCACTTGAGATTGGTTATGGTGGTGTGATATAGACAAAGAGGAGCTGATTCGAGTAGGTGTAAGCGAGAGTAAAAAGAGAAGAATTAGAAACATAAATTACAAACAACTCCTTTGAAGCGTTTTACTGCAAAAGGATGGATAGAAATTGGGTGATAACTGAGGGGGAAATTGAGTCAGTATACGGCTTTTGCATTTCTAAGATGGAAAACATAATGGCATGTTTTGTTCTGATCAGAAAGATTCAGTAGAGGTGGAGAAACATCGATGAGGGGGAAATTTCTGAGAAGTCCTTGAATAGGCTAAGGGAATGGAGTTTAGTGTGAAATGGGAGGGATTAGCTTTAGATAGGAATATGTTTGTGTTTATTAATAAGTGAGAAGATACAGCAGGTAGAGATGATGCTGTCTGTCAGGTGGGATGATATGTTAGTTGGAGGCTGAGTATTTCAATAATCAGTAATGACGAGGTCTAGCACATGACCATGGAGTCAGTGGCTGAGGTAGGATGGAGGACAAGATTACAGAGAAGACTTTAAATTGAGGAACATATTGGACAGGGTATTGGAGGGATCATTTATGTGTGTGTTGAAATTGCCAAAAAGTAAAACAGGAGTAGTATTAGAATGACAGTGAACCAAAAGGTGAGAAACAAGATGGGGTTGGTTGTAGGAAGGGGCTGGATGACAGTAAGAATAAGGGATTGCATGTGATATAATATGATGACTTGAAATTCAAACCTGGAGATTTCTAGGGAAGAGGGAGGGAGAATAAAAGTGGTAATGAAGAGCAGGGAGGACACCCACTTTACTCCAGGTCCATTGGTGTGATGGCTGCAGAAAAAAAATCAGGCTCCATTGGAGGGGCTTCAGGGAAGTGGTATTCTCGCAGCAGACAGGTTTCAGTTAGAACAAGATTGTAAGGAAAGCCTCAGAGATGGAGAGGGAGAAGGAGATGGAGAGGGAGAGGGAGAGGGGACTACACTGATGACTGACTGAAGTCCAGACAGCCCAGTGGATGGACTGGTTTCAGGAGTTGGGGATGGGTAGAAAAGGGGAAAGAACAGGGAGTGTGTAGAGCTTTGTAAAGATTAGAATGTGGGCAATGAAGAGTGATCTTGGAACCTGGGGCTTCCTAGGGTAAGTGATAACATCAGGGATAAAGGGCTTAATGTGATTGGTGCTGATGGATTCAAGCAGATAGCAGCAGCAAGGCTGTTAGTATTGAGGAGTAGGGAATGCAATTATTAAAATATTTTTGTCCATATTGGTATACCCTGCAGCCAAGTTAAACCTGATCTAGTTTATTACAAACAAATAACCCTCACTTGCACAATAAGACCCTGTTGGAAATGCCAACTCCCCCTTGGGATGTCACTAGTGGCTCAACTCCCAAGCAAAATGTCAAATACTTGGCCTGTTTCTACCTGGGAAAAAGCAGGGGAGCGAGATTTTCCTTTCAAGCCATTCATCCTTCAGCCAAGCTATCATCGCCCCTCAGGGTGGGGAAAGAGGCACGGGGAGAGAAACGGGTCCTATGGGTGTCAGTGGCACTCTTCTTTTTAGAAGGGAGGCGACCCTCTCCAGGCTGTGGCACCCAGCCAGGTGTGAGGATGCTGAAAAGAGCCCAGATGGATACATTTCTAATTTACGGAAAACCTTCCAATTTGAACACCTCCATGAGAAACCTTGTAACAACCTTATAGCAAAAGCTAAATGTGGAAAATTTCCTTGAGTCTGAATACTCATGAAAATGTTGATAGAAGAAGCAAATATTAGAACTATAAGAAGGGCCTCCAAGATCACTGGAGATCATCTAGCCTCATAGTTTCCAAAGTTTTATACTTTGCAGGGGAAACTTCATTATGTTTTATTTTCTAGAAATATTATGAGGAAGCACAATATGTATAAAACAGATGGAAATAAAACTACATTGGGTAGGTTTTGAGATGCTTCTGAATTCCTACTCTTTGGTCTCTACTACTTTATGTGAGCTCCCGAGTACCTCTGTGGAAACTTAGGGGCCTATGTAACACATGGTTTTGCCAAGCATTGATCTAAATGCCTTGTTCTGGCTTGGATTCTCCCAAAAAGCAGACACTGTGACAAAGATTTGAATGCGAGTTGTTTGGATGGTGATCCTAGGGAATGAGAAGTGGAAAATGAGATAGGAAAGGGGAGGAAGCCGACACAGAGTGCATCAATGCTTAGGATACCACCGTGGGCAAGTGGGAAGACAGTGTAGAACATGCCTCAGAGTTACCTACTAGAAGGGAGAGGAAACTGAGATATTTGTCCACCAACCACCGTGAGACACCAATTGAGGACTGCTCCAGGTCTTAACTCCTTGGCACTTCTTGCCTACTCTGTGTGTAGCAAAATTTACCTCTGTGGCCAGGGAAAGCCTTTGGGCAGAGAGTCTTGGGAGTGCTTGCAGTAAGAAACCATAGGTGTGTGCTGGATGGCTGATGGGTAGGCACCAATAGTGTCTGCAACATTCTTCTTTTAAAGGTAGAAAAGGGAGTGTCTTGAAGAAGAAGAGAAATGATGGTAGAAAAGGATTGTGGATTCTCATTTTCTGACCTGCTCATGCTATAAGTCGCTACCTTCCCTCTCAAAAAGCACACATGTCAAAATGAATGTGAAGCTGTTCAATAAAGATTTATTAAACACTGTCAAGATGCTCTTCTAGGCACTTGAGGTAGGTACATCAGTGAGCAAAACTGAAAAAAAAAAAATCCTGATCTTATTATGCATGTATTCCAGTAGGAAAAAACAGGCAATGAGTAATAAATGTAAGAAATAAATAAGTTAAATCATAAGTTAGTGTGGTAAGTATTATGAGATAAGGGTAAGGGAAAGAATGAGGAATGTAGGAGTAATTAGAGTGGGAGAGAACCAGGCTCTGGATGTAGTTTGAAGGTAGTTTGAGATCATATTTACTGACTTAAAGTGAGTCTAGTTATCGTTGATTGTATATTTTCCTCCAGTTTCATTCAGCTATACATGGGTAGGCGTAATGTAAGTGGAACTTTGGATTTAATTAGTGTTGCGGTTTTGAAGTAAGAGAGAGGTAGATTAGGGAGTATAAAAGCAAGTGAATTGATTATATTATTTGCCATAGAATACGCTGGATAAAGAGGGAAGAGGAGACATCAATGGGTGTGGGAGAATAACTTTGTAGGACCAATGAATTGAAGGTCCTGTTAGGGTCTTAATACTGATCCAGCCTGGGTATCAGGGGCTGTAAGCTGGAAATGTAGATGGTGGTCAGGGAGTGGGATGCATGAAAGTGAGTTTATGGAGGGGTTGCAGTTATTGGTAATGACAAGGTCATTGTGGATATGGCCATGGGGGTGAGTGGCTGACATAAGGTGTAGAACAAAGTAATTGTAGGAGAGGAGCTCTAGGGTGTCAAATTATCCTATGTGTATGTTGAAGTGAATTAGGGCTGGAATAGTGTTGTATAGAAAAGAAAGTGGGATGAAATATATCAATAGCTGGGTAATATCTGAGTGGGTGTCATAGTTGATTTAAATTTATTTCTTATACTTCATCTATTACCATTATAATTAGAAGTAAATGATTAAAGGGGATAAGTTGTATCAGTCATGGTTCAGTCAGGAAAACAGAAATTTTATATAATTTGATTCAGGGATTTTGGTGCTTACAAGCCATTGCAAAGCCTGTAAGAGTGAAAGTCAGGGGATCAGCCATCAATTTTCAATTTTGCCGCACTCTGGTGGTCCAGAGTCAGAGTGCTGTCACCTAAGGGTCAGGAACCTGCAGAAAATTGCTGCTGACTTCACAGTTTTTTTCACATCCTGTGATGACTGAATGGCAGGGGAAAGCAGAGGCTGTCAAAAAAACTCATTTGTGCAAAGTTCATTTATCTGTTGCCACTGCTGGAGGAAGAAGAAAATGTCCTCTGTTTCCTTTCCTCTTTTCAAACCTTATGCGAATGCATCCCGCTGACAGAATGTAAATCACACGCAACCCTCTGCAGGCGAGAGAATCTGAGAAGTATAGTTCTAGGCATCCTGCCCCTGTGTGATACAGGGGAGAGCAGAGGAGGGAAGGGAATAAATGCTGATTGTACAACAAAACAAAACAAGAGACTAATTAACATCCAGCCTAGTAAATATTGCTTCAGAGAGTCAAAATGCTTTCCATGGCTGTCTGTACTGCCTCCTTTTACTCTTGGGGCTATGCCTTTTCATTTAAATTCTCCCTGTTTTGTGTTCTCATGAGCCCACGAGAGGAGGGTCTTTCTCTTTCTAGCACTGATTTTTGAGACTGTGGGATCCATAATCAATGAAGAGTCCTCCTAAAAACTGCACATGGATTTGTGTGTGTGTGTTCAGTGCACAATTATGTTTTATTTGTGGACAGTTACTAAGGTATTCAGATAGATGAGAATAAATATCATCGATATCAGCACATGAGTCCATACCAGCAGTAGGAATGGTATTCAGTGGCAGATCCTCGGTATCCTCTGCCGGACCCATGCCTGGTTTTCTAGCAAGGAGTAGGTTATCTGAGCTGCCTTTGTCACAGTATGTCAAGGGGAAACCATAGGCCACTTAATTCTAGCTCCGTAACCCAGACTCACAATGTTCACCTAACCTAGGAGTAGAAATCTGGGGAGAACAGGTTTGTGATACCAAAACTCATACGAGTCATATTCACACCAATGAGACTTCATTGGTTAGCATAGTCAGAGATAGCTTTGTGAGGATGGTGGAACTTGATCTAGGCTTTCCAAGACAGGGAAGTAGAGAAACACTTCGACAAGGAATTGGGAAGCTAGAGTTCTATTGTTGGCTTTGCCCTTCACTAACCATGTGACTCTGGTTGTCATCAGTGCTGTCCACAAACACTGCTACGCTCTTCCTCTTGGCTAGGTACCAGGATTGCACCTCTCTAGCCACGGGAAGTCAGGCGTGGCTGTGCTACTTCCTTTGGCTACTGAAATGTGAGTGGAAGACACATGTGTCACTTATGGATAGAGATATCAACCCTAAAGTGCCTGATGTCAGCTTTCCTTTTCCTTGTTGTGGCAACCCTGCAAGCACATGTTAAGATGGAGCCTCTATCAAGTCTGGGTCCCTGATGGATTTTGAAGAGATGTTTGGGGCATGTAGTGTGAGAAAGAAATAAATCTTTGCTGTGTGAAGCCACTGGGATATTTGCAGTTCTTTTTATTATGACAGAATCCTGCCCATCTTCAGTATTAGAGTGACCTTGAGCAAGCCCCTTCATGTGTGGGACCTCCAGTTTCTTTTTTTTTTTTTTTGAGACGGAGTCTCCCTGTCGCCCAGGCTGGAGTGCTGTGGCGCGATCTCGGCTCACTGCAGGCTCCGCCCCGCGGGGTTCACGCCATTCTCCTGCCTCAGCCTCCCGAGTAGCTGGGACTACAGGCGCCCGCTACCTCGCCCGGCTAATTTTTTGTATTTTTAGTAGAGACGGGGGTTTCACTGTGTTAGCCAGGATGGTCTCGATCTCCTGACCTTGTGATCCACCCGCCTCAGCCTCCCAAAGTGCTGGGATTACAGGCGTGAGCCACTGCGCCCGGCCTGGGACCTCCAGTTTCCCAAGGGTAAAATGAAAGATTTACAATAAATAAATTATTTTCAAGAATTTTCTTTTCTAGTGGCAGATTTTAAAATAAAACTACCAGGAAACCTAAAGTGTAAATGGATGCAGAGAGATCTGGGAGTTCTCTAGGCCAAAACATTGAGTGGAAGATGACTTATGTTTTTTCCATTCCTAGCACATTATAAATTTCTTCAATGACCCAGAGTCTGACAATCCTGGTAAGCTTGGCTAGCTTCTCTCATTTGTGTGAATATGACTCGTATGAGTTTTGGTAGCACAAACATGTTTTCCCCAGATTTCTAATCCTAGTTTAGGTGAACATTTTGTGTCTGGGTTACGGAGCCAGAATTAAGTGGCCTCTGGTTTCCCCTTGACATACTGTGACAAAGGCAGCTCGGATAACCTACTCCTTGCTAGAAAACCAGGCATGGGTCCGGCAGAGGATACCGAGGATCTGCCACTGAATACCATTCCTAATGCTGGTATGGACTCAAGTGCTGACATGGACCCAGTCTGCAGGGGAGAGACTGGAAAGTCTTATCAGTGAGCATGATGACATTTCATGAGTTGGCACAAGAAATGTTAAATAAACACTGTGGCCTTTTGAGTTACCAATGGTTTGACTGGGAGAGACGGACAATGAACTAAGAACGTTTTCTAGAAGGGGCCTGTATGAGTCCTGACATCTCTCTCCTTCTCTCCTATTCCTCAGTGGTAGACTCACTGGATTAAAAAAAAATCTCAGGTTTGGGCTTATTACCTACTTCTGGTGTAGTACCTATTATGTTTAACTAGTTATTTAATTCAGATCTCTAAAGGCAGGGACTATGTACTATTCAAGTTATTCTCCTTCTTACCTGTCATTTATAGACTTGGCCTGCCTTCACCCAGAGTCAACTTCCTCTCTTAGCTGGCACTGTCAGGGCATCCCAGTTCATTGGTTAGGCCTTGAGTGAGAGGGTCCAGAAAAAAGTACTCTTAGGAACAGGAGGTGGCCACCATCTTGTTCTACTGGTGCAACTGTTTCTAAAGTTTGAAGATTCTGGTGAGCTGACTTCAATTCTTCCTGGGGAATAGGGAGGTCTGAACTCAGAGTAGTTTCTTTAAGAATGGCTATAGTAGCAAGAGAAGTCTACTAAACTTGTGGTTGACCATCATTGGGTTTCATTCATTTTTGTGGTATCTATAGCACCTAGCATAGAGACAGTCATAGAGTGCCAAGATAGTTCACAAAGTATAAAAAATAGGGGTTAAGAAGTCAGGAGATTTACATTAATTAAAGAGATGCCAGGTAGGATGTGATCTTGGGCAAGTCATTAAACTTCTCAGGCAATTTGTTTCCATGTCTGTAAAATGGCAGGTTCAAGCTCTAGGTCTCTGTAGGTTTCCATGATTAATCCATGATTCTCATAGATATTTTCTAATTTTTCATTGAATTGCTTTTCATCATTTAATTGAATTACAGACTCACTTTTTTGGGTCAGATTTGACATTCTGGAGTTTCTAAACTTGTCTGTAATGTTTTCTTACATTTCTGAAGAGGAAATAGCTAGGGTTGCTAGGGCAACTATTATCTTTTATTAATCTTAGTATGAATTCTTATAATATCTGTGATATAGCATCCTTTTATAAAAGGACATTAAATTATCTAATTATAACTATTATATAATAGCTATTATATAATTATATATTATATATGATATAATATAAATATGTATAATATATAATTACATAATAGCTATTATATAATAAAATTTATATTATATAATATATTTTTATTATATATTATATAATTATATTATATAATAAATATAATATAATAATATATAATATAATATTATAGCTATTATATAGTAGCTATTATATAATTATATAATTTGCATTATTTAATAGCTACCTGTCCTATAGTCTTAAAATGGGCCTAGAAGATAATAAATTCATACCAACTGCAGTACTATTTTCATTTTTTTATTGATTCAGGCAAACACTAATTATGATTTTGCACTACGTTGGCATTTGTTTACTTATTCTAGATTTTATGGTGACTAGAGGGAGTGGTTAAAAGTTCTCATATAGAGTTAGTGTTAGTGTTGATATATTGAATAATTTTTTGTTTTGCATCTCAAATTCTGGAAAGTTGTGTGCAGTGTTTCAAATGTCTCAAGGATCTAGAAATGCTTCATAATTTGTTCTGAAGGACTATGAGATTGTGTGATCAGGAAAGCAGAGGCCTTAGCTGTAGTTGCTTTCCCAATGGGATCCTGCTGCCGTCAGTTATATTAAGGAAGAGTGCGAAGTCATGGTGCATCATTGTTAAAAATAGACCAGACAGTGGATCAGCTCCAAGTCACTGCTGATGCGGCAGCTACATACCCAGGCTGGTTTTGCTCCACCTGAACCTAGGAAATCCTGAAAGCAGGCATTCAGTCACAAACCCTTTTTCCCCATACACTGCCTTCCCCAAGCACACACCCCAGATACACACTGAACCATTCCACTTACCACACTCATGCACACACAAACCACACACACATACTGCACCATCCATACACCACGCCATTCCACACACCACACACCACAATTCGCACACCCACACAGAGGATCTGAGAGATTTGAAGTACCACTAAACATCTGTGTGTGAAGTAGGTGGCTCCTGAGTAAGGGCAGCTAATTAAGGCAGCAGAGTTGCTTTCAGGGATCAGCAGGCTTCTCTCCTTTGTCACCCTCCCCCCCGCTTTCTGTGTGTGCTTCTGCTTGTGCTTTGTTCTCAAGGTCTCTGTTATCGTAGTCCTCAGAATCCATGGCTAAATTCTCTTTCAGAATTAAAGGGTCTTTGTGCTCTGAAACACTCCAGTACAGCCTGGTGTGAATGATGATACGTGCAGGGGTTGGAGAGAGGCCAGTTGGGTCCACTTTCCTTCTGTGATCCTCTGAACACTGCATCTGGCTACAGCAGTGCTGCTTGACAATCTCATTTTCCTGAGTGGCTGACGCTCCTCCTAGGAGCTTTATCAGCCACATCCTTTTCTTGTACTTGAGGGAAATGTTTTCAGGACTCTTGAATAAGAGGATCCCTTCCTGGAAATTTTAACTTCTAGACATTTTGATCCAATATCCTGTGAGTCTAGTTTTGTGGGTTTTGGGCTGGTTATGAGGGTAGCAGGTAAGAGATTACATGTCACCTAGGGAGTGAAGATAGACTCATTCTGCATTGATTCATTCATCAGACTCTGAGTGATGGGAGGTGAGGGTGAGTCTCAGAGCACATTAAACAAGGCCTGCAGTTTTCAATTTTAACATTTTTATACCCCCAAGGTGGGAGAAGAGTGCTGGGATCAGTGTGGTAAAAACAGTTTGAGCTAATTCTTTACAGATCCTGAACAGACTGTATGAGTTTTGTAAGGCTGCCATAAGAAATTACCACAAACTGAGTGGCTTAAAACAACAGAATTTTTTTTCTTTCACAGTTGGGGAAGCTAGAAGTCCAAAATCAAGGTATTGGCAGGTCCATGCTTTCTCCGAAGGCTTTAGGGGAGATTCTGTTCCATGACTTTCTCTTAGTTTCTGGTGTGGCAATTCTTGGTATTTCTTGGCTTGAATGCATTACTCCAGTCTCTGCCTCTGTATTCACATGAGCTTCTTCTCCATGTCTCTGTCTATCTGTTTTTTCTTCTTGTAAGGACATTAGTCATATCTGATTAGGGTGCAACCTAATTGAGTATGGCTTATTTTAACCTGATTGCATCTGAAAGACCTTATTTCTAAATAAGTTCATATTCTCAGGTACTAAGTGTTAGGGCTTTAATGTATCTTTGAGGAGGACATATCCAACATTATCCAATAATCTTCTTCTGATACTGGTTGGACCTGCAGGTGCACAGAAGTCAAGAATTAAGGTTTGGGAACCTCTACCTAGATTTCAGAGGATGTATGGAAATGCTTGAATGTCCAGGCAGAGGTGTGCTGCAGGGGCAAAGCCCTCATGGAGAACCTCTTCTAGGGCAGTGCAGAAGGGAAATGTGGGGTCAGAGCCCCCATACAGAGTCCCCACTGGGTCACTGCCCAGTGGAGCTGTGAGAAGAGGGCCATTGTCCTCCAGACCCCAGAATGGTAGCTCCACCAACAGCTTGCACTGTGTGCCTAGAAAAGCCACAGACACTCAACACCAGCCTGTAAAAGATGCTGGGAGGGGGGCTGTCTCCTGCAAAGCCACAGACAGGGGTGGAACTGTCCAAGACTATAGGAACCCACCTATTACATCAGGGTGACCTGGATATAAAACGTGGAGTCAAAGGAGGTAATTTTGGAGCTTTAAAATTTGACTGTCCCACTGGATTTCAGACTTGCATGGGGCCTTTAGCTCCTTCATTTTGGCCAATTTCTTTCATTTGGAATGGGTATGTTTACCCGATGCCTGTAATTCTGTTTTATGTAGGAAGTCACTAACTTGCTTTTGATTTTACAGGCTCATAGGCAGAAGAAACTTGCCTTGCTTTAGATGAGACTTTGGACTGGACTTCTGAGTTAATGCTGAAATGAATTAAGACTTTGGGAGACTGATGGCAAGGCATGATTAGTTTTGGGATAAGAGGACATGAGTTTGGGAGGGGCAGGAGCAGAATCATACGATTTGGCTATGTCCCCACCCAAATCTTATCCTGAATTGTAGCTCCCATAATTCCCACATGTTGTGGGAGGGACTCAATGAGAGGTAATTGAGTTATGGGGGCAGGTTTTTTGCATGCCGTTCTCATGATAGTGAATAAGTCTCAAGAGATCTAATGGTTTTATAAAGAGCAGTTCCCCTGAACATGCACTATTGCCTGCTGCCATGTAAGACGTGTGTTGCCTTTGCTCCTCTTTCACCTTCTGCCATGATTGTGAGGCCTCCCTAGCCATGTGGAACTGTGAGTCCATTAAACCTCTTTTTCTTTATAAATTACCCAGTCTTGGGTATTTCTTCATAACAGTATGAAAACGGACTAATACACCTGCCTTGTGAAGCTTTGGCTGCCTTTTGCAGCCTTGGGACACTGCTCCCCACATTCTGGCTGCTCCAGCTCCAGCCATGGCTCAAAGGGTCTCAGGTACAGCTTAGGCCATACCTCCACAGGGTGCAAGCCATAAGCCTTGGCAGCTTCCATGTGGTGGTAAGCGTGTCATTTGCAGAATGCATGAGTAAAGAATGTTTGGCAGCCTCTGCCTGGATTTCAAAGAATGTGTGGAAAAGCCTGGGTGCCCAGGCAGAAGCCTGCAACAGAGGTGGAGTCCCCCACAGAGAACCTCTACTTGGAGAGTGCCAAGGAGAAATGTGGAATTGGGACTTCTATACAGAGTCACCTCTGGGTCACTGCCTAGTGGAGTATAAGAAGGAGGTCACTGCCCTCCAGGCCCAAGGATGTTAGATGCACTGACAGCTTGCACCTATATCTGGAAAAGCCACAGATATTCAATAACCTGTAAGAACAGCCTCAGGAGCTGACACAGGAGTAGATATTGGGAGACCACCCCTTGTACCAATATGCTCTACCTGTGGGACATGGAATCAAAGGAGATTATTTTGGAGATTTAAGATTTAATGACTGCCCTGCTGGGCTTTGAACTTGCATGGGGGCTTGTAGCTTCTTTCTTTTGGCCAATTTCTCCCTTTTGGAATCGGACTGTTTGCCCAATTTCTATATCCCCATTGTAACTTGGAAGTAATTAACTTGTTTTTGATTTTACAGGCTCATAGGTGGAAGGGATTTGGTTTGTCTCAGATGAGACTTTAGACTTTGGATTTTGAGTTAGTGCTGCAACAAGTTAAGACATTGGGGGAATATTGGGAAGGCATTGTTGTATTTTGAAATGTGAGAAGAACATGAGCTTTGGGAGGGGCTGGGTCAGAATGATATAGTTTGGATATTTTCCCCCACACAAATCTCATGTTGAAATGTAATCCTTGGTGTTGGAGGTGAGGCCTAGTGGGAGGTGTTTGGATCACAGGGGCGGATCCCTTATGAATGGCTTAAGCCATCCCTTCATGATAAGTGAGCTCTCACTCTGAGTTCACACCAGATCTGGTGGTTTAAAAATGTGTGGCATTTCTCCCTCCAACTCCTTGCTCCTGTTGTTGCCATGTGACTTGCCTGCTCCCTCTTGACTTCTGCCATGAGTAAAAGCTTAATAGGGTCTCCCCAGAAGTGGATTCCAGCACTATGCTTCCTGCACGGCTTGCAGAAAAGTGAGCCAATTAACCCTCAGCCAATTAACCCTCTTTTCTTCGTAAATTACCCAGTCTTAGGTATTTATTTATAGCAATGCAATAATGTTCTAATACACCTATGGTTTCATTCTTTTTATACTCTGGCTTTTTAGTTGATTGTCTTTCTAGATCCGGAAAATTGATTACTTTCAGCTACCTGTTAGTCCTCCTGTGTCTAACGCCACCTATCCTTGGTTTGGCTAGCTGGTGTGTGCAAACCATCATCATTTTATTAAGCACAGTGGGGCTCTTTATTTTATAAAAAGAAACAGCTGATATTATTTGATATTTAGGTATCTATCCTAGAGAATTTTAAGTTGGTTCTTCAGCACTTAGCATAGTGCGTGAAACATAGAGGTTTTCAAAAATATTTATTGAGTGGATTAATGTGCTCTATATATTAAATATTAAGTATTTTCTTCTCTCAATCTTACTGTGATAATAAATATTTTTTAAAAAGCCACCTCTAGCAGAAAGTGTGGAAGGAATAAATATTAACATTTTGTACTTCGAGAAGTAGAATGGAGGGAAAGGAGAGATTCTTAACTCTTTCTTTAGATACCTCAATAGTATTTGACTTGCTACCAAAAGCAATGTTTTTAATTTAATAAATCCAATGAGATCAAATCAACAACAAAATTTACCCCCACTCCAAAACAAAATTAGAACAAACCACTGGTGGCAGCTGAGTTCCAGACTGTGTGTTTAGATGGGGATCCAGACACTTTCTGGAGTTGATTATGGCTGGATAATACCTCCAAAAAGGGAAAGAGAAAGGACAAGAAGGAGAAAGGATGGAAACAGTGGGGAAAGTATACTAGTGTTTGTCATTATAGTGAGAGAGCGGCCACAGATAATATGTAGATGAAGGGGCGTGGCTGTGTATCAATAAAGCTTTATTTAAAAAATCAGGCAGTTGGCTGAATTTGACCCAGATGCCACCAGAGTTTGCCAACCTCTGATTTAGAGGAAAGAAAAGATTACAGCAAAACTGACAACAATCTATGACTCCACCAATCAGGCCTGACTGAAGCAGATAAGTTCTCTGCATTCCGGTGTTCCCTGTAATGTGCTGTTGACTCTCCACTTGATGGATCTAGTTATACTGGTGTGAGCTGTTGCGACTACAGCTGTGGGTTTCCATCAGCCACGGGGCACCAGGCATACCAAATACCTATTCTTTAGGGAGAAAAGTGTGAGTAATAAATTCAGTCAAACAATTAAATATTATTTCAGTGAATATACCTTACTTTGAACATGTTATATAAAGGTGAATTTAGTTGTTACCAACAGCGTTTCTTATACCGAGAGTTGATAAAGTGCTTGGGTCAGTCAAGGCCAGGCCAGCATCAGTCTAGCTGCCTTTATGTCTACTCTTCTGTCATCTTCCTGTGGGTCTTGCCAGGAGTTTATAGCATCCCTCTGTAATGTCTTTTTGTCTGTGGCTTTGCTGACCTCCTTGCAGAACTCATTCTTGATGTGTTCTTTTCTTTTGGGCAGTTTCTTGCCTGCTCTATCTTTACTTGGGGCAGGGTCTCTCTCTCTCTCTCTCTCTCGCTCTCTTTCCTCTTCTCCTGCTGTTGGGACTTTAAGTTGTCAGCCTGTAAATGGCTCTTGTCATCCACACCTTTGATGTAATTCCTGTTGTGGCTGCTTTCTCATGGTGCAGACTTTAGGTAATCTTTCTTTTCTGCTTCTCAAGACTTGCAGACCTTTAGAGAATGGTCCTGGGGCCCTCTTCCTAACAAGCTGCTCAAAAAGTTAATGGCCATTTATGTCTCTCAATATAACCTGCAGTTTTGGGGTAAGATGTCTGGGCTTCTATTAATGGGCTGCAAGGGCAAGAGAAAAAGTTTTCCTGCTGTCCTGATCTCTAGGATATATCCTGGTCTCTTGATTTCAAAGCATCTTTAAAAGATGAGAGAAAGATCAAAGAGTTTATCAGCCCCCTGGCTCTTAGCAGCTGTAGAAGAGCTGTTTGCTTGTAATTCTTTACTGCACTCCTACAGCTGCTTGTTCTCTCTGATGCTCTCTTGCTGGGGTGAACTTAGGAAGATAAGATGTTCTGGCACTGTAATGCTGAAGCCTGGTAGAAAGGACCCAGGGTCTCCGCTTGTTGTATCCTAGAGAATATCATACTGCAAGTGTGCTTCTGTGGGGACTCCAAGAGAATATTACATATCCTGAGAAGGTCCAAATATAGGTGGAGGAAACTTTGTTGTCTGGCACGGTGCGCCATGAGATATTAAAAGTGTTCACCTTCCAGGAGAGTTCCCATTACTGATATTATTTATGTGGGTGTTGGTGTCTTTGTATACACTAAAATCACATGGTGTCTTAGTGGCCAACATAAACTAAGGAGTAGTAGTAAAATGTTTTAGCCAACATTTTCAGGTTTGTGCTCTGGAATATTCTATATCTGGACAATGTGATAATAGGTCTATAGCATTGTGTTTTAGATATACTTGGGGGAGAATATTTTACAAATGTAAAGAAAGCATGAGAAGATTTATTAAGTGGTCTCTCTCAGGTTGACCCCAGATCATGACCAAAAGAGGAATGGTATGTTCTAGAGTTGTCTCCTCCTAATGTGTAGAAATGAGTGCTACAGCACAAAGTCCCACGAGTCCTCAGCTTGCTAAGAAGCTATGATTGGTCTAAGAGGAGTTTGTGAAACTGTGTGTTAAAGCATTCTCCTCAGTTTTGGAGAAGGGGTAAGGCTCTATTGGGTTTCCAGTGTTGACCACTGAGCTTCATTTCATAGGTCTTGACTTAAAACTTGGGTGCCAAGTCCTAAGTGTTTAATTTAGTCAGCCTCATTAAAAGTGAAAAGAAAACTCAATCAACAAGTCATATTTTCTCTGTCTATGTCCAGGAACATTCAGGAACAGGAGATGAGGACTCATGGGAGATTATAATAGAGGAACTGGTGAACTCCAGGCCTCAAGGAATGGGGAAATTTCTTGAGGGGCACCTATTGTTTTGGGGTGTGGTGTCACATGGTAGGTTTGGGATGGAGTCTTTTCCTAGATTGGAAGCCTAACCCAACCTTCTGGTGAGACTTTGGTTATCTACAAAGAGCACCTGGAGGGATGGCAGGTACCTAATTCTTATAAGAATCATGGAAGAAGCCCTTGAAGTTCAGCCAGGTTGGTGTTTATGCTCAGCTCTGTCTACTTAAAAGATGCCTCCAGGTCTAGATGCAGGGCCCTGGTTACGCCCTTGTGTGAGGTGAAGGTTTGCATAAGACAGGAACTCCAGATTAAGGCAAGGAGGGTCAGTCTCACAAAATAGTGAGCTAAAAAGAAAACTGAACTATTTTGGTCTTAGGGCTTTTAGTCCTGGCACTGCCATTTAGAAGCTGTGTGATCTTAAACAATTTACCTTTCTGGGTGTCACCTTCTTTCCTTTTTAGGAAAATGAGGAAGTTGTATTTTATAGTATCCAAGATACCTTCCAGGTCCAGAATTTTATCAATATAGGAAGCTGTGGTTTGAAGGAAAAACTAAAAACCAACCAGCAAGAAGAGATATGACTCTCTTAAAAATGTCCTAGATGGTTATTATGGCCCTAAATGAGTACTCTCCTTTGCTTTTTTCCCCCCGCCTTTTCTTTTTTAAATGTTAGTTGGATTATATGTATTTTTTTTTCTTAGCCAAGTGCTTCAACTCCTAAATTTGGAGAACTGTTGAACAGATTTCACCTTCTCAATTTTCCCAATTTGTGACTTTGTGTGAGTTAGGTTCTTATGGTCAAAATTTTATTTTTTAATTTTTATTTATTTATGTATTATTATTTTTATTTTTTTACCTTAAGTTCCAGAATACATGTGCAGAACATGCAGGTTTGTTACATAGGTTTATGTGTGCCATGGTGGTTTGCTGCACCTATCAACCTGTCACCTAGGCTTTTAGCCCCACATGCATTAGCTGTTAGTCCTGATGCTTTCCCTCCCATCATCACCCCCACTCCTGACAGGCCCCAGTGTGTGATGTTCCCGTCCCTGTGTCCATGTGTTGTCATTGTTAAACTCCCACTTATGAGTGAGAAGATGTGGTATTTGGTTTTCTTTTCCTGTGTTCGTTTGCTGAGGATGATGGCTTCCAGCTTCATCCATGTCCCTGCAAAGGACATGATCTCATTCCTTTTTGTGGCTGCATAGTATTCCATGGTGTATATGTGCCATATTTTCTTTCTCCAGTCTATCATTGATGGGCATTTGGGTTGGGTCCATGTCTTTGCTATTGTGAAAAGTGCTGCAGTAAACACATATGTGCATGTATCTTTATAGTAGAATGACTTATATTGCTTTGGGTATATACCCAGTAATGGGATTGCTGGGTCAAATGATATTTCTGGTTCTAGATCCTTGAGGAGTCGCCACACTGTCTTTCACAATGTTTGAACTAATTTACATTCCCACCAACAACATAAAAGCATTCCTGTTTCTCCACAGCCTTGCCAGGATCTGTTGTTTCTTGACTTTTTAATAATTGCCATTCTGACTGGCCTGAGATGGTATCTCATTGTTGTTTTGATTTGCATTTTTCTAATGATCAGTGATGTTGAGCTTTTTAAAATATGTTTGTTGGCTGTATAAATGTCATCTTTTGAGAAGTGTCTGTTTATATACTTTGCCCACTTTTGGATGGGGTTGTTTTTTTCTTGTATATTTGTTTAAGTTCCTTGTAAAGTCTGGATATTAGACCTTTGTCAGATGGGTAGATTGCAAAACTTTTCTCCCATTCTATAGATTGCCTGTTCACTCTGATGATAGTTTCTTTTGCTGTGCAGAAGCTCTTTAGATTAATTAGATCCCATTTGTCAATTTTAGCTTTTGTTGCAGTTGCTTTTGGCATTTTTGTCATGAAGTCTTTGCTCATGCCTATGTCCTGAATGGTATTGCCTAGGTTTTCTTCTAGGGCTTTTATGGTTTTAGGTCTTACATTTAAATCTTTAATCCATGTTGAGTTAATTTTTGTATAAGATATAAGGAAGGGGTCCAGTTTCTGTTTTCTGCATATGGCTAGCCAGTTTTCCCAGCACCATTTATTAAATAGGGAATCCTTTCCCCATTGCTTGTTTTTGTCAGGTTTGTTGAAGAACAGATGACTTTAGATGTGTGGTCTTATTTCTGAGGTCTCTATTCTATTCCCTTGGTCTATATGTCTGTTCTTGGACCAGTATCATGCTGTTTTGTTTACTGTAGCCTTGTAGTATAGTTTGGAGTCATGTAGTGTAATGCCTCCAGCTTTGTTCTTTTGCTTAGGATTGTCTTGGCTATGTGGCCTGTTTTTTAGTTCCATGTGAATTTTAAAGTAGTTTTTTCTAATTCTTGAAGAATGTCAATGGTAGTTTGATGGGAATAGCAATGAATCTATAAATTACTTACTTTGGGCAGTATGGCCATTTTCATGATACTGATTCTTCCTATCCATGAGGATGGAATTTTTTTCCATTTGTTTGTGTACTCTCTTACTCTCTTATGTCCTTGAGCAGTGGTTTGTAGTTCTTCTTGAAGAGGTCCTTCACATACCTTATTAGCTGTATTCCTAGGTATTTTATTCTCTTTGTAGCAGTTGTGAATGAGAGTTCATTCATGATTTGGCTCTCTGCTTGTCTGTTGTTGGTGTATAGGAACACATGTGCTTGCACATTGATTTTGTATCCTCAGACTTTGCTGAAGTTGCTTATCAGCTTACAGAGATTTTGGGCTGAGATGATGGGGTTTTCTAAATATAGGATTATGTCATCTGCAAACAGAGACAATTTGACTTCCTCTCTTCCTATCTCAATACCCTTTATTTCCTGCCTGATTGCCCTGGCCAGAACTTCCAATACTATGTTGAATAGGAGTGGTGAGAGAGGGCATCCTTGTCTTGTGCTGGTTTTCAAAGAGAATGCTTCCAGCTTTTGCTCATTCAGTATGATATTGGCTGTGAGATTTTCATAAATAGATTTTATTATTTTAAGATATGTTCCATCAATACCTAGTTTGTTGAGAGTTTTTAACATGAAGGGATGTTTTATTTTATTGGAGGCCTTTTCTGCATCTATTGAGATAATCATGTGGTTTTTGTTGTTGGTTCTGTTTATGTAACCGATTATGTTTATTGATATGTGTATGTTGAACCCATTTGCATCCCAGGGAGGAAGCTGACTTGATTGTGGTGGATAAACTTTTTGATGTGCTGCTGGATTTGGTTTGCTAGTATTTTATTGAGGATTTTCGCATCAATGTTCATCAGGGATATTGACCTGAATTTGTGTGTGTGTGTGTGTGTGTGTGTGTGTGTGTGTGTGTGTGTGTGTGTGTCTGCCAGGTTTTAGTATCAGGATGATACCTCATAAAATGAGTTAGGGAGGAGTCCTCCTTTTCAACCGTTTGAAATAGTTTCAGAAGGAAACTACCAGCTCCTCTTTGTACCTCTGGTAGAATTCAGCTGTGAATCCATCTGGTCCTGGGCTTTTCTTGGTTGGTAGGCTATTGATTACTGCCTCAATTTCAGAACTTGTTATTGGTCTATTCAGGGATTTGACTTCCTCCTGGTTTAGTTTTGGGAGGGTGTATGTGTGCAGGAATTTATCAATTTCTTCTAGATTTTCTAGTCTATTTCTACAAACTATCATCAGAGAATGTGGGGTCAGCAGTGATATTTTTCTATATCATTTTTTATTGCATCTATTTCATTCTTCTTTCTTTTCTTCTTTATTAGTCTAGCTAGTGGTCTATCTATTTTATTTTTTATTTTTTTCAAAAACCCAGCTGCTGGATTCATTGATTTTTTTTTGAAGGGTTTTTCATGTCTCTATCTCCTCCTGTTCCACTTTGATCTTCGTTATTTCTTGTCTTCTGCTAGCTTTTGGATTTGTTTGCTCTTGCTTCTCTAGTTCCTTTAATTGTGATGTTAGTGTGTCGATTTGAGATCTTTCTAGCTTTCTGATGTAGGCATTAATTGCTATAAATTTCCCCATTAACACTGTTTTAGCTGCATCCCAGTGATTCCGGTACAATGTATCTTTGCTCTCATTGCTTTCAGAGAAATTCTTGATCTCTGCCTTAATTTCATTATTTACCCAGGAGTCATTCAGGAGCAGGTTGTTCAATTTCCATAAAATTGTGTGCTTTTGAGTGAGTTTCTTAATCCTGAGTTGGGTTCTAATTTGATGGCACTGTGGTCTGAGAGACTGTTATGATTTCAGTTTTTTTGCATTTGCTGCAGAGTGTTTTACTTCCAATTATGTGGTTGATTTTAGAATAAGTGCCACGTGGCACTGAGAAGAATGTATACTCTGTTGATTTGGGGTAGAGAGTTCTGTAGATGTCTATTAGGTCTGCTTGATCTGGAGCTGATTTCAAGTCCTGAATATCCTTGTTAATTTTCTGTCTCATTGATCTGCATAATATTGACAGTGGGGTGTTGAAGTATCCCACTATTATTGTGTGGCAGTCTAAGTCTCTTTGTAGGTCTCTAAGAAATTGTTTTTTTATGAGGCCAGGAGATTGAGACCATCCTGGCTAACACGGTGAAACCCCATCTCTACTAAAAATATAAAAAAATTAGCCGGGCATGGTGGTGGGTGCCTGTAGTCCCAGCTACTTGGGAGGCTGAGGCAGGAGAATTGCTTGGACTAGGGAGGCAGAGATTGCACTGAGCTGAGATCACGTCATTGCACTCCAGGCTGGGTGACAGAGCAAGACTCTGTCTCAAAAAAAATTGTTTTATGAATCTGGGTTTTCCTATATTGGGTGCATATATATTTAGGATAGTTATCTCTTCTTGATTGCATTGATCCCTTTACCATTATGTAATGCCCTTCTTTGTCTTTTTTGATCTTCGTTGGTTTAAAGTCTGTTTTGTCAGAGACTAGTATTGCAACCCCTGCTTTTTTCTGCTTTCCATTTGCTTGGTAAATTTTCCTCCATCTCTTTTTTTGAGCCTATGTGTATCTTTGCATGTGAGATGGGTTTCCTGAATACAGCACACTGATGGGTCTTGACTCTTTATTCAACAGTCTGTGTCTGTTAATTGTGGCATTTAGCCCATTTACATTTAAGGTTAATATTGTTATGTGTGAATTTGTCCTGTCATCATGATGCTAGCTGGTTATTTTGCACAGTAGTTGATGCCGTTTCTTCATAGTGTCATTGGTCTTTATACTTTCATGTATTTTGCAATGTCTGGTACAGGTTCTTTTTTTTTCTCCATATTTAGTGCTTCCTTCAAGAGCTCTTGTAACTCAGCATTTGCTTTTCTGAAGAGGATTTTGTTTCTCCTTTGCTTATGAAGTTTAGTTTGACTGGATATGAAATTCTGGGTTGAAAATTCTTTTCTTTAAGAATGTCGAATATTGGCCCCCACTCTCTTCTGGCTTGTAGGGTTGCTGCAGAGTGATCCACTGTTAGTCTCATGGGCTTTTCTTAGTAGGTGACCTGGCCTTTCTGTCTGGCTGCTGTTAACATTTTTTCCTTCATTTTAACCTTGGAGAAAATGATGATTGTGTGTCTTGGAGTTGATCTTCTCATGGAGTATCTTAGTGGGGTTCTCTGTATTTCCTAAATTTGAATGTTGACCTGTCTTGCTAGGTTGCGGAAGTTCTCCTGGATAATATCCTGAAGTGTGTTTTCTAACTTGGTTTCATTCTCCTTGTCTCTTTCAGTTACTCCAATCAGTTGTAGGTTTGGTCTTTTTACATAGTCCCATATTTCTTGGAGGTTTCGTTCATTCCTTTTTATTCTTTTTTGTTTAATCTCATCTGCCTCACTTATTTCAGCAAGATAGTCTTCCAGCTCTGATATTCTTTCTTTTTCTTTGTTAATTTGGCTAGTGATACTTGTGTATGCTTCATAAAGTTCTTGTGCTGTGTTTTTCTGCTCCATCAGGTCATTTATGTTCCTCTCTAAACTGGTTATTCTAGTTAGCAGCTCCCCTAACCTTTTATCAAGGTTCTTTGCTTCTTTGCATTGGGTCAGAAAATGCTCCTTTACCTGAGTGAAGTTTGTTATTACTCACTTTCTGAAGCCTACTTCTGTCACTTCATCGATCTCATTCTCTGTCCAGTTCTGTGCCCTTGCTGTAGTTGTGATTACTTGGTGCAGAAGAGCCACTCTGTACTTTTGGGTTTTCAGTGATTTTTTTTTGTTGACTCTTTATCATCTTCATGTGTTTTTCTACTTTTGAGGCTGCTGACCGTTGGATGAGGTTTTTGTGGGGACCATTTTGTTGATGCTGTTGTTGTTGCTTTCTGTTTGTTTGTTTTTCTTTCAATAGTCAAGTTAGGCCCCTCTTCTGTAGGGCTGCTGCAGTTTTCTGGGGGCTCACTTCAGGCCCTATTCACCTGGTTCACTCTCCTGCCTGGAGATGTCACTCAAGGAGGCTGGGGAATAGCAAAGATGGGTGCGTGCTGCTTCCTCTGGGGTCTCTGACCTCGAGGGGGCACCAACCTGATACCAGTAGGAACACTCCTATATAGTATGTCTGACAACCCCTGTTGGGGGTTCTCACCCAGTTGAGTGGCATGGCAAGCAGGACCCGTTTAATAAGGCACTTTGGCTGTCCCTTGGTGGAGGGGATGTGCTGTGCTAGGGGGAAGCCCACTCATCTGGGCTGCCTGGATTCCTCAGAGCTGGCAGGAGGAAAGACTAAATGTGCTGGTCCATGGAGACTACCGCCTCCCCTCCCGCTAGGGGTTCAGACCCAGGGAGATCAGAGTTCTGTCCCTGAGCCCTTGGCTGGAGTTGGAGTTCCTGCAGTTCCTCCAGTGTTGATTGCTGCCCCTCCCCCAAGGAGTTCAGTCTGCTTAGACAGCAGGCAGCTGCAGCAGTGGTGATGGCCGCCCCTCCCCCCGGGAACACGGCAAGTTTAGGCCAATTCTAGTTGAGTGGCTGTTGAGAATCTGTGCAGCTTTGTGGTTGGGACCCAAGGTCCCAGTGGTGTGGGCTAACGAGTGGGATCTTCCAATCTGTGGGTTGCACAGTTTCACGGAAAAGGCACAGTTTTCCAGGCTGGGTAGCATGGTAACTCACCACCTCCCTTGGCTGGAGGTAGGGGCTCCCGTGCCCCTTGTGGCTCTCAGGTAGGTCGCTGCACTACACTGTTTGTCCTTCCTCTCCATGGGTCACGCCAGCCACCTAGTCTGTCCTAATGACAGAATCTGGATACCTTGGTTGCTGGTGCAGGATTTGCACTGTGTTTTGAATCTTTTCAATAGGAGCCTCCAACCGCCACTGCTTCTAGTTGGCCATCTTGGCCCCGCCCTCCCTGGTCAAAATTTACCAGTCATTCCTCATGCTATAGTCTGTCAGATCTTCTCATCTAACCAGTTGCAGTCATTTCTTGACTCTGTCTTGCAGACCAGGACAGCCTATACTCTGTCAATAGGTCTAACCAAGGCATGAGTCACAAAAAGAGCTTTTAGATTAGGAACAGCCAAATACATCACTCATAGGCTGCTACTCTTTGCCTCTACACTTGTGACAGACACGGCCTCAGAATCTTCCTCAACTCAGTGCTCTAATCAGTCACTCCCAATTATAGATGGCTTGTGACATGAAACTCACATGTTGTCTACATTCTCTGTCTTACCATTGCAATGACATCTCTGACAATTTTGATAAACTTTCTGTATTCCCAAAACATATTAGTTATTGACCATAGAGAACTTAGCCCTCCATAACCCTCACTATTTCCTGTATATCCATTGCCACCTGGCCTTCTTTGTTTTGCTGTTGTCCATGAATTAGTATAATGACTAATATCACTGTTTGTCTCTTAAGGCAGATACATAATTTCCATCAGGAAATATCTGTCAAAGTCCAATTATTATCAATTTGTAGCAGCTGGTGGGAGAAAATATGTTGTCAAATGGTTTCCATGGTTTCAATGACCTCCAATGAAACAGATGGTTTCAGTAGAACATGACAATTCTTTCATTATGTAGGCTGCAAATATTTAGCATTCAGATATCATATACCAATAAAAATACCAAAAGTGCTGTTTTTTCCATTTGGAAAAATTTCCAGATGCCATTTCAACATTATTAAGTGGATCATAACCTTTTTTTCAAGGCAGAAACTCAAGTTCAATTCTGATCTTTACTTACATGGAATCAAGCAAAACAAACAAACAAAAAAACAGACAAACCCACAAACATAAAACGATTCTTAAAAATTTTAGTACAACAATAACAAATGCAGCTTTAAAATGTCAACTGTTGAGATTTAATAAAGCAACCCTCTCAAATTAAGTGTATTGTAAGTTTACCTCTTTCCCAATAAGCATACATTTGTCTTATGAATACTGCCACAAAGTATATTTATAGATGTTAATTTTCAAAGAGTTAGCAGGAAAAGAATGGTTGGCACCTATTGGAGAAATATATTAAAAACAGTCTTCCCACCTAGAAATCTTCTTCCCAAAGGTAGTAGAGAGAAAAAAAAAACATTTTAAATGATTGAATAAGCACTAAGCCAGAATGTGATGCACATCACAAGCAATCCACTAAGAGATTGCAAAAACAGAAATCTCCCTTTTTTATATAGATGTTGCATACATATTTTCAAGATAAACAATAACTAGTCCTCAAGTAAGAGGGGTTGACAACACCATTTGTCACAGATAATTTATCCAAACTTTACCTGGTAATTAGAGTGACCATCTGTGTTAGCTAATTAACTTTATCTGGAGAAAAAACAAACTTATCTCTTTGTGACAAGAGGTAGTTTTGCCTCTTGGAACAAGGAGCCTACTAAAGTTAGGGTCCCACCCTCCAATAGAAATTGGGGTATAGGAATGCTATCTCCTGTCGTCCTCCAAATTTGTGAGAAAGACATTCCTCAGTCATTAAGGGAAGAAAAGGCTAGCTGACAAAAGGCCAATGTAGTCTTCAAAAAGATTTATATACATTTCAAAAAGGTGAGAAGGAACTCACAATTCCAAACTTTCTATGGTAAATGCTCTGAGAAAAAGGAGGGGAAGAAAAATCTCTTCCTTTGTTTTCAACATGGAGAATGAAGCCATATTTTAAATTTGCATTTGTCCTTACACACCTAAACACTCTAGAGTAGGAGGACCCCAAGAAGGTTGAACATAGATGTAGGAGCTAAGATGGTAAAAGAAAAGAATCCACCCAGAAAATGAGGTCCTGAGAAGATGGAGAAGGGCCAAATACTGCCTGTGGATTACCCACATACAGATCCAAATACATTCCCTAACATAAAGAGCTCTTAGGATAAAGAAGGAAACTGAAATTCAGGGAATTAAGGTGGAAAAGTCAGGGGTGGAAAACCAGTGTCACAGAAGCCCAACCCAGTACTCTTTTCAGTCTTGTTCCCTTATTTATGAGCTTCAGCTGAATTTATTATTTCATTGATGTCTTCCCTCTGATGTATAAAATATTTCATTATGTGGCTTCCTTTCCTCCCTTCTATGTTTATTCTTTAGTCCTTTGTTCTAATTTCCGTCAAGTCTCAGTTTATCATAAGGTTTTAGCCAAACTTGCACTAGTTTTTTTTCTAATTATGAGACTTTTCCTTATTGCCTATGCATCTTATTTCCAACTTTTATACATTTTAAAAAATTCTGAGCTCAGCAGAGGACCATCTAGGCATCTACATTGATCCTGAAACCACTTTTGTTTGCAAAGATTTTGACAGTGAGAGAAATCTCACATGGCTGACTCCATCTTGCTTCTAGCCTCACAGGCTGGCTGTCCTCACTCATTCCTGGGCAGAGGCCAAGCTAACCATGGGAGGAATTTAGTTTAACTTGGAAGCAAGGATGATAATAATCAGTCCCTAAAACTAACCCCTTCCTTGCTCGGGGACCGAAAACTAGCGAAAGGCCATGAAATTAGGATTTTGGGAGGGGCCTGAATTTTGTTAAAATGCATAGTTCCTATGATCCCTTGCTATTCAAGGGTCATGTGGCCAGAGGTCACAAGGTTTGTGAATTCCCCAATTGCTCCTATAGTTAACATCACTATTGTAGAACCCAAGATTTGTCTTTTGAGATGATTTTCAGATTATTGCATTCTGGAAACTGACTGAACCCACCCAGAACTGTGACTCATGGCTCAACTGGTCCTGTGGCCCCTACCCAGAGGTAGACTCAGTGCATGAGGAGTGTTTTCCATACCCCTGTGATTTCATCCCCAATCAACCAGCAGGACCCATTCCCTAGCCCACTGCCCACCAAATTATTCATAAAAACCCTAGCCTCTGAGTTCTTGGAGATAACTGATTTGAGCGATAACTCCAGTTCTTCAGTGTCGCAAGCCTTGCATCAATTAGACTTTTTCTCTGCTGCAATACCACAGTCTCAGTGAGCTGGTTTTTGTCTGTGCAGTGTGCAGGAATTACCTGTCAGGCAATTATAGTACCTTTTTATGTGGCCTTTGCTACTACTTGTTCCCATTTGAAAATAATTTCATACAACACTTATTTGAATACATTTCTTATCATTTGATTAGGATTTGATGCTATATAATAAAAATTATTTTTAAAGTCTTCCAATTTTTCATTTTCCTTTCTGGAGATCAGAGAATGGACTTGATCTTACTTTTCTTTTGAAAGTCTTAGAATATGGCTGTCCAGATCATGTATATTCTTGACTTGGCTAAATTCCCCTTTTCTAGTTATTGCAAAATCCAAGTTTATGTGCTTCTCATAAGGTTTTAACATTTTCATCTAGCCAACTCTTTATTCCCCATTAGAGAAGTAGTTTCGCAGGGTATTTTCTGTAGTTTCAGAGAGAAATACATTTTGGAGAGAAAGTTTAGAATTTCTCAGGTGGGATTTGCCCAAATGAGATGTCCTGATTGTTGATCTCTTAGATCACATGTATAAATTGTACTTATAAGGTTTATATCTGTATCAAAGTTTAATAAATCATATATTTTTTTAGTCTGGCATATTGCTTGTTAATCAAATATCTTCTTAGTCTGGGATGTTGTCTGTTGCACAGTTTTGCAATAATTCACTCCTCTCACCCCCTCCATTTTTTCTAAAGCCAAATATTCTGTGCCATCCTTTCATTCTTCAATTTATATGTATTTCTTGTAGGTGTGTATTTTCTTGATAATGAAGTTTACTACATAATCTTTCCTAATGAGCTGTTTCTCTTGGGCCTGGTTTCTCTTTCCTCTGCTGGGTTCCAGCTGTGTCACCCCACGAAACCTTGGTTAAATCTAAGCGGTAGATTTACCACTTTCTACCTCATATAACTCTTGTCTTAATAGATTCCTTATCATACTGCAACTGACATAATGGGTAGAAACTGTCTTCATTTTTATTTTTTCCTATAATGCCTAGTATAAAGTCTGTTATATAGGCATTTAGTAACTATAAATAAATGAGTGAAGGCACACCCTAACAGTCCTAATTACAAATTAACACAAGACTAATAATTGAAAATGATTTTTGACTTTTGTTAAGCCTTAATGGAGTAACTAGGCAAATAAAGAAACAGAATAATTAACAGCAAAATCAGGACAAACAGTCCTGAATCAGTCTACAATCAGATATAAAGACTACACCAGATAAATATAGGTTGTTTATAGGAATCAGGAACAAATAAAAATGAAAGTAAATTTAGGACAAATTGATTTACAAGCCAAACCTAACTTAGAAAGCCTTTTATAACTGATTATTCTGTCTATGAATCCATGCGTGAATGATAACGTGCAGCAATAGTGAGAAGAGTTCTTATCCACACTCATAATTCTGAACAAAAATATTTGATAGCCCTATGCTTTGGGCTTTCTAGCTTCTAACTCTTTAAATACATATTGTGATTTATTTGGATGATAAATGGGAAAAAGAGAGTGCTTTTTTTTGTTGTTGGTTTTGTTTAGTTTTTTTTTTTTTTTTTTTTTCCTAGAGAAGGAGACTGAGAAGATATCCCTTGGGCTTAAAAAGTAATTTTTAGAAAAAATGAAATTCTTCCTTTGAATATTCAACCAGTTAAAGACCATAGATAGGAAATCCTGTTTTGCTTAAACTTGTTATGAATATGTAGTAGGTCATTCTAATATATCTTCCAGTGACTGGATATGGTCCTCCAGGAACTTGTGCCTGGCTCTTTATTAAAATAATTACTGAAATAATTTTTAATGATTTTAATAACTTAATCATTGCTTTTAATAATTTAAAAGCAAGACACTTAAAGAAAGTTAGTACATGAACACTGTATAAAATAAGAGTTACTTTCAAAGGATGTTGTGCTGTTCTGGGTGAAGTTTAATTATGGGCAGTGGCTGAGGAAGTATTTTGGGAGTTAAACACATTGTCTCTCAACCATATATTCTATCTCAGTCAGTAGTTGCTGATTCTGCAACTATAAGGCCAGACTGGCCTCAGTAAAGGGGCTTTTGGAATTGCAAAAGTAGGATAAAAATGCAATATGGGGAGAGACAGTTTGTCTGACCTATAGGATGATGTTCCAGAAGGAGGCAGGCAGGGTGCCTTCTGTGAGTGGGTTCAGAGTAGACAATTAATCCAGAGAACAGGGAACTTGCAGATATTGGAGGAAGAAACAAATGATCACACCACTGGGCTCCAGATGGTCCTCAGGGTGCCCTTTGGATGGGGCTTTTCTCTGAAGAACGAGTAGGAGACGTGCTTTTCAGCTCCCCTTGCCCACGTTCCTTTCTAAACCTACCTCTGATCCCCTCTTCTAGGAAACTGGCTTGACTTTCTGCGTCAGGTTGAGTGCTCAGTGATTCCTCTCTTTGATTTATATTGAAACATAAACTATTATTTAAAAAATACAAATACATGAAATAATCCTTTATCTTATTAACAGGAAGCTCCCTGGCCCAGAGATGGGGTCTTTGCTCTGCTCTTGCTGACTTTTGACTTTAGAAACCTGTCACCCTGGCCGGGTGTGGTGGCTCACACCTGTAATCCCAGCTCTTTGGGAGGCCGAGGCGGGTGGATCACAAGGTCAGGAGCTCGAGACCATCCTGGCTAATATGGTGAAACCCCGTTTCTACTAAAAATACAAAAAATTATCCGGGCAAGGTGGCGGGTGCCTGTAGTCCCAGCTACTCGGGAGGCTGAGGCAGGAGAATGGCATGAACCCGGGAGGTGGAGCTTGCAGTGAGCCGAGATAGTGCCACTGCACGCCAGCCTGGGCGACAGAGTGAGATTCTGTCTCAAAAAAAAAAAAAAAAAAGAAAGTTGTCACACTTTCTTTTGCTTGGCATTGCTGTAGCCCTGTATGTAGATCTGTTGGCAACTGTCTGTCTACACCAGGAGTTCTGGTGACAGCTGGCTTAATCTTTAATTTAGAATCTGGGTATACGATGTGTAGATGCAATATATGCTTTTTTACACAGCATGATTTCTTTTTGAAGAGAATCTTTCAGATGCACCTTTAAACACATTGTCTCAATGGTCCCTCTGAAATTCTCACATTTGGACAAAGACCCAATTTATTTAAAAGTGAGCATGTGTTAGCCTTTTAAAGTTATTCATTACATGAATACTTGTTAAGCAGCCACCACATTCCTAGGCACTCTTCTAGGCACTGGAGATACAGAGATGAACAAGACAGAGATGGTCACAGTTTTTCTGTCTCTTACATTGCAGAAAGAGAGGGATGTGGTAAGGGCTGAAAATGAGCAAGGAAGTTAGGAAACATACAAATATTGTGATATAATTTAGGATGTACATACTCAGAAGAAAATAAAATGTGGTAATAGGATAAAGAGTATTGGAAGTAGGGTAGAAAATTCCACTTTGGATTTGGTGATCTGGGTAGACATCTTTGAAGAGGTGACATTTGAGTTAAGATCCCAAGTGACAAGAAGGACCCAGCCATGGGGAGATCTGGGGGTGGAGTGTTCAGGTAGAGGGACTACCAATGGCAGAAGCTGATGCGGAATAAACTTTGTAGGTTTGAGAAACTGAAGGCCAGTGAGGCTGGAGTTCGTAAATGATGGGGAGAGTGGAAGGAACTGGAATCTCAGAGGTAGCCTCAGGATGATCTCAGCTATAAGGAACGGAAGAGTATGACTCAAGTTGGCTTAGACAAAAAGGAAATAGTTTATTTCACATAGGATATTTGGAGATAGGGAAGACTTCGGGGTTGGTTGATTCAATAGCTCAAAGACATGATCAAAGATGTGGATTGTTTCCATCTCTTTGCTCTGCCATCTTTTGGCAGCCCCTTCATGAACTCATGTTGGTTGCTGTCGGTTTAGATAGTAAATTCAAGCACAATACATGCAGGTGAAAGGGGTCTGTGCATTTTTTTTTTTTTTTTTTTTTTTTTTTTTTTTGGTGAGGAAGCCTTTTTTCAGAAGTAACCCATCTAATTTCCTCTCATATATTGTTGGTTGTGTTTGGATCTCCTACCCATGCTTAAACAGATATTGATAAGTATGCAGTTACCAAGTTTGGTTTTGCTGAGTGGCTCTCAAAAATAGTCCTCGGAACAGCAGTATTAGTATTACCTTAGAACTTTTCAGAAATGCAAGAATTAGAAACTCAGAGAGTAAGTTCTAGTCATCAGTGTTTTCACAAGCCCTCCAGGTAATTCTCATGTACACTTAATTTTTTTTTAAACTTTTAAGTATACATTCAAGGTAGAAACAAAGTGTAAATTTGTGAGATTTATTGACAATTATGACTTATCCCTATGTTTGGAAAAGTTAAAAATAAATGATCATCAGAACTTCTTCAGATGAATAAGGCCTGGGAAACCTGAGACAAATTTTACTGTGCCTTTGAGGAGAAGGAGAGAGGGAAGCAGTGTTTACTCTTGGAGCATTAAAGCAGTGCCTAGTCTTAGAAAGTTTGTGGTGTAAATCAGAAGCCACTTGGGGTCTGAATGAGATTCACTCAAACTCCCATTTCAAGCGCCGGAGCAGTCCACTGTCTTCTCAAAAAGTCTATAAATTCACCCGTAAGGTTTGTCTTTATTTTTTTTTTGTTTTTTAAGATTAAAAAAATAGACATTATGTCAATAAAACAGTTTTGATACATTATTAAGTAAAGTCCAAAGTTTATTCAGATTTTTGTATTTTTACCTACTGTCTTTTTTCTGTTCCAGGAAACCATATTACATTTAATTGTTAGATCTCCTTAGGATCCTCTTAAGTGTGATCGTTTCTCAGATTTCTTGTTTTTGAGAACTCTGACAGTTCTGAGTACTGGTTGGTTCTATTGTAGGATACCCCTCTAATGGAATTTGATGTTTTCCTCATGATTAGATGGGCACCGTGGGTTTTTGGGAGGAAGACCACAGAATTAAACGGTCACTTTCTTCCAGAGTACACACCATCACCATGATTTATGAATGTTGATGCTGACCTTGATACCCTGGTTGAAGTAGTGTTTGTCAGATTTCTCCTTTATGGTAGAGTATCTGTATTTATTTGGAATTCTACATGGGAGATTTGTCTCTTGTCTCCATTTTTTAATGTATTCAGTCATTTATATCATTATGGAGTCATGGATTTTTAGACTCATGGATTGGGTTATAATCCAATACTACTTGATTTTGTACCTCAACCGATTCTAGCTTTGGTCATTGGGAGTTATTTCAGTTGGCTCCTATGCCTCTTTAACATACCCCCTCCAGTGCGTGTGTGTGTGTGTGCACTTTATGGCAAGGCAAGATGCTCCAGGCTCATCCTATACATTTGTAGTCCCAGTCCTTGAATTAGGCCATTTAACCTTCAAGTTTGAGAACAACCCATTCAGGCTAATTATTCAAAGAAAGAGTATATCTTAGGGAGAAAACCATAAAGGCCACACAGGGATTAGACCATTGAAAATGTAGGCTGAGGTAAAGAGCTAAATGTTATTCCAAGTACAGTTAAATGCCACTGGAAGTTTTAGTCAGAGGCAAGATACTTTTTGATATGTTTCTTTGATCTATCTGTCGAATGGAGAATGGATTGTAGGGGAAAGCAAGATTAGAAGCAGAGAGACAATCTAGGAGACTATTACACTTAGCCTAGAGTAAACTGACAATCACTTGGACTAAAGTGGTAACAGTGGAGTTAGTGAGAGGTGGCTGGATTTGGAATACGTTTCAGAGGTGGACTCCAAAGTATCAGCTGATGGGTTGATGCATGGCATGTGGGGGTCAGGTAGGGACATGGAGGGAATGAAGGAGACAAATCAAGGATAAAAGTGTGGACAAAAGAGCCAAGGAATCAAGAGCAATGGCCAGGTGAGGTAGGGAAAATTGCAGAGGAACAGGTTATGGGTTTGAAAACCAAGAGTTCTGTTTTGGACATGTTAAATCTGAAATGCCTGTTAAATATACAATAAGATACATTAAACAAGTGTGGAAGTAGATGTGCCAGTTTGAACTTGAGGAGAGGTCAAGGTTGGAGGTGTAAATTTGGAAATGCTTAGTACCTAGAGTGTGTTCAGAGTCATGTGAGTTCATGATATTGCCTTTGGGAGACAATTTTGGTGAGGAATAATACGCAGAAGTTAGGCAGAAGGGAAAGATGCAAGAAAGGAGACCATGAAGGAACAACCAGCAAGGAAAAATATGGAGTCTGCTGTCATGGAAGTCAAGATAAGAACATGTTTCAGGAAGGAGGTACTAATAGTACTGTAGAATGCTGCTGAGAGATTGAGGAAGATGAGGGCAGAGAATTGACCATTGACTTTAGCAAGAGGAGTAGTTGGTAATTTTGATGAGAATTGTTTCAGTGGAGTGGTGGGTGTGAAAGTTTGGAGTGGTTTCCAAAGGGCTAGATGGTGAGGAAGTAAGAGAGTGATTATCAGCAACTCTTTTGATTGACTTTATTGTAAGTGATGTACAAAAGTGGGATAGTAACTTTAAGGTAATGGGGTCCCAAGGAATGGGGTCCCAAGGAAGAGGTGTTTTTTTTTTTTTTTTAGATGTTAAATGTTTGAACAAGCTTGTATGCCAGCAGGAATAATCCATTTGAGAGGGGTAAAATGATAAGGTAGAAAAGAGGAGATTATTATCATTTAGCAGAGAACCAAGAGGGCTTTAGTATGGAATAGTTATATTTTAATAGGGAAAGTAGCAGATTAAAAGGTCTGAATAGTGAGAAGTTATAGAAACTAAAGACAGAAAGTGCAGCATGCCAAAAACAAACTTAAATTCAGAATTTGGGCTTGTTCCAATTCTAACTCTTAAATCCAAATCTAAGTCTTGATGGATGTCTTTCCTGTGTCTTAAACTGAAGAACGAATGTTTTGAAGAGATGCAAAGAAGTACAAATGCAATTTAGTTAAAGTGGAAACCGTCCTGGCTAATGAATTTATCCAGGGAGCTTATGGGAATTAACTACAAGAAGATACCAGAAACATTATAAACAAGAAAAGAGATATATCTGAAAAACAAGTGACAATTGTAATTGGCTTCCGTAGGAGCGTTAACTTGGACCAAACTGAAAGACAGGGAGGGTAGAGGAGGTTAATTGGAAGTGGTTATTTATAGGTTTGTATCTCTAACGTTCTTTAGTCTATGAAAAAGTACAGACTGTGTTATGCTTATGCAGGCAAAAATTGTAAGAAGCACATTCTGGTGATTTTTCAGAAATCTACTGACAGTATCATCTTTGAAGAATTGCATTATGACCTTCTAGGACAGGACTCAGCTGCCTGCAATTCGTAACTTAGCCTGAGGGAAGAGAAAGAGCAGGACAATTACCAGGATGCCAGTAGCACATGTGCCATACCACATCACTAACAGCACTGTTCTCCCCCTTCCTAGCACCTCATTTCCATGCCGTATGCACATGGACATTGGTCTTTGTTTTATGACAGGGAAGACAGTAGCTATTTTAGAGAGGCGGTAAAGTGGAATGGTTAAGAATTTGGGGCTTGGGGTTAATTAGCCTGTGCTTGACTCAGCTTTGTTTCTCAATTAGCCATTAAAAAAAATCTTCAGTTTTATCTGTCAAACTGGAATAACAACAGTATACCTATTCGATGGGATTTGTGAGAGGTTTAAATCTGATAATACCCAGAATTACACTTTTAAAGAAAATATATCCCATACATGGAGGAGGAAGCAACTAACATTTGATCACCTACAATGTTGGTTTTACTTCCATTTATAGATGAAGAAACTGCAGTTTATCAATATTTAAGTTTGCCCAAATCCACTTAACCGCTAGGTTAATGTTCAAGTCTTTCTGATGAAACATATTCTTGCCCTTAAATGATGCTTTGGTTCACTCAAGTGAGTTTTGGATTCAGGTCAAAAATAAACAACCATGATTGTAAAGCCAATACAATTGTGATTTGTGATTCATATTTGTTTTGGGATACTGTTTATACAGACATGTTCACCACTATGCCCTCTATTTTACAAGTGGTTTTCAATGTTGGCTGAAAATTGGAATCATCTGGACAGTAGGTTAATGCACTACTGTTGTCTGGGTCCAACCCTGAGATACTGAATGAATTGTTTTGTGAGGATTAGGCATTGAGATTTAAAAACTTCCCAGATTATTCTAATATGCAGCTAAGATTGAGAAGTATTGTAATAAAGGAAACTACATTCCCCATAGCCTTTCTGAATAGGAGTGGTTATGTTTCGAGTTATAATCTGGCAATCCTTTCCCCCATTATTGATTAGATTAGATTAAGTCTAGTCAACCTAAAGAATAGTTAAAGGCCCGTGGACTGCCTTTGTATAAAAAGATAAGGCAGGTTATTCAAATTCTCTCATTTTGGAAATTTGATTATGAAATAGCAAGAAAAGAAGGATGTAAGCTAGTGGTTCCCATTTTTTTTTTTTTTTTGACATTAGTGTCACCTGGAAGGTTTAAAACTTCTAATGAACTTTGTTACCTTATACACATCAAATCAGAATGTGTAGGGTGGGAACAGGGCATTGGTATTTGTTAAAGATCCCCGGTAATTGACAAGGTGCATTGAAAGTTTGGAAACCACTGAAGCAAGTGGTGGGAGCCTAAGCCTAATGTCATGTGATGATGTAAAGTAGCAGTTCTTAAACTTACATGCTGATTCTGATTCAGTACGTTTGGAGGAGGATCCAAAGTTCTGCTTTTTTATTTTTATTTCCATAGGTTTTTGGGAGAACAGGTGGCATTTACTTACATGAATAAGTTCTTTAGTAGTGATTTCTGAGATTTTGGTGCAACCATCACCCGAGCAGCATACACTGTGCCCAATTTGTAGTCTTTTGTCTCTCACCCCGTTCCCACTCTTTCCCCCGAGTCCCCAAGTTCTGCATTTAAGTTCTCATGTCATGCTGGTGATGTTGGTCCACAGAGCACACTTTGAGTAGCAATGAGAGAATCTGAGAAGCACTGGGAGGAGGCACAAGCCAGAATGGGGGAACACAGATTATGAGATGGACAACGACAAAAGATATAGAATAAAACATGAGAAGGCTGGTAGTCTGTAAGAGGAGAATGGAACAGATGTTTGTTGAGAACCTGATGCAGCAGCGCTACAGTAAATATCTTTGAACTTCTGATGCTGAGATTCCTTAGATTCCTTGGATACAGAAAGACCTTTAAGTTTCTGTTTCCTAAAATCCAATTTGGATTTCTTGAGTTCCTGGGCATGTGTATTTTTATACTACACCTTCATTAACTGAAACAAGCTGCACCATACACTATTTATTACTCAAGATGATCTCTCTCCTTTCCTTAATTTTGTTTGGTTATTGTATTCATTATCTATCACCGCATAATAAGTTACCTCAAAATTTAGTGGTTTAAAACAATAAGCATTTATAGTTTTGTTGTTTTGTGGGTCAGGAATTCAGGAGCAGCTGAGCTGGGAGGTTCTGGCTCAGGATGATGGCAAGAGCTGCAGTCATCTGATGACTTGACTGGAGCTGGAGGTTCTGCTTCCCAGAGGGCTCGCTCACATGGCTGTTGGCTGGAGGACTTAGTTCTTTGCGACATGGGCCTTTTCTTAGAGTGTCCTCATGGCATGGCTATTGACTTTCCCCAGAGTAAAAGATTCAGGAGAGAGCTTGACCAAGATGGAAGCTGCAGTGACCTGCTGTTTAAGTTATACACCATCATGTCCACTTTATTCTGTTTGTCAGAGATGAATCACTTAGTCCAGCTGACATTCAAAGGAAGTGAAATTGAAATGAGTGTCAGAAAATTTCTGGATATCTTTAAATGACCACAGGTGTTTACTTCTCTTTGGAATAGTCATGTGCTTTAGGAAAAGCTGATTACATTCTCAGCAGGTAGATTGTCATTGGTCGAAATTAGTGGTTCTCTAACAAACACCGGGGCGGTGGGGGACAAGGTGAGGGAGAGTATTAGGACAAACACCTAATGCATGTGGAGCTTAAACCTAGACGATGGGTTGATAGGTGCAGCAAACCACCATGGCACATGTATACCTATGTAACAAACCTGCACGTTCTGCACATGTATCCTGGAACTTAAAGTAAAATTAAAAAAAAGAATATTCTAATGAAAATATATTAATATGTGTTAGTTAAAAAAAATTAGTGGTTCTCAAAGTGCATCAGCATCACGTGGGAGCTGAGTATGTAAATACTTTGGCCCTGCCCCAGAACTACTGAAAAAGAAACTCTGGGAGTGGGGCTCAGTGAGCTGTGTTTTAACAAGCTCTCCAGGTCATTCTAATGTACATTCATGGCTGAGAACCATCAGCCTTAACCAATCTTCGTAATTCAATGGCCTTTATCAGCTCGGAACCCGCTCTGGCCAGTGAGCTGTGAGCGGATAGCTGTTGGGGGTTTCTGGGAAAGGTTTCATTGCCGTCAAGAAGCGCTACTGAATATGCTTGCATATGTGACATTGAAGTAGCTGTAAACTATCTTGCTACCAGCATGAGATTGAGGCTATCAAAGTAGACATGGCAGAGCTTTGAAGATGGATGGCGGGGACCTGGATGTATGTTTATAGAAGCCTGTCTGCTGTACGGACTTGTGACAGGGTAAGCTGATGAACTCCCTTACTGGTTATGCCAACTTGAGGTAATGTTTGCTGTTACTTGCAGCTAATATCATCCTGATTGACAACCTAAGAGAGTCTTTGTAGCCAAAACTGTTGAGCTCAGTGGTGATTCAATCCTGTCTGCATTTTTGGGTTCTGTGAGAAGTTTTTTAAAAATGCTAATCCTGAGTTCAATTCTAGAAATTCTGATTTAAATAGCCCAGCATAGAGCCCTGGTATTGGAATTTTTCATTAGGTGATTCAAAAGCACAGGTAGCCTTGAGAACTGTTGGTGAATATGACTGCTGAGGGTCTGTTTCTCAAAGTAGTGAGAATATTTTTTCCTCTGAGGACTCCTCAAACTATACTAGAATGAGAATTATACAAACGAAGAGAAGCAGTTGGGCAATATTAGAAGTGGGATAAGGCTTACTTTTTTTCTTGCACAGTTGATACTAAAATAATATTTGTTAGGTTAACACGACCAGTTTTCTAAATTTACAAACTAATTCCTTTTATTAAAGTGGCTTATCCTCAACTCCATTACTTCTAGTTTCTTCTCTGTCCAAGAGTTTTGGGTAATTACAGGAGCACATCTGTGAGAAAGCATTTTCTATCAGTTTCTCGGAGTTGTTTTTGTCGCTTTTTCTTTGCTTACCATGCAAGAGAACTCCAGCAACATTTCCTCTAACATCATTGAGAAATTACTGTTTTCTGCATACGTTTTGAGTTTTTCTGTTTTCTCCACCTAGTTTTAACCATCACTTCTCATAATTATTATTCCAGTCTAAAATAGTCCTCTAGGAGAATGGAAAAGCAAAATGTGGTAGATGTACTGCCAGTTGGAAGCAATGAACCAGCTGTACATGCAAGCGTACGGATAAAACTTTAAAACATAGTGTTAAGTGAAAAACATAAAACGGGCAAAATCTATGGTATAGTGCATTTTTTTTGAAATTAAGAGCACGTTGACCTCAAGATAGCATGAATACATTTTATTCAAATGATTTTATATAGTCTTTGTATGTTTCTACATACCTATACACACATTTGAATATTTAGCTTTAAGCTCAGTATACCTTATAAGAAAGTGGGGAAGGAGAACAACTCCTAATGAAGAGGGGAAACATAAAGCAAGAAAAGCCTTGCAGGGATCAGTGATAATAATGACCCAGGAATATGACTAATTTTTGTAGCTGAGGTCTACCTGCTGCCTTGCAAAGGCCTCTAAAACCTTGAAATATGCTGTGGAATTAGAAAATCTAAAAATGAGTCTGAAAATTGAGTGTTAAATAGAAATAAGACAAAGCTTTAACCCTACGTGCTTAATCACAAGAGTCTCAGGGCAGGCCGGGCATGATGGCTCACGCCTGTAATCCCAGCACTTTGGGAGGTCGAGGAGGGTGGACCACGAGGTTAGGAGATTGAGACCATCCTGGCTAACATGGTGAAATCCCGTCTCTACTAAAAATACAAAAAATTAGCCGGGCGTGGTGGCAGGCGCCTGTAGTCCCAGCTACTACGGAGGCTGAGGCAGGAGAATGGCGTGAACGCGGGAGGCGGAGCTTGCAGTGAGCCGAGATGGCGCCACTGCACTCCAGCCTGGGGCAACTGTTTGTCCAGGTTTTGCACGGTACAAGGGATCCTACTTAGGGTCAAGGAGAAGTTAAAATCTAGCCAGTGCTCCAGTTGGTGGATGGGAACTTTGTCTAATTCACAGGAAGACATCATAAGGACTAGTGGAGCCCTCGTTTTAACTTTTATTTTGGGAACTTAGTGATGATCCTTGATGTGAGATTTAAGTTCCAAGAAGGTGGAAACTTCCTTTTCCTCCTGTGTGTCAATACTTAGCACAGTGCTGGGTCACGCGACTGGTTCCTAATAAACATTTGTTGAAAGAACGAACTGTAAATGTTTGGCACAATATTTGGGCAGGTTGAAGTTTCTGGAAGTATAATTTCTTGGTAAGTGGAGTATTATCTTAATGAATCCTGTTAGAATAAACCTTTCCTCATAGATACACATAAAAAATATTTTTTGGTGGTTTGGAATAATGCCTTAAGGAAAACTTCATCTCTGTGCGGTAGGCGGTATGTTCCAGTGGTCGAGAATTTGGGCCCTGGATATGGACAGGGGTGATTTGGGAGTCTTAGCCCCGGGCTATCATGGTCATCACCACCTCCTGGAAACTTGTTAGAAAGGTAGTTACTGGGGCCTCCTGCAGACATACTGGAATCAGAAACCCTGGAGGTGGGATCCCAGCAATCAGACTTAACAAGCTCCACAGGTGATGCTGATGCATGTGCACACTTAAGAATCCCTAGCTTGATTGAACCATTTATTGTACTACTTCTCATCCCCCCCACCTTTTCTCTTTTGGGACCCATGCTTCGGGACCCAAAATAATTGCTGTATTCTGACTGTACATATTTCCCCATTTGCAGGTATCAGGAGACACAAAGTATTCTACCAGCATACCATATTAGGTTGGTTTTGGATTTGGTGGAGCCTGATTATAAGAGCTCCTCTGTTTACTTTTCAGTTTGTCTTTTGGTCTATCCATGGCCTAGACTCTTAAAGAGACATTTGAGAAAAAAGTGAAATAAAAATCGTTAACATTTTATTGAGTTAAGCAGTTTTTTCTACTCCTTTTAGTATAGTTCTAGTTGACTATGTGTATTGCTTTAAAATATGCAAAAGATGAGTTACACAGAAAGAGCAAATATTTAATACCCCAGTCTGAAATCACAGTTGGAGGAAAAAAACCCAACGATTTTGGAAATAAGTCTATATTAAACAGTAATAGTAAATCAATAACGAAATATATGCCAAGGAAGACACTTTGGAAATAGTCTTGTTACAGGAAAGATCATGGTATTGAGTTGATTTTTGAGTTAAGGGACATTAGGTTTCATCTTAGTTTGTCTTGACAAATGAAAGCAGTGACCAACGATTAGTGATAGATGATGACAATATCCTTTTACTGCTGCTGACCTAGAGACTTCTCTGAAGTGAACTTATGTTTGGTTTGTATGGATGCTCGTGCCTCTTGGTGTTGCTTCTGTTCTGCCCCAGCTGTTGCATTGCCAGCCTAGCTTGCTGAGTAGTCAGTATTGATTTTGGACCCCAGCTGCCAATGTTGAATAAATCATACTTCTCAGCTGGCGCATTATTATCACTGGCCCAAATAAGACCTCTTTTATTGTTTTTCTTTTTATATCTCTTCCCTAACCGTGCCTTTCATTCCTTCAGGCAGTCATTCTAGTGCATTTTCTGTGTCTTCCATGATTTTTGATAAAATTGGTGCTATTTTGTATATCTTAAAAATTATACAAAAATATAAATACTTAAAAGTGAGAATTATAGTAAACGTTCTCATATTTGTTATTGACATCAATTATAATCAATTGATAGATTGATTTATTTTATCTATAACTTCTCCTGAATCCCCACTCACCCTATCCCTACCTGAATTATTTTGAAGCAAATTCCAGATATCACTTCTTATGTTTGTAATAAATGATTATAGCATCTTATTTCATGACTGAACACTGTTTATTGGTGACCTATCCTTGTGCTTGTGGGTGGGTGCATCTAGCCCATTACTTCTAACTAACTACTGCATGGTACCAGTGGCATAGCTATCACATGTGAATCCACTTCCCTAGGGTGGGAACAATACTTGGATTGCCTTCTTCTCTCTCCTATCACCAACAGAACTGCAATCAACACCTTCATACACATCAATAAATTTAATTTAAGCCTAATCCAAACTCCAAATGGATTCAGAGAACTCATGTTTGTTATAAAATGTATATGAAAGTAAACATACATGAATAGCAAACCTGGCCTTGAAAATAAGAAAATTGTATTATATTTGCCTTTTCTTTCTGTGCAACTCATCTTATGCATACTTTAAAGCAACATGCATAGTCAACTAGAACAATACTAGAATAAAGGAGTAGAAAAAACTGTTTAATACAATGAAATGTTGATGATTTTTATTTCACTTTTTTCGAAAATGTCTCTTTAAGAGTCTAGGCCATAGATAGATAGATAAACTGAAAAGTAAACAGAGCAGCACTTATAATCAGGCTTCACTAAATCTGAAACCAACCTAATATGCCCCATGATGGACATGTGTGAGAATTTCTTTGCAATATATACTCAGGTGTAGAATTTTGAGGTCAGAGTATACAGTTACTTTAAGTGCTGCCAGATTGAAGCAGACATTCTAGAGAGCAATCTACACACTTACCAGGAACACTTGGCCTTATCAAGCAATTGTTTTTCTTAGTTTAGTAGGCCTGAAACAATATAGTATTGTTTTCATTTGCATTTTTCTAATTTCTAATAGTATGACCATCTTTTTATATGCTTATTAGCTTTTTGGGTTCCTTGTTCTATAAATTGTTGATATCCTTTGCTCCTTTTTTCATTGGCATTTTATCTTAGTGATTTATAGGACTTCCTTCATGACTTTTGATATGTTAGACCTTTGCTAATTTTTCACATGGCTAGTGTCTTCACAATCCCGGTAGGGAGGGGATGAGTGCGGATAAAACTGTATTTCACAATGATTATTCTCACCTGAGATTATAGAAATCTCCATTTATTTATAACAGCCAAACCTTTATTAGCTTTAAAAAGTTTTCTCCACAAAGGAATTCATTTCATTATGCTAAAACCTGGGTAGTATGTTTTCACTGTTAATGAAAATGATAACTTATTTTCTATTATGTTTTCTAGATGGCCATTGCAATTCAGAGAAATGCTACTGTTTTTTTCATAGGCTGACTTTTGTATCCAGAAACTTATTGAATATCCTTACTCTAATAGTTTTTTAAAAATTTTAAAATATTTTTGACAAATTACATTTATGGTGTACAACATAATTTTTAAGGTGTATATATTGTGGAATTGCTAAATCAAGCTAACTACCATATGCGTTACATCATCTACTTAACTTTTGTGGTGAGAAGACATAAAAATTACTCTCCAATTTTAAAGTATACAATATGTTGTTATTAACTATAGTCACGACGTTGTACAATAGATCTCCTGAACTTATTATTCTTGCTTGACTGAAATTTTGTCTTTTACCAATATTTCTCTAATCTCTATCACCTACAACCCTGGTAATCATTGTATTTTCTCTGCTTCTATGAGTTCAACTTTCTAAGATTCCATCTATAAGTGAGATCATAAGGTATTTGTCTTTCTGTGCCTGACTTTTTTCACTTAAGATAATGTCCTCCAGGATCATCCCTGTTGTTGCAAATGACAGAATTCCTTTTTAAAGGCTGAATACTGTTTCATTGGGTACATATTCCACATTTTATCTGTGTTCATTTATTGATGGATACCGAGCTTGATTTTTTTTTTGTCTTGCCTTTGTTCTTTTTGCTCAAGATTGCTTTGGCTTTTAATTCAAATGCGAATCCTGTTCTGATTATTTCTCATCCTCTTCTGATTATTTCTCATCCTCTTCATAAATATTTTCTGCAAGGTTTTTGTAGATACTTTCAATCAGATTTGAGAAATTTTTCTGTGTTCTTGGTTCGCTAGTGTTTTCTTTTACATTCATGCGTGGATACGGAATCTTAGCAAAAGTTGTTTTTGAATCTCCTGAGATGACTACAATGTTTCCCCTATACATTTGTTGGCATTTCTGTCTTACATACATTTCCTCTTTTGAAAGTATAATCTCATCTTTTCCTGTTTTCTGAGCTTCTAACTACCTATTTTTTTCTTCAGTTTCTGTTATAATACTACTCATTCCAAATATTTTTATTCTAAAAGTTTCACCTGTTTGTACCTTTTAAAGCTTTTAAAAAATAGTGGTGAGAATACTTAACATGAGAAGTACCCTCTTAACAAAATGTTCAGTGCAAGATCCAGTATCGTTAACTACAGGCACAATGTTATATAGGAGATCTCTAGAACTTATTCAACTTGTATTTATACCCTTTGAACAGTAACTACCCATTTTCTTTCTCTCCCAGCCCCTGGTAACCACCCCTCTACTTTATTTCTGTGAGTTTGACTATTTTAGATATCTCATAAGTGGACTCATAAAGTATTTGTCCTTGTGTGTCTGGCTTATTTCATTTAGCATAATGTCCTCCAGGTTCATCCATGTTGTGTCACACATGGCAAGATTTTCCTCTTTTTTTTTTTTGAGACTGAATAATATTCCATCGTATGTGTGATGGTTAACTGGTGTCAACTTGACTGCATTAGAGGATATCCAGATAGCTGGTAAAACATTATTTTTGGGTGTGTCTGTGATGGTGTTTCCAAACAGGATTAGCATTTGAATCAGTAGAATGAGTAAAGAAGATATACCCTTACCAAGGTGCACAGGAATCATCCAGTCCTTTGAAAGCCTAGGACAAAAAGGTAGAGGAAGGGCGAATTCTTTGAGTGGGAACATCTATCTTCTCTTGCTCTCAGACATTGGAGCTCATTCTTCTTGGGCCTTTGGACTTCAAGACTTAAACTAGGTTTGAAACCTCTCCTCCACTCTGATTCTTAGGCATTTGGCCTCAGACTGTGAGTTAGACCATTGACTCATCTGATTTACAGGCCTTCGGACTCAGCCTGAATTACACTACTAGTTTTCCTCATCTTCCAGCTTGCAGATAACCTAGAACAGGACTTCTTGGCCTCCAAAATTGACTGAACCAATTCCCATAATAGATCACCTCTTATTTCTATGTGTATCCTGTTGATTCTGTTTCTCTGGAGAACGCTAACACAGTGTGTATAAAACACATTTTCTTTATCCATTCACTTGTTGATGAACATTTTAGGTTGTTTTCATATCTTGGCTATCATAAATAATGCTGCAATGAGCATGAGAGTACTGATACATCTTCAAGATTCTGATTTCATTTCTTTAGAATATATACTGAGAAGTGTGATTGCTGGAGCATATGGTAGTTCTATTTTTAACTTTTTTTCATTTCATATCTTAAACACATCTATTTTTAAATTTTTTATTACACTTTAAATTTATTATATTTTAAGTTCTGGGATACATGTGCAGAATGTGCAGGTTTGTTACATAGGTATACATGCGCCATGGTGGTTTGCTGTACTCATCAACTCATCATCTACATTAGGTATTTCTCCTAATTCTATCCCTTGCTTTGCCCTGCACCCCCGACATGCCCCAGTGTGTGATGTTCCCTGTGCCCAGATGTTCTCATTGTTCAACTCTCACTTATGAGTGAGAACATGTGGTGTTTGGTTTTTTGTTCCTGTGTTAGTTTGCCGAGAATGGTGGTTTCCAGCTTCATCCATGTCCCTGGAAGGGACATGAACTCATTCTTTTTTATGGCAGCATAGTATTCCATGGTGTATATGTGCGACATTTTCTTTATCAAGTCTAACATTGATGGGCATTTGGGTTGGTTCCAAGCCTTTGCTATTGTGAACAGTGCTGCAATAAAGATAACGTGTGCATGTGTCTTTATAGTAGAATGATTTATAATCCTTTGGGTATATACCCAGTAATGGGATGGCTGGGTCAAATGGCATTTCTGGTTCCAGATCCCTGAGGAATCACCACACTGTCTTCCACAAGGGTTGAACTAATTTACACCCCACCAGTACTCAAGGAAATAAGAGAGGACACAACAAATGGAAAAACGTTCCATGCTCATGGATAGGAAGAATCAATATCATGAAAATGGCCATACTGCCCAAAGTAATTTATAGATTTGATGCTGTTCCCATCAAGCTACCATTGACTTTCTTCACAGAATTAGAAATATCTACTTTAAATTTCATATGGAGACAAAAAAGAGCCCATATAGCCAAGACAATCCTAAGCAAAAAGAGCAAAGCTGGAGGCCTCATGCCACCTGACTTCAAACAATACTATAAGGCTACAGTAACTGAAACAGTATGGTACTGGTACCAAAAGAGATACATAGACCAATGGAACAGAACAGAGGCCTCAGAAATAACACCACACATGTACAACCATCTGATCTTTGACAAACCTGACCAAAACAAGCAATGGGGAAAAGATTCCCTATTTAATAAATGGTGTTGGGAAAACTGGCTAGCCATATGCAGAAAACTGAAACTAGCCCCCTTCCTTACATCTTATACAAAAGTTAACTCAAGATGGATTAAAGATTTAAATGTAAGGCCTAAAACCATAAAAACCCTAGAAGAAAACCTAGGCAATACCATTCAGGAAATGGGCATGGGCAAAGACTTCATGACTAAAACACCAAAAGCAATGGCAACAAAAGCTAAAGTTGACAAATGGGATCTAGTTAAACTAAAGAGCTTCTGCACAGCAAAAGATACTATCATCAGAGTGAACAGGCAAGCTACAGAATGGGAGAAAATTTTTTCTATCTATCCATCTGACAAAGGGCTAATATCCAGAATCTACAAGGAACTTAAGCACATTTACAAGGAGAAAACAAACAACCTCATAAAAAAGTAGATGAAGGATATGAACAGACACTTTTCAAAAGAAGACATTTATGCTGCCAACAAACATATGAAAACTCATCATAACTTGTCATTAGAGAAATGCAAATCAAAACCACAATGAGATACCATCTCATGCCAGTTAGAATGATGATCATTAAAAAGTCAGAAAGCAACAGATGCTGGAGAGGATGTGGAGAAATAGGAAAGCTTTTACACTATTTTTAACTTTTGAGGAACTTTCCTACTATTTGCCTTAGTGGCTACAACATCTTACACCAACAATGTACAAGGGTTCTAATTTCTCCACATCCTGTCCAATACTTTTCATTTTTAATTTTTTAACATAATAGCCATCTGAAGAGGTATGTGATGATATCTCATTGTAATTTGGACTGACATTTCCCTGATGTCTAGTGATGTTAAGCATCTTTCATATAACTGTTAGCTATTTATATATCTTTTTTTTTTTCAGAAATGTTCAAGTCTTCTTATTTTAATTAGTTTTCTTGTTTTTTGGCTTTCAGGGTTCCTTATATACTATATTTTGGATTTTAACCTCTTATCAAATATAAGATTTGCAGATATTTTTCTTATGTTGAAATCCATCCATTTTGAGTAGATTTTTGTGTACAGTGTAAAGTAAGGGTTCAATTTTATACTTTTTCATGTGGATGTCGTTTTCCCAACACCACTTACTGAAGAGATTGTTCTTTTCTCATTGTGTATTATTGGCACCCTCATTGAAAACAAGTTGACTACAAATGGGTGAATTTATTTCTGGGCTCCTTACTCTGTTCCTTTGGTCTATACATCTTTCTTTATGGTAGTACCATACTGTTTTAATTACTGTTGCTTTGTGGTATATTTTTGAAATCAGGAAGTGTGATGCCTCCAGTTTTGGGGTCTCTGGTTCCCTATGAATTTTAGGACTGATGTTTCTGTTTCTATATATAAAAAAAGCACATTCAATGGGAATTTTGAGAGATTGCATTGAATCTGTAAATCACCTTAGATTGTATGTAATTGTTAATACCCCCACTTTATGTAATGTTTTTCCTTATCACCTTAAGTGTATTAGGCCTATTTAAAATAATCAGTTTCATTAATTCTGTTTCGGATCATATATATTGTTGGGTTTCTTAAAATTTTCTTTGTTTAATTATCTTTTCCGGTCATTTTGATGTTTTCACTTACGATCTCATGTTCTTCTGCGTATGTCAGCTATTTTGTCTAATCGTGTATTGGGGAAGGGCCAAAGGCCACATCCTGATCTGCATCCTTCCCTGTGAATTTAAAGGAGATGCAGTGAGGATGAGGTGTGAGAGTCAAAGCACCAAAAAACCACTATTTGTTGCCACCACTCCTGCAGACAAAGTCCTGGTCAGGCTTTTGCCTTGAGACTCTAGAAATACTGACATCTGGATATGGGGGGATTGGGATGTGACATAAACATCTTCGGGTTTTAGAGAAGTAGTAAGTGATGAATAAATGCTCAAGGATGGCTGGTATCACTCTTCATTCAATCCTTGACATGAGAGGTCTTAATGGTATCCTGGTTTTATTATGTCCATGGTGGGTCCATGACCTAGCAATTTTTCTGACGGCTGGCAATAATTTTTCAATGCATTGTGGAAAGAGGGACAAGCAGAGCTTAATTTCAACCTACAATCTCACTGTTAACCTTACCAAAGACACTCATCTGAAAAGAATTTTATATTTTAACTGTTCAGCCGTGGGAAAGAAAGAAGGAAAAAGGGTAAGTGTATGATAGTCTGAGCACAACAATCCGTTACATGAGGCCAATGGTGAAAAAATTCACTGTGGCTATGAGTTACATTTAAAGAGGAAAGCATACTTTTTTTTTTCCTAGGAAATACAGTATCAGTAATAGGATTTAAGCATATTTTTTTTGGCCAAAAATTCAGGAACGATATATTCAACAAATGCTGCAAGAATCTGATTATAGTGTTCTGTCTCTAAACACATTTTTGGGTGACATGAGATTTGGTGGAATTGAGTTGAAGAGAGTGATTTGTGGATGGGGAAGAGAATTGGCAGGAAGGCTAAATCTTGGGACATGTAGGAGTTAACCCAGCGAAATTGCAGGTTAGGAGAAGCAGGGCCTCTGGTAGAAGTGGGAATGTAAAAGCAGTGTGTGGCATATCTGTTTAGGAGGTGACATGTAGTTTAATAAAACCTCATGAATATGATTAGTGCCCTTATAAAAGGACTCCCTTGCTCCTTCTATCATGTGAAAACACAGCAAAAAGATGGCCATCCGTGAACAGGGAAGTGGGCTTTCAGCAGACATGGAATCTGCCAGTGTTTTGATCTTAGACTTCATAGTCTCCAAAACTGAGAAATAAATTAGTTTATAAGCCACCTGGTCTATGGTGTTTTGTTACAACAGCCTGAACAGACTGAGATACTATATGATTTCATGTAAGTAATATCCTGGAAAGGCCAGGCCATAGGAATAGAAATCACATCAGTGTTGGGCTGCTGATGGGAGTAGTGATACACTGCAAAGGAGAATGAGTAAACTTTTTGGAGTGATGGTAATATTCTATATTTTGATTATAGTGAACCACACTCTCTTGATTTCTGCAAATGTAAATACAACATATGGTAGATATAAAACATACAGAGTAAGACATATGACAACAATAGCACTAAGGATAAAAATTTGGGAGTCAATGAAATTATACTTTTCTGAAGTTCTCACATTGTGACCTACTTGAAGGTTACGTAACTCTAAATGTTTGTCATCAAACCCTATACCCAAAAAAGATGAGTGAATTTTACTTTATGTAAATTATACCTCAATAAGCCTGACACTTGAAAAACTTAAAAATCCTTTGAAGGTATATACCTGCCATATACAGAGAAATGCAAATATGTGTATATGTGTTTATATATAACTTCTGCTAAAGTGTTTTTCTATTTATTGTCTTGACATTGGCTTCTGGCCTCTATTGTTTATGATGAAAATTAATTCTTTTCCTCAAATTATCTGCCAATATGTAATATGTATGTGAGTTTTTTCCTTCCTTTTGAGATTTTTTTCTCCTTAACTTTTTCAATAATCTGACAATGATGTTCCCAAGTATTGCTGTTACAAATCACACAAAAATGTAGTGGCTTAAAACAAGTTATTTGTCACCAGGCTGTGAGTTGAATGCGTATTTTTTTCTGCTAGTTGCACCTAAATTCACACATGTATTTGTATTCAGGAGGTAAGTTGGTTGGAAGTTAAGCTCATCTGGGACAGCTGAGATGGTTGCATCACTCTGTCTACATGGTATTTTATTCCAGGTTCTTTGTGTCATGAAAGTCTCTATGTAGAATCCAAGAGGGCCAAAGTAATAACCTCAGTGTCTCTTTAAGTCTGTTCTCACATTAAGGCTCAGCCTTAAAATAAAGACTAATATAACTACTGCTGCATTTTTTTTTTTAGTTAAAGCAAGAAGCAAAACCAACTTAAATTTAAGAGATACAGAAATAGGTCTGCATCTATGTATGAGAAGAGTGGTAAAGTGACATCACAAAGAGGTGTAATTACATAACTTTTTACAAGTAGTGTTCAATCTGCTTTTCAGCTATCCAATGAGGGTTTATTTCAGATATTTTAAGCTCTAGAATTATAATCTTTCAGTTTCAATTTCTCTGCCAAATTACTCTCTTCACATATTACATTCATATTTTCTTATAAATCCTTTAATGTATTTGAAATCGTTGATGCAAAAATCTTTGGCTGCTAATTCCAATGACTGAGTCATCTGTAGGTCAGTTTCTACTGACTGTTTTGCCTTGATTATGGGTCACATTTTCCTACTTTCCATGTCTCATAACTTCTTATTACATATTAGATATTTTACATTACAGACTGATAATTTTTTTGTTTTGTTTCTAGAGAGTGAAGGTCTTTATTCATGAAGTGGTTGGGGTGGGGGCTAATTATTTAGATTTTTCCTATGGCCCATTTGAGCTGAAGAAAGCAGTAACTTTAACTAGATTGAATTAATCTCTGCCTAACCTCCTGCACCACTACTGCCTCTTTGATGTGGTCAGGAGAAAAGATTGGGCTGTAGTATTGGGTATTGTTTATTGTCACCTTTATATTAAAAGCTAGCAAGGTCCTAAAATCCAGGCTGTATAAGAATGTGTAGGATTGTGTAGTTTTTTTCTGCTTTGTGGCCCTTCATTCACTGCTGCTTCTGGGGTGGGGAGGATTATTTGGTCAAGCAATTTTTCATTTTGGGCTCTACTAGATTCCAATCTATACTGCCAACCTATAGTGCCGTCCAAGCTTTAATTATTCCTGCATAATCTACCCAGGCTAAAGCAGGCTTATTTCCTCATTGTTCCTACATTTACCAGATGCCTTCCCCCAGGTATGGAAGCTGCTGCTGGTCTCTGCTCACTTAAAAATTCATCTTTTCTTTCTAGAATTCAGCTCATTAGCATTTCTTTGCTTTTACAGCTCTTTGTAGCCCTATAGAAAAATATAACTTATTTAATCTGGGTTTATCTTGTTACCACAGGAGAGAGTTTTGTTCTTCTCCTTCTCTGTCATAATTGGATGTGAAACTCAATATTGGTTGGGAGGTTTTGACATGACTTTATGAATAGAAATAGCTATTAAACTCCAGAGGTATTTATATCCTGGAGGTTCTCTAGTTTCAATGTTAGTGGTTACTGAATTTTTTTTAATTCCTGTAGTTTTATGCTATAGCATGTTTGGGTGAAGTTAGCAAGGAGTTGTTTTTGCTGCAATAAAGATTATTCTTCTGTGTGGCCTGTGGGCATCAAAAACATAATTTGAGAAAGTCAAAATGGAGAAAAAGGGAAGTAAAAATTGTGAATACTTACAGCTAAATGGCAAAGGAACTAATACTATTTATTAGTAAAATTTCCAGGCTTATAAATTTAGAAGAATTTAGCTACAGCTATGTATTATATTATGCGAAGTGGTCCTTAAAATATTCAGATTTCTTGCCCTTGTCAGTGGGCGGTAACTCTGGAAGACTTTCTTACCTAGTAAATAAGAATAATCTTTATTTGCCCACCTGACACAAGCACTTGGCTGAAGGCTCCCATAATCACCCATGGTGGCTGCGGGAGTGAGGTGCAGATGGAAAAGGATAGAATGCATTGAGAAGGAGGCAGCACTGGGCACCATGGAGTCTGTATGACAAGATGAACATCATTGTCAAAGTTGTCTTTGGAACTAGGTCCTGGAATAAATGTTTCTAGAACATGCAGAGATAGTATTTTCAGGAAACATAACAACCCCAGTTCTAATGTTGGCTTTTAGAGATGTTTTGGACTGTGTACTACCTGAAAAATGAGCCCAGGTATGTCGATATATACTCCTCCCCTAAAGAGCATGCCTACTTGCCCTTTCCAAATATTGGCCATTGATTTTCATTTTCATTTTTTAAAAAATGAAATTGAGACCTCAGTGATGTTAGCAATTCCCACATCTGCTGCCCCAGCACCACCACAACCCCCAGTGGTTGTCAGTAGAAAAGCTTGTGAGGTCCTGGTTCAGGGAGGCCCTGTTCTGGCTTTCTTTGTCTTTTTGCCTCTCTTCAGTAGCAATATCAGTTTCACCTTTGGGCCAGGGCTAGATACTCTCTTCTTTCTCCCTCCTCCTTGTCACCCTTTGAAAGGAAGTTTCTCTACCTGCTGGGTTATTGGCCTTTCATTATGTTAATCATGCTGATGGATACAAAGAACTGAAGACTTGGAGTAAAGCAAGACATTTCAAGCAGGAGACGAAGGAATCCTAGAAGGCAGAAGGGGCCAACGAGTCAATGTTTTGGCAATGGTTTTGTCTTATATTGAGTGAGAGAACTTTGGGGGAAGCATTGCCATCAAGAGGAGAGTAAGAATGGCCAAAATGGACTAAAGCATCTTAAAGATTTTTACTATATATTATGTGTAGGTAGTTACACCTCTCACTACAGATTTAAATTTATTTCCATTTTTAAAATTGTAGGAATCAAATTTTTCTTGTAATCAAAACCATGCCATTTGTGGCCTCAGCTATATTTGGGTTTTATTTTCAGTTGGTACTCTACCTTTGTGATATAGTCAATAAAAAATGACTTAGAATTTCCTTTCTGCCCTTTTCCTTAAAAGAAAGCCTCCTATACTCCTTTATGTATGGACAACTGAATTTCCTTTTTAGGAGCTTAATCTCTTTATTTTGAAGCTTTGCTTCATTTGAAAATGTTGCCCTCACTGAACTTTAGTGTGAGCTATTTATACTTCAGGGGAAGGAATGTCTTTTATACTGGCGATGTAGAACAGAGTTGAAGGGATACCATAAATGGGGCTACACAATGCAGGAGAAAAGAGGAAAAAAAAGGATGCCAGGAAAAATAAGAAATGTTGCCAGTTTTGCAGCTTTGCTAAGAGTGGGTTATATTGCCAACGGTGTAGATTCTGGCTTCAAGACCCTGAAGCTGAAGCCTCATTATGCTTTTATTTATCATTTTGTAAAGGTAAAAGGGCATGTTGGGACAAAAAGGAAGGGGGAGGGCAGGGAATGGTAGAACAGGGAAGGAAATTTTCCATGGGGACAAGTTTGACCTCTTATTTTGGGAGAGAAGACAATGAACTTTTTGAGCCAATGATAACAAATAACAACAACAATTGCATGCATAGTAATTACTGTAATTTGAGTATTTATGTGCCAGGCACTGTGCTAAGCACCATGCTTCCTGCTACAGCATTGAAGTCTGACTGTTGAAAATGTATAAATATGTGTTTCCCTGGCGTGCTGGAGAATCTGAGTTAAAACGATAAGCCTCCTACCATTGCATTTCCTCGGCCTTTTTAAAGTTTATTTAAACTTGCTATGTTGTATGACTCTTTGTAAACTGCCTTAAACCTTTTTTTGGAACAAGACAAGATATAAATAAATAAAATAACCTATATACAAACTAGGAAAGTTACAGATGCGTGGATATTTCAGACTCTTGCTATTCTTTCCAGTTCCATTTCCCAGCTCTAACTGAAGCTCTCCTTCATAGCTCTTTGGACCACTGAGGGAGTAGAGGCTTTTGGTGTGGCCTTTAGGTCACATTTCTCAAACTCACTCAGATCTTGAGTCACCAACTGCTGCCCTCCTCTGAAATGTTCCTTTGGTTATTACTCATTACTTTTTGGTCTCTAATGTCTCTTTTTACTTCAAAATCCTATGATTCTCTGAGTCTCTCCTGCCATAGCTATCAATCCTTGGTGGGCAGCTTCTTCTAAATACTATTAAAAGATACCTAGGAAGGTGACTTAGGCAAATGAGGATGAAAGGTAAAAATGAAAGCTTTAAGTCAACAACACCTTCTTTTAATTCTCTATCCTGTCTTTTTCAAGGACTCCCTTAAATACTGTAATCTCCTTGGATTCCTATTTATGCTCATATGTTTTATAAAACACAAGACACATTCCCATTTGTTTTCACTTTCAAAATTAGTTGGTGGAAGGAGGCTGTGAGTCACCAGGAAGCAAGAACATTTCTCATGGGGGCATAAAATTTTAGCTATTATATAAATCATAGATGCATAGAATATAGAAATAATTGAGCCAAATCTCTGTATTTTACAGGTAAGTAAACTGAGACTCATCACATTCAGATGGCTCAGAGCTGCCAGACACTTGGGACGTGCCTTTGCTGGGAGTCTCTCCCTTTTGCAGTTCATGGCCTTAGGTGAGCCACCTCCTTTCACAGTCAGAGATCACCACAGGCAGCCTCCTGGGGCAGTTTGGGAGTCATAAAATTGGTGAGGAAGGAGTTTGTGATGAGATTTCCAGTGAAGGTAAGTTCTGTAGAAGTACAAAACATCGTTATTGTGACTTGAGGTACTTGATAGCCCATATGACTGCTCACAAATGAAACCTAAAAATACTCCAGCATGTGGGATGTAACTTTGTAGGTGTCTGTGACTATAAACGCAGAACCAGAAATAGAACTGGGGGTACATGGTGTTGCTTAGCAATACAAGTGAAAATGGGATGAAAATGGAGTTCTTTAGCAGAGAAAAAGTTGTTTACTAGAAATAAAGACACACTGGGGGCTGGTTTTTTCAACTTTATCTATAGTTATGAAAATGAACTTTGTTCTCTGAATTTCTGGGCTTATTGCTGTCACTAGCAACATCAAAAGAAATGTTTTATCCTTTTAAATTTTTTTCTGAGGGGGAATGTTTGTGGATGGAGTTGGCCATAGGCACTTTGGAGATGTTAAAAGATTATTTCCTTTTTAATGGATATAGCATCTAGTGCAAAACAGAACCAAAACATTAACACAAATGACTAGGACTTTCAGTGGCTTGAGGAAACACATCTCAACATGAAGGAACATGAAGTTATAAAAATGTTTGTGCTGGTTATGTCAAAATGTTAGTTTGTCTCTTAATAACTTTGTATGGTAAACATTATCTTGCCAGTTTTACAGGTGAGAGAGTTGAGGCTGAGAGAAATTGATTTCTCAAAGTCACATAGACTTAGGGTGGCAGAACCAGGATTCTAACTCAGGTTTGTTTGTACAGAGTTTTGACTTCTTTCCACTCCAATAAATCATCCAAAGAGGAGCCTCCCAGGTGCTGGAGTCTGGGCATGGTGGCAGATGACTCTGTACACACTGGGAAAGCGTCCTACAGATAGTTGTTCTTGAGTTGAGTTTAAACTGCAGAGAAGAGGGGAGAAGATTTTTTAAAGACAAAAGTTGTGTTCTGAAAAGCTATTGTCTCAATGTCTTATTGAAAATGTTTATTGTTACTGACGTTTTCAAAAGTTAGCTAGATTGTAAGTACCTTGGGTGCAATGATCTCATTTTAAAGGGTTCATAATGCTTACAAAGTGTTCTACTAGATGCTTAATGAATATTTGTTAATGTAGCTTGAGCTGTCACTCAAAAATTTTAGGGAAAGGATGAATTAGGATAATTTGCAGTGACCAATCTTGTAGTCAGGAAATGAATTTAACATAGAGTTAAAGTGATAGGAATGGCCTTCCATGATCCAGTTTGATTTGATGTGCCAGTTTTAAACAGGCGCAAGTTAAAAGTAAGAAGAAAAAATTTCAGGAAAGAACAAGGTATTCTACTGTGGAAGGGCATCTCTTTGACATGGAAGACAATAACCATTGACAATCCATGAATGAAGTTGTTTATTCACTGGAAACTTGTTCAGGATTCTAACTTTCTATATGGGTTAGAGATGGATTGATTAAAACATGTGTTTATTCATGTAATAAATGACACCTGAGCGTCAGGCACTTGAGCTATGGAAAAGAGTGAGATACACGCCCCCCTCAAGATTCGTGTCTTATGAACAAGTAGACATAAACAGTGTCAGGTGTTCAGATGGTTTTATAAGTATATAGGACATAAAATTACTTCAGATGTTCCAAAAAACCCTTGAACACCCTTGGTATTGGGCTGAGAGTCCTTTGAACTTGGCCATTGATAATTCTTCCTTTTCTTTGGAAAATTGGAACTGTTGTTCCTAAAGTGTGGATGTTAATTCTCTGAAAACTCCATGCCAGGAGAAAATGGAAATTTGTTGCTTTAAGAGAAAGGAACCAAAAGACGTTGTATTGTGCCATATTTTAAAATGATCTAAAATGATTTTCTCTCCGCTTAGAAATTATGTATACTTACTCTATTAGTGTTTCCAGTGCAAAATGGTGGTAAAAGGGAATTCCTCTCAGTGCCTTGCATGAGAAAACAAAACCTAAAATTAACTATCATCTTTCTCTATTTTCTGCCCTAGAATAAGTAATCAAAAGAGATCAGAAAGCCTACCTCCTTTGAAATAGACACTAAATTGAGCCCTTGAATATTGGCCTTGGGGAAATTTTTCTTGTTTCTGCTGGTATACAGTTTATTTTCGATGAACTTGAATTATAAGAGCTAAAATTGAAAGCTGGAATACAATTCTTACATGAACTTGAATCATAGGAGCCTTGAGAGGGAATATGGGTCATGCTGTGACAACTTGAACATCTAAAGGGCCTGACAACACCTGGAGAAACCCATCAAGACCAGATCCATAGGACTGGAAGTAGACTTAGAGAATTCTTTCTAGTTGTATTTTCTTGGGTAGTATGCAAGGTTTAATTGTACAAACAAGAAGTATATGTTGGTATCTACTATGTGTCAAAAATGTATGAGGCATTGGGAAGACAGGACTAAACAAAGACCCCTGTGGTCTTTGTGGTGATGGAGCTTCTAGGAGCAAGGAATGAATATAATTAGGTTTCTAGAGGTAAATGCCATTAAAACATAGGTTTTCAGAGTAAGTTTGTTCTCTTCTAACTTATTTGCATCTGAATAACTTAAGCTGATTCATCAAAGTTTGACAAGGGCACTGGGAATCTTGCAAGATAGAAGTTATTTCAATATGCATCAGGCTTTAGCAAAGCATGGCTTCCTATGTAAGCATGATGAAAAAACAATGCAGTCAGCAAGGCAATAATACAGAGAATTAAACCTTGAGACTCAATCAAGATTCTTTGTCTCAAGCAGCTTCTCTTACAATGAGGAAAACAAGAGCAAATTTGAGGGAGAATGAGTTCACCTAATCATCTATATTTATATAATTAAAATTAATATGCATGATAAATCTCTACATGATTAGAAAGATTGAAGAGCTGTAAGTATTCAGAGTGTGAGTTGTTTTATTCTGGGTGGTTTTACATGACTGTTTTCCCCTCTTCAACTGCAAGCTCTTCAGGAGAAGGGTCCAAAAAAACAGAATGAAATAACGATTACAGTTTTTGCTGTGTAAAGTATACATTAAAAACATGGGAAGACCATATGTTTTGTGATGTAAGACAGAAAAAAAAAAAAAAAACGCTCCAAAACCAGAAGGAAGACGAATCCTTTGTTTAGAGATACATATTAAATATATCCAATTAAGCTAAAATCAATCAGACCCTTCTAAATAACTATTTCAAAAGGAATTAGAATTCAAATGTATTTTGGCTAATGGAAAAAATGATTCTAACAAAACTAGTATGCAATTAATTTTAAAAAGCCAAAATATTTCTTACATGATTTTGTGTGTATTTTGATAATGTTTATGCTAAAAAAGATAAAGTTTAAAGCTTTCACTGATAAACAGGATTTCAGTCACTCAAGTACAGACTTAAGGCTTGCAGAATCACACATTTAACTTTTATGATGTGTCACCTGCCATTTAGGACTGCTAATAGTTAATTACTACTGTATCACTAGATTTATTAGATGACTTTGTCTTAGTAGTCCCTTTTGTCCACATAATCAAATTCAGAACATCTCATGGGACATCATCATAATCTGTTGTCATGACAGATTTTATTTACTATTTTGTGTGGCTTGAGGCCAAATAACCAGTTACTGATTTTTCACGTATAATGTAAAACGTGTTTCTCCTCAATGGATATGGCATCTGCATGATCTGCTTGCCTGTCCCTTCTCCTTTTTTGTAATAATGTTATGAAATATGTTAAACCAGTCTACAACATTCTCAGTTTCATCCTGTGTTTTCCTCTGACAAAGTCCGTGATGAAAACACCAGAGAGAGATTGGAACCAAACTAAATGGCCACCATACTTGGTCATATTATTGTCACTTCTGGCAGCAGATGGGGACAAGCACATTTTGGGGCATTTGTTTTCATCTGCTGCCAGAAACAAGATTCGTTTTCTGAGGCCCTTGGTTTTCCAACTTACATTATTGAATGAAAATGACTAATGTGAACTTACCCATTGTAAGACGTGTATTTTTACTCATGAGCTCCCATAAAAGTATCCTGCTTATTAGTTCATCTCTTCTCTCCATGATGTCTCTGAATTGCAACAGAGTTTAAAACACCAGTTTTCTGGACCAAGGTTTTTAACTGGAGCTCTTCATTGCCCCCAGTGGCTTTCATACAGTTCAGTACATCCCGATAGTTTTGGTGATTCATGAACTCTAGCTACTCCAAGACTTGGTGTTAGAAGAATTTCACAGCGCTGTTTGAATCCATTACTAGTATCTGAGCTTTTCAATAGTTAATTTCCTTTGGATAACGTTGTACTTTCTTAGAATCACCATTTGTCTTACTAATGGCAGTTGGAAAAGAAATTAATTTGTTTCCTTTCCTGAACTGAGCTGCAGTGTGAGCAAGATGGTTAAGAAAGTACCAGGCTTCAAACATGAAATTTATCCCTCCTTTTCACAAGAAGGCCTGAAAAAGCAACAAGAAATAGCTCTGCTGGGAGTGGTTCTATTGCTTCTCCATTCCCTATGTTGGTTGACCCTTTCATCTTTTACTATCTATAGCTCTCAGAATCTGTTTTCCAGCATCACTATTTGTTATCCTGACAGCGACATCACTTGCAGTGAAGAAGGCGAAGGCTAAAAATTTGTCTTTTCTCTCTACTTTGTTCAGGATTTTCTCCTGTGTTACCATGACAGATACAGAGCTATGAAGCTCTGAAACTTCATTATTTTTCTTTGTTTTTGCTTTTTTAAAAAGTAAAGGTTCACCAGTGACCGATTGAGAGCAAAACTTAAAACTGGCTCCACAAGTTTCTTTATAGAATCAAACTCTCTTAGTCACTGGGCTTTCACTCTTACTGAAGGGGTGCAGAAGATTCATTGTGCCATTTTCTTTCCCAATGAGATCAACAGAAATCCATGTAGAAATTCAGTTTTTAGTCTTAGCACTGCACTTAGAAATGCACCACAGCTTCTCCTTTACTTGGAACATTGTTTTTATTTTATAGCTCATTAGAAATTTTTAGGTGTTTCAGTTCATCATCCTGATATAAGGCATTACTCTCTAAATTCCCCTTTCATCAAGTGAGATGGTATCTGCTCTGCTGGTTGTGCCTAAAGCACTGCAGTGTGTGTCTGTGTTGTTTGGGTGGCTTTTCAGAGTGTCAGGTTTCCTTAAGGGGCCGAAAGCCAGGGGTTCATCCTGGAATGAATAATCATTAATCTTTATCCACTCAGTGTCCTTACCCACTCAGAGTAACACTCTGAGGGCTATTGCTTGGGGGTAATTTCTCTATTGTTCAAGTCAATTTTTACTACAAACTTTGAAACAGCAGGATTCAGTTTGGAGACCCTGTTTTAAGCGTTACGTATGGAATATTTTGTCTCTGTAGCCTCCAAATGGACAGAGTTTTGGCACTTCATGTGCAACCTTAGGATACTTCCCACAGAAGGACTTTGTTGACTCTCTTTGGTCTTAGCTCGGTATTGCTTCTGTCAGTTTTGCCAGCTTTGGACTTATGGAAATCTGTGGAAATCTTCCTTCAGAAATCAAAGCATTTATATCTTTTTTTCATGAAGCGCATATTTCAGGGTGGATGTTTCACAAATACAGCAAGGTATACAACAATTAAGGAAGAAATTGCACAGAGCTTATACATCATGCTTATGGTTATAGGATTTGTTTGGGGACTCAGGTAGGAGAGCAAGGAAATGAGTAGGGAGGCCAGGTCATGATGCATTATTCAACACTGCATAATTTTCAGGCAGCATACTTTGATGGGGATGTTACTGGAAATAAATATTGAGTTTCAGGTCACAGTGACTAGAGATTGCTTCAGGTTACAGCTGTAGGGCTATGGCTATTGGAACAATGCCACACCATACCACCTGATTACTGGGTAAAAGTCATCTCTTTTGTTCTTACATTTCCTTAAACAGATTCCCCTTCACAGAAGCCCAAAATGAGATAGAGGCTTGCAATTTAAAGTGTGCCTGAGGACCAGCAGCATCAGCATCACTTAGAAACCTGTTAGAAAAGTATACTACAAGCCTTACTGCAGATGTACTCAAGCAGTATTTGTATGTATATTAAAGTCCAAACAGCACTGGTATAGAGCAAGCCGTCGTATCTTCTCTAGGAATACTTATAGACAACAAAACATTGTTTCAGCTAGGATGAGAGCTTAACTTCCTATTTAGCAGCTGGAAGCATTTGAGGGGTTCCTTTTTTTTTAAAAAAAAACCAAAACTCCATGTGCCTTGAAGTGACCTGTTTCACAGGCTTACAGCCAGGCCATGTCAGTGGACAACAAGGCAAACCCACCTGCAGGTGGCCTACTCAAGCCCGGTCATGATACCTGCAGCATTTACAGTCCTATGAAGGTTCTCCTTGGGTTAAAGTAGAGCATGGCTGAGATTGATTCTGTATAATTTCTCCTAAAAACTAACTGATCTACCTATGTTAGGCATTTGATTTATTTGGTTAAAATGTCTGGGGTAGCTTCACAAATGATTTCTGCTTGGGAGATGTCCCAAGAAGGCAGTTAGTGTGGCACTGCAGTAGACTTTCTCTGCTGTTAAAGGGCCTGCAGGTCAGTCTCACACCAACCCCAAAGGCCCTAGAACTGCAGGGTCACTTGGGATCTGTCTCAAACTGGGGTCCTGGTGGGTCCTGATTTGACAGCCACTCTTGTCAAGCTGCAGGCTGTCTGGGGAAAGCTGGCTTGGAGTTGAATAGATCTTCTTGAGCAGTAACTTTTTAAAGGACTCTTTCTTCCTGCCCGCTAATAAGGAATAGCAGTCAGAATAGTAGCTTGCATGTCAGGTTTCTGGTTTAATGCTACATGTCCTGAGAAATTGAGTAAGTCATGTGACCTCTCTGAGTCTCTATCTTTTTCATTTAATGAAGAAGTATAGCACTATTATTGTCTGAAGCTGTGAAATTCTGAGTCCAGCACGCCTTTGGGATACTACATGGAGACTTCAAAATTTGAAGCTATGCCTTTACTTGAATTAAAATGTAAAAGAAGATCCTATCCTTCAAGTTGCTGGAGGCACAGCATACATTTTCACATGGACTGTGTGAAACTGACCTGTAGAGGCCTTGTTTTACAAAGATATTTAGGGAGAGTCTCACTGATGCAAGTATGATACCAGGGAACTTTTGAAGTGTCAAGGAGTAAGCAAGGTATACAATGATTAAGAAAGAAAATGCACAAAAGATGGGAGAGAGCAGGGGATTAGGTACTGAATCTACTGCAATAGTCTTTTCAGAAATAATCTAAGGAATGGTGTTAAAAGGAGCTGAAACTTTTGGGACCCAAAGGAGCATCTCTCTGGCATAATAGGAAAGCTGTCAAGAGTTGAATTGTCTTGTGTGACAATAAGATTAAGGTTGCCTATTTCTAATGAAATCAGAATCTTTACGGTCTCTGACCAATGTTCCCAAAGTGTCAAAACAATGCTAATTGCAGTCTCTGTGTTTAGGGAGCACCAGTCTTTGAGAACAAATGTTCAAATAATCAATCTAGATTTACCTCTTTGTGGAGAAAGACTGGAGTAGGGAGGAATAGAAGAAGACAACCGTCTGTTAGTCTAGTTCCTTCCTGTATTATTCTACAACAAAATATCTGGTACAGAGAACACAGAGCCTAGAGGGAGAAAGCCCAATATATGAATGCTGGGTAGTGCTTATCAGAAGGAAAACCCAGTGTATTCTAGGATCAGAGTATCTTAGATTGGGCTTTAGAAAGTAATCATACTATAGAGAGATTCAAATTCATTAGTAGGACATGCAAGTCAAAACAACAAGGATATGCTGCTTTTTACCCATTGTGTAGGGCAAACATTAGAGTCATATGATCCCTAGTGCCAGTGGTGGCATGGATACTCAGGAAATTTTGTGCAGCACAATAGTGATGAATGGGGAAGCCATTCTGGAAAGCAGTCTGGAAGCAAGTCTTAACACACGACTGCAGCTGTGTTTTGGCTGGGGGAGGGGAGAGGTGAGGAGCTTTGTATGGACTGATAACAAGTGGACTGTGTACTCGGGAGTCAAAGACTTAAGGAAAGAAGCAAAACATTGAATCAGTGGATTCAGGAAGCTATCTCTTTCAGCAAAATATTGGGAGACTCAGGTGACTCAAGGAGAAGGGGGAAACCATGGAGGGTGAACTAAGAAAAGTACTGGAATCCAACCCAATGGAGTAGAGGCTTCACCTAATGGGACTGTGTGGGCAATCCTTCCAATGGCCTCAGTTATAATGCTCCTTCCTCCAGTTGGTGACTTCATAATGTGACAAGCCACATGCATATGAAATATTAGAGAAGAGCACTAGCTAGCTCCATTTTTGGAGAAATTGCCTGCAGTAGACAAAGAGTGAGACCACAGGGCTAAAAATAAAAAAAGCGTTCTGAGCAAGCAAGCACAAACATTTCTTAGGTTTTGCAGTCCTAGTATCTCTTCAACTATGATGGCTGCAGGCAGTGTACACAAAGCAAGTGTTGTAGAATTCACAGCACCTCACCTATTACATTGTTAACACACTGTGTGGAAGGAAGGCCTTGGGGAAAGGAGGAACTTTGTATCTTGAGTAGCTTGTCTTGGGTCACCAGCAGAAGGCTACTGCTTTCATTATTATCTCTACCTTCTGCTGTCACGAAGTAGGGTTAGTTCACTCAAAGGGATTAGGATTGCTAGACAGGGGAATCAAGAGCTCAATGACTTAATTATGAAAGTCATATACCCACAGCACAAAAATTTTGGAATTTGGTATTTTGGAATTTTCAGAAAATGGCCATTTTTATCTCCCAAAGCTATAGCTATTGGGATTTCTTTCCATTCCATTTCATTTTTTTTCCCTAAGAAAACATGGTGCTTTCTTTTACTTAACATTAAATCACCTGTGGCTATTTTTCTAATGTTAATGGCACCAGTATAAATAGATGCACATTATTCCACAGACTTGATTTTGACATCTAGAGCTGCTGCTTTATAATGGTATGATCTTGGGCAAGTAACTTGTATTCCCAGGACCTGGTTTTCTACATGTGCAAGATGAGAGAAGTGGAGTAGAATAAAGCCTCCCTCTCAGCTAATGACCTGTCATAATGGTGGTGAAGCTGAGACTAAAGATCTGGTTCTTTCTTCTTCTTACATTGTGTCAATTCTGTATCAGTGAAAAAGATTTCAAAATATGCTGAATTAAAAGGTTCCTCCAATTCAGAAATTTCTTTAATTTTCTTGACAGGCTGTCCTCCCAGACTGTGGTTAGATTCTTTGCCAGGGAACTTTGGGCTTTCTAAAGCAGTCCATTGTTTTGCACAAGAGCTCAAATTGTGAGCATGTACTTCCTTGATTTGGATTGAAACTAGCCTCCATGTAACCTCTTTCCACTGGCCCTGGGTCTGCCCCCTGCAACAGTACAGAGTTGGTCTAATTCATCTTCCACTCAATAGCATTTCACATATGTCTTCTCTTCTCTAGGAAAACACCCAATTTCCCTGGAATGATCTCTTAAAAATATATCTTCTATATTTCTTGATTACACAAAATTTATTCTTTACATGCTTTCTGGTTTGTTCTTTATCCTCTAAAACTGTGATACTCAGCAAAGAACACAGTATGTGGTCTTGACCAGAAAAAGGTATGTTGGAATAATCTTTCTTCAGGTGGGTATCACTATTAACCAGATCACATCAATGTTTTCAGCAGTCAGATTGTGCTGTTGACCTACACAAAGACTCCAGTCAAAACTTTCTTGGGTCTGTCTCTCTCCCTCTTAATACATAAACAGCTATACATGCTTTTTTTTAGCCAAATAAAGTTACACACATTACTGCTAAATTTCTTGCTGTTGGTTTTGGTCAGTGCTTCTGGCATAATGAGGGAGACTTTCTGAATCTGGATTCTGCTTCCAGCTGTGTCATCTGCAAATTAAATCTTCATGTCATCTGAACCTTCATCTAAATTACTTGAAAATGGTAATCAAACAAAAATAGACACGTAGACCCACAGAACAGCATAGACAACCTGTTCCTATCTTCAAGAATTCTTGACTAAGTCACCAAAAGCGATTGCAGCAAAAACAAAAATTGACAAGTGGGATCTAATTAAACTAAAGAGTTTCTGCACAGCAAAATGAAACTATCAACAGAGTAAACAGAAAACGTACAGAATGGCAGACAATACTCTTAGAGTATGCATCCAATAAAGGCCTAATATCCAGAATCAGCAAGGAACTTAAATCACCAATAAAAAAACAACTCCATTAAGAAAAAGGGCAAAGGACATGAACAGATACTTCTCAAAAAATGACATAGAAGCGGCCCCAAAAAATATGAAAAAAATGTTCATTGCTAATCAGGGAAATGCAAATCAATACCACAATGAAGTAGCATCTCACACAGGTCATAAGGGCTATTTTTTAATTTTTTATTTTTATTTTCCTTTTTTATTATACGTTAAGTTCTAGGGTACATGTGTATAACGTGCAAGTTTGTTACATATGTATACATGTGCTGTGTTGGTTTGCTGCACCCATTAACTCATCATTTACATTAGGTATTACTCCTAATGCTATTCCTCCCTCATCCCCCACCCCACGACAGGCCCTGGTGTGTGATGTTCCCTGCCCTGGGTCCAAGAGTTCTCACTGTTCAATTCCCACTTATGAGTGAGAACATGCGGTGTTTGATTTTCTGTCCTTCCAATAGTTTGCTGAGAATAATGGTTTCCAACTTCATCCATGTTGCTACAAAGGACATGAACTCATCCTTTTTTATGGCTGCATAGTATTCCATGGTGTATATGTGCTACATTTTCTTAATCCAGTCTATCATTGATGGACATTTGGGTTGATTCCAAGTCTTTGCTATTTTGAATAGTGCTTCAGTAAACATACGTGTGCATGTGTCTTTATAGTAGCATGATTTATAATCCTTTGGGTATATACCCAGTAATGGGATGGCTGGGTCAAATGGTATTTCTAGTTCTAGATCCTTGCGGAATCGCCACACTGTCTTCCATGATGGTTGAACTAATTTACACTCCCACCAACAGTGTAAAAGCGTTCCTATTTCTCCACATCCTCTCCAGCACCTGTTGTTGCCTGACTTTTTAATGATCGCCATTCTAACTGGTGTGAGATGGTATCTCATTGTAGTTTTGATTTGCATTTATCTGATGACCAGTGATGAGCATTTTTTCATGTGTCTGTTGGCTGCATAAACGTCATCTTTTGAAATGTGTCTGTTCATATACTTTGCCCCTTTTTCATGGGGTTGTTTGATTTTTATCTTGTAAATTTGTTTGAGTTCATTGTAGATTCTGGATATTAGCCCTTTGTCAGATGAGTAGATTGCAAAAACTTTTTCCCGTTCTGTAGGTTGCGTGTTCACTCTGATGGTAGTTTCTTTTGCTGTGCAGAAGCTCTTTAGTTTAATTAGATCCCATTTGTCAATTTTGGCTTTTGTTGCCATTGCTTTTGGTGTTTTACTCATGCAGTCCTTGCCCATGCCTATGTCCTGAATGGTATTGCCCAGATTTTCTTCTACGGTTTTTATGGTTTTAGGTTTAACATTTAAGTCTTAATCAATCTTGAATTAATTTTTGTATACGGTGTAAGGAAGGGATCCAGTTTCAGTTTCCTACATATGGCTAGCCAGTTTTCCCAGCACCATTTATTAAATAGGAAATCCTTTCCCCATTTCTTGTTTTTGTCAGGTTTGTCAAATATCAGATGGTTGTAGATGTGTGGTGTTACTTCTGAGGCCTCTATTCGGTTCCATTGGTCTGTATCTCTTTTTTGGTACAAGTACCATGCTGTTTTGGTTACTGTAGCCTTGTAGTATAGTTTGAAGTCAGGTAGCATGATGCCTCCAGCTTTGTTCTTTTTACTTAGCATTGTCTTGGCAATGTGTGCTGTTTTTTGGTTCCATATGGACTTTAAAGTAGTTTTTTCCAATTCTGTGAAGAAAGTCATTGGTAGCTTGATGGGGATGGCATTGAATCTATAAATTACCTTGGGCAGTATGGCCATTTTCATGATATTGATTCTTCCTATCCATGAGCATGGAATGTTCTTCCATTTGTTTGTGTCCTCTTTTATTTCATTGAGCAGTGGTTTGTAGTTCTCCTTGAAGAGGTCGTTCACATCCCTTGTAAGTTGGATTCCTAGGTATTTTATTCTCTTTGTAGCAGTTGTGAATGGGAGTTGACTGATGATTTGGCTCTCTGTCTGTTACTGGTGTATAAGAATGCCTGTGATTTTTGCACATTGATTTTGTATCCTGAGACTTTGCTGAAGTTGCTTATCAGCTTAAGGAGATTTTGGGCTGAGACGATGGGGTTTTCTAGATATACAATCATGTCATCTGCAAACAGGGACAGTTTGACTTCCTCTTTTCCTAATTGAATACCCTTTATTTCTTTCTCCTGCCTGATTGCCCTGGCCAGAACTTCCAACATTATGTTGAGTAGGAGTGGTGAGAGAGGGCATCCCTGTCCTGTGCCAGTTTTCAAAGAGAATGCTTCCAGTTTTTGCCCATTCAGTATGATATTGGCTGTGGGTTTGTCATAAATAGCTCTTATTATTTTGAGATATGTCCCATCAATACCTAGTTTGAGAATTCTTAGCATGAAGGGCTGTTGAATTTTGTCAAAGGCCTTTTCTGCATCTATTGAGATAATCTAGTGGTTTTGTCTTTGGTTCTGTTTATGTGATGGATTATGTTTATTGAATTGCGTATGTTGAACCAGCCTTGCATTCCAGGGATGAAGCCAACTTGATCTTGGTGGATAGGCTTTTTGCTATGTTGCTGGATTTGTTTTGCCAGTATTTTATTGAGGATTTTTGCATCAATGTTCATCAGGGATGTTGGTCTAAAATTTTCTTTTTTTGTTGTGTCTCTGCCAGGCTTTGGTATCAGGATGATGTTGGCCTCATAAAATGAGTTAGGGAGGATTCCCTCTTTTTCTATTGATTGGAATAGTTTCAGAAGGAATGGTACCAGCTCCTCTTTGTACCTCTGGTAGAATTCAGCTGTGAATCCATCTGGTCCTGGACTTTTTTTGGTTGGTAGGCTATTAATTATTGCCTCAATTTCAGAGCCTGTTATTGGTCTATTCAGTGATTCAACTTCTTCCCAGTTTAGTCTTGGCACAGAGTATGTGTCCAGGAATTTATCCATTTCTTCTAGATTTTCTAGTTTATTTGCGTAGAGGTGTTTGTAGTATTCTCCGATGGTAGTTTGTATTTCTTTGCGATCAGTGATGATGTCTCCTTTATCATTTTTTATTATTTCTATTTGATTTTTCTCTTTTATTCTTTATTAGTCTTGCTAGGAGTCTATCAATTTTGTTAATCTTTTCAAAAAACCAGCTCCTGGATTTATTGATGTTTTTTGAAGAGGTTTTTTTTGTGTCTCTATCTCCTTCAGTTCTGCTCTGATCTCAGTTATTTCTTGTCTTCTGCTAGCTTTTGAATGTGTTTGCTCTTGCTTCTCTAGTTCTTTTAATTGTGATGTTAGGGTGTAGATTTTAGATTTTTCTTTCTTTTTCTTGTGGGCATTTAGTGCTATAAATTTGCCTCTATACACTGCTTTAAATGTGTCCCAGAGATCCTGGTACAATGTGTCTTTGTTCTCATTGGTTTCAAAGAACATCTTTATTTCTGCCCTCATTTCATTATTTACCCAGTAGTCATTCAGGAACAGGTTTTTCAGTTTCCATGTAGTTGTCTGATTTTGAGTGAGTTTCTTAATCATGAGTTCTAATTTGATTGCACTGTGGTCTGAGAGACAGTTTGTTGTGATTTCTTTTCTTCTACATTTGCCGAGGAGTGCTTTACTTCCAACTATGTGGTCAATTTTGGAATAAGTGCTATGTGGTGCTGAGAAGAATGTATATTCTGTTGATTTGGGGTGGAGAGTTCTGTAGATGTCTATTAGGTCTGCATGGTGCAGAGCTGAGTTCAAGTCATGGATATCCTTGTTAACCTTCTGTCTCATTGATCTGTCTAATGTTGACAGTGGGGTGTTAATGTCTCCCATTATTATTGTGTGGGAGTCTAAGTCTCTTTGTAGGTTTCTCAGGACTTGCTTTATGAATCTGAGTGCTCCTGTATTGGGTGCATATATATTTAGGATAGTTAGCTTTTCTTGTTGAATTGATCCCTTGACCATTATGTAATGACCTTCTTTGTCTCTTTATTTTTGTTGGTTTAAAGTCTGTTTCATCAGAGACTAGGATTGCAACCCTTGCCTTTTTTTGTTTTCCATTTGCTTGGTAGATCTTCCTCCATCCCTTTATTTTGAGCCTATGTGTGTCTCTGCATGTGAGATGAGTCTCCTGAAGTTAGCACACTGATGGGTCTTGACTCTTCATCCAATTTGCCATTCTGTGTCTTTTAATTGGCGCATTTAGTCCATTTACATTTAAGGTTCATATTGTTATGTATGAATTTGATCCTGTCATTATGATGTTAGTTGGTTATTTTGCTCGTTAGTTGATGTAGTTGCTTCCTAGCCTCGATGGTCTTTACAATTTGGCATGTTTTTGCAGTGGCTGGTACCGTTTTTTCCTTTCCATGTTTAGTGCTTCCTTCAGGAGCTCTTGTAAGGCAGGCCTGGTGGTGACAGAATCTCTCAGCATTCACTTGTCTGTAAAGGATTTTATTTCTCCTTCACTTATGAAGATTAGTTTGGCTGGATATGAGATCCTGGGTTGAAAATTCTTTCCTTTAAGAATGTTGAATATTGGCCCCCACTCTTTTCTGGCTTGTAGGGTTTCTGCTGAGAGATCCGCTATTAATCTGATGGGCTTCCCTTTGTGGGTAATCTTACCTTTCTCTCTGGCTGCCCTTAACATTTTTTCCTTCATTTCAACTTTGGTGAATATGACAATTATGTGTCTTGGGGTTAGTCTTCTTGAGGAGTATCTTTGTGGTGTTCTCTGTATTTCCTGAATTTGAATGTTGGCCTGCCTGGCTAGATTGGGGAAGTTCTCCTGGATAATATCCTGCAGAGTGTTTTCCAACTTGGTTCCATTCTCCCCGTCACTTTCAGGTACACCAATCAAACATAGATTTGGTCTTTTCACATAGTCCTATATTTCTTGGAGGCTTTGTTCATTTCTTTTTACTCTTTTTTCTCTAAGCTTCTCTTCTCACTTCATTTTGATCTTCCATCACTGATATTCTTTCTACCAGTTGATCTAATTGGCTACTGAAGCTTGTGGGTCACGTAGTTCTCGTGCCATGGTTTTCAGCTCCGTCAGGTTATGTAAGGTCCTCTCTACACTGGTTATTCCTGTTAGTCATTCGTTTAATCTTTTTTTAAGGTTTTTAGCTTCTTTGCAATGGGTTCAAACATCCTCCTTTAGCTCTGAGAAGTTTGTTATTACCGATCTTCTGAGGCCTACTTCTGTCAACTTGTCAAAGTCATTCTCTGTCCAGCTTTGTTCCATTGCTGGTGAGGAGCTGTGATCCTTTGGAGGAGAAGAGGCACTCTGGTTTTTAGAATTTTCACCTTTCTGCTCTGGTTTCTCTCCATGTTTGTGGTTTTATCTACCTTTGGTCTTTGATGATGGTGATGTATAGATGGAGTTTTGGTGTGGATGTCCTTTTTTGTTGATGTTGATGCTATTCCTTTCTGTCTGTTAGTTTTCCTTGTAATAGTTAGGTCCCTCAGCTGCAGGTCTGTTGGAGTTTGCAGGAGGTCCACTCCAGACCCTGTTTGCCTCGGTATCACCAGCGGAGGCTGCGGAACAGCAAATATTGTAGAACAGCAAATACTGCAGAACAGCAAATATTGCTGCCTGATCCTTCCTCTGGAAGCTTCATCTCAGAGGGGCACCTGGCTGTATGAGGTGTCAGTCAGCCCCTACTGGGGCTGGTACCTAGGTGGTAAAATAAACGTCAATACTTCCTTGGGATATTTAGAACCTAATAGCAAACTGTTAAGCTAAAAAATAGTTGAAGGCAAGAAAATTTTAGGGAAAAAAGTTGAGAGACTTGGCCTTCTAAATGTCAGGATTTGTTTATTTTAGTTGTATGAGACATTGTGGAATTGGTGTAAGTACATACAAGTAGATCAATGAGATTAAATAAATCAGTGAATATACCAGCACATATATGGAAACTTGATAAATAACAAATGGTTTTCAAAGGCGTACGCAGCAGACATAAGAATCAATTGAAGATCTAAATGTGGAAAACAGAATTTAGAATATAATAGGGGTTCAGCTTTATGACTTACAGAAGAGTGTCTTAACACAAAGTGTAATTTAGAGGTGAAACTATTGGATAACTTCAGATACATTCAAATTAACAACTATTTTTAATCTAAGGTACATGATAAAAATTAAAAGGTAAGCTGCAAACTGAGAGATACGTAATGCATATAACCGATGAAACAATAGTATCCAGAGTATATTAAAGGACTCTTATTATTAAGACTAACAACTCAGTATAAAAATGGGCAAAAGATATCAACAAGGAATTATCAGAAATGGACAACTGAATGGCCAATAGCCTCTGACCAAGATGGTTTTAACATTTCCCTCAGCCTGACTAACTTTTAGGCAGGCTTCTTCCTGATTCTAAGCCCCCCGACTACCCTTTTCTTAGAGCATTTACCTTGGAAAACTTCTAATTATAATTATTTCCTATGTCCCTTTCAGATACAAATCTTTTAAAAAGCCTCTCATGAGTTTTACAGTCTAAGAATTTCTTTCCCAAGGACCTGGGAGCTATCCCTTTGAAATGTAATCATCAAGGAAGATCACCCTTATCTGCCAGTCTTTGTGGAAGGGTAGGAACCTGAATTTAGTGGGCACCAATTAGCAAACACAGGTGACTTAGTCACAGAGAAAAACATTTGCAAACTCGCAAATAACTCCATGTCCTGACACATCCCACTGATAGACCTCATTCCTAATGTTCTCTTTTCCATTAGCTCACCCAATGTTTAAAAATCATCTTTCTTCCAGTGGAAGTTGAGTTCAGACTGCATTTTAGTCTCTCTTCACTATTGGAATAGGCTTGAATAGAGTCTTTATTTTAACTTTCTCCATTCAAGTTTTACTTCGACACCTCTGATCAGGAAAATACAAAATAAAGCTACACATGCATACAATTTAACAGCCACCAGAATGACAAATGTTAGTAAGATTGGAGAACAATAGGAGCTCTTCTGCAATCCTGGTGCAAATATAAATTGGCATAATCTTTATGGGGTACAATCTGGAAATCATAGAAGAGTTGAAGCTGTGCCTATCCTATCGTGAAACTATATATCCCATTTCTAGATATATACCCTAGAGAAACTCACTCAGGGCTACAGAAGATAAGTAGAGTAGTATTTATAGAAGCTATGTTTGTGATGACAAAAATTGGAAACAATCTAATTGTCCATAAGGGAGATAATGGATAACTAAATTATGGTATACCCATAAAATAGTATACTATCGGGCAGTGAATAAAGCTTGTAAATATTAAGTTGACCAAAGAAATGAAGTTGCAGGACAATACATATGGCATCATATCATAAATACGGACTTTAACAACATGCTAAATAATATATTTGTACACATCATTTAGCTCCCACTTGTAAGTGGGAACATGAGGCATTTGATTGTTGTTTCACTTAAGAAAATGCCTTCCAGTTCCATCTATGTTGCCGCATGAAACATTTTATTATTTTTTTACGGCTGAATGATATTCAAGAGTGTGTGTGTGTGTGTGTGTGTGTGTGTGTAACATTTTCTTTGTCCAGCTATCCATTGATGGACAATTAGGTTGATTCCATATGTAAACCAAAAAATATCTGAGACAGATCTAAATCAATTTAGAAGTTTATTTTGCCAAGGTTAAGGGTGCATTTGGGTGACAAGTCTTTGCCTTTATCCAAAGATGCTTTTGAGGGCTTCAATATTTAAAAGGAAAAAGCAGGCTGGAGGGGAAAGAGGGAGGATATAGTCATATTACCAAATTAATACATTGCAAGAGAAAATGAGCAGGTACGGGAAGAGTCAATCATGTTTTCAGCTCTTGCTCAGTAAATTGGCACTTTTCATAAGGTAAGGTGAACATATAGTAGCCTCTATGGAGATTTTTAACCTTCCATCTGTAGCTGTCTGCTTAGGAAGAATAGGAAAGGCAGCTTCTTGCATGATTCAGTTTTCAGCTTAATTTTTTTCACTTTGGCATAGTGAATTGTGGTGCCAGGTTCATATTTGCCTTTCACACATATCTTTGCTATTGTGAATAGTGCTGCAATAAACATATGGGTACAAGTATCTTTTTGATGTAATAATTTCTTTTCTTACTACCCAGTAGTGGGATTTCTGGATTGAAGGGGAATTCTAGTTTGGTTCTTTGAGAAATCTCCATAATGTTTTCCATAGAGGTGGTACTAAGTTACATTTCCACCAGTGGTGTATAAGTGTTCCCTGTAGAACAATAGACATTGGAAACTTGGGCGGGTGGGTGAAGGATGAGAAATTATGTAATTATTCGGAAGATGTTTACATTAAAAACCCAGACTATACCACTATACAATACATTCATGTAACAAAACTGCACTTGTGCTTCTTAAATTTACACACAAAAATCTTATATTTCCTAGAGATCCATACATATTACTGTGTATTTCTTTACATTTTTCTGTATAATGAACATCCAATTCTGAGAGCAGTTGCCTCTAATGGTAGAGGTGGAGAGAAGAGGGTCATGAATTAGCAAGGAACACATGGGGGATTTCACGTAGGTTGACCGTGTTTTACTTTATAAGCTGAGTAGTAGAAATACAGGGGTTATGATAGTCTTTATACATTTTATATGTCTAAAACATGATTATAAAGAGTGATTTTTGAGAAGAGTTGGGCACTTCGGTCTTACTGTTTCAACATCTGGGTGTCATTTCAGTTTTTTACTGTGTTCTTGAGGCAGAACACTCACAGAATTGTAAATGGAATTCAGCCAATTTTGAGCTGATTTTGGATATAATTCAAATCCTACCTCTGCCTCTGGAACACGGTGTGACCTCTGAGTCACTTTCTGGACACTGAAGCTTCCTTCAGGGATAAATGGAAATGGCAGTACTTGGCACACATGTTTTGGGAATACTATTTGGCACTCAGAGCCAATTATGCTTCTTCTACCTCAAAGGCAGGATAGTCAGAGACAATCACACCAGAGGTCCCAAGTAATTATGATTGAAATTAAAAAGTAGAGCGGGACTTGGAATTGAAGACGAGTTCCTTCGAAGATTCTTACTCTTCTTCCAGCTCAATTTTCGTGATGAGGCACCACTTTTCCTACACATTTGGGAGTTCCTGGGAACACCGGTGGGCTCTGGCAGCATTTCTAATGGTAAAGGCTCTAAATAGGAATAAGAGGCCAAGTGGGGTTTTTGTGGTAAACTCCCTGAGTGAGGTTGGCTGATGGTAGGGGAATGCCACTGCTGCTTATTTGCTACTCACTGCTAAACTTCCAGGTGAACCATGCAGAGGGACTTCTACCTATTTTAGAAACCTGTCAGAGAATGCTGTCAGAAACTAATGGTGAAACATATAATATGAAAATTAATAGAGACATACAGAAATTCTTGCATTTGTTTTAACAAATAAATGCTATAATAGAATTATAGATTTGTTGCTCAGTAGTTGTGAGAAAAAGGTCTGGGAGATTTTAGTTGATGAAAAAGCTCAAAGTAAGCCAAGAGGGTGATATCATCACCAAATAGTTTCATTCTGTTTTAGGCTGCATTAATAAAAGTATGACACATAAAATGGAGAGGTGATAGTCCCTGCTATACTGTGAGATAGCAAGAAAACATCTAGAGTATTGTGTTCAGTTCCAGATAACACACTTTAGGTTGGATATTAATGAACTGGAGTCTCCAGAGCAGCATTTCAGAGCTGATCGATGAATTATTTGTATCCCAAATGAGATGTTGATAGGTATTCTGGGGAAAAAGGTGCCATTGTCACAAAAGACTACATATTAAAACTGCTTTCTATATGCTCAAAATTAGCATATTGAGGAATCTGTCTAGTCCTATATTAGAAATCCATCTGACTTGATTATGCTACTCAAACATTTGACAAAACAATTTTTTTAAAAAAAGTATTTCAGATATGTATGAAGACCTTAATATATTATAAGGCTCCTCATTTTAGGACAGCTAAATAAGTCCCTACAGCAAAGAAGCAATGTTTTTGAGTGCTCTGTAGTTAATCTTACCACTCTTTTTCTGTTAAATTTGTATTACAGAATGCGTTTTTGATTGGCAAGAGAAATTAAAGAATGACTCACATTCTCTCTAGCCCACTCACAACCTCCCACTTATTTGAACAAAACAGCAGGCACTAAATAAGAGGAAAGATGCTTGTTTTGGGTTTTTGTGCATAGGCAGTAGGTACAGAAGGCACATGTAGAGGTAGCACTGAACACACTTATTCCTATACTTGGGCTCTAGGTCCCAAGGCAGAATACCCTTGATGAGAGGCAGCTGATGGTGCATGTGATGATAATGGGCCTTCTGGCACTATACCATGGACTATGCTATATCTCCAGTTTGGTTCATTGGTTGAAATGGGAGAAGTTGTAAAAAACCAGACTTGTTCTCAAAGATTGTCTGAGCAAGCAAGATGTGTCCTCTAGGAAATCCACCCTCTGATAGGCCCACTGATAAAATAGCTAAAATTTAAGAGTGACAACATCTTGTTCTAGCAAGGAGGTGGAACAACTGCAATTCTCATAGATGACTGGTGGAAGTGCAAGATGGTACAGCTACCTAGAGAAACTTTGGTAGTTTTTTTTATAAAGTTAAACATAATTTTAACCAAATGGTTCAGCAGTTTCACTTCCAAAGGAATTTATAACATATGTGCAGACAAAACTTATATGAAAGTGTTCTTAGTAGCTTTATTCACAATCCCTAATCCACTCCTAGGTGCTTACCTAAGAGAAAGTGTGTCCATTCAAATACTTGTACATAATTGTTAGTAGTAGCTTTACTTGTGATAGCCCCAAACTGGAAACAACAGAATTGTCATCAATGAGTGATTGACAGATTATTATATATCCGCACAATGGAGCATATCATTCAGCAATAAGAAAGAACATTGATTCATGCAACAACATAGATGAATATCAGAAGCATTTTGCTGAGTGAAAAAAGTCAGACATAAAAGCAATGTACTGTATGATTCCATTTATATGGCAGACAACACATCAGTGGCTGTCAGGATCGGGGGAGGGAGGGACTAAGTATAAAGGGACATGAGGGAATACTTTTGGTGAAGGAAATGTTCTGTATCTTGATTGTGGTGATTGTTATGACTGTTCGTCAAAATTAGTATACACTTTAAGAAAGGTGAGTTATATTATATGTAAATTTTACCTTGAATCTTGGAGCAAAAATTAAGACATAGACAGAAAAATCCCAGAAAAGCACAAACAAAGTGTGAGTGAAAATATTAACATCAAACAAACTGAAATTTAGTGTTAAATATATTAACAAGGTAATATTAACAAGCCATGTTTAGATGACCTGATGGTCATGGACTGTAAGTACCTGACAGTGTAGCAGCCGAATATATAAAATACGAGCTATTAGTTGTGTGTGAAAAACTTGATGAAATACAATTACAATGTGGGAGATTTTGCTATACTTCTTTCAGAATCAAATATAGTAAACAAAAAGGCAGAGAAATTGAATGCAGTCATCCCTGGGTATATGCAGAGTATTGTTTCCAGGACCACCACATTTACCAAAATCCACACATATTCAAGTCCCACAATTGGTCCTTTAAAACCTGTGCATATGAAGAGTTGGCTCTCTGTAAAAATGAATTTTACTTCCTGTGAATACTGTATTTTCCTTTTGTGTTTGGATAAAAGAATCCAGATATAAGTGACCTGTGCAGTTCAAATCCACATTGTTAAAGGGTCACCTGTAATACAAAACCTAACATGATATATATATATATCTTCTATATACAGAACTTGACAGTCCTTGAAAAGAGAATATACATTTTTTTCTAAAAACATGGAATATTAAAAATTGACCATATACTTGGCCAAAAAGAAAACCGTAAATGCTAAAATCATAAAACAAATTTTGGGGTTTTCTACCTTTTTCTGTTATCTGGGTATATACATAAGTAAATTTAAAAAATAGGTTTGGTGTGACCAGAAATATGCATGAAATAATACTAGAGAAAACATATTGAGCAATAGCAGAGGGGATTATGATTCTGTTTTAGTTAAAAAGCAAAAAAATTTGATAAAGTGACAAATGAAAATGCAAATACTTGTGCAAGTAAGGAGAGGATATAGAGGGACACATGCTAGATTATTATCATTGGTTATCTCAAATGAGGGTTTGTGGGAAGAGGATTAGCATTTTCATCATACATTTTCCTGATGTTTCATGTGCTATAATTCTGATTTATTGGAAATAACATTGAGTAAAAAAATCTTAAAAACAGTGAATGACATAATGGACATAAAGCTTTTGATGTTTTTCTTTATAGATTGTCTTCATTCTCAAGTCTTAATCCTTAATCCTTGGGGCATAGAGCTTTTGATGTTTTTCGTCATAGATTGTTTGTTATCATTCTCAAGTCTTAATCTTTGGGTGACATTTGCAGTCCCTTCCTTGTCTCTTCTCATTCCCTATGAGTGTTCTATAGATTGTAGAGGAATATAAAGTAGCTCTTGTAAGGGAATTAGGTATTCTTAACCATCCCTGATCCTGAAGTTTCAGGTCTATCCTTGTTTATAATATGTGCATGTGTATCTTCTACCATTAACTAATTTTAGAAATATTTGTGTGAATACTACATCCTAGCTACTCTGCTAGGCCCTGCAGATACAGTCAGGAAATAAGCTAGGCCTAGTTCCCTCCCTTAAGGAAGTTATATTCTGGTGGATGTACCCAGAAGGGACAGGAGTGTTTCCAAGCAGAGACATTCAAGTTAAGGCCTAAAAGGGAAACTAGGCTAACACCCTAGAAAATGTTCTGAAAATAAAACAAAACCAGTCATTTTAAACATTTACAGAGTCTTTATGCTAAGAAAGACTAAGATTTTCCAACTTATGAACTTCGCTCTTACACTAACTGAAGCCCCATTCAACTTGATCAAAGAATTTAGTGCTTGGGTTTAATTGAGTGAAAATGAAGTTAACATATCATTGGCAACAAGTGGAAACCATAGTTATTCAACATGAACAATTAATTGCAGCTATTGCAGCTTGAAATGCCATGAGTTATTCATATAAGGTTTCTGCTACAGCTGAGTGGGAGGCAATACAGCGTATGCAGTCTCTCTGGGACCCTCAGGACACACAAAGGAAGTGACAATTGCTTTATGAAATCTTCCTGTTCTTTTCAAATGCATTGCACAGCAAAAATCTTATTCAGTGCTTTGTTAGACCATCCTCTGTTTCAGCAGATGTCTATAGTCCTAAAATAAATTTTTTCCCTACTTAATGCTTCTATTAAAAGTCTCTCTCTTCATTCTCAGCAAACTAACACAGGAACAGAAAACCAGCATCGCATGTTCTCACTCATAAATGGGAGTTGAACAATGAGAACACATGGACACCGGGAGGGGAACATCGCACTCCAGGGCCTGTAGTGGGGTCAGGGGCTAGGGGAGGGATAGCATTAGGAGAAATACCTAATGTAGATGACAGGTTGATGGGTGCAGCAAACCACTACGGCACGTGTATACCTATGTAATAAACCTGCACATTCTGCACATGTATCCCAGAACTTAAAGTGTAATAATAAAAAGTCCCTTGTGGCCATATATAGTAGTAACCTCCATGTTACTAGAAACACTTCAGAAGAATCTGGTTACAATATGCATATTTGGAGCATGTTGGGATATTGATCTCAAATATCTGAAGTTACTCTGCTATCCCAGAGGACTTGAGGAAATAATCATTTGGGGAGAAAGGCAAAACGTAGCCCAGAGAAAAGGAATTTGACACCGGTGAGTACTATGGGTGTTTTTTATATTAATTTTTAAGGAACCAACAACCACAATAAAATTAGAACAGTTTGCTTAAAAGCAGAGTATGCATTTAAATGTAGATAAGACCTGCTAGCTTAATAGATTATCCAGTCACTTTGAGTTAGTTGTGTCTTTAGTCTATACAGGAATGTGTATGTGTGTGTGTGTGTTAGTAAGTCTGCCTGTTGATCTATCCTATGATGTAGTTGTGTTTTTATTTCTAGTTCTTCTATATAATCCAGCTTGACTTAAAAATTAGTGTTTTAATCAATGGCTTTAGGGGCAAAAATGGTGTTTGGTTACATGGATGAATTATATAGTGGTAAAGTCTGGGCTTTTAGAGTACCCATCACCTGGATTGTGTACATTGTACCCAATCGGTAATTATTCATCCCTCTCTCTCCCTCATCCCCAATTCTGAGTCTTCAGTGTCAACACATTATATCATTCTATACTTTTGTGTACCCATAGCTTAGCTCCCACCTATAAGTGAGCATGTGAGGTATTTGATTTCCACTTCCTGAGTTACTACAGTTAGGATAGTGACCTCCAGTTTAACCAAATGGGAAAGATCCAGGAAAATCATTCTGACAATATGAAAAAACAGTTCTATAGCACCCTGCAAAAAGGTTACACTAACTCTCCAGCAGTAGATCCAAACTAAAATAAAATCTTCAGAATACCAGATAAATTATTCAGAATGTTATTAATTGGTTCAGTGTTGTCCATAAGAAAGTAAAAAACCAACATAAAAAAAATTCAGGATACGAATGAAAAATTTTCTAAAGAGATATTTTAAAGAAAAACCAAACAGAACTTCCAGAAATGAAAGATGCATTTCGGGAATTACAAAATGTAGTGGAAAGTTTTAACAATAGATTAGACCAAATAGAAGAAAGAATTTCAGAGCTTGAAGACAAGCCTTTCAAATTAACCCAATCAGACAAAACTGGAGAAAAAATTAAAATGAATAGATTTTCTAAGAAATATGAGATTATGTAAAATATCCAAAACTAAAAATCATAGGTACAGGAGGGAAGAAAAGCAGAAAGTTTGAAAAACCTATTTGAGGAATTAATTGAGGAAAACTTTGCTGGTCTTGGTAGAGATTTGGACATCCATTAAAAAAGCTCAAAGAACACTCGGGAGATTCACTGCCGAAAGGACATTACCAAGGTATACGGGCATCAGGCTATCTAAAGTCTACATGAAAGAAAGAATTCTAAGAGCAGTGAGACAGAAGCATCAGATAACTTGTAAAGGAAAACCTGTGTTACTAACAGCAGAATTCTCAGCAGAAACTTGACAAGCCAGAAGAAATTGAGGTCCTATCTTTAGAGCCCTCAGGTGGAATAACTGTCAGCCAAGTATTTTGTATACAGCAAAACTGTTTCATAAATGAAGGAGAAATAAAGTTTTTCCCAGATAAGCAAATGCTGAGGAACTCATCACCAGTAGACAAGGCCTAGAAGAACTGATAAAAGATAAAGGTAGATAAATACCAGTATAAAAACTATCTAAACAAAAGGTCAGTAAACACCAGTATAAAAACACTTGAAAGCATAAAACTCACAGGGCTTACAAAAACAATGACAAAATGAAGAAAACAATGCAACTAGGTAAAACATCATGACTGGAACAATGCCTCACATATCAATATCAACATTTAATATGAGTGGTCTACATGTTCCACTTAAAAGATAGATTGGTAGAATGAATAAAAAACACATACAAATATCTGCAGTTTTCACGTGACCCACCTAGCAGGTAAAAATTGTTATAGACCTAAAATAAAGGGGTGGAAAAAATACTGTACACAAATGGAAACCAAAAGCAGGAGTAGCTATTACATGTGATAACAGACTTAAGTCAACAACAATTAAAAAAAAAAGACAAAAAAGGTGATTATATAATGATAAAGGCATTTATTAAACAAGATATAACAATTCTATGGGTATTTTTAAAACTAGGACAATGAGAGTCCCATCTACTTGATGTAAGTAACTATTCAGAAAATAAGACATCTAGCTGCTTGATTATACAATCTGAAAATTTTTAGAGACCTGCATTTAAATCTTTTCCACTTCCCACATGTGTTTTCTTATTTTGGTTATCTAGAAGTTCTAGATTTAAAAGAAAACGTCAGTCAGGAAAAACTGTGAAAGACAAAAGAAAGATGAATGAGTGTCTTGCCTAACTCATCCATCTGGGTTCTTTTTGTCTTTCATTGCTTTGAGTTACGTTACAATTTTGAAAATTGTAGAAACCTAATAATACAAATGATTGGCTAGTGAAGTACACACTTACTGTGTGTAGTTAAACATTTATTGCTTGTGGATAGCCCATTTTGCATTTGTGAACTCATTTCAGAGTTTCTTCTTCCCTATATATGTGTCGTCATTTTGAATTCCCACATATTAAATGAAACCACATCTTACAGACTTCCTTGTTAATTAATTAAACAAAATGTACAATATGTGTTTATATGAAAGTCATATTCTTTTCTAAAATAATCTTAGAAGAATGGTACAAGATTATGGGATAGAATTTTAGATATTGTCCCCCACCTCCCAGCAGAAACATCAACTTGAACCACTAGCTGTACATGCAAATGATTTCACAAGGGCTAAGATAATGAGATGAGAGATAACAGTACCTAGTTGAAGGAAGACATGTAGTAAAATACATACTGTAGAGAGTAGGAAGGACAGTTTTATATTACTCACTGATACGATTTGGATCTGTATTTCCACAAAATCTCATGTTGGATTGTAATGCCCACTGTTGGGAGGTATGGTCTGGTGGGTGGTGATTGGATCATGGGGGTGGGTTTCTCATGAATGGTTTAGCACCATCTTCCCTTGGTACTGTCCTCATCATAGTGAGTTCTCAAGAGATCTGGTCATTTGAAAATGTGTAGCATCCTACCCCTTCTCTCTCTCTTGCTCCTTCTCCTGCCATGCAAGATGTATCATTCCCCCTTTGCCTTACACCATGATTGGAAGCTTCCTGAGATCTTCCTAGAAACACATGCTGCCATGTTTCCTTTGCAACCTGCAGAACCATGAGTGAGTTAAACCTCTTTTCTTAAAAATTATTCAGTCTGAGATACTTAATAGCAATGTGAGAATGGACTAATACACCTACCTCAGCCCTCCTCCAACTTCAGGCAGCAGTGTAGAGAAGAGATACTGCTCACTTGAGGAAAAGAGAAGGAAGTGAGACTTTGCCTTGGACCTGAACTCTGGGCCCACCACAGTAAATGCCAGTACTGAGAAGGCCCTGATGGCCCCATGGCTTATACCTGTGGACTGAGACTCTAGAGTTGCTTCAGTGCCAGGTAAGACCAGACAGCCCCAAACTTCAGGCTTGTGTGGTAAACTTGATTTCTGGCCTTCGCCACTGCCAGGTTGGCTCTGAATGGCCCTCAGCAGCAGGCAGACCTCAGTGTCCCTAGGCTTCTAATATGCCCTAGTGTTCCACTTGCCAAAGTGGGACCCAGGCTTCCTGGAAGGGTTAGACAAGCTGAAACTTCACTAGGCTTCTGGCATACCCAGCACTGAGCATGCCATAGAACTTTCCCAGACAAAGCCAGTCTGTGAAGGTTGAGATAATTACCTACTTCTTCAAGTATACAGAGATCAGTGCATGACCACAAAGATCAAGAATGTTCAGGGAAACATGCATCACCAAATGCACAAAGTAAGGTGCCAGTGACTGACCCTAAAGAAATGAAAATGGACTGCCTCACAAACAATTCAAAATAATTGTTTTTAAAAAGCTCAGTGAATTTCAATAGAATAGAAAATCAATTCAAAAGGAGGAAAACAGCAAGTGTTCAGAATAAAAAATTTAAAAGGGAGATTGAAATAACAGAGAAAACCTGTAGTTGAATAAGAAAATGAACAAAATAAAAAATGTAATAAAGAACATCAGCAAAATTGATCAAGCAGAAGAAAGAATGTGAAAGATTATTTGAAAAAGGAAGTAAAATATTGAAAAAGAAATCTATTGGATTTATAGGAAAGCATCAAAACAGCAAATTTTTAAGTCATAGCAGTTCAAGAAGAGAAAGGTAAATGAGTAGAAAGCTTATTTAATGAGGCGGTGGATCACGAGGTCAGGAGATTGAGACCATCCTGGGTAACACAGTGAAACCCCATCTCTACTAAAAAAAAAAAAAAAATACAAAAAATCAGCTGGGTGTGGTGACAGGTGCCTGTAGTCCCAGCTGCTTGGGAGGCTGAGGCAGGAGAATGGCGTGAACCTGGGAGGCAGAGTTGCAGTGAGCCGAGATGATGCCACTGCACTCCAGCCTGGGTGACAGAGTGAGACTCCGTCCTAAAAAAAAAAAAAAAAAAAAGGCAGAAACCTTTATAAACCTGGTGAAAGAGGTAATTATCGATTCATTTCTTTTAGCTGTTTTATAGAAGTCCATCACATGAATATACCACATTTTATTTGTCAATTTCCTTATTGCTGGATGCTTAGATTGTTCCAGTCTTCACTCTTAAAAATATGCTATAGTGAGGGGAGGAGCCAAGATGGCCGAATAGGAACAGCTCCGGTCTACAGCTCCCAGCGTGAGCGACGCAGAAGACGGGTGATTTCTGCATTTCCATCTGAGGTACCGGGTTCATCTCACTAGGGAGTGCCAGACAGTGGGCGCAGGCCAGTGTGTGTGCGCACCGTGCGCGAGCCGAAGCAGGGCGAGGCATTGCCTCACCTGGGAAGCGCAAGGGGTCAGGGAGTTCCCTTTCCGAGTCAAAGAAAGGGGTGATGGACGCACCTGGAAAATCGGGTCACTCCCACCCGAATATTGCGCTTTTCAGACCGGCTTAAGAAACGGCGCACCACGAGACTATATCCCACACCTGGCTCAGAGGGTCCTACGCCCACGGAATCTCGCTGATTGCTAGCACAGCAGTCTGAGATCAAACTGCAAGGCGGCAACGAGGCTGGGGGAGGGGCGCCCGCCATTGCCCAGGCTTGCTTAGGTAAACAAAGCAGCCGGGAAGCTCGAACTGGGTGGAGCCCACCACAGCTCAAGGAGGCCTGCCTGCCTCTGTAGGCTCCACCTCTGGGGGCAGGGCACAGACAAACAAAAAGGCAGCAGTAACCTCTGCAGACTTAAGTGTCCCTGTCTGACAGCTTTGAAGAGAGCAGTGGTTCTCCCAGCACGCAGCTGGAGATCTGAGAACGGGCAGACTGCCTCCTCAAGTGGGTCCCTGACCCCTGACCCCCGAGCAGCCTAACTGGGAGGCACCCCCCAGCAGGGGCACACTGACACCTCACATGGCAGGGTATTCCAACAGACCTGCAGCTGAGGGTCCTGTCTGTTAGAAGGAAAACTAACAACCAGAAAGGACATCTACACCGAAAACCCATCTGTACATCACCATCATCAAAGACCAAAAGTAGATAAAACCACAAAGATGGGGAAAAAACAGAACAGAAAAACTGGAAACTCTAAAACGCAGAGCACCTCTCCTCCTCCAAAGGAACGCAGTTCCTCACCAGCAACAGAACAAAGCTGGATGGAGAATGATTTTGACGAGCTGAGAGAAGAAGGCTTCAGACGATCAAATTACTCTGAGCTACGGGAGGACATTCAAACCAAAGGCAAAGAAGTTGAAAACTTTGAAAAAAATTTAGAAGAATGTATAACTAGAATAACCAATACAGAGAAGTGCTTAAAGGAGCTGATGGAGCTGAAAACCAAGGCTCGAGAACTACGTGAAGAATGCAGAAGCCTCAGGAGCCGATGCGATCAACTGGAAGAAAGGGTATCAGCAATGGAAGATGAAATGAATGAAATGAAGCGAGAAGGGAAGTTTAGAGAAAAAAGAATAAAAAGAAATGAGCAAAGCCTCCAAGAAATATGGGACTATGTGAAAAGACCAAATCTACGTCTGATTGGTGTACCTGAAAGTGATGTGGAGAATGGAACCAAGTTGGAAAACACTCTGCAGGATATTATCCAGGAGAACTTCCCCAATCTAGCAAGGCAGGCCAACGTTCAGATTCAGGAAATACAGAGAACGCCACAAAGATACTCCTCGAGAAGAGCAACTCCAAGACACATAATTGTCAGATTCACCAAAGTTGAAATGAAGGAAAAAATGTTAAGGGCAGCCAGAGAGAAAGGTCGGGTTACCCTCAAAGGGAAGCCTATCAGACTAACAGCAGATCTCTCGGCAGAAACCCTACAAGCCAGAAGAGAGTGGGGGCCAATATTCAACATTCTTAAAGAAAAGAATTTTCAACCCAGAATTTCATATCCAGCCAAACTAAGCTTCATAAGTGAAGGAGAAAGAAAATACTTTACAGACAAGCAAATGCTGAGAGATTTTGTCACCACCAGGCCTACCCTAAAAGAGCTCCTGAAGGAAGCACTAAACATGGAAAGGAACAACCGGTACCAGCCGCTGCAAAATCATGCCAAAATGTAAAGACCATCGAGACTAGGAAGAAACTGCATCAACTAATGAGCAAAATCACCAGCTAACATCATAATGACAGGATCAAATTCACACATAACAATATTAACTTTAAATATAAATGGACTAAATTCTGCAATTAAAAGACACAGACTGGCAAGTTGGATAAAGAGTCAAGACCCATCAGTGTGCTGTATTCAGGAAACCCATCTCACGTGCAGAGACACACATAGGCTCAAAATAAAAGGATGGAGGAAGATCTACCAAGCAAATGGAAAACAAAAAAAGGCAGGGGTTGCAATCCTAGTCTCTGATAAAACAGACTTTAAACCAACAAAGATCAAAAGAGACAAAGAAGGCCATTACATAATGGTAAAGGGATCAATTCAACAAGAGGAGCTAACTATCCTAAATATTTATGCACCCAATACAGGAGCACCCAGATTCATAAAGCAAGTCCTGAGTGACCTACAAAGAGACTTAGACTCCCACACATTAATAATGGGAGACTTTAACACCCCACTGTCAATATTAGACAGATCAACGAGACAGAAAGTCAACAAGGATACCCAGGAATTGAACTCAGCTCTGCACCAAGCAGACCTAATAGACATCTACAGAACTCTCCACCCCAAATCAACAGAATATACATTTTTTTCAGCACCACACCACACCTATTCCAAAATTGACCACATAGTTGGAAGTAAAGCTCTCCTCAGCAAATGTAAAAGAACAGAAATTATAACAAACTATCTCTCAGACCACAGTGCAATCAAACTAGAACTCAGGATTAAGAATCTCACTCAAAGCCGCTCAACTACATGGAAACTGAACAACCTGCTCCTGAATGACTACTGGGTACATAACGAAATGAAGGCAGAAATAAAGATGTTCTTTGAAACCAACGAGAACAAAGACACCACATACCAGAATCTCTGGGACGCATTCAAAGCAGTGTGTAGAGGGAAATTTATAGCACTAAATGCCTACAAGAGAAAGCAGGAAAGATCCAAAATTGACACCCTAACATCACAATTAAAAGAACTAGAAAAGCAAGAGCAAACACATTCAAAAGCTAGCAGAAGGCAAGAAATAACTAAAATCAGAGCAGAACTGAAGGAAATAGAGACACAAAAAACCCTTCAAAAAATCAATGAATCCAGGAGCTGGTTTTTTGAAAGGATCAACAAAATTGATAGACCGCTAGCAAGACTAATAAAGAAAAAAAGAGAGAAGAATCAAATAGACACAATAAAAAATGATAAAGGGGATATCACCACCGATCCCACAGAAATACAAACTACCATCAGAGAATACTACAAACACCTCTACGCAAATAAACTAGAAAATCTAGAAGAAATGGATACATTCCTCGACACATACACTCTCCCAAGACTAAACCAGGAAGAAGTTGAATCTCTGAATAGACCAATAACAGGCTCTGAAATTGTGGCAATAATCAATAGTTTACCAACCAAAAAGAGTCCAGGACCAGATGGATTCACAGCCGAATTCTACCAGAGGTACAAGGAGGAACTGGTACCATTCCTTCTGAAACTATTCCAATCAATAGAAAAAGAGGGAATCCTCCCTAACTCATTTTATGAGGCCAGCATCATTCTGATACCAAAGCCGGGCAGAGACACAACCAAAAAAGAGAATTTTAGACCAATATCCTTGATGAACATTGATGCAAAAATCCTCAATAAAATACTGGCAAACCGAATCCAGCAGCACATCAAAAAGCTTATCCACCATGATCAAGTGGGCTTCATCCCTGGGATGCAAGGCTGGTTCAATATACGCAAATCAATAAATGTAATCCAGCATATAAACAGAGCCAAAGACAAAAACCACATGATTATCTCAATAGATGCAGAAAAAGCCTTTGACAAAATTCAACAACCCTTCATGCTAAAAACTCTCAATAAATTAGGTATTGATGGGACGTATTTCAAAATAATAAGAGCTATCTATGACAAACCCACAGCCAATATCATACTGAATGGGCAAAAACTGGAAGCATTCCCTTTGAAAACTGGCACAAGACAGGGATGCCCTCTCTCACCGCTCCTATTCAACATAGTGTTGGAAGTTCTGGCCAGGGCAATCAGGCAGGAGAAGGAAATAAAGGGTATTCAATTAGGAAAAGAGGAAGTCAAATTGTCCCTGTTTGCAGACGACATGATTGTTTATCTAGAAAACCCCATTGTCTCAGCCCAAAATCTCCTTAAGCTGATAAGCAACTTCAGCAAAGTCTCAGGATACAAAATCAATGTACAAAAATCACAAGCATTCTTATACACCAACAACAGACAAACAGAGAGCCAAATCATGGGTGAACTCCCATTCACAATTGCTTCAAAGAGAATAAAATACCTAGGAATCCAACTTACAAGGGATGTGAAGGACCTCTTCAAGGAGAACTACAAACCACTGCTCAAGGAAATAAAAGAGGACACAAACAAATGGAAGAACATTCCATGCTCATGGGTAGGAAGAATCAATATCGTGAAAATGGCCATACTGCCCAAGGTAATTTACAGATTCAATGCCATCCCCATCAAGCTACCAATGACTTTCTTCACAGAATTGGAAAAAACTACTTTAAAGTTCATATGGAACCAAAAAAGAGCCCGCATTGCCAAGTCAATCCTAAGCCAAAAGAACAAAGCTGGAGGCATCACACTACCTGACTTCAAACTATACTACAAGGCTACAGTAACCAAAACAGCATGGTACTGGTACCAAAACAGAGATATAGATCAATGGAACAGAACAGAGCCCTCAGAAATAATGCCACATATCTACAACTATCTGATCTTTGACAAACCTGAGAAAAACAAGCAATGGGGAAAGGATTCCCTATTTAATAAATGGTGCTGGGAAAACTGGCTAGCCATATGTAGAAAGCTGAAACTGGATCTCTTCCTTACACCTTATACAAAAATCAATTCAAGATGGATTAAAGATTTAAACGTTAAACCTAAAACCATAAAAACCCTAGAAGAAAACCTAGGCATTACCATTCAGGACATAGGCGTGGGCAAGGACTTCATGTCCAAAACACCAAAAGCAATGGCAACAAAAGCCAAAATTGACAAATGGGATCTAATTAAACTAAAGAGCTTCTGCACAGCAAAAGAAACTACCATCAGAGTGAACAGGCAACCTACAAAATGGGAGAAAATTTTCGCAACCTACTCATCTGACAAAGGGCTAATATCCAGAATCTACAATGAACTCAAACAAATTTACAAGAAAAAAACAAACAACCCCATCAAAAAGTGGGCGAAGGACATGAACAGACACTTCTCAAAAGAAGACATTTATGCAGCCAAAAAACACATGAAGAAATGCTCATCATCACTGGCCATCAGAGAAATGCAAATCAAAACCACTATGAGATATCATCTCACACCAGTTAGAATGGCAATCATTAAAAAGTCAGGAAACAACAGGTGCTGGAGAGGATGTGGAGAAATAGGAACACTTTTACACTGTTGGTGGGACTGTAAACTAGTTCAACCATTGTGGAAGTCAGTGTGGCGATTCCTCAGGGATCTAGAACTAGAAATACCATTTGACCCAGCCATCCCATTACTGGGTATATACCCAAAGGACTATAAATCATGCTGCTATAAAGACACATGCACACGTATGTTTATTGCGGCACTATTCACAATAGCAAAGACTTGGAACCAACCCAAATGTCCAACAATGATAGACTGGATTAAGAAAATGTGGCACATATACACCATGGAATATTATGCAGCCATAAAAAATGATGAGTTCATATCCTTTGTAGGGACATGGATGAAATTGGAAACCATCATTCTCAGTAAACTATCGCAAGAACAAAAAACCAAACACCGCATATTCTCACTCATAGGTGGGAATTGAACAATGAGATCACATGGACACAGGAAGGGGAATATCACACTCTGGGGACTGTGGTGGGGTCGGGGGAGGGGGGAGGGATAGCATTGGGAGATATACCTAATGCTAGATGACACATTAGTGGGTGCAGCGCACCAGCATGGCACATGTATACATATGTAACTAACCTGCACAATGTGCACATGTACCCTAAAACTTAGGGTATAATAAAAAAAAAAAAAATAAAAAAAAAAAAAAAAAAAAAAAAAAAAAAAAAAAAAGAGGTAATTATCCAGGAACAGAAAGGTCAAACTTCTCTAATCAGATTTAATCCAAATAAAACCTGTCCCGAGTCATATTATAATCAAATTGTCAAAGATCAGAGACAACAGAGACAAAAAGATGATACTAAAAGCAACAAGAGAAAAGAAGCAAATACCATAAGGGAGTTCCAGTATGGCTAGCATCAGACTTGTCAACAGAAACCTTACAGGATAGGAGAGTGGGATAATGTGCACAAGTGCCAAAAGGGAAAAAACTGTCAGTAAAGAATACTATACCCAGTAAAGTGGTTCTTCACAAGTGAATGAGATGTAAAGGCTTTCCCAGACAAGGAAAAGCTGAAGAAGTTCATAACTAGAAAACCTGTTTTATAAGAAATGCTAACAGAACTTGTTCAAGCTGAAAGAAAAGGATGCTAATGAGTAATACAAAAACGTGTAAAAGTACACAATCAAATTCAGAATACCCTGATACTGTAATAATGGTGTATAAATCACATCTTTAGTCTGATGGTTAAAAGGCAAAATTACTAAAGATAATAGTTAAAATGATTTGTTAAGAAATATGCAATATAAAAGATATAAACTGTGACATCAAAAATTCAAAATGTCAGGAAAAGGGATCAGAATAACAGTGTCATTGTTATCAGAGTTGTCATCAACTTAAAATAACCTGTTATAATCACAAGATTTTTTTTGTAAACATCATGGTAACAATAAAGCAGAAACCTATGGTAGAAACACAAAAAATAAAAAGAATGGATTCCAAACATACCGCTAGAGAATATCGGTAGCCACAAAGGAAGATAGCAAGAGAGGAAGAACGGAATGAAGATCTTCAAATGACTACAAAGTGAACAAAATGGCAGTAATAAGTCATTGCTTATCAAAAATCACCCAGTGTGGTGGTTCACGCCTGCAATCCCAGCACATTGGGAGGACAAGGCAGGTGGATTACCTGAGATAAGGAGTTTGAGATCAGTCTGGCCAACATGGTGAAAACCCATTTCTACTAAAAATAGCAAAATTAGCTGCATGTGGTGGTGTGCGCCTGTAATCCCAGCTACTTGGAAGGCTGAGGGTGGGGGAGAACTGCTTGAACCTGGGAGGTGGAAGTTGCAGTGAGCCGAAATTGCGCCACTGTACTCCAGGCTGGGTAAGAGAGAGAAACCCTGTCTCAAAGAAAACAAACAAAAACAAACAAAACAAAAAAACCCTGAATATAAATGGGTTAAATTCTCCAGTGAAAGATATAGAATAAATATATTTTTAAAAGATCCAACTGTATGCTGTCTATGAGAGGCTCACTTCACCTGTAAGAAAACACACAGACTGAAAGTGAAGGGATGGAAAAAGAAATTCATGCAAATGGAAACCAAAAGAGAGCAGGAGCAGCTATACTTACATCAGAAAAGATGGATTTAAAGTCTAAAACTAAAAAGAGACAAAGATCATTATGTAATGATAAAGGGGTCAATTCAGCAAGAGGATATAAGAATTCTAAATATATATGCAATCAGCATTCTATCCCATAAATATATAGGGCAAATATTAATAGACTTGAAGAGAGATAGACTGCAATACAATAATAATGGTAGATTGCGACAACCCACTTTCAGCAATGAACAGATCATCCAGACAGAAAACAAGGAAACATTGAACTTGAACTACATTCTAAACCAAATGGACCTAACAGACATGTACAGAACATTCCATTAAACAGCTGTGGAATTCATGTTCTTCTCAACTGCACATGGAAAAATCTCCAAGATCATGTGTTAGGCCACAAAGCAAGTGTTATCAAATTTAAGCAGACTAAAATTACATCACGTATCTTTTCTGATGACAGCATTATACAGCTAGAAATCGGTAACAGGAGAAGCTTTAGAAAATTCACAAATGCATGGAAATTAAACAATGTATTCCTGAACAAACAATGGGTCAATAATGAAATTTTAGAGAAATTTAAAGAAATTTTGAGACAAGTTGATTCACAACTTAAAATTTGTGGGACACAGCGAAGTAGTTCTAAGAACTGAGTTTACAGCAATAAGTGCCTGTGGAAGCTGGGGGAGGCCTGTAGCTGCCAGCTTTCCGCCACTTCCCTGGTGACTTGCACGATACAGCAGAGGCACCCATAATCCCCCCGGGAACATAAACTCCATTGGCTTGAGAACCACACCCCTGTCCTCCACAGCAGCTGCAGCAAGCCCCACCCAAGGAGAGTCTGAGCTCAGACATGCTGAACCATACCCCCACTTGATGGTCTTTCTCTACCCACCCTGGTAGCAGAAGACAAAGGACATACCCTCTTGGGAGCTCTAGGATGCCACCTACCACCTGATACTCCCTATACTACCAGAGCTGATGTGCTCTTGAAAGCACCCACTCCTGGCAGGAGGTCAACCAGCACAAAATTAGTGCAATAAAAAAAAAGTACAACCAAGGACCCTCAGAGTCCATTTGACTACCCTGCCACCTCCACTGGAGCAGGCACTGCTATCCATGGCTGAGAGACCTGAAGACAGTTCACATTATATGATTCTGTGCAGACACCGTCCAGTACCAGCCTGGAGCCTGGTAGCTTCACTAGGTGCCTAGATCCAGAAAAGAAACAACAATCACTACAGTTGAGCTCTCAGAAAGCCACATCCCTGTGAAAAGAGGGAGAGCACTACATCAAGGGAGCACCCCATGGGACAAAAGAATATGAAGAGCAGCGCTTGAGCTTCAAATATTCCCTCTGACATAGTCTATCCAAATGAGAAGGAACCAGAAAAACAAGTCTGGTATTATGAAAAAACAAGGTTCTTGAACACCCCCAAAAGATCACACTAGCTCACCAGCAATGGATCCACACCAAGAAGAAATCTCTGAATTGCCAGAAAAAGAATTCAGATAATTAAGCTAATCAAGGAAGCACCAGAGAAAGTTGTAGTCTAACTTAATTAAATCAAAAAAGATACAAGATATGAAAGGAAAAAATCAAGTAGAATAGCACAAATAAAAAACAATCACAGCTTCTGGAAATAAAGGACACACTTAGAGAAATGCAAAATGCCCTGGAAAGTCTCAGCAATAGAATCAAACAAGCAGAATAAAGAACTTCAGAACTTGAAGACAAGGTTTTTTGAATTAACCCAATGCAACAAAGACAAAAAAAAAAAAAACCCAAAAGAATGGAAAAAAAAAAAAACCACAACAAAAAAAGAACAAGCCTCCAAGAAGTTTGGGATTATATTAAATGACCAAACCTAAGAATAATTGGTGTTCCTGAGGAAAAAAGAAATCTAAAAGTTTGAAAAACATATTTGAGGGAATAATTGAAGAAAACTTCCCCAGCCTTGGCTAGAGATCTAGAAAACCAAATACAAGAAGCTCAAAGAACACCTGGGAAATTCACTGCAGAATGATCATTGCCCAGGCAAATAGTCATCAGATTATCTAAAGTTAACATGAAGGAAATGATCTTAAGAGCTGTGAGGCAAAATTACCAGGTAATCTATAAAGTAAAACCTACAAGATTAACAGCAGAAACCCTATAAGCTAGTAGCGATTGGGGCCCTATCTTCAGCCTCCTTAAACTATTATCAGCCAAGAATTTTGTGTCCAGCAAAACTAAGCTTTGTAAGTCCAAGGAAAGATAGTCTTTTTTCAGACAAACAAGTGCTGAGAGAATTTGCAACTACCAAGCCAGCACTACAAGACTGCTAAAGGAGCTCTAAATCTTTAAACAAATCCTTAAACTCACAAAAATAGAACCTTCTTCAAGCATAAATCTCACAGGACCTATAAAACACACACACACACACACACACACACACACACACACACACCCCGCCCCCAAGGTATTTAGGCAACAAATAGCATGATTAATAGAATAGTACCTTACATCTCAATACTAATGTTGAATATAAATGGCCTAAATGCTCCACTTAAAAGATACAGAATAACGGAATGGATAAGAATTCACCAACCAATTATCTGCTGTCTTCAAGGGACTCACCTGATACATAAAACTCGCATAAACTTAAGGTAAAGGGGTGGAAAAGATACACCATACAAATGGGCACCAAAAGTGAGCAGGAGTAGTGATTCCTATATCAGACAATATGAACTATAAAGCAACAGCACTTAAAGACAAAGAGGGACATTATGAACTGATAAAAGGACTAGCCAAACAGCAAAATAACATAATCCTAAATATATATGCACCTAACACCGGAGCTCCCAAATTTATAAAATAGTTGCTACTAAACCTAAGAAATGAGATAGCAACACAATAATAGTGGGAGACTTCCGTGCTTCACTGAAAGCACTACACAGGACATCAAGACAGAAGGTCAACAGAGAAAAATGGATTTAAACTCTACCCTAGAACAAATGGACTTAACAGATATTTATACAACTTTCTACCCAACAACTGCAGAACGTACATTCTATTCATCAGCACATGGAACATTCTCCAAGATAGACCATATTACAGGCCACAAAACAGTCTCAGTAAATTTAAGAAAGTTGAAATTATGTCAAGTACTCTCTCCGACCACAGTGGACTAAAATTGGAAATCAACTTCAAAAGGAAGACTCAAAACCATGCAAGTACATGGAAATTAAATAACCTGCTCCTGAGTGATCACTGGGTCAACAATGAAATCAAGATGGAAATTTTAAAAATCTTTGAACTGAATGATAATAGTGACACAATCTATCAAAACCTCTGGGATACAGCAAAAGCAGTGCTAAGAGGAAAGCTCATAGCATTAAATGCCTACATCAAAAAGTCTGAAAGAACAGAAATAGACAGTCTAAGATCACACCTCAAAGAACTAGAGAAACAAGAACAAACCAAACCCAAACCCAGCAGAAGAAAAATAATAAAGATCAGAGCAGAACTAAATGAAATGAAAAAAAAAAAAAAACAACAAAAATACAAAAGATAAATGAAACAAGAAGCTGATTCTTTGAAAAGATAAATAAAATTGGTAGACCATTAGCGAGATTAAACAAGAAGGGAGAAAATCTAAATAAGCTCAATTAGAAACAAAATAGGAGATACTGCAACTGATACCACAGAAATACAAAAGATCATTCAAGGGTACTATGAACAACTTTATGTGCATAAACTAGAAAACTTAAAGGAGATAGATAAATTTCTATAAATATACAACCCTCCTAGATTAAACCAGGAAGAAATAGAAACTCTGAACAGACCAAAACAAGCATCAAGATTAAAATGGTAATAAAATTGCCAACAAAAAAGTCCAGGCAGGACCAGATGGATTTACAGCTGAATTTTATTAGACATTCAAAGAAGAATTAGTACCAATCCTATTGACGCTATTCCACAAGATAAAGAGGGAATCCTCCCTAAATCATTCTATGAAGCCAGTATTACACTAATAGTGAAATCAGGAAGGGACTTTAAAAAAAATCTACACTCTATATATATACACACACACATATTTATATACACACACACATATATACACACACTATATATATACACACTTATATGCACATACTATATATACATATATATACACACACGTATATACATACACACACACACACACACACACACCATGGAATACTACTCACCCATAAACAGGAACAAAATAATGGCATTCACAGCAACCTGGATGGAATTGCAGATCATTATTGTAAATGAAGTAACTCAGGAATGGAAAACCAAACATTGTATGTTCTTATTCATAGTGGGAGCTAAGCTATGAGGTTGCAAAGGCATAAGAATGATACAGTTGACTTTGGGGACTCGAGGGAGGGGAAGTTGGTGGGGGTGGTGAGGAGTAAAAGACTACAGTTGGGTACACTGTACACTGCTCAGGTGATGGGTGAACCAAAATCTCAGAAACCACAACTAAATAACTTATTTAGGTAACCAAACACCACTTGTTCCCCCAAAACCTATGGAAACAACAAAAGAATATACTTCAACACATTAAAGGTCATATATGACAAACCCATAGGTAACATACCTAGGGGGAAAGTTGAAAGCTTTTTCTCTAAGATCAGGAATAAGTCAAGGGTATCCACTTTTACCACTTTTATTCAATATGGTATTGGAGATCTTAGAACAATTAGGCAACAGAAAGAAATGAAAATGGCCGGGCGCGGTGGCTCACGCCTGTAATCCCAGCACTTTGGGAGGCCGAGGTGGGCAGATCACGAGGTCAGGAGATCGAGACCATCCTGGCTAACATGGTGAAACCCCATCTCTACTAAAAATACAAAAAAATTAGCCAGGTGTGGTGGCAGGTGCCTGTAGTCCCAGCTACTCAGGAGGCTGAGGCAGGAGAATGGTGTGAATCTGAGTGGCAGAGCTTTCAGCGAGCCAAGTTCATGCCAGTGCACTCTGGCCTGGGCGACAGAGCAAGACTCCGTCTTAAAAAAAAAAAAGTCATCTAAATCAGAAATGAAATTAATTTGTCCCTGTTTGCAAATGACATGATCTTAAATATAGACAACTCCAAAGCCCACGTCAGAAAAATGATTAGATCTAAGAAACAAATCAGTAAACTTGCAGGATACCAAATTAACATACCAAAGTCAATAGCATTTCTATACACTAATAGTGAATTATCTGAAAAAAAAAATCAATAAGACAATTCTATTTACAAACAGCTGTTATAGAAAACATGGAGTTTTTCAAGAAATCAAAATACAGCTATCTCATAATCTAGCAATTTCATGACTGGGTATATATTTAAAGAAAATGAAATCAGTATGTAGAAAACATATTTGCACTCCCATGTTTATTGCAGCATTATTCACAACAGTGGAGAGATGAAGTCCACCTGTATGTTCCTCAGTGGATGACTGGATAAGGAAAATGTGTTACATATACACAATGGAATTCCATTCAGCCATTAAAAAAAAAAAAAACAAATTCTGTCATTTGCAACCATGTGGATGAACTTGGAGGACATTATGTAAAATAAGCCAGACACAGAAAGACAGATACTGCATGATCTCATTCATAAGTAGAATCTAAAAAAGTTGATCTTATAGAAGTAAATAATAGAATGATGGTTACCAGGGTCTGGCGTGGTTTTGGAGATACTGGCCAAAGGATGTAAAATGTTTGTTAAACAGGAGGAATAAGTTTAAGGGATGTGTTGTACAGCATGGTGACTATTGTTTATATTTTTGGAAAATGCTAAAAGTGAATGAAAAATGATAACTATGTGAGGTAATGAATATGTTAACTAGCCAGGTTTCCTCATTTCACGGTGTAGCTATACTTTGTCATGTTATATGGGATAAATAGTACAATTTGATATGTCAATGTAAAAATGAATTAAAAGATCCTCTAACACATTTATTGAAAAGATAAATGGTTGTGTCCTAAAGCACATCCCAAATAATAATCTCCAAAATACTAGTTCCACTAGGAGCTAAGAGAGATTGATTATGTTGGGATGGGGTGACCAGTAGTTCTATGAGCAAGTATGTTTGGCAAATGCAGGATTAAACAAAACTTTTACTGTAACATTTTTCAGTCTTAAATATGTTAAGGCTAAATATTGATCTCCAGGAGGAAGATGCAGTTTGCTGAGTTTCACCAAATCACTTGGCCAAGGAGTGCTTTGGAAAGGCATTTTGAGAAATGCTGCCCAAGGGGGAGTTGTTGAGAAGAATTTCCTGAGGGAGTACTTAGTCCAGCTTGTCTCTGTTGGGGGAAGGTAGAGAAGGTACAAAATTGAAGGCAAGGAACTAAGAGAAAAATGTACAGGACCCAAAGAAACTTCACCTTTGTGAAATTTTGTCTAGGATTGGTCTTGATTTGTGATTGTTCCCAGATGATATGTCTAATTCTTTGATTTTGTGGTCAGAGAAATGTGTGTGCCCTTTAGCATGTAGCTTAGTACCAGGGATATAGTAGAATACTGCTTTGGTTGTCCCTAGAGTATCTAGGACCACTGAAGCCATGCCCAAAGTTTGGATTAATTTTGGATAGACCAGTACAGATTTTTTTTTTTTGAGATTAAGTCTCTTTTGTCCCCAGGCTGGAATGCAATGGCACAATCTTGGCTCACTGCAACCTCCGCCTCCTGGGTTTAAGCAATTCTCCTGCCTCAGCCTCCCGAGTAGCTGGGATTACAGGCGCCTGCCACCACACCCAGCTAATTTTTGTATTTTTAGTAGAGATGGGGTTTCACCATGTTGGCCAGGCTGATGTCAAACTCCTGACCTCAGGTGATCTGCCTGCCTCGACCTCCCAAAGTGCTGGGATTACAGGCATAAGCCACCAACAGTTTGGTTGGGTATAGTTGTTTGGAAGTACAAGGAAGCCTGGTGTGGGTGGAGGAAGGGAAGAGTTGTATATTCTGTGATTTCTGAAGATCCAGAAGGTTCCTGGGTTCATTAGGTCATCATATATCTTTGATTAAATTTTATACCTAGAATTCCTGGAACTGTGCTGCGGGCTGGGGATTAAGGGACATGAGCTCAGAGAGTACTATTTTCAAGAGCCTCCAAAGGGGCTTCCCTAGACTGTGATTACATGGACATGCCACAAGTCTTTATCACTTAGTACAGACTTCCTGGTTGAATACAGACTTGTACCTCTAAGGAGTTTTCAGCTTCCTGAGGTCTTTTCTGGCTCTGGAGTTGGGCCAACAGCACAGAAATCTAATTGGACAGCTGTAATCTAGTATTCAATGGCAAATGATTTTTATTTCAATGCATTCAATGCATTCCTGGTTCCAAAGATATCCTGTGATAGGTAAACAATTATCTTCTCTACACTTTTAACTATGTAAGTGGCGGGTCTGTGTATTGCTATTGAAGTTCTGTTGCTGTTTACAATCTTACATTATCCTTGAAAAAGTAATCTCAGAGCAGTGATTGATACTGTAATTTTAGCAGCAGTCTCTTCTAGAATTCATAGATGCTGTGAAGTTCTGGGTGCTGAGATTGGAGAGATGATACATAGAGGCTCTCAGGGAACTTAAGTGGGAGGTGGTGGTGATGGAAACAGCATCACAGAGTCTATGACATCTTGATTTGATGAGGTTAGAAGAATCACCCTCCTTTTCTGCCCAGCTTCTGGATTTTCCCTTCAAATTCAGGTAGACACTCCACTACAGCCTCTCAGTATCTAAAACTTATGGAGAAAGCATGAAATTTTGGACTGTGATTTATTTTCCGATGGTCATTTTTTTCTTGATTTTAAAATAACTTCTGTTTTTGTTCAATACATTTTGAAAGAAAATATATGTTAGTTATTCCTCATGTTTATTTAAAATATTTTGGAAAATGCTGAAAAAGCACAAAGACAAAAATCACTGAATTCCATCATGAAGAGGTAGACAATGTTAAAATTTGTATGTTCTTCTAGTCTTTAGCTTATGCGCATGCATTTTATAAATGTTTCTTAAAGCACAGTTCTATATGTTGAATTTTATATGATGATTTTTTTCCAGTTGAATTATGAACACTCATGATGTTAAATATTGTTCAGAAGTGTATTTTTCATGCTTAATAATATTGAATTTTGTTGACCTAGTACAATTTATTTGACCATTTCTCTAGTTTTATTAGAATCACTTGTAAGTCTTTGATTTACTAAATCATAGTCCAAATCATGCCCTTTACATAGGGCTCCGATCAAATCCCTGATAACGGCCTAAGAATAAATTTCTTAATGTGGAATTACTGTGTCAAAGTGCTTGCATATCTTGCATCCTCTTGAAAGGTCGGACCACATTACAATCCCAGCAGCGTGATATGAAAAAGCTTACTTTTACAAATACTGACATTTTGATGTCCTGGCTGTAAGAATATGAGATCACAGTGCTGGGGAAACTTTGAGCTAGAAGGCAGAGAGGGCCTTTACAAGTTTGATGTCCTTTAATCCTTGGCATGTATGTATAGGGCATTTGACTGGAAGGCCCACCGATTTCCTAACGTCCTCCATGGACGTTGGCAGAAGCCAACTGATTAGGCAGGGAATCTAGGGAAGGAGAGATTGTGGACCAAGGGTTACTCTGCTTGGGGATGCCTACAACTGGCTACTCTCCGGACAAGCCCTGGAGATTTGGCTTATCACCTATCTGTTCTTTTGTTGCAGATTGGGGCAGATCCCTACTGACAGCCACTCTGGTATTCAGACTGGCTTCAGATCATCACTGTCATACTTGAGGTGCGCTAAGCCTTCAGGAAGGCAGGAAAGATAAAGAACTCACACTCAGAAACCTAGCAAAATTAGCTAGTGGAATTAAGAGGGCTCAGGGCCATGGAAACACAATTTTCTGGGTTTCTGTGATTTTGGTTTTAAGATATGAGATTTGGGCCACACATTTATCACATCTTCTCTGATTCTGATGCTTTTGAAAATGAGATTTTTTTTAAACTTGTTCCTCTATGCATTTAAGTATTGATAATAGGTGTCACTTTTGTGTTATATTTATTTAGTGCAAATGCTGAGGTAAGCATAAAACCTTGTGCAATATTGAGTGGTTAGTCAGCAGAAACTCATGAGAATCTTGTTTGGCAGATTTGATATAATGTGTTTTTCTACATTTTATTAGACTCTTTTTTATAGGCCACTGTTTTGACAAGCTACTGTAGCAAAGGTAATTTTCCAGGAAAGTACACCTTATAGTTGAAATGTTCCAGGTATAGGAATTTTTTTGTGCTTCTTAAATGTAAAATTTTAGGCTCAATTTCTTTAAAATATTATTTAAATTATGAGATTAATTTTATGTTTAGGAAACTTACCTGATCATTGTGTCTAAATACAGCTATAATTGGTTAATTCAGTACCTTACCAAATGATCCACTAAGAAATTACTGAATGTTTTGTAAATTCATCAAACTCAAAACCATCTCTCCCCAGATATAGCAAGAGCTTTTGTTCTCTTTCTCCTCCTCTTCTTTCCTACCCCATCATGGTTCCATGCCTACTCCCCTAGAAAATCATGATTCTAGATCTATTTGATATAATAAATAAACCAAGAAGGACAAAACAGGTATTACTATAACATTTTTCTTAAATATACTTCAAATGTGTTTTTTTAGTGACATTGGAAATAAAAACATAAATTTGATTATTTTTTAATTTTTAAAATTATTTTAAATTTTGTGGTTACACAGTAGGTGTCTTTATGGAGTACATGAGATTCTTTGATATACACATGCAGTGTGAAATAAGCACATCATGAAAAATGGGGTGTCCATTCCCTTAAGCAATTATCTATTGAGTTGCAAACAATCCACTTACACTCTTTATTTTAAAATGTACAGTTATTAGTGACTATAGTCACCCTGCTATGCTATCAAATAGTAGGTCTTGTTCATTCTATTTTTTTGTAACCATTAACCATCCCCACCACCCCCAGCTACTGTCCCAGTCTCCCATCACCCTTTTCAGCCTCTGGAACCATCTTTCTACTCTCTAAATCCATGAGTTAAATTGTCAGGATTTTTAGATCCCACAAATAAGTGAGAACATGTGATGTTTGTTTTTCTGCAACTGGCTTATTTTATGTAACATAATGATATCCAGTTCATCCATATTGTTTCAAATGACTGGATCTTATTCTTTTTTATAGCTGAATAGTACTCTATTGTGTATCTGTACCACATTTTCTTTATCCATTCATCTGTTGATGGACACAGGTGACTTCCAAATCTATGCTATTATAAGCAGAGCTGCAAGAAACATAGGAGTTCAGATATTTCCTTGATATATTGATTTCCTTTCTTTAGGCTATTTACCTAGGAGTGGGATTGCTGGATCACATGGTAACTCAATTTTTAGTTTTTTGAGGAACCTCCAAACTGTTCTCCATAGTGGTTGTACTAATTTCCATTCCCACCAACAAATGTCCCCTTTTCTCTAAATCCATGCCAGTGTTTCCTATTGCCTGTCTTTTGGATATAAGCCATTTTGAGTGGGGTGAGATGATACCTCATTGTATTTTTGATTTCTGTTTCTCTGATGATCAATGATGTTGAGCACCTTTTCATATGCTTGTTTGCCATTGGTACGTCTTCTTTTGAGAAATGTCTATTCAAATCTTTTGCCTATCTATTGATTGAATTATTAGATTTTTTTTCCTATAGAGTTATTTGAGCTCTTTATGTATTCTGGTTATTAGTCCCTTATCAGATGGGTAGTTGCAAGTATTTCCTCCCATCCTGTAGGTTGTCTCTTCACTTTGTTGATTGTTTTCTTTGCTATGGAGAAGCTTTTTAATTTGATATGATCCCATGTGCCTATTTTTGCTTTGGTTGCCTGTGCTTGTGGGGTATTACTGAATAAATTTTTGCCCATACCAATGTCCTGGAGATTTTCCCCAATGTTTTGTTGTAGTAGTGTCATGGTTTGTGGTATTAGATTTGTCTTTAATCCATTTTTTTATTTGATTTTTTTATATGGCAAGAGATCAGAAGTCAAGTTTTATTCTTCTGCATATGAATATCCAGTTTTCCCAGCCCTATTTACTGAAATCTGTTTTTTTCCCAGTGTATGTTGTTGGCACCTTTGTCAGAAATGTGTTCACCGTAGGTGTGTGGATTTGTTTCCAGGTTCTCTATTATGTTCCATTGGTCTATGTGTTTGCTTTTATGCCAGCACCATGCTGTTTTGGTTACTATATGGCTCTGTAGTAAAATTGGTTGTCAGGTAATTTGATTCCTCCAGTTCTGTTCTTTTTGCTTAGGATAGGTTTGGCTATTCTGGGTCTTTTGTGATTCCATATAAGGTTTAGGATGTTTTTCTATTTCTGTGAACAATGTGATTGTTATTTTATAGGAATGGCATTGACTCTGTAGATTGCTTTGGGTAATTTGCACATTTTAACAATACGGATTCTTCCAATGCATGAACATCGAATATTTTTCCATTTTTTGGTGTCCTCGTCCATTTATTTCATCAGCGTTTTATAGTTTTCATTATAAAGATCTTTCAATTTTTTGGTTTAGTTTATTACTAGGTATTTAATTTTATGTGTGGCTATTATAAATGGGATTACTTTTAAAATTTCTTTTTCACATTGTTTACTGTTCACATATGGAAATGCTCCTGATTTCTGTATGTTGATTCCTGTATCCTGCAACTTTACTGAATGCATTTATCAGCTTTAATAGTTTTCTTGTGGAGTCTTTAGGTTTTTCCAAATATAAGATGATATCATCGGCAAACAAGGATAATTTGACTTCTACCTTCCTAATTTGGATGTCCTTTATAATTTTGTCTTGTCTGATTGCTCCAGCTAGGACTTCTGGTAACATGTTGAATAACAGTAATGATAGCTGGCATCCTTGTTGTGTTCCAGATTTTAGAGGAAAGGCTTTCAGTTTTTCCCCTTCAGTATAATACTAGCTGTGGATCTGTTGTATATGGCTTTTTTTATGTTGAAGTATGTTCCTTCTATATCCATTGTTTTGAGGATTTTCATCATGAAGGGATGTGAAATTTTATCAAATGCTTTTACAGCGTCAATGACAAGGATCATATGGTTTCTTTCCCTCACTCTGTTGATTTGATGAATCACATTGATTGATTGGTGTACATTGAACAATTCTTACATCGCTAAGATAAATCCCCCTTGGTCATGATGAATGATCTTTCTAATGCATTGTTAAATTCAGTTTGCTAGTATTTGGTTGAGGATTTTTGTATCAATATTTATCAGCGATATTGTCCTCTAGTTTTCTTTTTTTGATGGGCTTTTGTCTGGTTTTTGTATCAGAGTGATAGTGGCCTTGTAGAATGAGTTTGAAAGTATTCCCTACTCTATTTTTCAGAATAGTTTGAATAGTGTTGGTATTAGTTCTCTGTTTGGTAGAATTCAGCAGTGAAGCCATCGGGTCCCAGGTTTTTATTTTTGTTTTTTTACTTGGAGGCTTTTATTATGGCTTCAATCTTGTTACCTGTTATTGGTCTGTTCTGCCCTGGATTTCTTCCTGTTCAACCCTGGTAGGTTATATGTATCTAGGAATTTGTCCATTTCTTCTAGGTTTTCCAGTTTATTGGTGTATAGTTGCTTATAGCAGCCACTAATATTCCTTTGAGTTTCTGCAGTATCAGTTATAATGTGTCCTTTTTCATCTCAGGCTTGATATATTTGGATCTTCTCTCTTTTTTTCTTAGTCTGGCTAAAGGTTTGTGAATTTTTTTTAACTTTTCAAAAAGCAAACTTATTAATCTTTTCTATTTTTTAAATTTCAATTTCATTTATTTCTGCTGTGCTCTACATTTCTTGTAATGATTTGGGTTTTGTTTGCTCTTGCTTTTCTAGTTCTTTAAGATGCATTATTATATTATTCATTTGAAGTTTTTCCCCTTTTTGGACGTAAGCAGTTATAGCTATAAACTTCCCTCTTAGTGCTGCTTTTTCTGTATCCCAGAGGTTTTGGTATGTTGCATTTCCATTATTATTTTCAAGCAATTTTTCCTTTTCCTCCTTAATTTATTCATTGACCCACTGGTCATTCAGGAGCATATTGTTTAGTATCCATGTGTTTGCATAGTTTACAAATTGCTCCTGTCATTAATTTCTAGTTTTATTCTATTGTGATCAGAGAAGATGCTTGATATTGATATTATTTCAATTTCTTGAATGTTTTAAAACTTGTTCTGTAACATAACATATGCTCTGTCATTGAGAATAATCCTTGTGCTGAGAAAGAAATGTGTATTCTACAGCTCTTGGATGAAATGTTCTCTAAATATCTGTTAGATGCATTTTGTCTATGATGCAGATTAAGTCTGACATTCCTTTGCTGATTTTCTGTCTGGATGGTCTGTCCACTGCTGAAAGTGAGGTTTTGACATATCCAGCTATTCTTGTATTGGGACCTATCTCTTTCTTTAGATGGAATAATATTTCCTTTATATATCAGGGTACTTCTCTATTGGGTACATACATATTTAAAATTGTTACATTATCTTGCTTTATTGACCCCTTTGCCATTATATGGTGCCCTTCTTTGTCTCTTCTTACAGTTTTTGTCTTGAAATCTGTTTTGTCTGATATAGTATAGTGACTCCTGCTCCTTGGTTTCCATTGGCATGGAATATCTTTTTCTGTCTCTTTATTTTCAGCCTATGTGTGTCTTTATAGGTGAAATGTGTTTCATATAGGCAACAGATCAATGGGCCTTGTTGTTTCATTCAGCCAGTCTATGTCTTTTGATGGGAGAGTTTAGTCCATTTACAGTCAATGTTGTTGTTGACAAGCAAGGTCTTACTCTTGCCATTTTGTTATTTGTTTTCTGGTTTTCTCTTCCTTCTTTATGTTGTTCCTGTCTTCCTCTAGTGAAGATATTTTTCTCTAGTGGTATGTTTAGTTTCTTGCTTTTTATTTTTTGTATATCCATTTTATGCTTTTTGGTTTGAGGTTACTATGAGGCTTGCAAATACTATCTTATAACCCATTATTTTAAACTGATAATATTTAACACTATTTGCATAAACAAGTGAAAAGAAAACTAATAAAAACTCTATGCCTTAACTTCATCTCCCTGCTTTTTAACTTTTTATTGTTTCTATTTATATCTTATTTTACTATGTCTTGAAAAGTTGTTGTAGTTATTTTTGATTGGCTTATTGTTCAGTCTTTCTACTTAGAATAAGAGTAGTTTACACACTACAGCTACGGTGATATAATCTGTGTTTTTCTGTGTACTTACTATTACCAGTGTGTTTTGTATCTTCAGATGATTTCTCACTCATTAACATTCCTTTTTTTGAGATTGAAGTATTCCCTTTAGCATTTCTTGTTGGTCAGGTCTGGTATTAGTGAAATCCCTCAGCTTTTGTTTGTCTTGGAAAGTCTTTATTTTGCATTCATGTTTGAAGGATATTTTTGCTGGATATACTATTGTAACACAAAAGTTATTTTTCTTTAGCACTTTGAATATATCATGTCACTCTCTTCTAGCCTGTGAGTTTTCAGCTGAAAAGTTTGCTGCCAGACATATTGCAGCTCCATTGTATGGTATTTGTTGCTTTTCTCTTGCTGCTTTTAGGATCTTTTATTTATCCTTGACCTTTGGGAGTTTGATTATTAAATGCTTTGAGGTAGTCTTCTTTGGGTTAATTCTGCTTGGTGTTCTATAACCTTCTCTTACTTGGATATTGAAATCTTTCTCTAGGTTTAGGAAGTTCTGTTATTCTCACTTGGAATGAACATTCTACCCCTATCTCTTTCTCTAACTCTTCTTCAAGGCAAAGAACTCTTAAATTCGCCCTTTTAAGGCTATTTTCTAGATCTCATAGTTGTGTTTCATTGTTTTTTATTCTTTTCTCTTTTGTCTCCTCTGTGTGTTTTCAAATAGCTTCTCTTCAAGGTCACTAGTTCTTTCCTCTTGATCAATTCTGCTATTAATAGACTGATGCATTCTTCAGTATGTCAGTTGTATTTTTCAGCTCTAGAATTTCTGCCTGATTCATTTCAATTATTTCAATCTCTGTTAAATTTATCTGATAAGATTCTGAATTTCTTCTCTGTCTTATCTTGAATTTCTTTGAGTTTCCTCAACACAGCTACTTTAAATTCTCTTTCTGAAAGGTTACATAGCTCTATTTCTCCAGGATTGTTTCCCTGTTGCCTTATTTAGTTCATTTGATGAGGTCATGTTTTTCTTGATGGTGTTAATGCTAGTAGATGTTCTTCAGTGTCTGGACATTGGAGTTAGGTATCACTGTCTGGACTGATTTGTACCTGTCCTTCTTGGAAAAGTTTTTCAGATATTTGAAAGGACTTGAGTGTTGTGATATAAGCTGATTGTGCTTTAGGGGCACCCTAGGCCCAGTAACACGGTGGTTCTTGCAGACTCATAGAGGTACTGCATTGATGCTTTGGACCAGATCCTTGAGAATTCCCTGGGTTACCAGGCACAGACTCTTGTTCTCTTCCCTTATTTCTCCCAAACTTACAGTCTTTCTCTTGTTCTGAGCCACTTAGAGCTGGAGACTGAGTGACACAAGCACCCCTGTGGCCACCACCACTATGACTGTACTGGGGTCAGACCTGAAGCCAGTGTAGTGCTGGGTCTCACCCAAGGCTGCTGTAATCACTCCCTGTCTATTGCCTGTGTTTTCTCAAGGCCCTGGGCTCTACAATCAGCAGGTGGCAAAGCCAGCCAGGCCTTGTCCTTCCCTTCAGGGTGATGAAGTCCCCATTTTCTCAGGTAGGTCCAGTAGTGCTGTCTGGGAGTCAAGGACTAGAGTAAAAAACTGTAGAAGTCTACCCGGTGATCTATGATATTGCAGTTGAGCTGGAACTCAAACCACAAGACACAGTTTTTCCTCCTCTTCCCTCCTCTTTCCAAAGGCACAGGAGCCTTGCCCTATAGCTACTGCCACTGTGGGCCGCAAGGAGTATTTCCAGACTAACAGCTATGTTCCCTTAAGGCTCAAAGTCTCTTAAGTCAGCTGGTGGTGAATGCTGTCTGGTCTGATCCACCTTTCAGGGAAGTGGGCTCCACTCTGACCCAGGGCAGGTCCAGAAATGCCATCCAAGAATCAAGTCCTGGAATCAGAGATCCCAAGAGCCCGCCTGATTTTTGCATCTTATGAAGCAAGTTTATCTTTTTCTATTAAGTGTCTTTGGGCTGTCATTGGCAAGCCCAATTCTACGCATTTAAAATGGCGTTTTTTTCTGCAATTGTTCTGGGGCTGAAATACAGTATATACAATCAAATAAAATGCTAAATCATTAAAAAACCCTATATTTCCAAGTATGTATATGTTAAGTATAGTCGTTTAGGGAAAGGTTTAAGAAGGTACCTACTTCTCACTTAAAATAGCACCAGTTCTTCAAATTCTTGTGGTAGTTTTTAGAGACTGGGCACGAATATCCCAAAGGGTTCTGCTAAAATAGAAGTTTTATAGGACTCTCTATAAACAGATACTTTCTGTGACAGATACTAGAAAATTCATTTCCCCTGCCTTTATTCTAGTCCTAGTAGACAAAAAAATCATGAATCAACTTAGAAGTGCTTTTGCAGAAAAGATTAAGCTTTCATCCAATAATTAGAGGTATATAAATTCACTTTAGAGGAACTATTCCTGATGCAAATAGGAATTGCATGTGGAAGAGAGTTGGATTTTTTTTTTCTTTTATCTTTTTTGGGGGACAGAGTTTTACTTTTGTTGCTCAGGCTAGAGTGCAATGGTGCGATCTCAGCTCACTGCAAACTCCGCCTCCCGGGTTCAAGCCATTCTCCTGCTCATCCTCCCGAGTAGCTGGAATTACAAGCATGCGCCACCACGCCCAGCTAATTTTGTATTTTTAGTGGAGACGGGCTTTCTCTGTGTTGGTCAGGCTGGTCTCAAACTTCTGACCTCAGGTGATCCGCCCGCCTTGGCCTCCCAAAGTGCTGGGGATTTCAGGTATGAGCCACCGTGCGTGACTGAGAGTTGCATTCTTATGAGGAATATTAGTATATTTTATTCCCTAAAATCATGGTGTTAGAAATAATTATTACAGCTCACTATTTTGCTATTTCTTTAAGCTATACCTTGTTAAAAGGGGTTATAAGACCTTTCAATACATTATATGCAAAGTTGTTTATGTGTTAAGAACTAGGGTTATGAAAAGCATGTTTTCAAAATAACTGATCATTAAGTAGATAACTACAGAAATTGTTAGGTGAAGGCAAATAGCCTTTGAGATCAAGAATTATTGAGAGCCATATTCCAGTGCTGAGGAAGGTAGTGCTCTAAGTGAGTCTGTTTGTATGTTCCTTGTAAGAAGAACTTTTCTCAAGGTAAGTGTGATATTTAGCAAATTTCAGGAAGCTCTGCTTTCTGTACCTGTCCATCTTTCTCTATTTCTGCCAGACAATGGGTGGAAAGATGCACAATCTCTTAGAACTCAAAACGCTAGAGGAAAACAACCAACCCAAAACTTTTGGAATGTTAAACTGTGGCTTCTCTAACATCATCTAAGAAAAAGCAGAGAAAATCTACTAAGTTATGGACGAACTATTCAGGACAGTTTTTCTTTTTCTTAGATTCAAAATACGCCTAAAGCTTTGCATTTGTTCATGAAGATGTCTGAATACAAGATACCCATTTAAGAAGTCCAGTGCTAGAAAGAAATTCTATTTAGGCTCGGAGGAAGAACTAAGAAAATATGTATGCATATTTTTTGAGACACAGTTTCACTCTGTTGCTCCGGCTGGAGGGCAGTGGCATGATCATGGCTTGTTGCAGTCTTGACCTCCCATGCTCAAATGGTTCTACCACCTTAGCCTCCAGAGTACCCGGAACTATAGGTGTGGGTCACCAAGCCTGGCTAATTTTTTTTCTTTTTTTTTTTTGTAGAGATGGGGTCTCGCTATGTTGCCTAGGCTTGTCTCGAACTCCTTGCCTGAAGTCCTCCCACCTCGGCCTCCCAAAGAGCTGAAATTACAGGCATGAGCCAGCATGCCCAGCCATTAAAACTATTTTAAGTGTGCAATGATTGATGGGCTCATTCAGAGCAGGAAGAATAATATTTCCAAAGTACTAGTTGTGCAAATGGAATAAGCTTGCACTGGGTACTAATCAGAATTCTTTTTGCAGAGGACAAAAAGTTCTTTAACTTAAGCACAAAGGGGACCACAACAGTTCATGTCATCAAACAGACACCAATTTTTTTTATTTTAAATTTTTATTTTGCATGTGTATCAGTTTTGGAAGATCATGGGAAAATTCATGTTAACTGTGCAGGTAATCACACCTGACTTTCCTGATGTGAGGCCACGGATGAATAAATTGTTATGATGGATTTTTCCTCTGCCCAGCAGATTTCCTCCTTCTCCTCCCCATCCTTCTGGTAGCAGCAGAAAGATGCTTTCCTTTGAGGAATTGTCATCCCTGGTAAGTCCTTTCAATCACACTAAACCTATAACCCCCTCCTCTTTTAAGCCATGAACTCATGCTTCATGCCTGTCTAATTAGAGTCCTTTGTGGGGCTTATCATGCTGAATTGGGAGGAATATTTCACTCTTTAGACTGTGAGGTCCTAGTATGTGACTTCAGAGTGGTCAGCAGCTGTGTTCTGTGCCTGAGAGAAAGAGACCAGCACACAGATGCTGAGAAGGTGGTGCGAGGCGTCAGGGGAGAAGGGCAGAAGAAGAAAGGGGGAAAGAGGGAGAGCCCTAATACATTGTGAGTCTTTGGATCCATCTGATCTTAAAGCCAACACTACTTAGGTTTTTAGGGTTTGATGACATGAACGGTTGTGGTCTCCTATGTGCTTGAGTTACTTAAAATGACTTTTTGTCTTCTATAAAAAGAATTCTCATTAATACCCAGTGAGAGCTTACTCCATTTGCACCATTAGTGCTTTAGAATACCTACCAACTTTAATAGTCAAACAAGTAAATGGCAAGATTTGAGAAAAAATACAAAAAATTCTTTTGGTGTTGGAAGATGAAAGTTACGCTTATTTCAGGCTAACTCAGCTCTTTCTTTTTTCTTTTTTGTTTGAGACGGAGTCTCGCTCTGTCGCCCAGGCTGGAGTGCAGTGGTGCGATCTCGGCTCACTGCAAGCTCCGCCTCCCGGGTTCACGCCATTCTCCTGCCTCAGCTTCCCGAGTAGCTGGGACCACAGGCGCCCGCCACCACGCTTGGCTATTTTTTTTTGTATTTTTTAGTAGAGATGGGGTTTCACCAGGTTAGCCAAGATGGTCTCAATCTCCTGACCTCGTGATCCACCCACCTCGGCCTCCCAAAGTGCTGGGATTACAGACGTGAGCCACCGTGCCCAGCCAACTCAGCTCTTTCTATTAGCTCCTTCTTGTACATAGTTAGGTTTTGGGAAATGTGATTTGACAAAGGTACATTTGAGTCCATGCAATAATAAGTCATATTTCTAAGTAAGTTGCTGGACTTGTTAGGTAAACAGGATGTCAATGAGTGACACATGTGCTTTCTAGTGTATGAAGAAACTTTTAAAAAAATTTATATGAATTTAAGGGTACAAGTGCAGTTTTGTTACATGAATATCTTGCATAGCGGTGACGTCTGGGCTTTTAGTGTGATCATCACTCAAATAATGTGCATTATACCCAGTAAGTAATTTCTCATCCCTTGCTCCCTACCCCTCTTCCAAGTCTCTAATGTCTATCATTCCACACTCATTGCCCATGTCTACATATTATTTAGTTACCATGTGTAATTGAGAATATGTAGCATTTGACTTTGTTTCTGAGTTATTTCACATAAGATAATGGCCTCTAGTTCCATCTATGTTACTGTAAAAAACTCTGTGATTTCATTCTTTTTTAAGGCTTACTAGTGTTCTATTGTGTATATATAGCACAACAGATACTCATCCATTGATGGACTTTTAGATTGGTCCCAGCAAACATCTGATCTTTTTGACTTTTTAATAATAGCTATTCTGCGATTATTAGAAAGTCAAGAAACAACAGAGCTGGCGAGGTTGCAGAGTGAGAATGTAAATTAGTTCAACTCTTCTGGACGACAGAGTGGTGATCCCTCAAAGACCTAGAGGCAGAAATACCATTTGACCCAGCAATCTCATCACTGGGCATTATACCCGAAGGAATATAAATCATTCTCTTATGAAGACACATGCACGTGTGTGTTCACTGCAGCACCATTTACAATAACAAAGACATGGAATCAACCCAAAAGCCCATCAGTGATAGACTAGATAAAGAAACTGATATATATATACACCATGGAATACTATGCAGCTATAAAAAGTAATGAGATCATGTCCTTTGCAGGGATGTGGTTGGGGCTGGAAGCTGTTATCCTTAGCAAACTAATGCAGGAACAGAAAACCAAGCACCACATTTCTCACTTACAAGTGGGAGGTGAACAGTGAGAACATATGGACACATAGCAGGGAACAACACACACTGGGGCCTGTTGTAGCTGGGAGGGAGAGCATCAGGAATAATACGTAACGAATGCTGGGCTTGATACCTAGGTGATGGGTTGATCTGTGCAGCAAACCAATGTGGCACATGTTTACCTATGTAACAAACCTGCACATCCTGCGCATGTGCTCTGGAACTTAAAAGTTGAAGAAAAACCGTTCTGATTGATGTAAGATGATATCTTATTATGGTTTTAGTTTACATTTCTCCGATTAATGATGTTGAGCAGTTTTTGTATGCTTATTGGCCATTTGTATGTCTTATTTTGAAAAATGCCACTTCAAGTCTTTTATCTATTTTTAATGGGTTTTTAAATTATTGTTGAGCTGCTTGAGTTCCTTGTAAATTCTAGATATCAGTCCCCTTTTGGATGCATAGTTTGCACATATTTTCTCCCATTCTGCAAGTTGTCTTTTCACTCTTTATTACTTCCTTTGCTGTGCAGAAGCTATTTAGTTTAATGAAGTCCTGTTAGTCTGTTTTTGTTTTTGTTGCTTTTGCTTTTGAGGTCTTAGTTATAATCTTTTTGCCTAGCCCAGTGTCCAGAAGAGATCTCCCTAGGTTTTTTATAGTATTTTCATAGTTTCAGATCTTAAATTTAAGGCTTTAATACATTTTGAATTGAACATTTGTATATGTTGAGAGTTAGGGGTCCAGTTTCATTATTCTGCATATGGCAATACATTTTTTCAACACCATTTATTGAAAAGGGTGGACTTTTCTCAGTGTAACCAGTACCATTTCTATACACTAATAATAGTCAAGCTGAAAACCAAATCAGGAAGACAATATCATTTACAATAGCTACAAAAAATTATCTAGGAATATATTTAAGGAGGTGAAAAATCTCTACAAGGAAAATTACAAAACACTCATAAAAGAAACTGAAGATGATGCAAAGAAATGGAAAAATGTTTCATGCTCATGGATTGGATGAGTTAATATTGAAATGACCATAGTGCCCCAAACAATCTACAGATTCAATGCAATCCCTATCAAAATACAATGTCATTTGTCACAGAATTAGAAAAAAAATCCTAAAATTCTCATGGAACAATAACAACAAAAAGAGCTCAAATAGCCAAAGCAATACTAAGCAAAAAAGAACAGAGCCTGAGGTACAAGATTACTTGACCTAAAATTATACTACACGGCTATAGTTACCAAAACAGCATGGTATTGGTTAAAAAAGGACACACAGATCAATTGATCAGAAAAGTAAACCTGGAAATAAAGCCAAATATCTACAGCTATTGATCTTTGACAAAGGAGGACAATTTATTTGAGAAAGTAGACCAGGTATTTTCAACTTCTTGCTCTTGTTATTTTAGTCAGTGGCTTAAACAGCTGGCCAGGACAGCTCTGCTTCATCTCATTTCCTTTTATCCTTAGAAGTAAGAAACGGTCTTGTTCTAGCAATATTTTGTCTAGAGGAAGGGGATAGATTAGATCAATGGTAGAAAACCTAGAGTCTTCAAAGGTAGTAATTGATGTCTGAAGGCTATTTCTAGTACTTCAAAAATCCTAACGCTAATGCATAATGCAGTTAGTTTGTTTGTTAGAAAAAATACTGAAGAACATAAGACATATAAGGGAGATAATAAGTGGAATTTGGAGAAAAGTTCAGAAATTCTAGCCAGATGACCTTTAGTGACACATTCTTCCCAATTAAACTGACTTAATTAGAGCTAGGAAACACAGTGGGTTTTTTTAAGTAAAGTATTTCTTTTTTGGTCCAAAGTGTTATTTGTCAATTCTGATTTCCATAGGAATAATGAAATAGATTAATGAGAAAGCATTTTATCACATGAATTTATCTCTATCTTCAAGACCATTCACGTAGGCATGCACATTGATTCATTTTTGTTTCTACCTACAGGATAATAATGGGCAGAATGGTGTGTTTCTCAATCCAGATTTACTAATAGTCCTGTAGTCCTTCCCCTGGTAGCCTGAAGAATTTCATTCCTGCTGCCCTTTATTAACATCTACTTAATAGAATTGCTCTTTCTGCCTTTTTTTTTTTTTTTTTATGGAGACTCGCTTTGTCACCCAGGCTGGAGTGCAGTGATGTGATCTCGGCTCACTGCAACCTCAGCCTCCCGGGTTCAAACAATTCTCTTGACTCAGCCTCCCAAGTAGCTGGGACTACAGGCATGCACCACCACACCCGGCTAATTTCTTTCTGCCTTCTTCTGAAGGCTAACTTGGTAAGCTCTGCTCTGGGGCATCACTTAACAAGCTGATGGCCTGAGGATTGACAGTCTGTGTTGGTAATAATTGAGAAATGAGTTGGAAGAAGTTGGGTTTGTCATGTGGGAAGAAGAACAGACCAGAATTTGAAAATTCTCAGTATACTTGGAAGCATGATGGTTGGTGGGAAGTAGCCTTGAGAAGCATGGAAATTGTGTGGGTAGATGGTAGTCCCAGGGTAGGGATATTGATTGACAGCGAAACTGATTTGGATAATGAGGTTTGCTAAAATTGGGAATTGGGGAAAGTAGAAGGCCATTGAGTAGCTGGCACAGAATATGAAGAAAGATGAGATAGTAGAGATAGTTAGGCAGGGGTAGGTTGTTTTGTGTGGATGCTTAGGTTCATTTAATTCATCTTCTCACCTCTTGAATATTTCAAATCGAGAGCTTGAAATTATGAGTGCAGATTTTAACATTGCTTGGAAGTACCTGAATGATTTGGTTGCTAACTTCTGTTTGACATGATAGGATTTGATTATATGTTTGGATCACACATTCAGTAGGGCAGATATTATAAAACATATGACTTGTATTTTTTAAATTCTTGATCTAATTGTTTTCAATTCCCATAGTACTGTTTGTTTCATCCTCTGCTACGAATTGTGATGTTTTCTTTCGAAAATACATCAGCAAGACACGGTCCTCTGGGAACTGCAGTAACTTCAATGGTGCTATGTAGAGAAGGCTGGTGGATCTATTCCAGTTAGGGATAATTTTATTTTTTATCTTTTGTTTTTATTTTAAGTTCTGGAATATATAGGTACAACTTGCCGGTTTGTTATATAGGTATACATGTGCCATGGTGGTTTGCTGCACGTGTCAACCCATCATCTAGGTTTTAAGCCCCACATGCATTAGATATTTGTCATAACGCTATCCCTCCCCTTGCCCCCATCCTTTGACAGGCCTGGGTATGTGATGTTCCCCTCCCTGTGTTCATGTGTTCTCATTGTTCAACTCCCACTTAGGAGTGAGAACTTGCAGCATTTAGTTTTCTGTTCCTGTGTTAGTTTGCTGAGAAAGATGGCTTCCAGCTTCATCCATGTCTCTGCAAAGGACATGATCTCATTCTTTTTTATGGCTACATAGTATTCCATGGTGTATATGTGGCACATTTTCTTTATCCAGTCTATCATTGATGGGCATTTGGGCTGGTTCCAAGTCTTTGCTATTGTAAATAGTATGGCAGTAAACATATGTGTGCATGTGTCTTTATAGTAGAATTATTTATAATCCTTTGGGTAATGGGATTGCTGGGTCAAATAGCATTTCTGGTTCTAGATCCTTGAGGAATCACCACACTGTCTTCCACAATGGTTGAACTAATTTATACTCCCACCAACAGTGTAAAAGCCTTCCTATTTCTCCACAGACTCGCCAGCATCTATTGTTTCCTGACTTTTTAAGTTCAGTTTGCTTCATATAAATCCTATGTGGTATTCACACAGAAAAGACTTGCAAAGTGATGCAGGTGCATGCTGTGTGTGTGTGTGTGTGTGTGTGTGTGTATGTGTGAGAGAGAGAGGATGAATGTTAAACAGTTTAAGGAACTGAGTCTCATGTCTAGAAGGTGGAATTAGAAATAAGAATAGCGTACAGAGGACAGCAAAACAATCTGTACGCTACAGTAGTTCAGGAGCTCTTAGAGCCAGATGTAACAAGAATGTAAGCACTCCCTGATTTTCTAGGAGTTTGCACAAATATTGGGGAGGTCATGAGACTTTTTACTAATGTAAAAATGGAAGTTCATGCTAGTCTTAGCTAGATTTTTAAGACACCTGGTTACCTCAGGTGACATTGACATATGATTCAAGAATAACAATAGTTGTTTTTGAGAACTTACTACACACTGGGTGAAGTGCTTTACAAATATGTTATCCTATCATCTATGAGAAAAATACTGTTGATATCCAATGTTAGTGATGAAGAGATAAAACGCAGAGACATTGTAACTTATTTAAGTTGCACAACTTGATAAGAGAATTCAGAAAGGAAATATTCAGGCAGATAGATCAAGAACAGTTGGTCAAAGCAATAGAGAGAGAAGGTTAAATGCAAAACTCCAATTCCTTTCTCAGGGACAAGGTCCACTGAGGGGGTATTTTCTTATTTTTTGACAAGCCAAATTTTCTTTTTTTTTAATACATTCGCATAAGAGTCCCAGTGTTGCCATTATTTTATCTTACCTGCCTTGTCCCACATGAAGCCATGCTAGTGAGGCTGATGTTGTAGTAGCTAAGAGTACAAACATCAGAATCAGAGAGCCCTAGATTTCAATCTTGGCTCTGTCACTTATAGATGTGTAACCATGTCCCTTCTTGGCCTCAGTTTTCTCATCTAAAATAGAGGACATTTAATAACAAGATGGGCCGCTCTTGCTAAGACTAAGATAAGGAGTATAAAGAGTTTAGCACAGTGCCTAGTACATAGTCACCCCATAACTTACTATTATTACATCACCCCTACCACATTCCTACCCAACTGAAGGATAAAACGAATTGGGGAGAAAACACTTATGGATGACTTACTATAAGTCAAGAATCCTTTTAGATATTTGTTCACTATCTTATTTGATACTCATGCAGCTATGGGCCCTATAAACCACATTTCACAGTAGAGAAAATTGCAGACCAAAAGAGGTAAAGTAACTTACCCAAAATGACTGAATTATGTGAAGTTAGCTATTAATCCAGTTTTTCAGGTAAGAAAACTAAAGCTGAGATAAAAACATTGTAGAGTGTATATTTGCACCAGAAGTTCTCTAACTCCAAAGCTTATCATATCCCATTACTACCTGCTAGTTTCCCTAGGCCTTGTCCACTATTGTGGCACAGGTAAGTTTGAGCAGTTAAAGAGAACACTAGTGAAGAGGCTGAAATGGAGTCTATTTGCATGAGATATTTGCATGAAAAATTTGTGTCTGAAGAAGCAAGAAATTCAAATAAGACTGCTTGGGAGATAAGCTGAATAAGGACAGTATTTTGTCTGTTGTCTGGCCCAGGTTGGGTTCCCAGAGAGACCCATACTGGCTGTGGGAATGAGATTTTCAGTTGGAAAAGCACAACCCAGGATTGAGGAGATGGCCCTACTTGCTGTACTTGTGCATGGAGTACAGGAATATTCAGGTGTAAAGATGACTGAAGAGAATACAGGTTTGTGGCTTTAGAATTTACCTATCTTAGCAGAGAATTCTCGTTGTTCTAGAAGATATTGGCATTATGGCATTGGTGCTATATTCCTCTTCAGGGCTTTGTGAAAGGTGTATCTCAAGTGAAGAAGAGCGGAAACCTGGTGACACGGGAGGAAATCTTATTTACCAAACCACAAGGGACCAGCTACAGGTGGAATGCCCAAGTGTGCGAGAGAGCAGCTTGGATGGCATAATGGATATGGTGGTTGGCTCCTCGATGGCATCTCTACCATTCCTAATGCGGTTTGAAAATTGTGCTCAGCTGTAGTGGTGGGTTCAAATGATGTGAAAGTATTTTTATCCCTCTTGCTAATAACTGGTTTAGAACGGGACATGTGATGTAATGAGATATGAGGAAAAGTTTACTGAGGCTTCTGCGAAGGTTTTCTTCTTCAGACAGCCTCATAAGAAGTTGGTTTTTCTTCCATCATGTATAAATTAGGAACCAATTAGCCCCAACTTAATGACTTATAATCACAAGGGAACCAGAATGAAGATGAAGCTGTGCATGATAGTGGAGAAACAGAAAGAATGTACATCTTGGGTGATGTGAATAAAATGCAAGATCAACCATTTCTAAATCTTGTCCTACTTATAGACTTCCCCTTTAATGAATTAGATGTTTAAAAATTGTATAAGCTAGTTTGAGTTGACTTTTTCTTTTTTTAGTTTCAGCTGAAAGCATCCATCCTGATTTGATTGGAGAATGGGTTTCAATGAAGATTTTACATTTTTTTTTCAATTTACATACCAGCTGACGTGTGTCAGCACATATATCTAGGAGTAGAAAAAATTAGCTAAAATATTTCTATTAAATCAATAGAGGAGTTAAGTTTGGAAATGATTAAAAGATCTAAATTTCAGAGCACTATGAAAGAAAAATGATACTGGAAATTAGATGTTGAGGAGATGACAGTTGATCAAATTAATGTCTTGGTGAATTTTGAATCTTGGTTATTCATCGAGGATGAGGGATGGGATTAGAGGATGGTAAATGTTTTAACAGCTGCTATTTGGAATGGAAAAGGAATTAATTAAAGATTAATGCTGACAAGCATTGAGAATCCAGCTGAGTTTGGAGATCACAAATTTATAATGGAGCTAATCAGTTTGTTTATGAAGTTTTTTTTCCAGTAGGACTGTATAGGAGAGAAATAGAAGCAGAGGAAAAGGACAGTGGGACTTAAAAGCTGGAGACTGGCAGAGAAGGTGGAGTAGAAGGGCCAGGGGCCAAGAAAATTGACAGTTATACGTATAATAGTAATCATTACTTTTTATTAATAATAACTGATTCTTTGGCATTTTAACTTCCAACAAAATGTTTAAAAATTATCATATTTGATTGTTAGAAGGATGTTGTGAAACAGATTGTTAATCCTAGTTTACTCATGATGAATTGGAAAGTCATGACATTTATGCATTCATTCCTTCAATCACTGTTTTGTTTTCTCAACTTTAGAAAATGTGTATTGTATGCCAGATTCTGCTGTATGTACTAAAAGTTTAGAGGTGCAGAGCATAGAATCTGCCCCCAAAAATGCATTCTCTCTGGTGGGAACATAGACAAGGTAGTGCCAACATGTAATATAAGATAGATGAAGCCACAGATGGATCTTCTAGAAGCACAAAGATGGTGCCTTTACCCAAGATATGGAGTTAGACTAGTTTTCCTTGGGTGGGTAAGCATATGAGTGAGGTTTGACTGAACAGTTGGAGTTGGGAGGGTGAGGCAAGGGGTAGGCAAAGGTGAGCAGCAGGAGTAAAAGGCGCATACATGTAAGAGAGCACAGTGCAAGAAGATAAACCTGGATTTAATACTGGAAATGTAGGTAGGAGCTAGAACATAGTTACACTGAGTAATTTGAATTTTATTCTAAAGACAACTAGGTATCTCCAAAAGATTTTAAAGAGAAGAATGATATCTCTGGCAACAAAGTGAAAGATGAAATGTAGATATTATGCTTGAGATAGAGAAACCAACTAGGAGATCAATGGACTACTGTAAGAAGTGATGAGTGAGACTTAGAGGATGGGAGGATCTTGACAGTTACGTAAAAAGAAACCAAGGAGGAGGTAGAACAAGATGGCCAAAGACAAGCCTCTACCAATTGTCCACACAAAGAAAAGCACCTTCATATGAACCAAAAACCAGGTGAGGAATCACAGCATCTGGTTTTAACTTAATATCACTGAAAGAGGCACTGAAGAGGGTAGAAAAGACAGTCTTGACTTGCTGATGCCATCCATACCCTATACTTTGGCAGTGGCCAGGTGGCATGGAGAATGTGTCTGCTTAGGGGATGGAGAGCACAGTGATTTCCAGGACTATGAATAGAAACAGTGCTGTGCTCTTACAGTGGAAAGCAATACCAAGCAGAACTTTGCTGGTGGTCATGGAAGGAGTAATTATACGAGCCCTAGCCAGAGAGGAATAGCCCATCCCAGTGGTCAGAACTGAGATCTGGCAGGCCATGCCACAGTGGACTAAAGTGCTCTATGGTTCTAAATAAACTTGAAAGGCCACAAGTATGGCAGTTTCTGCACAAGTCCTGATACTGTTCTGGGATTGGAGCCAGTGGACTTGGGGGGCAAGTGACCTAGTGAGACACCAGGTGGGACAATCCAAGGAGTGCTTGCATCACACCTTCTCTAACCCTGGGCAGTGCAGTGCAGCACAGCACAGTGCAGCTTACAGCTCTAAGAGAGGCTCCTTTCTTCCACATGAGAGGAGAGGGAAGAGTAAAGAAGACTTTGTCTTGCAAGTTGGATACCAACTCAGACACTATAGGATAGGGCACCAGGCAGAATTCTAAGGCCTCCATTCCAGGACCTAGTTCCTGGACAACATATCCAGACATAATTTAGGCCAGAAGAAAACTCACTGTCTTAAAGGGAAGGACCCAGTCCTGGCAGGATTCATCACCTGCTGACTGAAGAGCTCTTGGGCCCTGAGTAATTACCAGCAGTATTCAAGTAGTTCTTACTGTGGGCCATGGGTAAAACTCAGATGTGCAGCCTTCAGGTGTAACCTAGCACATTGCCAGCTGTGGTGGCAAAGAACAGGGACTCCTATTTGAGAAAGACAAAGGGGACTTTGTCTTGCAGCTTAGGTACCAGCTTGGTCACAGTGAGGTAGAGCAAGAAGCAGCCTCTTGAGGTTTCTGATTCCAGGCCTTGAGTCTTGGATAGCATTTCTGGATGTACCCTGGGCCAAAGAGGAGCTCACTGCCCTGAAGGACGTGTCCCAGGCTTTGCAACATTGACCACAAGCTGAGTGAAGAGCCCTTGGGCCTTGAATGAATGTTGGCTGTAGCCAGATGATACTTGCTGTGGACCTGGGGCAGTGAAGGAGATGGGGAGAGACTCCTCTGCTTGTGTAAAGGGAAAGGAGGATTGGGAAGAACTTTATCTTGTGGTTTGGGTGTTAGCTCAGCTGCAGTAAAGCACCAGGTAGATTCTTAATGTTTCTGACTCTAGGCCTTGGCTCTGGAACAGCATTTCTGGACCTGCCCAAAACCAGGGGGAACTTGCTGCCTTGAACAGAAGAATAGAAGCCTGGTTGGCTTTGCCACAGCTGATTGTAGAGCCCTAGGTCTGTGAGCAAACATAGGCAGTAGGTAGGCAGTGAATACACCAGGCCTGGGGTGTGACTTAGTACCATTCTGGCTTCAGGTCTCACCCAGTGCAGTCCAGTGGTAGTGGCCATAGGAGGGCTTGTGTCACCACTTTTGCAGGTCCAGGCATCTCAGCACTTAGAGACTCCATTTGTTTGGGAGACAGTAAGGGAGGAGAAAAAAGAGTTTCTGTGTGGTAATCCAGAGAACTCTTCTGGATTTTATTCAAGACTACCAAGAAAATACCTCTATGAGTCTGCAAGAGGCATAGCATTACTGGTCTAGGGGTGTCCCCATTTAATGCAGATGAGGTGGAAGTGACCAAAAACTTAGATAACAACTCCCAAGTCCCTGAGAATACCTGGAACGCCTCCCCAAGAAGAGTAGGTATAAAGAAGCACAGACTGTGAAGACTAAAATAAATACTTAACTCTTGAATGCCACATCCACAAGCATCCAGATCATCCAGAAAAACATGACCTCGCAAAATGAGCTAAACAAGGCAGCCGGGACCAGTCTTAGATAGGTATATGTGCCCTTTCAGATAGAGACTTTAAAATAGCTGTTTTGAGCAATGTCAATGAAATTCAAAATAACATAGAAGAAATTCAGAATCCCATCAGATAAACTTAACAAAGAGAATGAAATGAAAAGAATTAAGCAGAAATTCTGGAGCTGAAAAATATGATTGACATACTGAAGAATGCATCCGGAGTCTCTTAAAAACAGAATTGATCAAACAGAAGAAAGAATTAGTGAGCTTAAAGACAGGCTATTTGAAAATAGACAGAGGAGACAAATGAAAAAAGAATCAAAAAAGAATGAAGCACGCCTACAGGATCTAAGCCTCAAAAGGGCAAATCTGAGTTATTGGCCTTAAAGAGGAGGTAGAGGAAGACATAGGCATAGAAAGTTTATTCAAAGGAATAATAACAGAACTTCCCAAACCTAGAGAAAGAGATATCAATATTCAGGTACAGGAAGATTATATAACTCCAGGCAGACTTAACCCAAAGATTACCTCAAAGCATCTAATAATCTAACTCCCAAAAGTCAAGGATAAAAAAAGAATTAAAAAAAACAGCCAGAGAAAACATACAATGGAGCTCCAATATGTCTGGCAGCAGACTTTTCAGTGGAAATCCTACAGGCCAGGAGACACTGGCACGACATACATAAAGTACTGAGGAAAAAACCCTTTTCCTTGGAAGAGTATATCTGGAAAAAAATAATGAGAAATAAAGACTTTCTCAGACAAATCAAAGCTGAGGAATTTAATCAACACCAGACTTGTCCTACAAGAAAGGCTAATGGGAGTTCTTAACTGTCAATGAAAAGGATGTTACCAAGTAACAGCAAATCATCTAAAGGTACAAAACTCACTGGTATTGGTAAGTACATAGAAAAACATGAAATAGTATAAAACTGTAATTGTGGTTTGTAAGTTACTCATATCTTAAGTAGAAAGATTAAAAGACAGACTGATCAAACATAACTAAAACATGTTTTCAAGACATAGTACACTAAGTTATAAATAGAAACAATAAAATGTTAAACAGGGGGACAAAGTTAAAGTGTAGAGTTTTTTTTATTAGTTTTCCCTTGGCTTGTTTGTTTGTTTATGCAATCAGTGTTACCCATTTAAAATAATGAGTTACAAGACATTATTTGCCAGCCTCGTGGTATCATAAAATCTAAAAACATACAACAAATACACAAAAAATAAAAAGCAAGAAATTGAATGATATTATCAGGAAAATAACTTTCACTAAAAAGAAGACAGGAAGGAAGGAAAGAAAGAAGATAATAACCACAGAGCAACCAGAAAACAAACAACAAAATGGCAGAAGTAAGTCCTTACTTACCAATAATAACATTAAATATAAATAGACTAAACTCTACCATCAAAAGAAATAGAATGGCTGAATGGATGAAAAAACAATACCCAATGATCTGCTGCCTACATGAAACAAACTTGACCTATAAAGACACACATAGACTGAAAATAAAGGAATGAAAAAACACATTCCATGCAAATAGAAACCACAAAAGAGCAGGAGTAGCAATATATATATCAAACAAAATAGATTTCAAGAAAAGAAATATAAAAAGACACAAAGAGTATTATTATATAATGAGAAAGGGGTCAATTCAGCAAGAGGGGATAACAATTGTAAATATGTTCACATTCAACACTGGAACACCCAGATATATAAAGCAAATATTGTTAGAGCTAAAGACAAGTAGACCCCAATACAGTAAAAGCTGAAGGTTTCAACACCCCAATTTCAGCATTGGATGGATCACCTAGACAGAAAATCAACAAAAAAATCAGACTTAATCTACACTATAGACCAAATGGACCTGAAAGATATTTACAGAACATTTCACTCAACAGCTACAGAATACATATGCTTTTCCAGACCATATGGATCATTCTCAGGGATAGGCATATATTAGGCCACCCAACAAGTCTTAAAACATTCAAAAGCTATAAGTTTCTACATCAAAAAAGGAGAAAAACTTCAAATAAACAACTTAATAATGCAGTTAAAGAACTAAAAAGCGAGAGCAAACCAAACCCAATGTTAGCTGAAGAAAAGAAATAATAAAGATTAGAGTAGAAATAAATGAAATTGAAATGAAGGAAACAATACAAAAGATCAGTGAAACAAAAAATTGTTTTTTGGAAGAGATAAAATTGACAAGCCTTTAATCAAGCTAACTAAAAAGACAAAATCATAGATGAAAAAAGAAGATATTACAATCAATACTGCAGAAATTCAAAGAATAATTAGAGGCTGCTCTGAGCAATTCTAAAGAATCATTATAGAGCTGCTCTGCTATATGCCAATTGGCATTTATGTCAATAAATGGGAAGACCTAGAAGAAACAGATAAATTCCCAGTCACATATAACCTGCATAGACTCAACCATAAAAAAACCAAAACCTGAATAGACCAATAACAAGTAACAAGATTGAAGTTGTAGTATAAAGTCTCCCAGCATAGAAAAACCCATGACCCAATGTCTTCACTCTTGAATTTTACCAAATATTTAAAAAATTCATAACAATCATACTGAAACTATTCCAAAAAATAGAGGAGGAGGAATTACTGCCAAACTCATTCTACGAGGCCAGCATCACCCTGATACTGAAACCAGACAGATGCATAAAAAATCCCAACAAAACTATGTGCCAATATCCCTGATGATCATTGATGCAAAAATCCTCAACAAAATACTAGCAAACCAAATTTAACAACACATTAAAAAGATCATTCATCATGACCAAGTAGAATTTATCCCAGGGATGCAAGGATGATTCAACATATGCAAATCAATCACTGTGATACATGATATCAACAGACTGAAGGACAAAAGCCTTATGATCATTTCAATTGATGCTGAAAAAGCATTGATAAAATTCAATATCCTTTCATAATAAAAAATTGTCAAACTGAGTATACCTCGACACAATAAAAGCCCAGATACCCACAGCTAGTATGATACTGTGCTGGGTCCAACCTACAGACCCTGGCTGAATGATGGATGACAGAATGCACTCAGACAGAGGTATCTAGTGAAAGGGTGGCATAGGGGACCAGGCCGTTCACAGAAAGAGTTGTAGCAGCCACAGCCCCAACTAGCTGGTGTTGTGAGCATTTATTTAGTACAGATTTAATGACAAAGGCTTGAGTCAACATTCTTTGTGGGTAAATAATATTGCCAACCCCCCTAGGTAAAGAGCAATCCTGTGCATGAATGATCAAAGGTTGGTTTTAGGACAACATGAGTAAGCAAACTATTTAGCCTTCAGCCAAATTATCTTTCAAAGCTTTTGCAACCCACACCCAGCCCTTCAAGAAGGTTTGCTTCTATTCCTGTAATTTCTCCCACTACCGTGAATGATCTCCCACATCTCCCCCTTTTCTGTTTTTCTGCATTAGGCTTTGTTGATTGAAGAGTGCAAATGTGTGCAGCAACAGGCTTGTCAGGTACAGCGGTTATAACTTGTACTCTGGCTTTGCATCCTAGAATTATTAAGTAACATAAAACAAACATGAGTATAATTAGCAACATTCTTTTCCAATTGAGGAGTGACCCCTAGGAGTGGGAGGTCTATCCAAGAGAGATGTTTTTGCATATCCTTTCATATGGCTGTTGCTGAGGAACCCCACTGGGGGTATGTTAATTCCTCTTAGCCAAGCAGTCACGTTGTCAGTTGCTGGGAGCGGGTGTTTGCCTAAGTAACAGGGCTGAAAAAAGGTGGATTTAGAAGATGGGCTTAATAAAGTGTAGGTACAGGTAGCAGGCAAAATGAGCATAAAAAGGAACATGTTATCTGGAGTAAACGGTGTCTGTATCTAGAGCAGGATGTGTTGGGCCTTTTGAGTTGTCTTCTTCAGCATCCATCAGGTGATGTCTGGGGCTTGTGTCATCTGAGGAAGCCACATCGTCTGGGGCTATGGGTCCCATAGGGTCATTTTCTTCATTTCTGGTACCAGGTTGGGTCCTAGCCACACCATGGTATGGTTTGATGCATCGTGCTGGAATCCAAAGAGGACCTGAGGGGTTGTGAACACAAGCATATTCTCTTTCCCATGTTAAGCATTCATTTGGACCACACCATACATTACTGTTTACATCTTTCCATAAAACTGTGGGTTTTATGTCTTGAAAGGTTTTAGCAAAGTACTTTTCTACAGCTAATTGAAATTTATCATCTACATTTTAAAAATTAAGGGTAAATAAGGCTTGTGCCAATAGTGTTGCAGGGTCCTTACTCATATTCCCCCATTTTTGTTTTTTGAGGATGTTTTTAAGAGTGGAATGGACACGTTGTATGGCCTGTCCTTGGGGGTTATATGTGATGCCTGTGGAATGTTGGATGTTCCACGTGTGACAAAATTGTTAAAATTGTGAGCTGGCATAAGCTGGATCATTATGAGTTTTAATTTTTGTGGGCCACCCCATAAATGCAAAAGTTAAAAGAAGATGTTTAACAACATATCAGGTGGATTCTCCAGGCAAAGCATGGGTGCTGATTAAGTGAGAATTGGTATCAATGGATACATGTACATATCTAAGTTTTCCAAATTCAGGGATGTGAGTAACATCTGTTTGCCATAACTGATTAGGTTCCAGTCCACTAGGGTTAACACCTGTTGAAGGGGGGGGATGTGCCTGTAAGCTGGCAATCTGGGCATTGCAGGATGATTTGTTTAGCTAGTCTCTGGGTAAGTTGAAATTGTTTAGATAAGTTTCTCCAGTTTTGGTGGAAAATTGATGCGATTGGGTGGCTTGGTCAAGCAGTGATGTCATAACCTGTAGGTCTGCTTGATCATTGCCATAAGCCACTGGGCCAGGCCGTGAGCTGTGGGCTTGAATATGTCTGATAAAAATAGGATGTGTATGTTGATCTAGCAAATGCTGAAGTCAGAGAAAAAGAGCACATAGGGTGGGCTCCAGAGTGGACTTAATGAGGGCTGTCTCAAGGTTCTGCAAAATATAAACAGAGTAAGCAGAGTCACTAACAATATTGATGGGCTGAGTGGAAAAAGTCTCCAGAGCCAATATTAAGGCTCCAACCTCAGCTCTTTGAATGTTAGTAAATCCGGAACCAGTGAGGAAATTCTGTGGCCTCCACCAGACAGCCACTTTTCCATGTTTAAGCGAGCCATCAGTAAACAGTGTTAAAGCCGTTAGGTATGGGGGATTGAATTTTTTTTTAGGCAAAACCACAAAAGTGTGAGATAAGAACTGAAGGAGTTTGTCAGCAGGAAGGGCATGCTCTATATGACCTGTGTAATCAGAGAGTGCTATTTGCAGGTCCACAGATAAGGGCAATACTGCTTCAAATTGCCTTTTACTTAAAGGAATCCTGATGATATCAGGGTCATAACCTAGCAACTGATTGCATCTTCTGCAGCCTGAATAGATGACTTTACTGACGAACTGGATATGGGGAGAGAGTGTCTTAGTCCCGGTATGTGAACAAAAAACCCATTCTAGAAAGCATAGCTCTGGGGCCATCTGTCCTATTAACCCTGTAGCGGAGTGTTTGGTAGGAAACATAAATAATTGTACTGAATACCATGGGTCAATGTGTTCTAGTTGCCTTTGAGAGATAGCTTGTTCTATCTCTTCCATTTCCCTTTGTGTTGCAGGAGTTAAATATCTAGGAGAGTCTAGGGCTGTATTGCCCTTTAAGATAAAAAAGAGGTTCTGTATCAGTAGTTATGCCCAAGGTGGGATGAAGTCAGTTAATATTGCCTAGTAATTTCTGATAATCATTTAAGGTGTGTAAGTTGCTAGTATTTAATTTAACCTTTTGAGGTCTTACTGACTGGAAAGTTAGTATGTATCCAAAATATTTCCAAGGAGAGGACATTTGTAGTTTTTCAGGTGCTATGATTAAACCTCTTAACTGTGTATTCTTCATGACAGACGTACATAAACTTAAAAGCATTGGCTGCATTGGGGTTGCTAGTAAAATATCCATAAAATGAATAATCTTGCAATTAGGATTTTTTTTTTTTTTTTTTTACTGGGGAGCAAAGCCTGATTTACATGATACTGACACATGGTAGGACTGTACAGCATTCCTTGAGGAAGCACTTTCCAGTGAAATTGGCAAGCTGGCCTTTCATTATTGATAGCTGGTATTGTAAATGCAAATTTTTCTCTGTCTTGCTTTGCAAGTGGAATAGTATAAAAGCAGTCTTTTAAGTCAATAATGATTATAGACCAGTCTTGAGGAATCGCCGTAGGGGAGGGGAGCCCCTGCTGAAGGGGCCCCATAGTTTGCAAATTAGCATTAATAGCGTGTAAGTCATGCAAAAGTCTCCATTTACCAGACTTTTTGGGAATGACGAAAATGGGCAAATTCCCAGGGCTGTTTGACAGTTCTATATGGCCGACTTTTAATTGCTCCTCAACTAATTCATGGGCTCTTTGTAATTTCTCTCCCTTTAAAGGCCACTGTTTTACTCAAATAGGATTTTAAGAGAGCCACATCAGGGGTAGGGGAGAAATAACGGTGGCCATTATCAGAAAGAGGTCTGCAGAGTGACCTCAATTAACCCTCTTGTAAATGGGCTAGTGGCTTCATCTTCTCTAATGCCCCTTTTTATCTGTTTGCCTTATTGATCTAGCATAACTGGGCAGACGAAGAGCTCCCCTTCTAATGCCACTTGCCTAAGACAGGGTCCCATAGCTGTAGCCTATCCCATGTCTTTTTTCTAATTTACTAGACGAGGGGGCTCAGGCAAAACCTCCATCTCCTCTTTGTGATTTTGGCCTGGTGATAGCAGGGCTGAGGGTTAAGGAGGCAGTAAGGTAGGTTCTTCCTCCCTCCCCTTCTTAGGCTCTTCTGTGTATAACAGGACCAAAACTGCCCTAATTTAAGTCCATAACATTAAAGATGTTACTGGGACCCATTGCCCTTGCATGTGATGTTGTTTAAGATTTCTCCTCACTTGTTCCCAGAGCTGTATGTCTAGCATACCTTCTTCAGGGAGCTATGGGTTATGGGATACAAAAGTTTGGATTAGGTCCTTTAATTGAGACTGTGAAAGCGAGGCTCCACTAGCTTTAGCAGCTGTTTCAATACTTTTAAATACTGTTTCTGTTGAGCTGATAACTATTGTCCCATGATGAAACCCTAGCCTGAACAATTCCCTCGAACTTGGAAATCCCGAGCGGGCACCAATGATTTGCTGATTACTGACTGCACAGTCTTCTTCACCTTTGTTTTTGAGGGTTCCATCACAATTTGTTGCAGCATTCCTCTCATGGGGCACCACCTACCGGGTCCGACCCGCAGACCCTGGCTGAACGACGGATGGCAGAATGTACTCAGGCACAGGTATCCAGTGAAAGGGTGGGCTAGGGGACCAGGCCGTTCACAGGAAGAGTTGTAGCAGCCACGGCCCTGACTAGCTGGTGCTATGGGCATTTATTTAGTACAGATTTAATGACAAAGGCTTGAGTCAACACTCTTTGTAGGTAAATAATATTGCTGACCCTCCAAGTAGAGAGCAGTTCTGCACGCGAATGATCAAAGGTCAGTTTTAGGACAATATGAGTAAACAAGCTATTTAGGTAAACTCCTCTACATTTCTTTGTATCTACACCCTAAGCTGTCAGGCTCCTGAAAAGAGAATCTGGCTGCCTTCAGCCAAGTTATCTTTCAAAGATTTTGCAAAACCCCCTGGCCTTCCAAGAAGGTTTGCTTCTATTCCTATAATTTCTCCCACCACTCTGATCAATCTCCCACAGTACTGAATGGAGAAAAACTGAAAGCCTTTCCTCTATAATATAGAACACCACAAGGATGCCCACTTTGGACATTGTTAATCAACATAGTACTGGAAGTCCTAACTAGAGAAATCGGATGAGAAAGAAAGGGCATCCAAAATTCAGAAGACGTCAAATTACCTCTGTTTATAGGTGATATGATCTTATATTTGGAAGAACCTAAAGACTTCACCAAAAACCTGTTAGAACTGACAAATTCAGTAAAGTTGCAGCATACACAATCATACAAAAATCAATAGCATTTTTTTTGGAATCTAATTTTTTTAAATTATACTTTAAGTTCAAGGGTACATGTGCACAATGTGCAGGTTTGTTACATATGTATATATGTGCCATGTTGGTGTGCTGCACCCATTAACTCGTCATTTACATTAGGTATATCTCCTAATGCTATCCCTTCCCCCTCCCCCGACCTCACAACAGGCCCCGGTGTGTGATGTTCCCCTTCCTGTGTCCAAGTGATCTCATTGTTCAATTCCCACCTATGAGTGAGAACATGTGGTGTTTGGTTTTTTGTCCTTGCGATAGTTTGCTGAGAATGATGGTTTCCAGCTTCATCCATGTCCCTACAAAGGACATGAACTCATCCTTTTTTATGGCAATCAGTAGCATTTTTATATGCCAATGCAAATAATCTGAGAAAGAAATTTAAAAAGTAATCCCATTTACAATAGCTAAAAATAAAATTAAATACCTAGGAATTAACCAAAAAAGTGAAACATCTCTACAATAAAAACTATACAACACTAATAAAAAAATTTGAAGAATTCACTAATAAATGGAAAGATACTCTATGTTCATGAGTTTGGAGAATCAATATTGTTAAAATGACTATACTATCCAAAGAAGTCTACATGTTTATTGCAATTCCTATTACAAAAACCCAATGGCATTCTTCACAGAAATAGAAAAGACAAACTTTGCATGTTTTGACTTACTTGTGGGAGCTAAAAATTAAAACAATTGAACTCATGGAGACAGAGAGTAGAATGATGCTTACCAGAGGCTGAGAAGAGTAGTGGCGGTAGGGGGTGGCAGGGGGAAGTGAGAATGGTTAGTGAGCACAGAAAATTGTTAGAAAGAATTAATAAGATGTAGTATTTGATAGTTCTACTATATAGCTCACTAATAATTCCATTGCACACTTAAAAATAACTAAAAGAGTATAAGTGGATTGTTTGTAACACAAAAGATAAGTGCTTGAGGTGATGGATATCCCATTTATCTTGATGTGATTATTATCCATTATATGCCTGTATCAAAATGCCTCATGTACACCATACACAGACACACACACACACACACACACACATTATGTGTCCATAAGTTAAAAATAAAACAAATAAAATAACTAAATTTGATAACTGCATGTAGGTGGTAAGAAAGGAGTTAGTATAACTCTAGAGTTAGGAGATGAATTGTAGTGCCAGTTATAGGTCAGATAATAGGAGGAATCTGGGGGCTTATAATTAGTTGCAAGCTCCATCCCATGATACCACACTAGACACCTTGGAGGCATCATCATTGTGTGGTTGTCCCCAAACAAACTACATCAATAAATCAGAAATGGAAAGAAGAACCAACTCTTGTAAAGCCTAATATTATAAATGACCTGTTAGTGTCAGTTATCCATCTGATCATGTGAGACTTTCAGTCTCTTCCAGGTCTTCTTAGGACTTCTGGGAATTCCTCTGAAAACAGCCTGTCATGTGTAATCCTATGGAGGACCTTCTTTGTGTTCCTGTTTTAGCATCATGTTGACATCTGCTACCCTGAAATCCACTTAAAGGGATTTCAGTATTGCCTGAACTGGAACATAAGGACAACATTGCACAAACATAAGTACAAACATTGTTTATGCACAGAGTGCTTTTTCCCCTGTGTTCTAAGAGCTATTGAGGGGAATCTCCATCAAGATAACTGTTTTCTGTTCTGTTGCATTGCGTGGTCTTGTTCCTGAGCAACATCCCAGCTACTGTCAGCAGCTCACATAGTCTTTCTTACTTTAGTCCTAAACCAGCTCCCCTTTGATGTTTGAAACCAGTGCTAAGGCCTAAATGGAGAGCAATTTCTTTTCCTGGTCTATCCTCATTTCCCACTCTCATCCAGATTTTCCAAGTTAGAAAACAAACCCACACAGAGAATTTAATAATACTGTCTCATACAGAGAGATTCCAGGGAGGTTTTTAAGGTTTCACTAGTTACACAAAAATGCAAGTCATGTTTGGCTCCACTTGGACATCCTAGTATATTTCACTTCCCTGTTTCGTCTCCAGTACTTCCCCTTCATGATTCTACTCATCCACACTCTTCTGTCTTCTTTGGAATATACTTTTGTACTAAGAGCTGTCCTGGAGGGGACATGCCTTCTCCACTGTAGATTCTTATGGATGGGGGGACTGCCATGAAGTCTTTTGTTAGCAGTCTCTTCCAAAGCCTCTGAGAATTATTCTGTAAAGTTGGTCTTGCTGTCTTTGACACTTGCACAGCTGGTAAGAGCTGTAGCTCATTGTCTAGCATGCTTTTGTTTCTGTCTGTGTCCTCAGTAGTTTTGATGTCTTATTCTTAGCATGTCATACTGATTTGTAGCCCATAGAATATCAGTGCTGTGAGGAACTCCAGGGAGAACATCCTAGTCCACCCCTCCCCTCTACCGTCCCTTAATTTATTGATAAGAGAACAGGGTCCCGGAGAGGGAAGTAACATATCCTTGCGGTCAAGATCAGGCTTGCCATCAACTTTCCTGATCCTAATAGCAATGTAAATGCATGAGAATCAGATGGGGAAAATCGAGTTGGATTCTCACAATAACACTGGGCAAGGCACTTGTGAACTCATTTCACAAGTAAGAAAACAGATGTAAATTCAAGTTCATACAGTGAGTTAGTGATAAAGCCACTCTAGGTCCATATTTTTCATAATCATTCCCTCTGAAGCCTTGAGAAACTGTGATTTTAAATTAAACATGTAACCTGGGTTCCACACTATCCAAATACATATACAATATATAACCACTTTTTTTGACCAATATATTTCCTGATATTTGGAATTTTTTTGTGAATGTGTTGAATGAGAAATGAGCTATTAATTTATCTTCAAGCCTCAAAAATGCCATTAGAGAAAAACCTTAATAAAAATCCATCAACTGGTTAGGAGGATATTTTTTTTGAGAGCTCACCTGTCTGTGCCAGGTGAGTTTTGAGGCTAGAGACGGTGAGAACATTTAAAGTGTATCATTTGTATTTTCTCCCCAAAGCTGGGACCTTTTCTCTGATTCAGTCTGGCTGTCTTCTGTGACAGGCTGATTGACATGCCTACTTACAAGTGAGAATTTTAATGTATTTTTTATCTTTGAGGGAAATTTAGATTTGTTCTTCATAATATGGGAACGTTCAGCCACCTCCATCAACCTTCCATGTAGTTAAAAAATCTAACCAATAAGACTGTCCTGCAAATTTAACCTTGTGTAATGGGATGAAGAACACTTTGGCTTTATGGAAACACCAAGTTAAGACAAAACTGACTTCTTCTCTTTCCTGTGTTGGTAGCTATATGTGTGACCTTGGGCAAATTGGAGGCTTTCCTGGCACCTGTTTTCTGTTCTTAAAAACTAGATAGTACCTGAGGTCTCTTAGAGATGTAGAACAATTAGTCTCTTAGCCTATTTGGGGTGTTCATCTGACTTTAATCATTCATTTAGTGCATTGAGTATTAGGTATTATTGTAGTGAGGAGAGTTTTACGTTCATTTTGTCTAGTTAGGAACACGTTGCTGTAAAGAATAAATGAGGTAATGGATGTGAAAGCTCTCTGAAAAGCATAAATTCTAAAGTAAGTTATAGACATAATTCTTATTTAAGTACCTTAACTATTTTTTATATTTTTTCTAAGTAGCTAGCTGCTTAAGTATCAGATTCTTTCCAAGAAGATCTTACATAAGATATTGTTTTTCCCTCTTTTGGAAAGACAAGGAGTAACAAGGCATCAATTTCTACATAAAGTCTATAGATCCCTGATTTTTTATTTTACAAAATGATTCAGATTCCAGAATGGACAGAAATGAATCACACTTTCTACTTGTGCGCATAGTGTGCTTTGTGCGGCAGGACTCAGCTGCTGTGGGTATAGTCACACTGAACAATGTGGGATTTCAAAAGGAAGACAGAGCAGTTGTCTTCTGGAGAAGCCCAGGGTATGTGCAAGAAGATAGGGGTTAATAAAACATATAATAGAAGTAACCATATAGATCGTCTGGTCAAGGATTCATAAAATCAAATGTCAGGTCCACTGGATTATGGTAGTGAGTAAAGTGAGCTAGTGATGAGCTGTGATATACCAATGGGGGTAGCTGCAATTTACCTCCAGCTGACTGATGCCATGTTGGGAATGTGAAAGCAGTGTTGCTGGTGTTTGAAGAAAAGCTGAAAAATATTGGAGATAAGCCATTCTAATTTGTTTGCCTCCCTCCCTCCCTCCTTTTGTTGTTACAAGGTCTCCTTCTTTTGCCCAGGCTGGAGTGCAGTGACGTGATCACGGCTCACTGCAACATTGACCTCCGGGGCTTAGGTGATCCTCCCACCTCAGCCTCCCTAGTAGCTGGGACTATAGACATGCAAGTCAATGCCCAGCTAATTTTTGTATTTTGTTTTGTAGAGATAGGGTTTCACCATGTTCCCCAGGCTGGTCTCGAACTCCTGGGCTCAAGCAATCTGCCTACCTTGGCCTCCCAAAGTGCTAGGATTACAGGCATGAGCCACGGCACCCAGCCAGCTTTTCTAATTGGTAAATGTGTTTCAAGTGAGGTCAAGATCTTGTCTATGACCTACTGATTTAAGGTGTATGATCTAGACCAACTTTATTTTTTAACTTAAAATATTTTTTCCTCTTATCTATCAACTACCTATTGAGTAGATAGCATATGTTTGGAACTTTGCCTAGATGTAGGGATACAAAGAAGAGTATAGCCCAGCTCTATAGGGTTAGTCATGTAAGCAGGTAAGAGTAATCATATAATATGATTACTATTATATTAATAGAGATTTGTCCAAAGTGAAGTGGGAGAACACGTGAATATAATCCACTCTATTACGTATCCTGCCCACTCAACACATAACTTTGGTTTACTTTTAAAAATATGTATCATTGCTATTGCCTACGCCAGTATCCACGAAAATGCACCAAGCCTCCTTGAAAACAAAGACAACACTCCCGTTGCATCAGGCATAATTTTTTTTTTTTAAATAAAAATAACTTTCCTTCTGCTTGGGAAAAAATAACTTTAGCTATTGAAAAATAATACAGGAAATGGAACCCAGAGCACCAATTCTTCTAAACTTTGAGAAATAATTGTAGTAAATTCTTATAATTTTATGTTGTCTTTGCATTTATTGTGAATATAGATTTAAATTTCTCATTTCAGAAGGAGACCTTAGTCAACCTTGACTTGGTTTCCCATTTCTGCCTTCTCCAGTTCCCTAATATAGTTGATCCAGATATCTGTCTTATACAGTCACCTCTGGGTGGCCACTCCTTTATGGGACAGCTAGATTCAACCTATTTGACTTACTCTGCTGACCCCATAACCTGCACAGACTGCACAGATATGCTTCGGTGACCACCTCTCCTTCACAGTGTGACTCAAGAGAACTTGTGTCAGCCTGCTCTAAAGTCACTAATCACAACTGCCTGCTAGAAGCCTGCTTGGGTAATGCTCTGGACCCCTGTAATGGCTTTGGCATGTAGGTCCTTCTCTCTCTTCCTCCCCACGTACTCATTGAGTGTCCATGCCCCAGATGGCTTCCTACTTCTTGTTGGTCCTATGTAGCATGGGGCCTTCTCCGTGATCTATAAGTAATACATTGCTTTTCTTACTTCATGTGTCTTGTTGAGTTGCCTCCTCTGTGTTTCACGGGACTACCACATCTGAACCTAACTTCTTTCCTGCTTGGGGCTCTCCTAGAGAGTGGCTGTCTTAGTAGAGGTAAACCGGACACAGGTCAGACTAGAGCCACAAGGGTGTCTGCCAGTAGAAATGATTTTTCTGTGAGAAGGACAATTGAACACTGGTCAGACACTTAGGTATTAGGCCATCTGCCATGATAAAGAAGTATCCTGTGAAAGACCCACTGTAATCACCATCACCAAATCCGTGACTCTCCATCAGGGAAGGGATAGTTAGTAGTTACTTTCTTGAAAAAAACCTCATGACCAAATTAGAAAAAATACAAAAGGAATCAATCAAATCCTAACAGTTAATATTTGTAGCATGCTTTGTAGTTTACAAGGTGCTTTTATAAATGAGTCAGTTGGGCACGGTGGCTCACACCTGTAATCCCAGGGCTTTGGGAGGCTGAGGCGGGTGGATCACCTGAGGTCAGGAGTTCAAGGCCAGCCTGGCCAACATGGTGAAGCCCCGTCTCTACTAAAAATACAAAAATTAGCCGGGCATGGTGGTAATCCCAGCTACTCCAGAGTCTGAGGTAGGAGAATCGCTTGAACCTGGGAGGTAGAGGTTGCAGTGAGCAGAGATCGCGCCACTGCACTCCAGGCTGGGTGACAGAGCAAGACTCTCTCTCCAAAAAACAAACAAACAAACAAAAAGTAGTAACAAATAGTTTGTAGCTAATTGTAATTGTAAAGTGTCTGGAAGCTCTGTTAGCTGGGATGGTAGGTGGCCCCAGATGAAGATCATAGGGGTAATTGTGTCTGATGTTTAAAGGAATAGGGAGGAGATGTTTATGTATTTTTCTTTATACAGCATGTGAAAAGATACTGTGTTTCTCAGCTTTTAGAGAGGATAGGAATAGAGGGGACCAAAAGAATCAGCCCCACAGGCATTTTTTTTTTTTTTTTACTTGTTGATCCCAGAAAGGAGAACTATTCCAGACATGGAGCGGGCAGCACCCTTGCAGAGATAATGGCATTCTCTGAGGTTTGGGATGATCAACAGCAGAAGCCTGAGCCACTGTCATGGAGCTTACTGAGCAGAGGACATCCACTGTAAGGGAGCAGAAAAGTCATGGCTGCTGTTTTAGGGTGACTGTTGCTGATAGATTGGCTTTTGTATGTTAAACACCCTGAGGCACTTCCTGAAATATTGGGAACCAGGAAGGGGGAGATTTTTGGAACATGGATATTTTTCATAACCACATAAGCGCAATGGTAGGAAATCTGGCTTGTAGTTGTTTATATCACTTTATTTGTGCAAATAAATTTGTGGCCTAGGAACAGCTATATTATGTTGTTTCTAGAGTATCAGTTTTTGCTCACCGCATTGCTGTGCCAGTACAGCACACATAAAGTTTATTTATTTACAGTGAAAGACTACATGATTTACTGATTTCATACTTTTTCCGTTCTAGATGCAAAGAGCAGAATCTTTCTATTATGTAGGGTTGTGAGAGAGTTCTCAACATTTTGGAGAAACAGCCTCTCTGAATTGCATAGATGTACTCGGATGCTACATTCTTAGATAAGATGTCAGTAGATTCTTCAAAATCTCTTGGGAAAAGATCACAGGGCTGTGAACATTGATAGTACCAAGTTAGCACAATCCTCATATCACAAGATGCTGTGGGATCAGACCAGGGTTTTGCAGTTACGGTTGACATGGGAATTGTTGACAGGTGGTTGCTTGACAAAGATTTATGAAAGCCATTAAATGCTGGCGCATTTACCTGGTAGGAACAGAATTATTTGAGGATGGTGCAAGTTAATTTTCCCATGGGAAAATGGTGAAGTAAGAAAAATGCAGGTATCCTGAAACATACTCCTACCTCAGAGGCACTGCATTCGCTCTTCCATTTGCCTGCATTGCAGTCCATTGTTCTTAGCTCATATTTTTAAATTTATGTATGTATTTCTTTCTTTTGTCTCCCCTGAACCCCTTTAAAATAGGATTGTTTACTGACTGTAGACTTGGATTTTCTGTCTTGTTCTTCACTGTATTACTCTCATCAGATAGTGCCTGGTAAATAGTCAATGCCCAGAAATATCTGTTAGAAAATTATTAAATTTGACCCCATTTGGCAGTATTTTAGTAGAAAATTTGGCAGAAGAAAATTTCATTTTATGTTACATTTCTTGCCTCTATTTTAAAAATCTTTTTATTTTAAACTAATTGTAAACCGAAGTAAAGTTACAACTATTCTGAGTTCCTATAACCTTTAAAATATCTTTCCCTATGTTAACATCTTACATGAAGTATAATCATTGAAACCAGCATATTAATATTCATGTAATACTGTTAACTAATATATAGACCTTCTTCACATTTTACTGATTTTCTTACCAATGCCATGGATTTGTTCAAGAACCAATCTAAAATTCCATATTACATGTAGTTATCAGGTCTCCTTAGTCTTGAGACTCCATACACACATTCTCAGTCTTGTCGTTTTTATTTTTTTGTGTGGGTGTGTTTCATAGCCTTGATTCACTTGAGGAATGCTGATCATTTTGGAGACTGTTACCCAATTTGGGTTTTCTGATACCTTCTCATGATTACATCAAGGACATGCATTTTTGGCAAAAATACCACAAAAATGATATGACTACCTCCTCCATCTCTGTGGGTCATTTCATAGGGTCTGTGACATTGATAAGTCCCACTGCTGTGACGTCAACTTTGATCACCTGGTCAAGAAGGTGACTGCCAGGTTTCTTCATTGTGAAGTTGCTGATTTATCCTATGTAGTTAACACGTTCTTACGGGAAAATTCTTGTTGATTATGTGAAGGTACTGTTTCTCATCTCAGTTTTGTCCTCCAATTGGTGGCCCTTGCCTGCAATAACTATTACTGTGTTTGCCTGATGGTGATTTTGTAATTCCACCATTCCTTCTAACTGGAATTCTTCTGTAATGAATCATGGTATCTTCTCCCCAACTTTTATCTGTTCAATAATTTATTTATTTATTTATTTATTTTATTATTATTATACCTTAAGTTTTAGGGTACATGTGCACAATGTGCAGGTTAGTTACATATGTATACATGTGCCATGCTGGTGTGCTGCACCCATTAACTCGTCATTTAGCATTAGGTATATCTCCTAAGGCTATCCCTCCCCCCTCCCCCAACCCCACAACAGTCCCCAGAGTGCGATGTTCCCCTTCCTGTGTCCATGTGCTCTCATCGCTCAATTCCCACCTATGAGTGAGAATATGCGGTGTTTGGATTTTTGTCCTTGTGATAGTTTACTGAGAATGATGATTTCCAATTTCATCCATGTCCCTACAAAGGACATGAACTCATCCTTTTTTATGGCTGCATAGTATTCCATGGTGTATATGTGCCACATTTTCTTAATCCAGTCTGTCATTGTTGGACATTTGGGTTGGTTCCAAGTCTTTGCTATTGTGAACAGTGCCGCAATAAACATACGTGTGCATGTGTCTTTATAGCAGCATGATTTATAGTCCTTTGGGTATATACCCAGTAATGGGATGGCTGGGTCAAATGGTATTTCTAGTTCTAGATCCCTGAGGAATCACCACACTGACTTCCACAATGGTTGAACTAGTTTACAGTCCCACCAACAGTGTAAAAGTGTTCCTATTTCTCCACATCCTCTCCAGCACCTGTTGTTTCCTGACTTTTTAATGATTGCCATTCTAACTGGTGTGAGATGGTACCTCATTGTGGTTTTGATTTGCATTTCTCTGATGGCCAGTGATGGTGAGCATTTTTTCATGTGTCTTTTGGCTGCATAAATGTCTTCTTTTGAGAAGTGTCTGTTCATGTCCTTCGCCCACTTTTTGATGGGGTTGTTTTTTTCTTGTAAATTTGTTTGAGTTCATTGTAAATTCTGGATATTAGCCCTTTGTCAGATGAGTAGGTTGTGAAAATTTTCTCCCATTCTGTAGGTTGCCTGTTCACTCTGATGGTAGTTTCTTTTGCTGTGCAGAAGCTCTTTAGTTTAATTAGATCCCATTTGTCAATTTTGGCTTTTGTTGCCATTGCTTTTGGTGTTTTAGTCATGAAGTCCTTGCCCATGCCTATGTCCTGAATGGTAATGCCTAGGTTTTCTTCTAGGGTTTTTATGGTTTTAGGTCTAATGTTTAAGTCTTTAATCCATCTTGAATTAATTTTTGTATAAGGTGTAAAGAAGGGATCCAGTTTCAGCTTTCTACCTATGGCTAGCCAGTTTTCCCATCACCATTTATTAAATAGGGAATCCCTTCCCCATTGCTTGTTTTTCTCAGGTTTGTCAAAGATCAGATAGTTGTAGATACACGGCGTTATTTCTGAGGGCTCTGTTCTGTTCCATTGATCTATATCTCTGTTTTGGTACCAGTACCATGCTGTTTTGGTTACTGTAGCCTTGTAGTATAGTTTGAAGTCAGGTAGCGTGATGCCTCCAGCTTTGTTCTTTTGGCTCAGGATTGACTTGGCGATGCGGGCTCTTTTTTGGTTCCATATGAACTTTAAAGTAGTTTTTTCCAATTCTATGAAGAAAGTCACTGGTGGCTTGATGGGGATGGCATTGAATCTATAAATTACCTTGGGCAGTGTGGCCATTTTCACAATATTGATTCTTCCTACCCATGAGCATGGAATGTTCTTCCATTTCTTTGTATCCTCTTTTATTTCATTGAGCAGTGGTTTGTAGTTCTCCTTGAAGAGGTCCTTCACATCCCTTGTAAGTTGGATTCCTAGGTATTTTATTCTCTTTGAAGCAATTGTGAATGGGAGTTCACTCATGATTTGGCTCTCTGTTTGTCTGTTATTAGTGTATAAGAATGCTTGTGATTTTTGTACATTGATTTTGTATCCTGAGACTTTGCTGAAGTTGCTTATCAGCTTAAGGGGATTTTGGGCTGAGACAATGGGGTTTTCTAGATATACAATCATGTCGTCTGCAAACAGGGACAATTTGACTTCCTCTTTTCCTAATTGAATACCCATTATTTCCTTCTCCTGCCTAATTGCCCTGGCCAGAACTTCCAACACTCTGTTGAATAGGAGTGGTGAGAGAGGGCATCCCTGTCTTGTGCCAGTTTTCAAAGGGAATGCTTCCAGTTTTTGCCCATTCAGTATGATATTGGCTGTGGGTTTGTCATAGATAGCTCTTATTATTTTGAGAGATGTCCCATCAATACCTAATTTATTGAGAGTTTTTAGCATGAAGAGTTGTTGAGTTTGTCAAAGGCCTTTTCTGCATCTATTGAGATAATCATGTGTTTTTTGTCTTTGGTTCTGTTTATATGCTGGATTACATTTATTGATTTGCGTATATTGCACCAGCCTTGCATCCCAGGGATGAAGCCCACTTGATCATGGTGGATAAGCTTTTTGATGTGCTGCTGGATTCGGTTTGCCCATATTTTATTGAGGATTTTTGCATCAATGTTCATCAAGGATATTGGTCTAAAATTCTCTTTTTTGGTTGTGTCTCTGCCCGGCTTTGGTATCAGGATGATGCTGGCCTCATAAAATGAGTTAGGGAGGATTCCCTCTTTTTCTATTGATTGGAATAGTTTCAGAAGGAATGGTACCAGTTCCTCCTTGTACCTCTGGTAGAATTCGGCTGTGAATCCATCTGGTCCTGGACTCTTTTTGGTTGGTAAGCTATTGATTATTGCCAAAATTTCAGAGCCTGTTATTGGTCTATTCAGAGATTCAACTTCTTCCTGGTTTAGTCTTGGGAGGGTGTATGTGTCGAGGAATTTGTCCATTTCTTCTAGATTTTCTGGTTTATTTGCGTAGAGGTGTTTGTAGTATTCTCTGATGGTTGTTTATATTTCTGTAGGATTGGTGGTGATATCCCCTCTATCATTTTTTATTACATCCATTTGATTCTTCTCTCTTTTCTTCTTTATTAGTCTTGCTAGCGGTTTATCAATTTTGTTGATCCTTTCAAAAAACCAGCTCCTGGATTCATTAATTTTTTGAAGGGTTTTTTGTGTCTCTATTTCCTTCAGTTCTGCTCTGATTTTCATTATTTCTTGCCTTCTGCTAGCTTTTGAATGTGTTTGCTCTTGCTTTTCTAGTTCTTTTAATTGTGATGTTAAGGTGTCAGTTTTGGATCTTTCCTGCTTTCTCTTGTGGGCATTTAGTGCTATAAATTTCCCTCTACACACTGCTTTGAATGCGTCCCAGAGATCCTGGTATGTTGTGTCTTTGTTCTCATTGGTTTCAAAGAACATCTTTTTTTCTGCCTTCATTTCGTTATGTACCCAGTAGTCATTCAGGAGCAGGTTGTTCAGTTTCCATGTAGTTGAGCGGCTTTGAGTGAGTTTCTTCATCCTCAGTTCTAGTTTGATTGCACTGTGGTCTGAGAGACAGTTTGTTGTAATTTCTACTATTTTACATTTGCTGAGGAGAGCTTTACTTCCAACTATATGGTCAATTTTGGAACAGGTGTGATTTGGTGCTGAAAAAAATGTATATTCTGTTGATTTGGGGTGGAGAGTTCTGTAGATGTCTATTAGGTCCACTTGGTGCAGAGCTGAGTTCAATTCCTGGGTATCCTTGTTGACTTTCTGTCTTGTTGATCTGTCTAACGTTGACAGTGGGGTGTTAAAGTCTCCCATTATTATTGTGTGGGAGTCTAAGTCTCTTTGTAGGTCACTCAGGACTTGCTTTATGAATCTGGATGCTCCTGTATTGGGTGCATATATATTTAGGATAGATAGCTCTTCTTGTTGAATTGATCCCTTTACCATTATGTAATGGCCTTCTTTGTCTCTTTTGATCTTTTTTGGTTTAAAGTCTGTTTTATCAGAGACTAGGATTGCAACCCCTGCCTTTTCTTGTTTTCCATTTGCTTGGTAGATCTTCCTCCATCCCTTTATTTTGAGCCTATGTGTGTCTCTGCACATGAGATGGGTTTCCTGAATACAGCACACTGATGGGTCTTGACTCTTTATCCAATTTGCCAGTCTTTGTCTTTTAATTGGAGCATTTAGTCCATTTACATTTAAAGTTAGTATTGTTATGTGTGAATTTGATCCTGTCATTATGATGTTAGCTGGTTATTTTGCTCATTAGTTGATGCAGTTTCTTCGTAGGCTCGATGGTCTTTACAATTTGGCATGATTTTGCAGTAGCTGGTACCGGTTGTTCCATTCCACGTTTAGTTCTCCCTTCAGGAGCTCTTTTAGGGCAGGCCTGGTGGTGACAAAATCTCTCAGCATTTGCTTGTCTGTGAAGTATTTTATTTCTCCTTCACTTATGAAGCTTAGTTTGGCTGGATATGAAATTCTGGGCTCAAAATTCTTTAAGAATGTTGAATATTGGCCCCTACTCTCCTCTGGCTTGTAGAGTTTCTGCCAAGAGATCCGCTGTTAGTCTGATGGGCTTCCCTTTGTGGGTAACCCGACCTTTCTCTCTGGATGCCCTTAACATTTTTTCCTTCATTTCAACTCTGGTGAATCTGACAATTATGTGGCTTGGAGTTGCTCTTCCTGAGGAGTATCTTTGTGGTGTTCTCTGTATTTCCTGAATCTGAATGTTGGCCTGCCTTGCTAGATTGGGGAAGTTCTCCTGGTTAATATCCTGCAGAGTGTTTTCCAACTTGGTTCCATTCTCCCCGTCACTTTCAGGTACACTAATCAGATGTAGATTTGGTCTTTTCACATAGTCCCATATTTCTTGGAGGCTTTGTTCATTTCTTTTTATTCTTTTTTCTCTAAACTTCCCTTCTCGCTTCATTTCATTCATTTAGACTTCCATCACTGATACCCTTTCTTCCAGTTGATGGCATCGGCTCCTGAGCCTTCTGCAGTCTTCATGTAGTTCTTGAGCCTTGGCTTTCAGCTCCATCAGCTCCTTTAAGCACTTCTCTGTATTGGTTATTCTAGTTATACATTCTTCTAAATTTTTTTCAAAGTTTTTAACTTCTTTGCCTTTGGTTTGAATTACCTCCTGTAGCTCGGAGTAGTTTGATCGTCTGAAGCCTTCTTCTCTCAACTCGTCACAGTCATTCTCCGTCCAGCTTTGTTCCATTGCTGGTGAGGAACTGTGTTCCTTTGTAGGAGGAGAGGCACTCTGCTTTTTAGAGTTTCCAGTTTTTCTGCTCTGTGTTTTCCCCATCTTTGTGGTGTTATCTACTTCTGGTCTTTGATGATGGTGATGTACAGATGGGTTTTTGGTGTGGATGTCCTTTCTGTTTGTTAGTTTTCCTTCTAACAGACAGGACCCTCAGCTGCAGGTCTGTTGGAGTTGGCTAGAGGTCCACTCCAGGCCCTGTTTGCCTGGGTATCAGCAGTGGTGGGTGCATAACAGCGGATTTTTGTGAACTGCAAATGCTGCTGTCTGATCGTTCCTCTGGAAGTTTTGTCTCAGAGGAGTACCCGGCCATGTGAGGTGTCAGTCTGCTCCTATTGGGGGGTGCCTCACAGTTAGGCTGCTCTGGGGTCAGGGGTGTGGGACCCACTTGAGGAGGCAGTCTGCCCTTTCTCAGATCTCCAGCTGCGTGCTGGGAGAACCACTGCTCTCTTCAATGCTGTCAGACAGGGACATTTAAGTCTGTAGCGGTTACTGCTGTCTTTTAGTTTGTCTGTGCCCTGCCCCCAGAGGTGGAGCCTACAGAGCCAGGCAGGCCTCCTTGAGCTGTGGTGGGCTCCACCCAGTTTGAGCTTCCTGGCTGCTTTGGTTACCTAAGCAAGCCTGGGCAATGGTGGGTGCCCCTCCCCCAGCCTCGCTGCCACCTTGCAGTTTGATCTCAGACTGCTGTGCTAGCAATCAGCGAGACTCCGTGGGCGTAGGACCCTCCAAGCCATGTGGGGGATAAAATCTCCTGGTGTGCCGTTTTTTAAGCCCGTCGGAAAAGTGCCATATTAGGGTGGGAGTGACCTGATTTTCCAGGTGCCGTCTGTCACCCCTTTTTTGACTAGGAAAGGGAACTCCTGACCCCTTGCGCTTCCCGAGTGAGGCAATGCCTCACCCTGCTTTGGCTCGTGCACGGTGCACTGCACCCACTGACCTGTGCCCATTGTCTGGCACTCCCTAGTGAGATGAACCCGGTACCTCAGATAGAAATGCAGAAATCACCCGTCTTCTGCATTGCTCACGCTCAGACCTGTAGATTGGAGCTGTTGCTATTCGGCCATCTTGGTTGCCACCATCCTGTTCAATAATTTATTTATATCAGTATGGATTCATGGATATTTGTTCTGTGTGCTATGGTACAAGTTGCCATTATTTTATTGCTCAAATTATCTCAGATTTTGCTATTAGGATCTTAAAATTGGTTCCTGTTTTCCATCAATGTTGCCTGTCAGTTTGGGGGCACTTCCTTACTCTCTGGCACCACAAGATATTTCAGGTTTATTTTGTATTTTCTTACTCTTAGATCTGGAAAAATCCAACAATTTTTCCAAGGATTTCTGACTCTGTTGAAAAACTGGTATTTATAACCCAAGATCTGGGTGATAGTTTTGCTTATGGCTTCTGAGGTAACATTCTTTTTAGGCCCTGTCAGCAGACAGAACTAGGTAATGTATGTATAAATAATAACACATGCACAAACATGTATCTATATTTATTTGTATGTTTATCCATAAGAAGATTGTTAGTATTTTTTGTTGTGGTAGTGTTAAGTTTATAAACTAACTTGGGAGGACCTTACATCCTTAAATTGTTGTCATCACTTCCGGAGTTGTTCAACTCTATTTTTATGTATTTAATAGGTATTTAACAATTATTCTCATAGATTTTTGTATATTAAGTATGCACATTTTTTTTTATTTTTATATTTTATTTTTTGAGATGGAGTCTCACTCTGTTGCCCACGCTGGAGTGCAGTGGCTCGATCTCAGCTCACTGCAAGCTCTGCATCCCAGGTTCACACCAGTCTCCTGCCTCAGCCTCCTGAGTAGCTGGGACTACAGGCGCCCGCCACCACGCCCTGCTAATTTTTTGTATTTTTAGTAGAGAAGGGGTTTCACCATGTTAGCCAGGATGGTCTCGATCTCCTGAACTTGTGATCTGCCCACCTCGGCCTCCCAAAGTGCTGGGATTACAGGCGTGAGCCACCGCGCCCGGCCTAAATATGCACATTTATTAAGCATGTAGTCTTTGTCCCTGTTGTAAGCAGCATTTTCTTTGTAATGCCATTTTCTGTTTATTGTTTGTATACATGAGGGCTAGGATGCTTTATTATTACAGGTGATTTTAGGTCCACTCTATGTCCTTTTGCTAGCTTCTCTCTTCTGTATCCCTGGCAGGTTTTTTTTCAGTCTGCCTTTGCCCACCACAAAGTTTGAAGGAAAGGCAAGAGTGGGGCAGGAACATTAGAAATTGTGTAGATAGTGTAGACCTGATGATTTTTCTCTTTTCTAAGTGCTAGTTTGTAGTATCAGCATTCTGTCTTTAAATTATGCTCAGTGTATGTTTTTTGTGGAGATTTATTTCCCCTTTCTTGTTGCGTATTGCTTTTGGAGAAAACATGGAAAAACAGGTAGCTAGACAGCTGTCATTTTCTTCAGCTACCTGGAAGTCCTAGGTTCAATTTTTAATTTTTTATTATTGTTGTTAATTAACAAATACACATTTATGGGGTGAAATGCAGTGTTTTGATACATGCATAGAATGTGGAATAATTAAATCAACCGAATTAGCATTCATCAATTTGATTACCTATGATTTCTTAGGGTCAGACATTTGATTTAGTACGTTATTACTGAGTATAGCGACTGTTCTGTGCAATAGATTTCAAAACCTGTTCTTTCTGTCTGAAACTCTGCCCTTTGATCAACAATTCCCTATTCCCTCTTTTTTCAGCTCCTCTGACCTCTGGTAACCATCAGTCTATGCTACTTTTGTGAGTTGAACATTTTTAGATTCCACATGTAGGTGAAATCATGTGGTATCTGTCTTTCTGTGCCTGGCTTATTTCACTTAGCATAATGTCTTCCAGATTCATCTATGTTGTTGAAAATGGCAGGATTTCCCTCCTTTTAAAGGCTGTATTAATAGTATTCCCTTGCATGCATGTACCACATTTTCTTTATCCATTAATCCACTGAAGGACACTTGTGTTGATTCTGTATCTTGGCCATTGTGATTAATGCTACAATGAACGTGAGAGTACAGATATCTCTTTGACATTCTGAAATTTGACTCAATTTCATTTCCTTTGGATATACACCCAGAAGTGAGATTACAGGATCATATGGTGGTTCTATTTTTAGTTGTTCTAGGAGCCTCCATACCATTTTCCATACTGGTTATACTAATTTACATTCCCACCAAGAATGTATGAGAGTTCCCTTTTTTCCACATACTCATCAACACATTATCTTTTTGATGAAAGTTATTCTAACGGGTGTCAGGTGACCTCTCATTGTGGTTTTAATTTGCATTTCCATGAGGATTATGAGCCTGAGCATTGTTTTATGTACCTGTTGGCCACTTAATATCTTTTGAGAAATGTCAGTTTAGGCCCTTTGCCCATTTTAAATCAGGTAATTTATTTTCTTGCTAGTGAGTTGTTGAGTTCCTTGTATATTCTGGTGATTAGTCCCTTGTTGAATGAATAGTTTGAAAATATTTTCTCCCATTCTGTTGTATGGCCCTTCACTTTGTTGTTTCTTTTCCAGAGGCTTTTTGGTTTGATGCCATCCCTTTTATCTATTTTTGCTTTTGTTGCCTGTGCTTCTGAGGTCATGCCCAAAGTATCATTTCCCAGACCCATGTTGTGGACCTTTTCTTCCATGTTTTCTTCTAGTGGTTTTACAGTTTCAGGTACGATATTTAAAACTTTAATCTATTTTTAATTGATTTTTGAATATGGTGTAAGATAAGGGTCCAGTTTCAGTCTTCTGCATGTAGATATCTACTTTTCCCAACATCATTTATTGAAGAGACTGTCCTACCCCCATTTTGTATTCTTGGTACCTATCTCAAAAATCAATTGACCGTAAATGCATGGGTTTATTTGTGAGCTTCCTGTCCTGTTTGATTTGTTAATATGTTTGTTTTTGTACCACACTCATGCTGTTTTGATTACAATCACTTTGTAAAATATGTTGAAATCCATTATCATGATGCCTTCAACTTTGTTCCTTTTTCCTCAAGATTGCTTTGGCTATTCAGAGTCTTATGTGTTTCTATAAGACTTTTGGAATTAAAAAAATATTCTGAGGGTAATGCCATTAGAATTTTGATGGGAATTGTGTTGAATCTGTAGATCGCTTTGGCCAGTATGGACATTTTAATAATATTGATTCTTCTAATCCATGAAGAATATGTTTCCATGTATTTGTGTAATCTTCAATTTATTTGCTCAATATTTTATAGTTTTTAGTATAGAGATCTTTACCCTCCTGATTAAATTTTCTCCTGTGAATGTTCTGAGGCTTTTATAAATGAGATTTCCTTTTTTTGTCTCCAGATAGTTTTTTGTTAGTGTATAGAAATGCTACTGATTTTTCTTTGTTGACTTTGTATCTTATTGACTTTATCAGTTCCAACAGGTTTTGTTTTGGCAGTCTTTAGAGTTTTCTGTATACAAATCATGTTATCAGCAACTGGAGATAGTTCAACTACTTCATTTCCGTTTTGGAAGCATTTTCTTTGTTTCTATTGCCTGATTGCTCTGAATAGGACTTCCAGTACTATGTTAAAAAGAAGAGATGATACCGGGCATCCTTGTCTGGTTCCTGATCTCAGAGGAAAGCCTCTCAAGTTTTCACCTTTAAGAATGTTAGCCTCAGAGGAAAGCCTCTCAACTTTTCACCTTTAAGAATGTTAGCCAGGACTTTGTCATATGTGATCTTTTATTGTGCTGAGGTATTTTCCCTCTATATCTAATCAATTGAGAGTTTCTATCATGAAAAAGTGTTGAATTTTGTCAAAGATTTTCCTGATCTATTGAGATGATCATAATTTTTATCCCTCATTTTGTGAGAGTGATGATCACATTTATAGATTTGAGTATGTTGATCCATCCTTGCATCCCAGAGATAAATGCCATTTGATTATGGTGTATGATCATTTTAATCTGTTGTTGAAATGTGTTGTTGAATTTGATTTGCTGGTATTTTTTTGAGGACTTTTGCATCTGTGTTAATCAGGGATATTTATCTGTAATTTTCCATTCTTTTAGTATCGTCATCTGGCTTTGGTGTAAGGTAATGCTGGCCTCATACAATGAATTTGAAAGTATTTCCCCCTCTTCAATTTTTTGAAAGAGTTTGAGAATAATTAGTATTAGTTCTTATTTAAATATTTGTAGATTTTAGCAGTGAAGCCGTCTGGTCATAGTCTTTTCTTAATGGGAGTCTATATTACTGATTCAGTTTTCGTACTCATTACTAGTCTGTTCGGATTTTCTATTTCTTTCTGTTTCAATCTTGGTAAGTTATTATATGTCTTAGGAATTTATCCATTTTTTTCTAGATTATCCAATTTGTTAGCATATAATTTTTCATAGCATTTTCTTATCCTTTATATTTTTGTGGTATCAATTGTAACGTTTCTTCTGTAATTTCTGATGTTATTTACATGGAAGTTATAGGTTGAATTTTTAATTTGTTAAAAGTTTTGAGTGTTTTTCTCAGCAACATTGTGGTTCTTTGTAACTTGTACTTTTCCTAAGTGTCTCTTCTACAAATTTGTTTTTAGTTTTTAGGAACAGGGTCTCACTCTGTTGCCCAGGCTGGAGTGCAGTGGTGCAATCATAGCTCATTGCAGCCTAAACCTCCTGGGCTCAAGCAATCCTCTTGCCTCAGCCTCCCAAAGTGTTGGGACTACAAGCGTGAGCCACCATGCCTAGCTACTTTTTGTGTGTATCTCCTTTATTGCTTGCTTTTTCTCCTATATGTAGGTAGGATAAAATATAAATAGTATTCAGATTGTGATGTAAGCTTAAATATTTAGAGGCTGACACGGCAGTGAACAACAACAACAAAAAGGACCACAGAGTTGTGCGAGAATGAGAGGTTTGGAGAAAATTTAGAAGAGTCTGAAAATAAAAGTTTAGGGCAGGAGAAAAAAGGCTTAAATGAGATTAATAGGAAAGAGGAGGAAAGCCTGAAGGGAGAAGGGGATGCTGATTTACTGTGCCTCTCACCTGTCCTCCTTCGATCTCAGCGTCTAGGGCTGGGTCCCTACCTGGTGTGGAGTTGCCTTCTCCCTGACTGTCACTCCCTTTACTCAGAGCTGAACCCTCTGCCTTCAGTAAGATGAAGTCCTGCTAGATCTTTGCCTGTGATCTCTTAACCATCCCCATGGAGGAACAACCCTTTTTCTAATGGATCCTCTGCAAATCCCAGTTATTTACCTGTGTATATCTTTCTGTGGGCCTTTGTGGCTCTTCTAGGATGGGAAGTGCCTCCATCCTAGTCTCTGGACTCCTCTCTTCCCTCTGCTGAATGTGTGTTGGTAGCTATGTGTCCATTTGCCTGTGTACCTGATGGTGCTTTCACCACTCATTCTAATATAGTCTATTTTTCTCTCAGTGTTATTTCTTACATAGTTTAATAATTAATTGATTTTTACAAGTGAACTGATTGTCAGTCTCTGTGCTAGTGGCTATAATGAATATAGAAAAATGCACAATTGATACTCACAGATTTAGTATGAGACATACAGCATACCTATAAAAAATAGAGGGCAAAGCAGAAAGTACAGAAAAAAACCTTAATATTTTTACTCCTCATTGACAAATAACAATGTTACATCAATAATTCAGAGTGGCATCTTAGTACTAACTCTTGGTGCAAGTATCTTTCATACACTTTAAGTTAAATACCGTGTTATAATGTGTTGTGAAAATTTAAATGACAGAATTTCCTTTTTACATTGAGAATTTGAAGTTTATGGTTCTAGCCCATTGGTTACAACTGAGAAAAGTAAGGCACTTACCTGTAACCTCAGCTCCTTGGCAGGCTGAAGCAGGAGGATCAAGGCTGCAGTGCACTATGGCTCTGATTGTAAATAGCCACTACACTCTAGCTTGGACAACATAGTGAGATCTTGTCTCAGAAAAAAAAAAAAAAAGAATCCTGAGGAAAGTAGGAAAATTTTTTCTCATGAAATTTTCCAGTAAGACTGTCAGTAATACAATAGTGTTCGTGGGGCAAATAAACAAGTGTTTTTTCAACATAGTATAGTCTTATGATACAGATGAGGAACCAAAAAAGAACCAGAAACAAATAAAACAAAATACAAACAAACATGTAGCCCTTGTAAAAGGTTTTCACTGCTATTACTAAAACATATAAAAGTCAGCATGATACATTAGAAAAGACCCTGGACTGGTCATAGCTCTTAGATTAATTTGGGTAAGTTACTTAGTCTTTCTGGGTCTCAGTTACTTTATGAAAGATGTATACTCTAGTGGTTCCAAAATACAGTCCAAGATTAGTGTTATCTATGATAAAGTAGTCATAGGTAGAGGTAAAAATATTAAGGACATTTGAAAAACATTTTCATTCTAAGGATTATTCTTTGATATTTTGTTGCGCTTTTGGGATTAAAAAGTGTGATAATAGTGATTGTTTTAAAATCTTAGCTTAAACATGTTGACAACTCTAAGCTAATGGCAAAAGTGTTTTTTTTTCTTTTAAACCTCATACTATTTTAATAAACTTTAAAAATTTCAGAAAACTCTAGAAGATGTCTATAGGCTTTGCTTTAGCCTCTTTCTACGAGTATGAAATATTACAAAAGCAATGCTACAAGTAATATACGTACAGTTCAAGCATTTTTTTTTTCTATTTTAACAAACAGAAGTGCTAGCCAATCTAGTATAAATTTCTGGCAATACTTGCCAAAAGTCAGTGTAGATGTAGCTGAGGTAATAACAGCTGTTGGAAATCTGAATCTCTCCATACCTACCCAGTCCCCCAGTTACATAAGTCAATAAGCAGATAAAGTTAAAACCACACACCTTCAGAATACCTGGAAGACAGAGGACATTAAAACTGCACGTTACCCATAAGTACAAAAATAAACACTAATTTACAGTAGGATCATATTTTAAGCTCCTACCCCAGGTCTTTGTGGAAAGGCGAACTATCTAGAAACACTATATTGGAAAAGGAAGAGGATATTGATATAAAACCACTTCCAGAAAGAGAAAGTTCTGGGTGTTTACACTGAAACATGATAATGGTAAAAGAGAGTCCCGGGAAATAAAGTCAGAACACTGACACAGAGAAAGGATTTAAAAGTATATGTAGGGCTTAAGGAAGAAATCTTGGAAGGGAAATACTTCAGGAAGAGGATACAAATGAAGGGGAAATTGCCCTTTAGGAACTGAGCAGAAAAGAGAAAGGAATGGGAAATTTAGACTCCTTCAAGACAAAAGAAAACTAAAAGTTTAAAGGACAAAAAATCATTTTCCCTGATTCCTTAGAAAAGCGATGAATTAAGGAAACTGACACACAGATAGAAAAGGTAATTATTGAAATAGCCATGTGTAAGCCACCCCAAATGCCAGCCACGTCTATGCAATACAGAAATGCAAAGTCTTATCTATACAAAACTATCCAAGAAGAAAACAGAAAATGAGAATTAAAACTTACGGATTGATAAATTTCCTGAAAACCAACCTCTTAAACAGAAAAAAATGGTATCATAGCACTCCAAACCAAATTAAATATTCTCAAATAACACATGTAAAATAATCAAATCAGTGATCTAAAGATTAGTAACTGGATAGAAATCAAGATAAGAATTGATTGGACTCAGGCAAGAAATTGATATAAAAAATGTCAGAAATGTCTAAATTATAAGGTATCCAAGAGATAATTGGTTTAATTAAAAATTTAACAAGTGGCATTGAAGAAAGCTAGCAAAAACAACCAACAAAATGAAAATGAGATAGACATGTTTTAGAAAGTGGTTGAAATGGAAATCACGAAAAGGAGATTGAATAAATCTATAATTGGAGTCTAAGAGGCAGAGAAAACAATGGAATAATGAAATTATAAATCAAGAATACTTTTCAGAAATAACAGAAGGCATGACTTTACACATTGAATGGGTCTATAGGGAACCTTGGAAGATTTACCATGATCAATTGGCTCCAAGCATATCCTAGTATACCACTAGGCTTTAATGACTCAGAAAAAATTCTCAGTGCTTCCAAGAAAAAAGATCAAGTAACTTACAAAGCCAAGATTATTATACTGTTATTAGACTTCTCAGAAGCAATAAATAAAGCAAAGGAATAATGGCAGCATTTTTAAGAAACACATTGGATGCTTGCTCCCTCCTCCAAGTTCTAGCCAGGAGGCTTCTTGCCCTATACAAATTGTTACGAAGTTCAGCTAGAGAGTTCCTTCTCCCCGTGGAGTTTTGCCCCCCGCTTCTCTGATCATCCTCCTGATGCATCCCTGTGGTGCCAGGCAGGAATGGCCTGCTTGGGTACCCAGTGAGCTCTCAGGGCCTTTCTGCTGCTTCCTCTACCCCTGTATTTCACTTGCCTCTCCAAATTGAGTCAGCTCCAGGTAAAGTCAGAAACTTCTCCCTCAAACAGACATTCAGCTTCTCCAGTGGAGGTATGTGTTAGGGAGGGGAGGGTCTCCCTTTCTCACTTCTGCAGTTGGGGAATACACAGTTTTTGGGGGAGTCTCCTGGGTCCTGCAGGAGCAGTCCACTGCCTTCAGAGGGTCTGTGGATCCTCTCGGGATTGCTGGTTTGTTCTTGCAGTCCATCTGGAGCTAAAATTCACAATGTGAGCTGTCGGCTGCTGCTCTGCCCGGAGCTGCAATCTAGTCCTGCCTCCCGTCTGCCACGATCTCCTAATCGAGGTTTGTTTCTTCTATCCCCAATTTGTTTAGAATTTTTATCATCAAGGGATGTTGAATTTTATCCAATGCTTTTTCAGCATGTATTAAAATTCTGTTGTTTTCATTTGTCTTCCTGTTAATGTGGTATTTCACATTTATTAGTTTGTGAATGTTAAACCATTTTTGTGTCCCTGGGACACGTCCAACTTGATCATAGTAAACTTTTTAATGTACTGTTGGATTTTGTTTTTTGTCTTGAGAATTTTTGTATCTGTTTTCATCAGGGATATTGGCCTGTAGTTTTGTTTTGTTGTTGTTATATCCTTGTCTGGTTTTGGAATCAGAGTAATGCTGACCTTTTAAAATGAGTGCGAAAATATTCCCCCATTTCAATTTTCTGCAATAGTTTGAAGAGAATTGGTGTTACTTTTTAAATGAGTTCAACAGTGAAGCCATCAGATCCTAGGTTCTTCCTTGATGGGAAACTTTTTATGACTGCTTCAGTCCTGTTACACATTATCGGTCAGTTCAGGTTTTCTATTTCTTCATTTCAGGCTTGGTAGGTTGTATGTGTCCAGGAAGTTACCTGTTTCTTTTATTAGATTCGTGGGCATATAGTTGTTGATAATAGTCTCTTGTGATCTTTTTGGATTTCTCTAGTATCAGTTGTATTATCTTCTTTCTCAGTTGATTTTATTTGAGTCTTCTTTCTTTTTTTCCTAGTATAGCTAGAAGGTTTGTTGACTTTTGATCTTTTAAAATAACCAACTCCTGGTTTTGTTAATCTTTTATAATGTTTTTTAAATCTCTATTTTGCTTATTTTTGGTCTGATATTCATTATTTCTTTCTGCTATTTTGGATTTAGTTTGTCCTTGGTTTTTTAGTTCCTAGACATGCAATGTTAGATAGTTTATTTGATATCTTTCTACTTTTTGATGTAGGCATTTATTGCTATAATCTTCCCCTATAAGAACTGCTTTTGTTGTATCCCATAGGTTTGGGTATGTTATTTTCATTTGTCTCCAAGAATTTTTAAATTTCCTTTTTAATTTCTTCATGACCTATTTGTTGTTCAGGAGCATGTAGTTTAATTTCCATGAATTTGTACAGTTTTCCATTTCCTTTTGATATTGATTTCTAATTTTATTCCATTGTGGTTATAAAATGTTCTTGATATAAACTTGATTTTTAAAAATTTGTGAAGACTTATGAACTAGCATGGTCTTTTCCGGAAAATGTTCCATGTGCTGTTGAGAAAACTGTATATTCTGTAGCTATTGGGTACAATGTTCTGTAAATGTTAAGTCCATTTGATTTAGAGTGCAGTTTTTGTTGATTTTCTCTCTGAATTATTTGTCTATTGCTGAAAGTGGAGTGTTGAAGTCCCCTACTAGTATTGTATGATACTCAGTGTTTCTCTTTAGGTCTATTAAAATTTACTTTATGTGATTGAGTCCCCACTGTTTGGTGCATGCGTATTTATAATTGTCATATTCTCTTGCTATAATGACCCTTCAATCAATATATGGTGGCCTTTTTGCCTTTTTTTTTTTAAATACTTAAAGTCTATTTTATCTGATTATAGCTACTTCTCTTTTTTGGTTTCCATTTACCTGGAATATCTTTTTCCATCTTTTCACTTTCAGTCTGTGTGTTTCTTTATAGGTTAAGTGAGTTTCTTGTAGACAGTATATAATTGGGGCTTTTTCATCTGTTGTCCTACTTTCTGTCTTTTAAATAGATAATTTAAATGATTCACATTTAAGGTTATTTATAGATAAGTGTTCAGTATTGCCATTTTGCTACTTGTTTTCTGGTTGTTTTGTAGATCTCTTTTTTTCTTTTTTCTTCTCTTACTCTTAATTTGTGCGTAAGTGATGTTTTTCTGGTAGTATGTTTTGATTCTGTGCTATTCATTTTTAGTGTATGTATTATAGGCTTTTGCTTTATGGTTAGTTACTATGAGACTTATAAAATATATCTTACGTTATTTTAAACTAATAACAACTCCACTTCAATTGCAAAGAAAAGTATAAAAAACAAACTCTACACTTTAACACCATTTCCTCCACCACTGTTTGACTTTTTGATGTTTCAATTTACATCTTTTTGTATTTCCTATCTATTAACCAATTATTGTAGTTATTATTGTCTTTAATAGTTTTGTCTTTTAGTCTTCCTAGTTATGGTATAAATGGTTTACATACCATAATTATAATATTAGAGTATTCTGAATTTGTCTGTAGTCTTTTATACAGTGAGTTTTATACCTTCAGATATTTTCTTGTTATATTTTAGCCTACTTTTGTTAATTGAATAAACCTCTTTAGCATTTCTTGTAAGACAGACCTGCTGCTGATGAATTACCTTAGCTTTTATCTCTCCTTCATGTTTGAAGAATCCCTGTGCTCAGTGTAATATCTTGCCTGGCATTTTTTCCCTCTCAAAGCACTTTAAATATATCATTTCATTCTCTTATGACTGTAGGGTTTCTGCTGAGAAATCCACATAAAGCCATATTGGATTTTGTCGAATGTGATATGTTTCTTTTTCTTGCTACTTTGTCTGATTTTTGTTAATTTGATTATGATGTGCCCTGGAGATTTTCTCTTTTGGTTGAATTTTACTGGTGACCTCTATGCTTTCTGTATCTGGATGCTGTCATTTTCCTACGGACTGGGGAAATGTTCAACCAGTAATTTAAAATTACTCTTTCCAGGCCTTTCTTCACTGTCTTCTTTGGGAACTCCTATTATATGGAGGTTAGTTTGCTTGATGGTATCCCATAATCTTGTAGGCCTTCTTCATTTTCCTTTGTTCTTTTTTCTTTTGTTCATCTGATTGGATAATGTCATATGTTCTGTCTTTGAGCTCACTGATTATTTCCTTTGTCTGATCAAGTCTGCTGTTGAAGCTTTCTAATGAGTTTTTCAGATCAGTTATTGCATGCTTTATTTCTAGAATTTTGGTTTGCTTTAAAAAAATTGTATTTCTTTGTCAACCTTTGAATTTTGTTTCTGGATTGTTTTTTAAATTTTATTTAGTTTTCAATCTGTATTTTCTTGTGATTTCCTGAACTTCTTTAAGAGTATTATTCTGAATTATTTGGGAAATACTTCATAGAGCTCCAGTTTTTCCAGGTCCATTACTGGAGCTTTGTTGGTTTCTTTTGGTGGTGTCATATTTCCCTGAAAGTTCATAATCCTTGTGTCTTTACATTGACATCTGCACTTTTGAGGAGACAGCCATGTCTTCCAACTTTTGCAGGTGTTCTTTAGTGATATCAAGTCTTTGCTACTTACTTAATATTAGAGCTTAATTACTTAACTGTTATTGCTTGCTACTGTGGGGAAGGCTTATAATGAGTGCCAAAGCTTAAAACCTGCAGCTGCACCAGAAAAAAATTGCTGCCCTTTCCTTGTTTCCTAGTCTGAGGAAGACTTATTGTGAACCTCAGAACTTAAAGGCTGCACTGGAACTAAATTGCTTCCCTGCCATTGTTTCCAGGTCTGGGAAAGAGTTAAGCAAGTCCTGGGACTTAATCAGCAATCTTTTAGTTAGTTCTGGGTCAGGAAACAGCTCCATGAAAATACCTGGGCTTTGTGAGAAATCTGGCCAGGGATCCAGGCCTTCCTACACATCATTTCCCATGCAGTGCTGGCCAGTCTCCTCAGCATGGCATCCTTCCTGATCAGAAAACAGATCAGCCATTAAGATCCATGTGCTGGTCACTGCAATCCGTGCCCCCATTTTTTTTTTGTCTGCAATTCAGCCATCCTGGCACTTTCAGTGGTTCCTATGGGATGGGACTGAAGTGAGCTTCCTGCAAAGATTCCAAGACTGGTGTGGAGCTTGAACGTCCACCTCCAATTCTCTCTTCCCATTTTGGCAACCATGGGTCTAGGGAAATTCTCTGAGAGTGACATTATGCTGGCTTGGAGGAGGACGAGGTGTGGTATAGTCTAAAATGATGGTTCCTTCTTCCAATTTGGTGGGCCCAAGGGTTTCTCTGTTTCTCTGTCAAGTTCTGGTAAATTAAGGGTAATGTTATTGTCCTTGAATAATTTCTATTTTTACTTTTGTGGGAAGAGTGATGCATGAGGATCTTTTATTCTGCCATCTTGCTGATGTCATCCACGATGATCAAGTATATTTAGTTTTATAAGAAACCACTGTACTGTCTTCCACAGTGGCTACACCATTTTACATCTCCACTACCAATGAAAGAGAGTCCTTGTTGCTTCACATGCTCACCAGCATTTGTTGTCATAATTCTGGATTTTGGCCATTCTAGTAGGTGTGTAATGGTATCTCATTTTTTACAAAATTTGAATTTCCCTGATGGCATATGATATAGTACATCTTTTCACATATGTATTCGTCATCAGTATACCTTTAGTGAAGTGTCTGTTCAGGTCTTTGGCCCATTTTTTAATCATGGTGTTTTCTTACTGTTCAAATATCTTTTTAAAAAATCTGCATGGTTTTATGGTATTCTTTTTGTCTTTGGTATTGTGCATTTTTCACTGAAATGCAGCTAGGTGTAGGTTTCTTGTTATTCATTTGCTTTAGATTTGTGATTCATATCAGAAAATTCATGTTTCATTAATTCTTGAAAAATTTTCAGGTAGTATGTCTTCAAATATTCCCTCTTCACCATATTCTCTCCTTTAGGAACTCAGTTTAGTGGAAGTCTTTCTCGTTCTGTTCACTATCATCCTTTATATTTTCTATCTTTATCTCTCTGTACTGCAATGTGGACAATTTACTCAGGTCTGTGTAAATCAGATCATCTTAGTGTTGTTCATAGACCAGTGCTGAGATGTTCCTAAGATAAATGCACAAAACAAGAGTAAGCGTTTAGAAAGTTTTATAGTTACTTAACATCACTGTGTCATCATCGTCATCATCATTGTTACTTGAAATAAAAGTGTCAGCCTGAAATGGACTGAAAAAGTAAAGTGTAGCACTTCACCACAGATAGTTTGAGGTACACAGTCCCTTATACATGCACACATCAATCCGTCTACTCATTATAGATGAATAGATCATGGTCTATTTTTCCTGACCTATGATTGCAGTTCTGTTCTTCAGGGACGAAAGTTAGGCATTGAATCTCATTTGCTTTTATGTTGACTGTCTTCTATCATTTTTAACTCTTTGGATTTATTTTATTTTATTTTTTTGGTCATTTTATTTTGCTTGTTTTTCTCAATTCTCTGGTATTGTTTTTAGCAGTATCGACCCTGCCTTGTGTCTTTTTCAATGTCGTTTTCATCTCTGTGGTGGTTTTAGTTTTCTTTCCCACATTAGTTTGAACTAAGCATGTGTTTTTTCTTTTGCTTTTGTCTTTGACATAACTCCGTAGCAGTTAATCATCTATGTTGTGAGGTATTTTTAAGGAGGTACTTGCTTCAATATTTTTTAATTCAGTTGCTATGTTTGTTGATGATTTTTATTGTCTTGATAGCAATATTTTTGTCTTTTTTTCCTACAATTCACCTTTTATTTTAAATATAATTTAAGTTCTGGGATACATGTGCAGAACATGCAGGTTTGTTACATAGGTATACACGTGCCATGGTGGTTTGCTGCACCCACCAGCCTGTCATCTAAATTAGGTATTTCTCCTAATGCTATCCCTCCCCTACCCCCACAACCCCCAACAGGCCCCTGTCTGTGATGTTCCCCTCCCCATGTCCATGTGTTCTCATTGTTCAACTCCCACTTATGCGTGAGAACATGGGGTGTTTGGTTTTCTGTTCCTGTATTAGTTTGCTGAGAATGATGGTTTCCACCTTCACCCATGTCTCTGCAAAGGACATGAACTCATTATTTATGGCTGCATAGTATTCCATGGTGTATATGTGCCACATTTTCTTTATCTATTCTATCATTAATGGGCATTTGGGTTGGTTCCAAGTCTGTGCTATTGTGAACAGTGCTGCAATAAACATACGTGTGCATGTGTCTTTATAGCAGCATGATTTATAATCCTTTTGGTATATACGCAGTAATGGGATGGCTGGGTCAAATGGTATTTCTAGTTCTCGATCCTTGAGGAATCGCCACACTGTCTTCCACAATCGTTGAACTAATTTACACTCCCACCAACGGTGTAAAAGTGTTCTTATTTGTCCACATCCTCTCTAGCATCTGTTGTTTCCTGAGTTTTTAATGATCACCATTCTAACTGGCATGAGATGGTATCTCATTGTGGTTTTGATTTGCATTACTCGAATGACCTGTGATGATGAGCTTTTTTTCATATGTCTGTTGGCCACATAATTGTCTTCTTTTGAGAGGTGTCTGTTCATATCCTTCACCCACTTTTTGATGGGGTTATTTTTTTTCTTGTAAATTTGTTTAAGTTCCTTGTAGATTCTGCATATTAACCCAGTGTCAGATGGATAGATTGCAAAAATTTTCTCCCATTCTGTCTGTTGCCTATTCACTCTGATGATAGTTTCTTTTGTTGTGCAGAAGCTCTTTAGTTTAATTAGATACGATTTGTCAATTTTGGCTTTTGTTGCCATTGCTTTTAGTGTTTTAGTAATGAAGTCTTTGCCCATGCCTATGTCCTGAATGGTATTGCCTAGGTTTTCTTCTAGGGTTTTTATGGTTTTGGGTCTTACATTTAAGTCTTTAATCCATCTTGAGTTAATTTCTGCATAAGGTATAAGGAAGGGGTCCAGTTTCTGTTTTCTGCATATGGCTAGCCAGTTTTCCCAACACCATTTATTAAAAAGGAAATCCTTTCCCCATGGCTTGTTTTTTTCAGGTTTGTCAAAGATCAGATGGTTGTAGATGTGTGGCATTATTTCTGAGGGCTCTTTTCTGTTTCATTGGTCTATGTATCCGTTTTGGTACCAGTACATGCTGTTTCATTTATTTATTTTTATTTAATTTTTTTTTTTTTTTTGAGATGGAGTCTCACTCTGTTACCTAGGCTGGAGTGCAGTAGTGTGATCTCGGCTCACTGCAACCTCCGCCTCCTGAGTTCAAGTGATTCTCCTGCCTCAGCCTCCCGAGTAGCTGGGATTACAGGAACACACCACCATGCCCAGCTAATTTTTGTATTTTTAGTAGAGACGGCGTTTCACCATGATGGTCAGGCTGGTTTCGAACTCCTGACCGCGTGATCGGCCTGCCTCGGCCTCCCAAAGTGCTGGGATTACAGGCGTGAGCCACCGCTCCTGGCTGGTACCAGTACATGCTGTTTTGTCTACTGTAGCCTTGTAGTATAGTTTGAAGTCAGGTAACATAATGCCTCCAAATTTGTTGTTTTTACTTAGGATTGTCTTGGCTATGTGGCTCTTTTTTGGTTCCACATGAAAGTTAAAGTAGTTTTTTCTAATTCTATGAAGAAAGTCAATGGTAGCTTGATGGGGATAGCATTGAATCTATAAATTACTTTGGGCAGTATGGTCATTTTCACAATATTGATTTTTCCTATCCATGAGCATGGAATGTTCTTCCATTTGTTTGTGTCCTCTCTTATTTCCTTGAGCAGTGGTTTTTAGTTCTCCTTGAAGAGGTCCTTCACATCCCTTGTAAGTTGTATTCCTAGGTGTTTTATTCTCTTTTTAGCAATTGTGAATGGGAGTTCCCTCATGATTTGACTCTCTGTTTGTCTATTATTGGTGTGTAGGAGTGCTTGTTATTTTTGCACATAGATTCTGTATCCTGAGACTTTGCTGAAGTTGCTTATCAGCTTAAGGAGATTTTTGGCTGAGATGATGGGGTTTTATAAGTATAGAATCATGTCATCTGCAAACAGAGACAATTTGACTTCCTCTCTTCCTATTTGAATACCGTTTATTTCTTTCTCTTGCCTGATTGTCCTGGCCAGAACTTCCAATACTATGTTGAATAGGGGTGGTGAGAGAGGGCATCCTTGTTCTGGTTTTTGAAGGGAATGCTTCAGCTTTTGCCCATTCAGTTTGATATTGGCTGTGTGTTGGTCATAAATAGCTCTTATTATTTTGAGATACATTCCATCAATACCTAGTTTATTGAGAGTTTTTAGCATGAAGGGCTGTTGAATTTTACTGAAGGCCTTTTCTGCATCTATTGAGATAATCATGTGTTTTTTTCATAGATTCTGTCTGTGTGATGGATTATGTTTATTGATTTGTTTATTGATGATGTTTATGTTTGTGTGGTGATTATGTTTATTAAGTTGAACTAGCTTTGCATCGCAGGAATGAAGATGACATCATCATGGTGGATAGGCTTTTTGATGTGGTGCTGGATTTGATTTGCTAGTATTTTATTGAGGATTTTTGCACTGATGTTCATCAGGGACATTGGCATGAAATTTTCTTTTTTTGTTTTGTCTTTGCCAGGTTTTGGTATCTGGATGATGCTGACCTCATAAAATGAGTTGTGGAGGAGTCCCTCTTCTTCTATTGTTTGGAATAGTTTCAGAAGGAATGGTACCAGCTCCTCTTTGTATCTCTGGTAGAATTTAGCTGTGAATCCATCTGGTCCTGGGCTTTTTTTGGTTGGTAGGCTGTTAATTACTGCCTCAATTTCAGAACTTGTTATTGGCCTATTCAGGGATTCAACCTCTTCCTGGTTTAGTCTTGGGAGGGTGTATGTGTCAGGAATTTATCCATTTCTTCTAGATTTTCTAGTTTATTTGCATAGAGGCGTTTATAGTATTCTCTGATCATAGTTTGTATTTCTGAGGGATCAATGGTAATATCCCCTTTATCATTTTTTATTTTGTCTATTTGATTCTTCTCTCTTTTGTTCTTTATTAGTCTGGCTAGCAGTCTATCTATTTTGTTAACCTTTTTGAAAAACCAGCTCCTGGATTCATTGATATTTTGAAGGATTTTTTCATGTCTCCATCTCCTTCAGTTCTGCTCTGATTTTAGTTATTTCTTGCCTTCTGCTAGCTTTTGAATGTGTTTGCTCTTGCTTTTCTAGTTCTTTTAATTGTGATATTAGGGTGTCAATTTTAGATCTTTCCTGCTTTCTCCTGTGGGCATTTACTGCTGTAAATTTCCCTTTAAACGCTGCTTTAGCTGTGTCCTAGAGATTCTGGTATGTTGTGTCTTTGTTCTCACTGATTTCGAAGAACTTACTTATTTCTGCCTTAATTTTGTTGTGTACCCAGTAGTCATTCAGGAGCAGGTTGTTCACTTTCCATGTAGATGTACGGTTTTGAGTGAGTTTCTTAATCCTGAGTTCTAATTTGATTGCGCTGTGGTTTAAGTGACTATTTGTTAGGATTTCCATTCTTTTTCATTTGCTGAGGAGTGTTTTACTTCCAATTATGTGGTCAATTTTAGAATAAGTGCGATGTCCGTTTTAGAATAAGTGCGATGTGATGCTGAGAAGAATGAAGAATGTACATTCTGTTGATTTGGGGTGGAGAGTTCTGTAGCTGTCTATTAGGTCCGCTTGGTCCAGAGCTGAGTTCAAGTCGTGGATATCCTTGTTAATTTTCTGTCTTGTTGATTAACATTGACAGTGGGGTATTAAAATCTCCCACTATTGTTGTGTGGTAGTCTAAGTCTCTTTGTAGGTCTCTAAGAACTTGCTTTATGAATCTGGGTGCTCCTGTACTGGGTGCATATATATTTAGGAGAGTGAGCTCTTCTTGTTGCATTGGTCCCTTTACCATTATGTAATGCCCTTCTTTGTCTTTTTTGATCTTTGTTGGTTCAAAGTCTGTTTTATCAGAGAGTAGGATTGCAACCACTTCTTTTTTTTGCTTTCCATTCACTTGGTAAATATTCTTCCCTTCCTTTATTTTGAGCCTACGTATGTCTTTGCACATGAGATTGGTCTCCTGAATACAGCACACCGATGGGTCTTGACTCTTTATCCAGTTTGCCAGTCTGTGTCTTTTAATTGGGGCATTTAGCCTGTTTACATTTAAAATTAACTTTGTTATGTGTGAATTTGATCCTGTGATTATGATGTTTGCTGGTTATTTTGCCCATTGGTTGATGCAGTTTCTTCATAGCGTTGATGTTCCTTAGAAGTTGGTATGTTTTTGCAGTGGCTGGTACTGGTTTTTCCTTTCCATATTTAGTGCCTCCTTCAGGAGCTCTTGTAAGGCAGGCCTTTTGGTGACAAAATCTCTCAGCATTTGCTTGTCTGTAAAGGATTTTATTTCTCCTTTGCTTATGAAACTTAGTTTGGCTGGATATGACATTCTGGATTGAAAATTCTTTTAAGAATGTTGAATATTGGCTCTCATTCTCTTCTGGCTCGCAGGGTTTCTGCAGAGAGATCCGCTGTTAGTATGATGGACTTCCCTTTGTGGGTAACCCGACCTTTCTCTCTGGCTGCTCTTAACGTTTTTCCTTCATTTCATCCTTGGTGAATCTGACGATTAGGTGTCTTGGGGTTGCTCAAGGAGTATCTTTTTGGTGGTCTCTGTATTTCCTGAATTTGAATGTTGGCCTGTCTTGCTAGGTTGGGGAAGTTCTTCTGGATAGTATCCCAAAGTGTGTTTTCCAACTTGGTTCCATTCTCCCCGTAACATTCAGGTACACAAATCAAATGTAGGTTTGGTCTTTTCACATAGTCCCATATTTCTTGGAGGCTTTGTTCATTCTTTTTCATTCTTTTTTCTTTAATCTTGTCTTCATACTTTATTTCATTAAGTTGATCTTCAGCCTCTGATATCCTTTCTTCTACTTGATTGCTTTGGCTATTGATACTTGCATATGCTTCAGGAAGTTCTTGTGCTGTGTTTTTCAGCTCCACCAGGTCATTTATGTTCTTCTCTAAGCTGTTTATTGTTGTTACCAATTCCTTTAGCCCTTTTTCTGGGTTCCTAGCTTCCTTGTATTGGGTTAGAACATGCACCTTTAGCTTGGATGAGTTTGTTATTACCCACCTTCAGAAGCCTACTTCTGTCATTTTATCAAACTCCTTCTCCATTCAGTTTTGCTCTGTTGCTGGCAAGGAGCTGTGATCCTTTGGAGGAGAAGACACGTTCTTGTTTTCAGAATTTCCAGCCTTTTTGTGCTGTTTTTTCCTCATCTTCATGGATTTATCTACCTTTGGTCTTTGATGTTGGTGACTTTCAGATGGGATTTCTGTGTGGACATCCTTTTTGTTGATGTTGATGCTATTCCTTTCTGTTTGTTAGTTTTACTGCTAACAGGCCCCTCTGCTGCAGGTCTGTTGGAGTTTGCTGGAGGTCCACTCCAGACCCTTTTTGCCTGGGTATCACCAGCAGAGGCTGCAGAACAGCAAAGATTGCTGCCTGTTCCTTCCTCTGGAAGCTTCCTCCCAGAGGCACACCTGACAGATGGTAGCCAGAGATGCCTGTATGAGCTTTCTGTGGACCCCTGCTGGGAGGTGTCTCCCAGTCAGGAGGCATGGGGGTCAGGGACCCACTTGAGGAGGCAGTCTGTCCCTTAGCAGAGCTCAAGTGCTATGCTGACAGATCTGCTGCTGTCTTCAGATCTGGCAGGCAGGAACGTTTAAGTCTTTTGAAGCTGTGCCCACAGCCATGCCTTCCCCAAGGTGCTCTGTCCCAGGGAGATGGAAGTTTTATCTATAAGTCACTGACTGGGGCTGCTGCCTTTCTTTCAGAGATGCCCTGCCCAGAGAGGAGGAATCTAAAGAGGCAGTCTGGCTACAGTGGCTTTGCTGAGCTTCAGTGTGCTCTTCCCAGTTTCAATTTCCCCATGGCTTTGTTTACACTGTGAGGGGAGAACTGCCTACTCAAGCCTCTGTAATGGCGGACACGGGGTGTCCCCCACCAAGCTTGAGCGTCGCAGGTCAACTTCAGACTGCTGTGCTGGCAGCGAGAATTTCAAGCCAGTGGATCTTAGTTTGCTGGGCTCCATGGGGGTGAGATCTGCTGAGATAGACCACTTGGCTCCCTGGCTTCAGCCCCCTTTCCAGGGGAGTAAACAGTTCTGATTGGCTGGCATTCCAACTACCACTGGGGTGTGAAAAAAAAACCCCTGCAGCAAGCTCAGTGTCTGCTCAAACAGCCACCCAGTTTTGTGCTTGAAACCCAGGGCCCTGGTGGTATACGCACCCGAGGGAATCTCCTGGTCTGCGGGTTACGAAGACCGTGGGAAAAGTGTAATATTTGGATCAGAATGCACCATTTCTCATGGCACAGTCCCTCATGTCTTCCCTTGGCTGGGGGAGGGAGTTCCCTGACCCCTTGCACTTCCCATGTGAGGCGACGCCCCACCCTGCTTCGGCTTGCCCTCCATGGGCTGCACCTACTGTCTAACCCGTCCCAATGAGATGAGGTGGGTATCTCAGTTGGAAATGCAGAAATCACCCACCTTCTGAGTTGATCTTGCTGGGAGCTGTAGACCAGAGCTGTTCATATTCAGCCATCTTGCCTGCCACCTCCACCATTGATCTTTTGATTCTTTTCCCTTAACATTAAAAAAATAATAATAACATGCTTGTATAGTTCTGGGCCTGGTTTCGTTTTATTTGTCATCTTTGAATTTGGTGAGTTATTTCCAGACCATGTATTTGCAGGTGGTTCAGACTGGGAAAGAACCTAGGTTATATTTTATACTTGCCAAAAGTTTCCCATAATACACTGGTGTGTGTGAAAGGAGTTCTTTTGGCCTTTATTTCTCTCTAGCCATCAAGAATGCGAAGCTGTAGGGTCTGGCAAGGGTCCGTCTCCTTTTTTTTTATCTCAATTCAGCCTTGCTTTTCTTTAATGTTAAAGTTGATTTAGAGAAGGTTGTCTGCATTCCTTCCCTATTGTTAAACTCCAGATATTGTTGGCTTTGCCTTTTGGGTGTGCCGCCTATTTGAGGACATGAACTCTGCCAGCTTTGAGACTGTAGCCTGAGATGTCATCTCAGTATCTTTTTCCATACTCATTTGACCTTAGGTTTTTTTGGAAGCTTATTCATACCTTTTGTTGTTTGATGTTTACTTGGTGTTGTATTATGTTATCGTTTGTGTTAGTTGAATTACTTGATTTGGAATTTCTGAAAGGAAATCTGTATTTTATAACTGGAAATCTGATTGTTTTTTAAAAAGTGACTTCCAGCTGGGCACGGTGGCTCACGCCTATTATCCCAGCACTTTGGGAGGCTGAGGCGGGCAGATCACGAGGTCAGGAGATCAAGACCATCCTGGCTAACACAGTGAAACCCCGTCTCTATTAAAAATACAAAAAAATTAGCCAGGCGTGGTGGCAGGTGCCTCTAGTCCCAGCTACTCAGGAGGCTGAGGCAGGGGAATGGCATGAACCCGGGAGGTGGAGCTTGCAGTGAGCTGAGATCGCACCACTGCACTCCAGCCTGTGCAACAGAGTGAGACTCAGTCTCAAAAAAAAAAAAAAAAAAAAAAGGGACTTCCATGATGTCTCAGATAAATTCTTAGAAAAAAGAGGATTCAATTTATAAAAATGTAGAATGTACTACATTTATTAATACCTCTGTTTAGTACAACATACCTATTTGTTTTTATTAATATTATTTTAGATAGCTAATTCCAGGCAGAAAAGATCTCTTTTACTTTTTAAGAAATACTTTATTTCCCAGTTAGCTAGAAAAGTGTGCTATTTACTTGAACACGTGAACTGTACTTGGCAAGGAGTTCATGACTAAGAGGCAAAAAATTTGATTGGCTTGAATATTTCACCACTATTGTTAGCTCAATATATTGAGTAACAAGGTTCTGTTAATTTTCCCTTAAATATTTTTATATATTTCTTATGTGTATCAAAATACAACTTGTGCTCCTAGTATTATTCTAAGTCTTGTAAATGCTACAAAGGAGTGAAGAATCTGGTTGTCACCTAGTTTGGGAATGGCATATTTATGAAAAACACTTGTGAGGCTTATCAGATTGAGAAAGTATGGCCTGCAGAGAGATTCTTTAGGAGGCCTGACACATTGCCCTGATGCCAGGTTCTGATACCACAGAGTTGGATGACTAGGTATTTGACCTGTGTGTGAAACCTGGGGGCTCACTAGGAGGATAGTTTCAGATTCCCAAACATATACTGGGTGTTTATTATATGCTTGGAGTTTTTACATCAATAATCTTATTTCATCCATATAGTAACTGTCAAGGTAAATGCTATTATTCCCACTTTAAAAATAAAGAAAGTGACTTTCAGAGAAGTCATATGATCTTTGCAAAGTCACATGGGCTTGTTCTTGGCTGGGTTGGGATTGAACCCAAGTTTTTAGACTTCTACTTCAGTGTTCCTTCCACTCTCTCATCCAGCTCCTGGGCAGCTGCCTGGTTTCTTGCTACAAGATTTTCCCACCAAATATACCCTCTTGACTTAGTCAGTTTCCATTAATTTTACATCAAGGTTTGACTTCCTGACTCTCATCTTTTATCTGACCCTCAATAATAGCAGAGACCTAAATACCATGCTAAAGTTAAGTGATTGAACCTTTCCAAAAGCAGATACATGGGGTCAGGAAATGACACCTTTCTTCTGTTCAATCTTGATGTGCCTGGGGTTGCCTAGATTATGGTTTTTTTTTCCTTGGGTCCCTTAATAGCTTAGAAATTGTGTACATGAACAAAGAAGCTTTGAGGCACTATAGACATTTTTAGAAATAAAAGAAATGTGAGGCTTTCACATTTTGAACAGATAACATGCAGGACCAAAGGCCTAACAACTCTGTAGAGGGTCAGATGAGATGAGTGTATGACTCTTAGTAATACAGCCTAGGGAAGAAGACTCCATATAAGGGGGATGGGGAGGAGAAAGAACCACCTGCAAGTGAGCTTTTGCTGTCAATATCCTCTAGTTCTAGAACTCAGAGTTGAGTTATTTTAATTGGATTTATAAGGAAGATGGCTTTTTTTTTTAAAGAAATTTACTATTCCTTGATTATTATGTGACTTTTGACATTAAAGGTTAGAGGCACAATGTGAAATGTATTGTGACAAGGCCCAGCTTTTCCTCCTTCACATTCCTTCAGAGAAGTCACTGCCTGGCAATGTTTATCTTTATACAAATCACTATGCTTTGGGGAATATTGATGGGTGTGTGTGTGTGTGTGTGTGTGTGTATGTGTGTGTGTGTGGTGGTTGTGGGCACAGAAAGGAAAAGCACATTGCTTTGGTGATAATAGTTCACTACACTCTGTTCATCCCAGCTGGTTCTGTTTGGGTAGGAAAAGCCAAATTCTTCTACGGTTTCTTTACGAATAGACATTCTAAGAGCTTGAAGGAGGCCTTCACTGATTTTTGTTTGTTGCTGTTGAGATCAGAGTCACCAACAAGGGGACATGTTTATAAATATTAGGCCATGATGTTTGTATAACCTCTCTAGGGTAAAGAAAGGAAGTTATGGCAGAAAACAGAACTTCAGGAGTCAATTTGACAATAACAAAGTTTTCTGGGCATCATGGATGACACAACAGTTTTAATCCTTCTGTTTAATCAGACATACTGCGTGTTTTGTTCACTACTTTCCTTCTTCTCCAGAAAGCTCTTACCCTGGATTTTTTTAGAGGGCCACTAAACTTCCTTTAGGACATTATTTCTATGAAACCAGGGTCATCTTTTTTTGTTGTTAAACTTTGAGGCATGCACTTACTTTCCCACATCATCAATCATGGTTTATTGTGTGTCAACTATCATAATTATGAGTGGCTAAATCATATATATCCTCAGGAAAACGTAGACCTCATGGAAAGAGTCTCGTGCAGTGGAACTTAAAATGTGTTGTAGCTGGAGTATCAGGCATGAAGTGGGCATGGTGGGGAGATAAGGCTGCAGAGAAGGGCACAGGTTTCGAGCCACGTTGTCTTTATCCTAGAAACAGTGAGAGGCCAATGAAGAGTTTTAGACAGGCAGAGGACAGGTAGGATTGAGGAAGTGGTGATTTTAGTACAGATCTCTGTGTTAAGAACTCTGTTTTGTATAAACGTTAAAACTCTGCACTCTGGAGACAGACTAGTTTTTGACCAGCGTGTGTGTAGGAGGAACAGTTAGAAGTTACTGCAGTAGAGCCTATACAGAACAGTTACAAAAATAGACAATAAAATAGCCACCTAAGAAAGCTTCGTTTAATTCTGGCCAGGTGCGGTGGCTCACACATGTAATTGTAGCACTTCGGGAGGCTGAAGCAGGTGGATCAGAAGGTCAGGGGTTTGAGACCAGCCTGGCCAGTATGGTGAAACCCTGTCTCTACTAAAAATACAAAAATTAGCCAGGCATGGTGGCGGGTGCCTGTAATCCCAGCTACTCATGAGGCTGAGGCAGAAAAATCGCTTGAACCCGGAAGGCAGAGGTTGCACTGAGCCAAGATCACACCACTGCACTCTAGCCTGGGCGACAGAGTGAGACTCCATCTCCAAAAAAAAAAAATAAATAAAAATAAAAGCTTCATTTGATTTCACTGGATCTATATAATACAGAGGGTTTTGTGATTATAATGCAATACAATGAGAAATCACTTTTCAAAGAGTTTAACAAGCCCATATGTTTTAAAATAAAATTTTACAGAATAACCTTGAGTTTAAGGGGAAATAATGAATGGAAATTATTACTTAGAATTAATAATATTCATATAAACATTAATGATATTTAATATATGATAACATGAGCTAGTCATTCAATGTTATGTTAGAAGAAAGAAACAAAACAAACTGAAAGAAATAGGAAAGATGAAAATAAAGACTAGAAGAAATATGTGAATTAGAGAACAGGAATAACACTAAGCCAGAGAGAAGATTAAGATACCCAAAAGCTAATTCCTTGAAAGAATGAATATTATAGGTAGACATCTGTCAAAATGGAACATGAAAAAACTATGCAATGTAAACAAAAGAATTTGAAGAAAAAAGATAAAAATATCAAGTCAGAGTTGCAATGATTTTGAAGAATTAAATAAAAGTGATAAGCTCCAGAAAAACACATATTCTATAATACGTGCAAGAGAAAATACAGAACTTTTACCAATAAATATTGAAGAAATTAGATAGTTAGAACCTCCCACACCATAAACACCTAGCCATCATGGATTTCTTTTTCTCTTTCTCTTTCTCTCTTTTTCTTTTCTTTTTTTATTTTGAGACGGAGTTTCACTCTTGTTGCCCAGGCTGAAGTGCAATGGTGCAATCTCAGCTCACTGCAACCTCTTCCTCCCAGGTTCAGGCAATTCTCCTGCCTCAGCCTCCCTAGTACCTGGGATTACAGGCACCTGCCACCAGGCCTGGCTAATTTTTTGTATTTTTAGTAGAGATGGAGTTTTGCCATGTTGGCCAGGCTGGTCTTGAACTCCAGGCCTCGGGTGATTGTCCACCTTGGCCTCCCAAAGTGCTGGAATTATAGGCATGAGCTGCAGCGCCCAGGATGGTTTTCTAAATGACTTTTAGCATAGCTTCAAGGTCAATTGTTAGTTCATAAAGTTGCTCCAGCATACAGAAAGAGAATAAGCTACAAAGTCTATTCAAAATTCTATGGAGAAATAATGGTCCACAAATGGCTAGGTGTAAAATATATATGTTGTTATCCACAGTTCCTGGCTGGTAACTCCCATAGCCCTTGTTAGTATCTTTTATTATAATGTTGGAGTGCTTTAGTCCTCAGAAGCAGGGCTCAGAAAACAGTCTGTCTCTCTGACCTTCTCCCGCCTCCTTTTCCTGCTCTTTTCTCTCCCCAAGGCGGGAATCTTCCCTAGCCTTTGTCTTGAAGCTGGCCGTAAAGAAATTCTCTGGCCTAACTTGTCTGCTTGTAAGATCCCCATTTCAGAAGAGGCTGTTTCCATACCTTCAAGGAAGGAATGGTGCACAGAGAGGTCAAGAAGAACCTGAACAGACAGGCCTTGTTGGGTTTCCCCACTGGTCTGTTAATGTTTCATATCCTTTTTGTCCAGCCACATTTATGCATGGTTGTCAATCATGCCTATCAAACGAAGTCCATAGCTATAGAAAGCCCAAGAGGACAAGATCCTAAAAGCTTCCAGATAGCTGAACACCTGAGGTTCTTGGAGGGTGAGCCTGGGGTGGGCATGGAAGTTCCACATCCCTTTTCATGTGCTTCACTCTATGCATGGCTTCGTCTGTATTTTTTGCGATACCCTTTATAATGATACATGTAGATAAATTTTCCTGAGTTTTGTGAGCCACTGTAGCAATTTAATTGAACCCAAAGTGGGGATTGTGGAAAGCCCAACTTGTAGCCAGTTAGTCAGAATTTTCAGAGGCCCAGACCTGTGACTGCTAGGAGGGAGGGGGCAGTCTTGTAAGACTGAGCCCTTGCCCTGTGCTGTCTGAGGATATCTCCAGGTAGACAGTGTTAGAACTGGATTGAGTTGGAGGACATACAGCAGGTGTCATCTGAAGAACTGATTGCTTGCTTGGTGTGTGGAGAGAAATCTTCATACGTTTAGTCCCAGAAATCTTTTGTGTTGATTGTTGTGGCGTAAGGACAGAAGAAAAACATAAGTTGAGTTAATTTTTCCTTCACATATTAGGTAAATGATTAAAAAAAAAGAAGAAAGAAGGTGTACTTGCCTTACCAGATATTAAGATGTATTACAAGGTCATGGTAGTAAAACGGATATGATATTGGGGCAAAAACAGGGAAATGCACCATTGAATTTGTAGAAAACTCCAAGACAGATGCATGTACATATGGTGACACCACAAATCTGTGGGGGAAAGAACAGATCATTTAGTAGGTCATGTTTGGGAAAATGGGCTCATAATATGGAAAACAACTAAGCTGACATCACATATAAGGGTGCCCCCTAGGTGAATAAAATACCTGAATGTGAAAGCATCCTAAGCCGAAAATAGCACAAAGGAGGCTGGATGCAGATGGTGATTGAGTTTCTTTTATGAGCTGAGACATAACTGGTGAGGAAAATCTAAGATGAATATAAGAGGGGCTACCATTGAAGGCATGCATCTCAGGAAAAACTCTTACTTTGACAGCGAGTCTTTACGTGGTGGTGTGGGAACGAAAATCAATTACTTCTCATACTAAGACAAAGGACGTGTACAGTAAAATGATTTTGATCCAAAGGCAAGAGGTCTGAGGGAAAATGGCAGCTTTTCCCTATGTTGAGGTAGACAGGTTTTATGTAGCTTTTATAGCCAAAAGATTTCCCAGAGTTTCAGAACCAGTAGCAAAATTAGAATTTGGTATTTAGTCCAGATGACAGCTTGTTCTTTTCAAGAGTGTGAAGCTTGTTCTTTTAAGAGTGTGAGCTCTGAAGTCAAGCAGACCTGGGTTCAAACCCTTGGCTCTGCCACTGAAGAGTAAGTAATTAGTTTGAACAATCTTTCTATGTTTTACCCTCTTTACCTATAACATGGGAATGGAAATAATTCCTTTCTCATTAAATTGTGTGAACAATACGTGAAATAACCCATGCAAAGTGTCTTGCTTTGCTTAGCATAGTGCCTAGCACACAGTAACTGCTTATTTCATACTAATTTTCCTATCTTTATTGAGGAATAGTTGATATACAAAAGCCTGCGTATAATTCATGTATATAATTTGAGCTTGAACAGATGCCTATATTAATGTTATCATCACCATATTCAGGCAATAAACATATCCATTACCTTCAAGGGTTTCCTTGTGTCTTCCTCCCCTTTTTTTTGTGGTGGTGAGAATACTTAACATGAGATCTACCCTTTTAACAAAATTTTAGATGTGCAATACCTTATTGTTAACCGTAGGCACTATGTTGTACAGCAGATCACTGGAAATTACTCGTCTCATATAACTAACTTTATATACATTCAACAATACTCTATATCATCTTCTCTGCATTCCCTATGAATCACCATTTTATTGTCTACCTATGTACTTTTGACTAATTGAGGTGCCTCATGCAAGAGGAATCATGTAGTGCTTGTCTTTCTATGACTGACTTATTTCACTTCTCTAATATTAGCTGCTACAGTCATCTCAGCATTGAGAAACATGGAAATTGATTTTTCCAACTGTGGCCCTTTCAGTTCTTTCCTCATCTGCTAGTGACCAATGACATGCCTTTGCTTAGTAGGAAGAGGAACCCAAAATAAGAGTTAATTTAAGAACAAAGCTTCTGTCCTTAGTGGGCTAAATTTTAGAATCCTTACATTTTGACCTATTCCCTTATAAAAGTAAGAAGGAAGAGAATATTTTGTATCTCGTGTTTTCTTTCCCTGAAGGTTTCAGTTAAAAGTACTTCCATCAAGCAAAGCATAACTGCTTTCTGAATAATGCATTATGCCTTTTTGGAGACAAGGAAGATGCAAAGGAACAAAAAGCATTTTTTCTCCTCCTCAAAATAGTTACCAGTCAGGTTGAAGGAATACCTATTTTTGACCTCAATTAATGTGTACTTTTCCCCTGTAGTGTGTTTGGGAATGATTTTGTCTCAATCAGCCTTTTTATGTTCATTCTTTTACAATTGGATAACTAGAACAATGTCACACCCTTATCCCCTAGTTTTTTTGTTTTTTTCTGCCAAGACTGTATGTACATTACACCAGTGGATTCTTGGTCTTTATGTAAAATGGTTGCACCTGTGTTATGGGTTGAATTGTGTCCCCCGCCAAAATTTTTATGTTGAAGTCCTAACTCTTGGTACTTCGGAATGTGACTTTATTTGGAGACAGTCTTTACAAAAGTAATTAAGTTAAAATGATGTCATTAGAGTCGACTCTAGTCATAATAAAAGGGAAATAGGGGGACATGGACACACACACACACACACACACACACACACACACACACACACACACGGAGAATGCCATGTAAGATGAAGGCAGAGATTGGGGTAATGCTTTTACAAGCCACGGAATGCCAGGGATTGCCAGCAAACCATCAGAAAGGAAAGATACGAGATAGATCCTTCCCTCACAGCCCTTAGAAGGAACTAAACCTGCTGACACCTTGAACTTGGACATGTAGCTTGAAGAACTGAGACAATAACTTTCTGCAGTTTAAGCTCCAGCCAGTTTGTCGTACTTTGTTGCAACAGTCATAGCAAACAAATATAACCTGCATGAAGCCATCTGGGAAGTGGCATCTTAGCAGAGGTATCAGATTTGTTTTTCACATTCCAGCTCTGCCATGGAATAAGTTGTGCAACCTTAAGCAGCTTAACAGTTCTGAAAATCAGTTTCCTTACTTTGTTACTGGTCTAAAAAACAGTCATTCTTTGCACTCATTGAGCTTTTACTTTACTAGAGTCTGAGAATGTTGGTATTTGCTTTGTCAGCTTCTCTATGGTCTGAGGAAGGCTTTCTTCCTTCTTAAAATGTGAAGCATGAAATAAAGGGAAACTCTTAGTCCTCACTGACATCACAGAAGCAGTAAACCTAGTACGGTCATCCCTCACCTCACACTTGTACTAATCAGGCCCCAATCTTTACAGGTGTTAACCTATTTTATCCTCACACCAGTCCTAGGATGACAGTACTATTCTTTACCAATATAAAACCAAGGAAGCTGAAGCATAAAGTGTTTTAAGTAAATTGCCCAAGGTTACATGTACTAAGTGGAAAAAGAATTTGAAAACATGCATACTGTCTTAAGAGCCTGTGCTTTAACTATTACATCAAAAATCTTCAAACCACTGTCAGTTGGGAATTCTTTTCTGCAGTGTTGAAGGGCTTGTAAAGGACAGACTTTCCTCTAACATGGGAGCAAAACCCCTACTCAGATTTGTTGTGAGGATTTCATAAGATAATATGCTAAATGCGTGGCAAAGTACCTTATGTATAGTAAGTGCTCAATAAATGTTTGTTCAGTTGGCCTTTGTCAAGGGAGCAAGAGAAGTCATGAAGACTGGAGAAACTCCTGCTGCTCCCCTCTCCCAGAACACAGAGCTCTCAGCCTGTGTTTAGGTGCTTTTGGGAGGAGGCAGCAGTTGGAGTGCTGACGTGGACAGCAACAGCTTCTGCTGCTTCAGTGTGGCCTGTGGGTCTCAGGTAACTCCATGCCCAGAAAAGGGGCTCAGCTGCTGGAGTCTCGACCTCACTCATAGATGGAGACAATCTGAACCACTAGGGGCAGAGGATAGAGAGGCAAAGGTGGCTGGAACATGACTTAGGAAATTGGCTTCTTTTTTTTTTTTTTCTGTGGTATTGACCCCTAGAGCAGCCTGGAAACAAAGTGACCTGCAATGGCTTGAGAGGTTCTTTCTGGAAAGAAGCTATTAAAAGGAGCCTGAGGCAGAGACACATGTCCTCATATCCTAGAGTCCATTCCTCTTAGTGTTACTGACTTTCAGGGCATGCGTGTTGCTCACTTTCACAGTCAATGTGAAAGGGAACACACAGACAAGCCTTGATCTTCACGGAACTTAGGAAATGCGAAGCCCTTTTCACACGCACAGCTGTGTTCCCAGTGTGAGCTAGGATGTGAGAACAAAGCCACGTCTTGGGAAAGGAACATTATATCCAGAGACTGCCACTCCTTTGTGGTGAAAATCATGCTCAGAAGGAGTTAGTAGTATTTTTTACTATGTCCTGGCAACATGGAAATTATTCTGAAAAAGTTAGTCTATCTTTAAATTTTTTTTTTTTTTTTTTTTAGAAAGAGACAGGTATGTGCTGTAGCCCAGGCTGGAGTGCAACGGTGTGATCATAGCTGCCTGCAGTCTCAAATTCCTGGCCTCAAGTGATCCTCCCATCTCAGCCTCCTGAGTAGCTAGGCACATGCCACCCTGCCTGGCTAATTTTCCAAGAGCTTTTGAAAGGAATTTGAATCATTTTTTGATGGAGATCTTTGACAACTTTATTATGTAGGTTATCTCAAATTATGTTTATGGGGAGTGATACTCTATTCTTGTGTTTTCATTGAAATTTTAGTCCCTTCACAATTTATATAGCTGAGCAAAGCAGGGTCTTGCCACTATTTCTAAAAATCCCAGCTTTTGCATCTTCCAATTTTAGAAAGTAAAGCCTTGCCAGTTTCAGAGGACATTCAGCTACATAACGTATTTGATTTTTGTAGACTTTATTGAAGATTGGGAGAATCTCAGGAGTTCTTTGCATAATCTTGGTCCACAATCTTGCTCACTTTTCTGCCTTCTCCCTTCCATCACTCCCCATTTGTGTCACCTCCCAATCAGGAACAACTTTCTCTTTCTGTTGAAAAGAGTAGGTTTTGTTTTTGTCTTACATGACTCTGTAGTCCAGAGCCCAGCAGAAACCCATGACCTCTAGCAACTAACGTATCCTTATTGGAACAATGTACACATTTCCTCAACATATCTCTTCCTAAGAGAAGGAATTATAATAGTCACTCAAATACAAATTTAAAAATGTATTGTCACACATACCTTCCTGCTTTTTCAAACAGTGTAAGCAGAATGCTAGTTGTTTTCTTTTGGATGTTAATGCTGACGGCAGTGCTGTCCTGTGCTGTAGCTCTCAGCACTTCGGGACTGTTAAATTTGTGGAGCTATACAGAGCAGCCCCAGATTAATTGTAACAATTTCTTCTCTATCCTTGGTCACTGATTTCTCTTACGTGTTTACACCCCTTCCTTCTAATTTTCTGCTTTTATTCTGTTGTGAAACAGAAAACCAAGTAACAGAAAAAATAGCAGGTTTCACTTGAACAGGTGCCAGATACTGTGCTATATACTTTGTCTGCACTGACCCACAACAGTCCTTGAGAAAGGTGCTTGAATTTACATTTCATTCAGATGATAAAAAAGAAGGCATAAAGAGTAAATAGACTCTTCAAATAAAGTGGTACAATCAGTAAATGAAAGATTCAAACTCAAAGGTGTCTGACTCTGGAATCCATAAAATTTATTACGTTGTTCTGCTCAAATTGTACATGAAATGAAGGTAATAGTTTTTCAGGAAGGGTTAGGTGATGTCTCTACAACTTAAATTTATTTCACTTTGTGCAATTTGTGACATTTATATTACTAGTGCAAAAGAATTGTTAGCTCTTATTTGCAGAATATAAGTTTTGGGTTGTTGGGTGTTCCTCTAGGTTGAGGATCAGGGAGGACCTCCTTGAGAAAGTGGTACGTCTCATGACTTTGGGGCTGTGTGTACTTGACCTGAGCTATTTTTTATTCATTCATTCGCTCGCTCACTCATTCACCATGCAGTTACCAAGTGACAGACGCTGCAATAGATGTGGGAGATTCAAAGATTTGTTTGACTTAGCTGTTGTCTTCAACGATTTCCTTAGTGACTCTCTAACGCCATCATACAATACTCTCTCATTCCTCCAGGATCAAGTAAGAGAGTGAAGGATGTGCTGAAGGAGAGGGTAAGAGTACAAATAGGACCTACCCAGGACTGGGGGTCTAAACAGAGTTTAAAAGGTTAAGTTTGACAGACAAGAGGAGCAAGACTTGAGTCAAAAATCTTGTTCGGCATCTAGGAAGACAAGGGCTGCTTGTAATTAAATTTAAGTGAAGAGGAGCTATAGAAAGTGTGATTTCATTCATTCACTCCTTCAGTCATTAGCTGGTCCCCATGTTAGAGACCATAGATGCAGATTTCTTGTTCTTGAAAGGCTTATTGTTTTAGGGGCCATTCAAATTAGGGGTAAATCAATTTTTATATAAAACAATGAGTTAAAAAACCATATTAGAGGAATAAATACAGAATTGGGAGCAGAATATATATGATTAGGGATCAGTCAAGACAGGCTTTATAAATTACATTACACATGAGCTAGACTGTTGAACAGGAGTTAGTAAGGTACTGAGGAAATAGGAGAATCAATTAAATACCTTTTTATATCCAGTCAAGGTGGAAAGAGTTTGCTTTTTAAATATTTTCTCTAGTTTTTGGCAACAAATTTTAATTATAAAAGTAATATGACTGATCTGTCACTGTGAGAATTTCAGCAGGAATAAATAAAATGAACATTCATTTTTTAGAAACTGTCCCTCCTAGGCCGCTTCAATCTGAGTGTTTTTTTGTTTTTAGAACAAGCCACTGTAATCAGTGTCATTGGTATCTTTTCTATATTCATTTGAAAACACAGAAAAGCTGAGGTTTGTTGTATGTATTTAAATCCAAATAGGACCACTACATACTGTGTTTTTAACTCTGTGTTCTAGATCTGCTTTTTCATGCTCCATTGTTATGAGTACACAGAATGTGTATATTATCATTTATTTAACTATTCCCCTATGTATATTTTTCTTTAGCCATTCCAAGAATACAGAAATTAAAGTCTCTTTGCAAACACATGCGAGTATATAGATACCAAGAAGTGGAATTTCTAGGTCAAAAAGAATATACATTAAAAATGCCAATAGATACTGATAAATTGCTTTCTAAAGTGTTCCCATTTATACTTCCTCAAATAATGAGGATACTTATTTCTTAACACCTTTGTCAAACTTAGTATTATCAAGCTTTTGAATTTTGGTGAGACTGATGGACAAAACTAGGGCCATTTTACTAATGTTACATTTGCCTAAATACTGTGATATTGAGCATAGTTTTACATGTTTATCATTTGAGCTGTTCTGTGAATTTCCTGTTCTCATTTTGCATTCATTTTTCTATTTGTTTATCTTTTAAAAACATTCATGGAGTTTTAGAAATGCATTCCTGAGAAACGGTTTTCTATTATCTGTGTTACACATGCTTTCACCCAATCTATCACTTCAGTTTTAACTTCGTTGATAGTGAATTCCAAAATTTTCAATTTTGATGTCATAAAATACATCAATATTTTCCATTATTCATGTTCTGGAATATGTTTAAGAGATCTTTACCTACCCCAATGTGTGTTTATTGACATGACCATATTCCTCATTCCACCAGTGGAGCTGGAAACTAATATGGATATTTCAACTCATTTTCAAAGCTGTAGAATTCCTATTAATACCTATTAGCACATATAAAATAGAATATGTGGGAATAAGACATAAAGAGAATTAACAATTATACATTATCCACCTGTTTCTAAGGACTAATTAAATGTCTTTCTATTAGTGAGTGAAATTGATGAATTGTTCTACTTTGAAAGAACTCTTCAGTAAAAAGGAGTTCCAGAGAGATGTAGAAGCACTTTGTATTATTTTCAGATTTAGTGGCTGTGAGGTACCTTTTAGGTACTACATTTAACTGCTTGGCTTTTCCTTTGTATAGTAGTCAATAAAGAGGATAAATTATTTCAAGGCTTTCTTTTTTCTTCTCTCTCTCTTTTTTAGACAGGGTCTCACTCTCTCACCGAGGCTGGAATGCAGTAGTGTGATCTCCGCTCACTGAAACTTCTGCCTCCCAGGCTGAAGTAATTATTTTGCCTCAGCTTCCTAAGCATCCAGGACTACAGGCACTCTCTACCACAGCTGGCTAATTTTTGTATTTTTTATAGAGACAGGGTTTTTTCATGTTGCCCAGGCTGGTCTTAAACTCCTGAGCTTAAGTGATCTGCCTGCCTCAGCCTCCTAAAGTGCTGGGAACACAGGTGTGAGCCACCACGCCCGGCCTTCTAGGTTTTCTAGGAGAGGTTTTGTTCACAACTTCAGGTGTCAATACTGGATTAGCTATCAGCCCCTACTGAACGTTATCTAACCACAGGATGTAAAGTAAATTTCATTTTCCACCCCATATTCTCACTATGAATGGGAACAAAACCTAACTAGACTTGACTTAAAAATTTAAAAACCAAATTCAAAGGCTGAGTCATCCAAGAAATAGTGTTTGTTTATTTCTAGATACATAAAACAATCTTAAACTCCTAAAAATATAAGTTGTTTAGTAGTTGGTCTAAAACTGAGAAATTTGACTTCTCAGAGAGCTCAGTGAGAAGGAAGAAGTAACTATAGCATACTATGATCGGGAGAAGATAAACATATCTGATTCTAGCATAGCAACCTTGGCCCAAGACAATCCAGTGAATAGAAAACATACTTGGTCAGATGTTTTTATGAGGAAGGCCCAGTAGGTCTGTGAGCTCACCAGTGGCAGAAGTGTTGGTGGTGGTGTTGTGGACTGTCTTCCTGCTCGAGAAAGAACCAAACCTGTATTTTGGGTATGAGAATTAGCAGACATGTTTTGGGTGGCTTGCTGACAAATGTTAGTCTTAAGTTTCCAACCAAGGCAGCTAGAGTTTAGGGCTGGGTTTTGGTCCCAACAGAGGAGTTGAAGTGTTAACTGGACCATGAAGGCAGAGGACCATTTCTATCAACTGAACTAATTCATAGTTGTATTTGTTCATTTATTTATTAAATATTTGCTGAGCAACTGCTATATGTCAGGTACTACAAATACCAATGACTATAAGAGACAAAAATCTCTATCCTTGTGCAGCTTGGATTCTATCAGGGGAAGACAGCTGATAAAGCATAGACTGTGTTACATGGTGCTGTTAAGAAAAATAGAGCTGAACGGAGATAGGAAATATCAAGGTGTAGAAGCTGCAGTTTTAAGAGTGGCTTGAGAGGGTGTCTCTGAGAATGTGGCCTTTGAGCAAATATCTGAAGGAGGTGAGGAAGTGACCCGTGCATCAATCTAGAGAAAGAGGATGTATTTAGTTTTCACTCTTATAAGAGATTGTCTGAGACTGGATATGAATAAAGGGAAGACATTGATTTTGGCTCACATTTCTGTAGGCTGCACAGGAAGTGTGGTGCCAGCATCTGCTTCTGCTGAGGCCCCAGGAAGCTTACAATCATGGTGGAAGGTGAAGCAGGAGCTGATGTGTTACATGGAAAGAGAGAGAGAGTGGGGACTTGGCAGGTTCTTTTAAACAACCAGATCACGTGTGAACTCATAGAGTAATAACTCACTCACTACTGCAAGGACAGCACCAAGCCATTCATGAAGGCTCTGCCCCCATGGCCCAAACACCTCCCTCTAGGCCCACCTCCAACCTTGGAGGTCACATTTCAACATGAGATTTGGAGAGGACAAAACATCCAAACCTATCAGAGGGTTTTCAGGAAGAGAGAAGTGTAAATGTTTCTGAGGTGGGAGAATACTTGGCATGTGTGCTAAGTGAGGGTTCAGCCAGTGAAGTACACATGCACTGAGGTCAGTGATGAGGAATGTATTCAGGTGATGAAGGGGGCTGGCTAAGCAAGTCAGAAATGTATAGGGCAGGCAGTCAGGAAGAAAATAGTATGAACAGGCTTTAAGTCCAAGGACACAGGCCAAGGCTGTTGTCTACAGGTGGAATTTCTTCTTACTGGAGGAAGCCATAGCCCTGCTCTTAAATCCTATCTGATTAATTTAGGCCACCAGATTATGCAGGATAATCTCTCTTACTTAAGGTCAAACAATTAGGAACTTCAATTACATGTGCAAAATACCTTCACAGCAACACCTAGAATAGAGTTTGATTGAATAATCGGGGACTGTAGTCTCGCCAGTTGGTATATTTTTAAAAAGCCATTGCAACATGTTCCAAGAATAGTAAGGAGCCAATAGGATTAGAGAGATGTGATCATCTGGAAAAATAGATGAATCAGAGATAACAGGAGCCATTGGAAGGACACTGAACCTGACTCTGAGAAAGATGTGTGGCTGTTAGAGGGTTCTTACCTTAGACAGAGAGAGATCTGAAGCCTATTTTAAAGGATTATGCTGACACTCCATGGGGGAATAGATGGAAGAGGGCAAGATGATGTTATAACTTGGAGACCACATCATGCTGGGCTTACTCATATATTACTATGTTCAGGGATACCAAGTCTTATTTCCAAGTCCCACTTGGCTATAATCCTGATTAAGAAGGTTTAATAGGCCGGGTGCAGTGGCTCACGCCTGTAATCCCAGCATTTTGGGAGGCCGAGACAGGCGAATCACCTGAGGTCAGGAGTTCGAGACCAGCCTGACCAACATGTAGAAACATTTAGTAGAAACGCTTAGTAGAAACCCTGTCTCTACTAAAAACACAAACATTAGCCAGGCATGGTGGCGCGCACCTGTAATCCCAGCTACTCAGGAGACTGAGGCAGGAGAATCGCTTGAACCCAGGAGGCGGAGGTTGCAGTGAGCGGAGATCGCGCCATTGCACTCCAGCCTGGGGACAAGAGCGAGACTTTATCTCAAAAAGAAAAAAAAAAGAAGGTTTAATAAGGAAACACTGTGCATTTATTTACTAGGTTCCTAGAACTATATGATAGGTGTGAGGAATGTAAAGGTGATCAAGGCAAAGCAATGTATAGTCTTTTGTTTCCTCAAAAGTGATGCAATTTACAGTGAGCTTCCCTCACTGTTCCACCATTGGGACCAAAATGTCATGTGATGTTAAGTTTTAACTATGGTGTTGGGGCAGGTCCCAGGCCTTCTTGTGCCTTGCCCACCATGTTTAGGCTCTTGAGATACATGATACAGGGGACACTCCAGCCAAGGCATAGACTTTTTACCTTGATTTTCAGACTTCTTTATTATCCTTTTGGGTTAAGCTAGAGAGAAAAAACAAAACAAATGACTACAGTGAAATAATGAAAAATGGGGATGTACCAGCTGTTGTTTCTTGACCTTTAACACAATGCCTGTTCATTTTAGATTTTTTCCTCAATCACTGTGTTGTAATCCTGGGAACTGCATTTGCCAGCAGGGCAGAGAGAGATACTTGTGTGATGTTTGGAAGTAAGGAGGGAAGAGAGGATCCTTCCTCTGGCTGTGGTGGAGGCAGTGTAGCAAGGGTACCAGCAATGATGGCAGCAGCTTCCTGGGCTCTATGACCCCGTGGTGTCTCCAGCTTTGGGGATGTAGACAGCTGTGCTTTAGCTGTAGCTTCCCACAGTTTTCTGATTTCTGGGTCGATCACCTTGCCTGTCTAATTTACACTTCCAAAAATGTAGTAATGAGTTATTTCACTGCACTAATCCTGCTCTGTTTGAAATGTCTGACTGAGCCCTCACTGACTCACAGGTCTTCTCTACCTCTCTTTCTGCAGCCTGGGGAAGGTTTCAATCAGCTAGTTTCCTCCTTCCTCTCATCTGACCTCAACCCTGGCTCCTCTTAACTCTCCAAAGATGAATGGTCTGCAACAGAAGACTTCTGACCAAAATGAAGGGAAAGGAAAGGATGTGAGGGTGTCTAGATAGGTGTAGAGGGTGGTGGAAGAAATGTAGTAAGAGACCCCAGCATGGGAGGGGGAAGGGGAAAAGAGATAGTCTCTTTAATTTCTTGTCATTTCTTAAACACTTTTTAATTCCCCAGTCTTACAGTTTTAGAAGTGAGTTAAATGAAGGATGTGAGACTAGTCTTCTTTATTTATGACTACCTTTTATTTCCCCTGAACTTTCACATACTCTAATAAAAGTGTGTTTTCATTACTCTTCAGCCTGAGTGTGTTCAGGTTTTCTTGGGAGAGTGTGGGGGATGCAATATTTCATTTATCCAACATCTTTGGTCTTATTTATATACATGACCTGATATAATTTTCACATGTGTTAGGTTTTAATATGTTTTATATTTAATATACAGAAAACTCTATTAAAAGGAAAGGGTGCGGCAAAGTTTGAGAACTTGCTTGGATTCATGTGGCTAATCAAAGTGGACCTAAGATTTGAGCTGAGATCACCAGACAGTAATTCAGTTAACCCAGAGTTCCTTTGTTTGTAGAAACAAATCTGGATTTGGAATCAGGGAGAGGAATGTAAGGTCGACAGTAAATTGGAAGAAGTTCTAGTATAGTTTCTGACTTTTTTAAGTCTGTTAAAAGAGTGTCATTAATAATGTCCCTAGAGATTGCTGGTGAGTCTTTTGACTATAGAATTGAAATGGATGTTTAAAATTAATTTAAAAATAAAAATAAAGGATTAAAAACTACATTACTTTATTACTTAAATTTTGACTTCAACATCTATTTCAGTCTACCCCATCCATGAAAGTTCTTTTCATAATCTTTTTTTGGTAGGAGAAGATGGTTAGAAATACTGAAGGAATTGTGGGAAGAATAGGGCTAGGCCCAAGTCATGAGTAAACTTATGAAAACAGTTATTATGGTTTTATACATTAATTAAAACAGTTGGGACGGAAGTCTAATTAAAAAGAAATAACAGGCCAGGCGTGGTGGCTCACGCCTGTAATCCCAGCACTTTGGAAGTCCGAGGCAGGCGGATCACGAGGTCAGGAGTTCAAGACCAGGCTGGCCACCATGGTGAAACACCGTCTCTACTAAAAATACAAAAAATTAGCTGAGCATGGTGGTGCGCGCCTGTAATCCTGGCTACTCGGGAGACTGAGATAGGAGAATCACCTGAACCCAGGAGGCGGAGGTTGCAGTGAGCCGAGATTGCACCATTGCACTCCAGCCTGGGTGATAAGGCGAGACTCTGTCTCAAAAACAAAAGAAGTAACAATATTGCTTCACATATCCTAATTTAGTGATAATGGTTAATGTGCAAGTCCTCCTATTCTTGCTTGCTTGCTTGCTAGAAGTTTTTTGGCTTTCAATAAGATGTTTATAAATTCATTTAGCTTTGCTGCATATAATTTGCAGCTTAGGTGTTTTCAAAGTATAGTCTATGTTTCTGCTTCCTTATTCAAAGACTTTCTTATTTTGTGGTACAGTTGTTAATATCTGTCTCATAGGTCCCACCCTGACCACAGAAACAGAGTATTTTTAATGTTTGAGATGGGAAAAGCTTTGAATATCACTTATGTCAATCTACTTGTTATAGATGAATAGTTAATTATCAAATTCTTTTGTAAAATAAAAAACCTAAAATGCAGTAAGCATGTATTCTACTTGCTATGTACCAGGCACTGTTCTAAGTTCTTTACCTGTGTTAACTCATTTAATCATCAGAGCAGCGCTTGGAGATAAATGCAATCATTGTCCCATTTTGCAGACAAGGAAAGAGGCACAAAAAAAATTAAGTGGCTTATGCAAGGTCACACATCAGGAAGGAGCTCTCTGGAGCTGTCTCTTAAGTGTTGCTCACATGACCTCTTTGTGTGTAGGTTATGCTGTCTCAGACCTGCCTGAGTCCAGGTTTCTTATTTTGTACTCTCCTGACAAAATAGGATGGTCATCAAGTTTGACCTCACCATCTCTTGGCTTTTTATGCTTCTCTTAAAGTTTCACTGCAAGAATTCTACTTTGGTTCTCTTTTCTGTTTCTGTCTCCTAGTTTGTTGTCTGTCTGTCTGTGTCTCTTGCAGAGTTGACTTTCAGATCCTATATACTATGTGTGGGATGACATTTCATGAAAAGTCTTAGAGATGAAACCTTTTTACTGAATAATTTGTTAAAAGAAATATTCAAAATTGAAGGAGGTTGCTGCCCCCCTAATATTTTCCCAGTCAGACTTAATTTCAAGAGCCCTCTTATCCTCCAAATACTTAATTTTTAAATAAACAGAAATGACTGTTTTCTGATTACAAAATAACATAATTGTATTGTAAAAATGCAGGGCATGCATGAAGATATAAAGAAGATCATTAAAATCGCCCCATATTCCTAACCCACAGTGATATCCACTGTTAGTATCTACTGGGGGGGTCACAGCAAGTACTAACAATGACCGATGAGACAACGTCCTTGAATGTCCACTTCCAGCAATAAGGAAACTCTATCACAAGGTGGCCCACACACTATTTCAACAGCTTTAGTTGTTAGAATACTCCTTTTGGAAGATAGATGGATATACTTGACATGCATGTATCCATTCTTTCTTTCTACATCTTGGCAGATACTACTAATTGATCATTGCGCTTTATCGTTGAGCTTCTAGGCAGTTATTACCAAGCTTTGGAGATGGCATACAAAATGAAACCTCTTTTCCATCCCTGCTCCATGCTGACTCTGAGCCATTAATATGTTTTAAGGACTTTCATTCAACTGTCTCCCAACATCTAAGAGTTCTGGGAAATCACCCCTGGGTGTATAATGTGCTTTGTGCCTTTTTAGAAGAACAGAGTGGTGACTTTAGAAATTTTTTTATAGTAAGACTCATCATCTAGATTTTTAATCTTTTTTTTTTTTTAGAATATTGAAAAGCAACAAATAAGACACTTTTGTAAGAGTAAGGGCTGTTTTATGTTCTAGTATGACTTGTTCAATGCTGAAAGGATACATACCTCTCTTACATGTGCTTCATATTTGTACATCAGGGGAAAGCCAGGCCCTAATCTGACAGCCACAGGCAAGCTTTGCAAATATTGAGTTCTACACAGATGGAAATGCCCATTGTGATGAAACTGAGTCCTCTGCTAAAGTAGGCAGTTGGTATGCCTAGCCCTTTGCTACATGTTTACTTTATTTGGAGAAGGAAATGAGGAATTATATATTCTGCCTTGCTCACAAAGGAAAAGTTAAAGAACAGCTGCTTCCTCATTGTGAATGTGCTGCCTTGGGGCATATCGTCCCAAAAAGATATTTGCAGGAGCAAGGTCAAGAAGGGGAGGTGGAGTTCATCATCTGTATTACCTTTCTCTCATTCTCCATATCCACTCCAACAGCAAGTCCAGTTAAGACCACCTTTGAAATTTACATTGAATCTGAGCGCTTTTCACCATCTTGAGTCTGCTGATGGTCATATCTTGGTTCCTTGACTCACTAGCAGTGTAACTTTGGGAATGTTCTTTAATCTCACTCTGCCTTGCTTATCTATCAAATGGAGATAATAAAGTAGCAGTTACATAGGGTCATATGCACATTAAATTAGGGCAAGTAAAGTGCTAAAAAAGTGGCTGGTATCTCCAAGTGTAAGTATTATGGACACATCTTTTCAGGGTCTTACAAATGTGCCTGTCTAGTATGAATTACAGAGAATCAGTGTTAAAAGGGACTTCAAGGATGAACTAGCCTAATGCCCTTGTTTAAAAAGAAGCAACCTGAGGTGCAGGGAGGTGAAATATCTTTGAATTCACGTAATAACTTTGGGTGGGCGAGTTTGGATTAGGATGAAAGCCTCTCTGATGGATTAAGGACCCTGGTTGAGAACATGAGTCCCTGCATGTCTAAAGTATTCTGTGTTTCCCCAGTCTGAGATTTTGGCTTGTCCAACAAGCTTCGTGACCTTCAGTCACTGGTGAGGATTTTTCATGCATTGTTCAGCTCTGCACAGCTCATTAAGAGCCTTCTCCTGTCCCCTTAGCTATGAGATGCCTTCTAGGGCCCACTGGTACACATTTCTCATTCATATTACTAGAAAACCCCTGATCAGATGGACTTGATCTATACTTTGCACTCCACCCTGTGTATTACTCCACTCTGTGTAATTGGTAAGATCATGTTCCCAGTTTGTTATTATTGTGGTTCCTGCTAGGCACAGCACTTGGAGTCTCCCTACACCTTCAATCATGGAGGATTCTGTCTGGTAGTGTGGTGGTTCTTGCCAACTTATTCCTAATTTGCAGGTAAGACCCAGATGGTCTTAGAAGTATGCCCAGCACTGCATGATTTGCTGGTAGAGACAAAAGACCTGGGAAACTATCACAGCCTTTGAGCAGTTGTCTCACGACAAAGTTCCAACTTTCTACTATGGCTTACAAGGTCATTTTTCAGGATCTGGATCTGACCTTAAAATCAACAAGTCATGGTGTTCCTGAATAAAGTCTTCTCCCTCCATTTCCAATGCAACACCATAGATTACATTCTAGCTCTTCCCATTTACATATATGTAAATCCTTCCTTCAGCTATATGAAACTTGGTTCCCCTCAGTGATTTTTAAAAAATAACTTTTGATTTTGAAATAATTTTAGACACACATAAGTTACAAAAATAGTGCAGAGAGTTCCTGTACATCTCTCACCCAGTTTCCCCTAAGTTTATCATCTTGCAGAATCCTGGTACATTTGTCAGAAGTAAAATTAACTGTGATACATTACAATTACCTAAACTACAGACTTTACTCATACTTCACCAGTTTTTCCACTGATGTCCCTCTTCTGTTCCAAGATTCAATCAAGGATATTGCATGGCCCTCAATATTTTTAGAGATGCTATCCAAATAGTACTGGTTATGCAGCCCAGAGGTGATGCGAGGGCCTATTTTCAGTGGCCTTTGACATATAAAATGTCAAATCTATAGCCTTGATGAATAAAACCGAATTTTGATCTCAATTTTAAGTAGATGTTTAGAGGGGTCAAGACAGTATAAGGAAAAGTCAGTGTGAAATATGTACTTTCTTTCCCATGAGTAATAAAATTTTAAGACTGTAATATTATTTCCCTCACAAGAACACGAACAATGTGAACAATGGCTTTATCATCACTGAGTGTTTGGTTGGGCACATTTTTATTGATTCAGTCCATATTTTAAATTTCTAGACACAGAGAAAATGGGTTGGATAAGACAGGCAAGGGGAACTTGGCTTCCATAGATTGTGGTTGCCCTTTTCCCAAAAATAAACCAGGCATGGTGCTGGAAATTTTTACACACATTATTTTAATTGTATAAAACTTGGTGAAGTTACATTTCTTATTTCTGGAGATGAGAAAATTTGACCATAGAGAATTTTCAGAAGTTTTTGAGGAGCACTGCCAGAGACCCTAGCAAGATGAATGACTAGAGTTATGTGGTGTTTGTCCCTCCCACAAAAGGGGACCAAAACAAAAAGTAACTGTATTTTGAACAGAGCAACTACAGAAGTGTGCTGGAGAGCAGCAAGGGCCTGGCAAAATCTCTGTCAGGTCAGAATCCTCCATTTATGTAAAGGTGCTATGTACATCTCTCAGTTCTCTAGTGTAGAAGCTTACAGTCAAAGTGACTAAAAACCATAACAGCTACAATTAGTGGCTAAGGAACACATAATATATAAGTAAGTATTAAGGCACAAAAATATAAATTGTAAGGGGTGGTGGTAAAATGTCTAGAGTATTTTGATATCACCAAAGTTAAGTTGCTACCAGCTTAAAATAGTTTATTATAACTACAATACTTTTTCTGTTAACTCCATGGTAATCAAAAAGAAAAGAAATTACAGTAGATGAACAAATGACAAACTAAGCTTAGCAACTCAGAAAACTACCAAACCACAGAGGTAAAAGACAAAGGAGGAGAAAAGGAACAATGAACCTATAAAACAACCAGAAAATCCTTAACAAAATGACACGAATAAGTCCGTCACTATTGGAAATAACCTAGAATGTTGATGGATTAAATTACTCATTTAAAATATATAGAGTGGTTGAATGGATTTTTTTAAAAAACCAACTATATGCTGCCTACAAGAGACTCACTCCAGTGTTAAAGACAAACATAGACTGAAAGTAAACAGATAGAAAATCACATTCTATGCAAGTGGGAACCAGAAGTGAGCATGAGTGGCCAAACTTATCGCAGATAAAATAGCTTTTAAGTTACCATAAAAAGAGACAAAGAAGATCATTATATAATAATAACAGTATCAATTGAACAGAAGGATATAATAGTTATATACGCATTCAACTCTAGAGCATGCATATATATAAAGCAAATAGGAGACCTATAGGAAGAGATAGTCTGCCATATGACAATAGAGGATTTCAGCGTACCACTTTCAACATCGAGTAGATCATCCGAAAAACCAAAGAAATGTTGAACTTAAATTGTTCCATAAATGGGCCTAACAGAAGGTAACAGAACAGTCTGTCCAATGGCTAAATAATACATATTCTTTTAAACTGCACATGAGACTTTATCCAGGATATATCATATGTTAGACCACAAAACAAGGCTTAACAAATTTAGGAATATAGGGATCATATTAAACATCTTTTCCAACCACAATGGTATAAAACTGAAGTCAACAAGGAAAACTTCAGAAACTTTGTACAAATACATGAAAGTTAAACAACATGCTCCCAAACAATGAATCAAACAATTAGTCAATGAAGAAAGTAAAAGGAAAATTAAAACTTTCCTTGAGATAAATGAGAATGGAAGCATATTATACCAAAACCTATGGGACACAGCAAAAGCAGTTCTAAAGGAAATATTATGCAATAAAACCCTACATCAAAAAAGAAAGATTTCTAATAAATGACCTAATGATATGCTTCAAGGAACTAAAAAACAAGCATAGACTAAACCCAAAATTGAGAGAAGGAAGAAAACCATGAAGCTTGGAACAGAAATAAGTGAAATAGAGACTAAAAATAAATAAACAAATAAAAAACAAGAAAGAGTTGGCTCTTTAAAAAGATAAATAAAACTGACAAATATTTAAGAAAAAATGATAAAATCAGAGATGAAAAAAGAGACATTACACCTGATACCACAGAAACATAAGGAATCATTAGAGACTATTCTAAACAACTGTATGTCAAAAAGTTGATAAATAGAAGAAATGGAAAAATTCCTGGACACATACAACTTACCAAAATTAAATTATGAAAAAAAGGAATCTGAACATGTCAATCACAAGTGCGAAAATTCAATCAGTAATAAAAAGTCTTTGATCAAAGAATAGCCCAGAACCTGATGGCTTCACAGCTGAATTCTACCAAACATTTAAAGAAGAACTAATACCAATTTTACTCAAACTATTCCAGAAAATTAAAGAGGAGGGAATACTTCCAAACTGATTTTACAAGTCCAGCATTACCCTGATTTCAAAACCAAGTAGGGATATGACACAAAAAGAAAACTATGTATCAACACTATTGATGAACATAGATGTAAAAATTCTCAATAAGACACTAACAATCTAATAGCACACTGCAAAGATTATTCACTATGATGAAGTTGGATTCATCCCAGGGATGCAAGAATGGTTTAACATACACAAACTAATAAACGTGATATACCATGTTATCAGGAAGAAAAACATCATGTGATTATTTCAACACATGCTAAAAAAACATTCAGTACAGTTCAATATTCCTTCATCAAAAAGATTCAATATCAATTGGAGATAGAAATGATATGGGAGGGAGGGGAGGGAAGTGCTGGTTAGAGAAGTGCGGGATCCCTATGGAGGGCTCCATTCTTGGGCCTGTGCATATGGACCTAAATGAGGACAGGCATCTCTGTTTTCATGCCCCAAAAGTTGCCTTTTGGCCCACCATGCCCCCTATCCTTTACCCATAAAAATCTGAGACCCTAGCGGGCACAGACACAGGCAGCTGAATGTTGAGAGGAGCAGAAGAACACACTGACAGACACCAGCAGACACTGGCAGGTCAGTGACGGCAGAACAACGCTAACACTGAGGGGAATTCAGCTGGGGCCAGTCGGGGGAAAGTCCGGCTGCTGGTCGTCCTGACTCCAGGGGAAGACAATCTTTCCATTCCATCCCCCTTCTAGCTCCCCATCCAACTTGCTGAGAGCTACTTCTACCACTCAATAAAATCTTGCACTCATTCTCCAAGCCCATATGTGATCCGATTTTTTCCAGTACACTAGGGCAAGAACCCAGGATACAGAAAACCCTCTGTCCTTGCGATAAGGCAGAGGGTCTAATTGAGGTGATTAACACTAGCCGCCTGCACATGGCAAAGCTGAAAGAGTGCACCATAACACATGCCAACTCGGGCTTCAGGAGCTGTAAATACCCCTACACACTGCCTTGGGGTTGGAGCCCAAAAACGTTCCCCATGACCTCTGCAACTATCTGTCTGCATGTCCCCCCTAGGGGTTTGAGCAGTGGGGCACTGAAGAAGAGAGCCACATCCCTGTTGAACACCCTGCAAGTGGAAAAGGGGGAACTTCTCTCATTTCAGAAGGAACATACTTCAACACAATAAAGGCCATATATGACAAAACCCACAACACCATACTGAATGGCAAAAAGTTGAAAGCTTTTCTTCTAAGATCTGTAATATGAGAATCCTGTTCACTTTCACCACTTCTCTTCAATATAAAACTAGAAATACTTGCCAGAGCACTTAGGCAGGAGATAAAAAAAAGACATCTAAATTGAAAAGGAGAAAATCAAGTTGTCCCTGTTGGCAGATGACATTATCATATACATGGAAAACCCTAATGATCCCACTAAAAACTAATTAACAAATTCAGTAAAGTACAGTACACAAAATCAATATAGAAAAATCAGTAATATTATTACACACTAAGAGTGAAATATCCAGTAGTCAAGACAAAAATTGTAGTTACTATAGATACAAAAAGATAATAAACTTAACCAAGGAGGTGAAAAATCTCTACACTGAAAACTACAAAACTTTTATGAAATAAATTGAAGAGGACACAAATAAATGGAAAGATAACTCATGTTTGTGGATTAGAAGAATTGATATTAAAAATGGCCATACTAACCAAAGTAATCTACAGATACAATTCCTATCAAAATACCAATAACACTCTTCATAGAAATAAGAAAAAAATCCCAAAATTTTATGGAACCAGAAAAAACCTTGAATAGCCAAGGCAATCTTGAGCAAAGAGAAGAAAGATGGAGCCATTATGCTACTTGACTTCAAAATATACCACAAAGCTATAGTAACCAAAGCAACATGGTACTGGCATAAAAACAGACATATGGACCAATGGAACAGAATAGAGAGCTCAGAAATAAATCCACACTTTTATAGCTGACTGATTTTGAATAAGGATTCCATGAACACACATTGGGAAAAAGATAGTCTCTTCAGTAAATGGTGCTGGGAAAACTGGATATCCACATGCAGAAAAATACTAGACATCATAGGTGAGTCTGGAGGACATCATGTTAAATGAAATAAGCCAGGCACAGAAATTCAAATATGATATGATCTTACTCACATGAGTGATCTAAAAAAAATTACCTTACAAGCAGAGAGTAGGACAGTGGTTACTAGAGACTTGGGAGGGGAAAAAGACAAAGAAAGAATGAGAAGAGGTTAGCCAATGGGTATACAGTTAAAATTAGATAGGAAGAATAAATTTTGGTGTCCAATTGCATAGTAGGGTGACTATGGTTAATAGTAAAATACTGTATTATTGCATGTTACGCAGTAGCTAGAAAAAGGCTTTTGAAGATTCTCACCACGAAGAAATGATAAATGCATGATGGATACACTGAGGACCCTGACTGGATCATTATACAATGCAGGCATGTACCAAAATATCAAATTGTACCTTGTACATATGTATAATTACACTGTGTCAATTAAAAAATAATTTTAAAAGTGTCTCAGGATTAAGGAGCAGGCCACTATCAGGGAGAGGAGGCATCAAACCCAGATTTCCCTCGTTCCAAAGTTGTGCCCTTCCCACAATGTCCCATGGCCGTTCTTCACCATAGAATTGATGATAATAGCATAATGTGTATGTGAAAGTGCTTGTAACCTTTACAGTGACAAAACACATAGGATTATAATGATTGCAAATGTTAATATTTTCTGAAATTGTTCTAAAACTCTTTAGGTCCCAGCATGTATAAACTTACACATAGGTAAACCATAGTTTGGTGTCACATCTTGAAGAAGTTTTGAGCATATACCTTGTCCTAAGATAAAGGCTTCATTGTCTTACGTGTTACCATAAAGAGGGGCTTCTATTTTAATATGTTGTAAATTTCTAGAAACATAAACTGCTGAAAATTGAATAACAGATAATATTATGAGAGGTTTACTGTTTACAGAATGCTAAAAATATAAGATGTCTACTTGTATTTTGAATTTTAGCTATCAAGTTTGAGGATTATAATTTGCTTTTAATATCTGTAGTTCTTTTGCTAGTGAGTACACAATTAACTGCTTAAATTTGGTTAGACTTCAGTTGAGGATAAAGACGCTTGACTTCCAGCACATCTAGTGATTTACATGTTTATCTGATTTATGTACCATCTGTTACCTTAAAGAAGACATGTAACCTCTCTGGCCTCAAACTCATTTGTAAAGTGAGATTTGATAATGCTACCTGTTGATAGAGTTGCTATGATGATTCAGTAGGATGTTTGTAGAGCTCATTGAACAGTGCTTGGCACATAGTAAGCACTACATAAATTGTTCAATAAATCAGCGAGATGAGCTTCATTATAACACCAACTATAATACACCTTAATTGACTTCTTATAACATGTCATGCTTTACCTGCGTACAGCAGAGGAAAGTTACTTGACTTAAGTTGCACCTACAGCCGGTGGTAGAGCTGGATTCACGTTAGGCTACCTGAATCTGAAGTATTCTCCCCCTCGCTCTCAGCTTTTCACTTTCCTAAGAAGAAGAAACAGTTTAACATGCTTCTTCAACTTCCCTCCTCTCCACCTCAAACTATTTCTTTCATGCCACTCTCCTTTCTACCTCCAAGTGCCTTCTCTCTTTTCTCAGAGGTGCTGTATCCCCTTCACTTTCCAAAGTGAATTTTTTCACGTTGTAGGTAACTCCTTCCTCTGGGCTTTGCCCCATCTATATCCTTTTTTGATCTCCAGTCTTTCTTTTCACTTGCCCCTTCACCTCTTCCTCCATGTTTAGACTCTGCATCCTCAGCTTTCTGCGTTCAGCATGGCATAGGAGTCAGAAGACCTATGTTCTCTTCCTAGATCTGCCCCTGGCTGTGTTCATTTAAACAAGTCACTCAACATTTTTCAGCTCAGTTTATTTAAAAAATTGTAAGAAACTCTTAGGCCTTATTTCAAGGTCAGAACTCTGGGATGATAATTCTTCTGTCTTTCTTCCCCAAAGGCTTGGGAATAGGGGTACCTAGAATTACATTGGCCATGTTTCTCTTTGGACCGCTGCCTCCCACCTTGGTGGAATCTCTTGCGACTGTCAGTTTCACTTTATCTAGAAGGTCTTCAAGTCGCTGTCTCCAACAGCAAAATACAACTCCACATTTCCAATTCATGTCTCATGTGGAATAATTTAACTTGCCTAAACCTCTCACATCTGAGCTACACCTGGAGGTGGTGGCTATTCATACCCAAGCAGTTCTCTTAATGTGGTTACCTGGATAAAGTGGTGGTTCTAAGAGTATTCTGTCATCTTCTTTTCCCAGCTGGTTTAAACTGCAACCAGCTTATCATTGACAACATTTTTTTCCTATGTATTTTGGGGATGCAAACTGGCATGATTTGGTGCTTCAGAGTTTACATTAGAATACAATTAAATTTTATAACACAGATAATAAAGAAGCATATTCTATTTTTTTCAAACTAGAATTTCCTGAGTGTATTTTTCCACCAAATCTTTTTTTGCAATATGGTAATGTTTTAATTATCGTTTTCCAGAAACAATGGTTAGTGAGAGACAGAGATTTTAAGTGATTTATTTTAAGGAATTGACTCACACATTGCGATGGCTGGCAAGTACAAAATATGCCGAGTAGGCTAACAGGCTGAAGAACTAGGGAAGAGCTGGTGTTGCGGTTTGCATCCAAAGGCAGTCTGCTGGCAGAGTTCCTTTTTGCATGGGGAGATCAGTCTTTTTTCTGTTAAGGCCTTCAGTTGATTGGTTGAGGCTGAGTCACATCATGGACGGTAATCTGCTTTACCCAGAGTGTGTTGATTTAAATGTTTAAAATAATTTTTAAATGTTTAGACATCTAGGGGAGTACAAGTGCAGTTGTGTTACATGGATATATTGCATAGAGGCAATGTCTGGGCTTTTAGTGTACCTGTTGCCCAAATAGTGTATGTTATACCCAATAGAAAATACCTTCACAGAAACATCTAGAATACTGTTCGACCAAATATCTGGATACTATGGCCTCACCAACTTGACACATAAAATTAACCATCATGGCTAATTAACCTAAAACCAGTAATTAATGAACAATATGTTTTAGAAGTATAGGCCAAGGTCATATTAATGCTAGGCTAAGGCGACTCAGACTTTATTCTGTAGGTAAAGAAGAAGTCTAAGTTTTGAGCAGAGCTGTGACATGTACTTTGGGGAGATTATTTTGAAGGTAGCTGTATTTAAGAAGCATTTAAGCTGTATTTAAGAAGCATTTAAGCTGTATTTAAGACCAAGTAGGGAGAAAAAAAAACATTCATTTTGATGATCTAGGCAAGATGTATTATAGGATAAGTAGGGAAGTGATAGCAGAAGTGGGTGAAGTAGAGTGAATTTCAAAAACACTTTGTAAGTGTAACTAAGAGGATGGGTCAAATGACTAAGTTTTGGGGCTAGAGAAGGGAAAATTTAGTAATAATGCTAAGGCTTCAAGTCTTGGCACTGAGAGGATGGCAGTGACATTGGAAGAAAATAATATTGGAGGAAAAGTAGACTTCCTAGGTGCTGGTGGGATCTTATATCTGAATAAATAAACATTTTGGATTCTTAATAGTTTGGTAAGAGGCCAGGCGTGGTGGCTTACACCTATAATCCCAGCACTTTCGGAGGCCGAAGAGGGCAGATCACTTGAGGTCAGGAGTTTGAGACTAGTCTGGCCAACATGGTAAAACCCTGTCTCTACTAAAAATATAAAAATTAGCCGGGCATGGTGGTATATGCCTGTAATCCCAGCTACTTGGGAGGCTGAGGTAGGAGAATCACTGAAGCCCAGGAGGTGGAGATTGCAGTGAGCCGAGATGGCACCAGTGTACTCCAGCCTGGGCCACAGAGCGAGATTGCATCTCAAAGAAAAAAAAAAAAAAGGGTTAGTAATATAGAAAGATAATTGAGATAATTGGCAACTGGGATTAATAACTTCAGGGGAATTTATGAGGAGAATAGGGCTATGCATATCACTTCATTGTTTTGTCAGGCCAAACTATTTTTTTCTTTTCCTTAGAAATGAAGAATAGAATAGAAATTGACAAGAAAACCAAATGCTCCACAGCCACTAGCTCTTTGTTCAAAGGCGATGAATCCTGACGAGTGGACATTCATGAAACCAACCCAGACCCCTAGTTATGAGGTAGAGCTGCTGGATTCATCACAGTAAACATTTCTGAGGCTGAGAGAATCAGGGTTGAAAGGCTTGTTAGGATTTGATAAAGAAAGCTGGTGGCCCATAGTAATAACCCTTCTATTTTTCTTTTCAATTTGTTTCACCTTCATTTGTGCTCATTCTTTTCTGCGTGAGCAATTCCCTAAGCTCAGCTTTACCCTCTGGCTCCAACAAAGATGCTGTTTTTATTTTCTATCCTGTTCTAGGCCGTTTTCAGTCATTTTACATTTGAAAAGATATCTTTGACCTACTGAAAATCTTACTAGCAAATTTGCTCAAAATAGCTCTACCAATCCTAGAGTTTTAAGATGAGGAGCAGAAAATTAATTAGTTGCATGAGCCTATTACTACCATTGAGCATAGATTGAAGGAAGTCATGAGAGCCCAATGAGTTAGAGACAGAAGGACCTTATAGGTCACCTAGGCTATTCCCCTCATGTCACAGATGAGGAGGCAGAGGCAGGGAGAAGGTAACAGATTGTATCTAAAGCAATGGCAGGGCTTAGAGGAGCAGGTGTGTTGTTTAACTTTCAGTCTGGGAATGTTTCACTGTACCATGATGACCTAAGCACTCTGCTTGAGCTGGGCACTACAGAATATATGATAGAAGTCCAAGGCATGGTCTTTGCCCTCTTAAAATTTTACCTTTTCACCCAAGATTTTAAAAAAAGTTTCTCTAACATTAAAAGAGGCATTGGCCCTTGTAGTTCTTCACGAATTGAGAAAGCTTTAGGTTTGTTTTTGCCACGTGATCTCAGTATATTTTTCAACCAGACTTAGAAAACACTGCGACCATTTTACAATTCTTTTTCTTATCAAATCCCTAGATTACAGTCAGGGATAGCAACTACTGCTACTTGGCTTGCAAAAATGAATTGCTTTATCATCTTTTTTTTTCCTAATGTGTCACAAAAATTGTAGCAAATCATTTGATCTCTATGCTGCACACGATATGTCTTGTTCTAAAGAGAATTATGTCTGTTAGGCAATGGTTATTGACATCCTCTTATGGAAGTTGCTTCTGAATGGTGGCATAATTTTTGGCTCTGTGGGGTGTGTACAGTTCTTGATCTCTGTTGATGCTTGCTGTTGAGCTGGTGACTTCTCTATAGAATATAGGTAGTGAAATGTGTTTGTGGGTTGTGGCAAATCACTGTGACTGGTGATATGTATGTGACCTAGAAACAGCCAAAGCAAATCTCAGTAGTTTATATGGGAAGAATGTACATTAAAACATTTTATTAGTTTAGGTTGGGCTTTAAAATATGGGTTATTTTCATGTAAAAACATGTTGAAGTACTAACAATAAGAAGGAGTAGTTTTGTTGACGAGTCTTTTTTGTACACATATGCATAAAAAGAATGCATAAAATGCTAAAGTGGAAGGATAGGGAATTATTGGGAAAGTGTGGCATTTGGGGCTCTAGGTTACTTGGGAAGCCAAGGGATAGCAGTGAGGAAGGAGCGAGATTTGATACTGCCCAAGAAGGATAAAAAGCTAGGGCTTGGCAATGAAGGAGAAGCTCTGAGATGTCAAAGCACTGATTGAGTCAGCACTGAAGGCTTTGCACTTGGGGTTAGCAAGGCGAAGAGGAGCAAGCACAGGCTTATAGACCAGCAGAAAGCAGAGGTCGAAGGAAGGGAGCATTTAATATAGTACCTATGGCTCTGCATGTGGGAAGTTTGGGCAAAGTATTGAGTGTACCAAGCTTACTGGAATACAAGGAATTAGGTTTTGAGGTTTAAATTCTAGTTATACGTAATTTTGTGACATAGAATTTATAATAAATGCTATTAATAGAAAAATTATACTTTCTCTGAGCTTCAGTAACCTCATTTGTAAAATGAGTCTAATGATGCTATTCAGAGTTGTTTTTAAATTAAATGAGATTATGTGAAAGCCCTTTGTGGCTAGCAACAGTCTATATGAATGAAAGACACATTTGATTTACTGTAAATTAAAAGTGAATGATGGCTTTAGGTTACACGTGGCCATTCAATTCCAATAAGGCCATTATAAAATAATTGTAAATTTATGTATTTTTATTACAAGGTGAGAAAGTAGCTATGAAAGGTTGGTTACTTGTTCACAGGTTTATCCAGTCAGAGCATAGTTTCTAAATTTTGAAGAGAGCACTTTTTAAAATATTCATCTTACTTCTTAAAGCAAGAAGCCATAGGTACATAATGACAATTTAAAGGCAGAATTTATGTATTTCTTTAGTGCAGAAATCATCATTATGCCCCCAGAACATCAGTAGAATCTATCATCTATGCATTTTTTATGGACTCATTTGGGAAATGTCATGGTTTATCAGAGCCACATAAATCAGAGTTTGCTGGATTTAGTCCAATCTTTAAATGTGACCTGGAAATGAGGGAATAATATTGAATCATTTTGTGTGTGAGAGATTAAATAAAAGCAATCAAAGCAGGTAGAGAAATCAACGAAAATTTGAGGAAAAAAATTACATGAGCTAGAAATAGATATCACTGGGTATAAGAAATTGCAGATTTTCTTAAAATATAGGTTCAAACGCAGCAGGCTTCATGCTTTCCTTTTATATGCTTTAAGTGAGAACAGTGTTGAACTATTGCTTTTCATAATGTTTTCAGAGTTCCAGAATTCTCTCCATTTATGTGCAGTATCTTCCTTGCCACAAACTCAAAACCTACTGTACCAGCCAGGATAGGGTAAGTTGTACTATAGTCATCAACAACCTCCAAAATACTCAATGTCTCATAACAACAAAGGGTTATTTCTTTACTAATGTCATGGGTCCATCTTGACCTCACTATTGTTCCTATTCAGTGAGCAGGAAGCTCTCTTGGCTGAAGGTTGGGTCTGGAGTTGCCTGAGCTTGGCAAGGCCTGAGCTTGGCAAGGACACTCCTGACAGGAGGAGGAAAATGGCAAATGAGATGAGCAAATATTGGCTACCAGAGAGGGCGATGAAAATGAGGAAAGATTGCAATGTGCAGCCTTATTTTTTCCTAGGTTGATGGCCTTGTCAGGGTCTTAGGGAGGCAGCCAGATGGGGGAAAGGGAGAGGTCTCAGTGGTCATTGCCCTGGTACGTGGTCTGATAGAGCACCTCTGTTTGTAAATCTGCAGGTGTTTCAACTGCAAAGGAAAGGGGGCCAAGGCAAACAGCACATAACATTTCCACTTCTATTCAGGGTACAAACCAAGTCACATAGCAATCTCTGCATTTAAGGGGGCAGGGATGTGGAATTCTCCTGCAGTGTGAGGAATTGAATTGAGTAGTTATGAATAACACCCTGATTTGTCCTTCAAATATTGTCTCAGGTAGCACTGTAACCATGAAGCAGTCCCAGTGAAAAGTCAGGACACCTGTAATATTTTTTCCTCTTTTCATGATACAGTTTTCATCTTATTTTTTTGTTATTTGTGAATGCTATGATCTGAATGTTTGTGTCACCTTACAAATTTATATGTTGAAATTCTGACCCCCAAATGATGGTATTAGGAGAAGGGGCTTTGGGGAGGTGATTATGTCATGAAGGAAGAGACCTCATGATTGGGATTAGTGCTGTTCTCACACTGCTATAAAGACCTACCTAAGACTGGATAATTTATGAAGAAAAAGGGTTTAATTGACCCACAGTTTCACAGAGTTAACAGGAAGCATGACTGGGAGGCCTCAGGAAACGTACAGTTATGGCAGAAGGTGAAGGGGAAGCAAGCATGTCTTATCATGGTAGAGCAGGAGAGAGAGACAGCAAAGGGGGAAATGCAACACACTTTTAAGCCATCAGATCTTGTGGGTCTTGTGAGAACTCACTATCATGAAAACAGCAAGGGGGGAAATTTGCCCCCATGATGCAGTCGCCTCTCACCAGGGCCTTCTACCAATTCGACATAAAATTTGGGTAGGGGCACAAACCTAAACCGTATCATCCCACCCCTGGCCCCTCCCAAATCTCATGTCATTCTCATGTTTCAAAATCAATCATGCCTTTCCAACAATCGCCCGAAGTCTTAACTCATTCCAGAATTAATTCAAAAGTCCAAGTCCAAAGTCTCATTTGAGACAAGGCAAGTCCCTTCTACCTATTGGCCTGTAAAAGTGAAAATAAGTTAGTTACCTCCAGGGTACAATGGGGGTACAGGCATTGGGTAAATCCTTCTGTTACAAAAGAGATAAATTGGTCAAAACCTAAGGGGTCACAGGCTCCATGCAAGTCTGAAACCCAGCAGGGCAGTCATTAAACCTTAAAGCTCCAAAATAATCTCCTTTGACTCCATGTCTCACATCCAGGGCATGCTGATGTAAGAGGTGGGCTCCCATAACATTGGGCAACTCCATCCCTGTGGTTTTGCAGGGTACAGCCCCTGTAGCTGGTTTCATGGGCTGGTGTTGAGTGTCTGTGGCTTTTCCAGGTGCATAGTGTAAATTGTCAGTGAATCTGGGGTCTGGAGGATGTTGGCCTGCTTCTCAAAGCTTCACTAGGGAGTGCCCCAGTGGAGACTCTGTGTGGGGGCTCCAACCTCACATTTCCCCTCTACACTGACCTAGCAGAGGTTCTCCATGAGACCTTCACTTCTGCAGCAGACTTCTGCCTGGAAATCCAGGCATTTCCATACATCCTCTGAAATCTAGGCTGAGGTTCCCAAACCTCAACTCTTGCCTTTTACACACCTGCAGGCCAAACACTACATGGAAACTGCCAAGTCTTGGGGCTTGCATTATTTGAAGTAATGGCCTGAACTGTTCCTTGGCTTCTTTTAGCCATGGCTGGAGCTGCAGCTGCTGGGATGCAGGGTGCCATGTCCCAAGGCTTTGCAGAGCCCACAAAACCATTTTTTTCCTCCTAGGCCTCTGGCCTGTGATGGGAACAGCTGCCGTGAAGCTCTCTGAAATGCCTTGGAGACATTTTCCCCATTGTCTTGGCGACTAACATTTGGCTTTTCTTTATTTATGTAAATTTCTACAGTCGGTGGCTTGAATTTGTCCCCAGAGAATGCATTTTTATTTTCTACCTCATGGTCAGACTGCATATTTTTCATATTTTATGTTCTGCTCCTCTTTGAAACATAAGTTCCAATTTCAGACCATCTCTTTGTAAATGCATGTGAGTGCATGCTGTTAGGAGTAGCCAGGTCACATCTTAAATGCTTTGCTGCTTAGAAATTTCTTTCACCAGAAATTTCTTCCTAATCATCTCTCTCAAGTTCAAAGTTCCACAGATCCCTACAGAAGGGACATAATACCTCCAGTCTCTTTGCTAAAGCATAGCAAGACTGACCTTTACCTTAGTTCCCAGTGAGTTCCTCATCTCCATCTAAGACCTCCTCAGCCTAGATATCATTTTCCATCTCACTATCAGCATTTTGGTTAAAACCATTCAACAAGTCTCTGGTAAGTTCCAAAATTTCCCACATCTTCCTGTCTTCTTTTGAGCCCTCCAAACTGTTCAAACTTCTGCCCATTACCCAGTTCCAAAATGTCTTCCACATTTTCAGGTATCTTTATAGCAGTACACCATTCTTGGTACCAATTTTCTGTTTTAGTCCATTCTCACACTGCTTTCAAGAACTTAACTACTTGGGACTGGGTAATTTATGAAGAAAAGAGGTTTGACTCACAGTTCCACAGGGTTAACAGGAAGCAGGACTGAGAGGCCTTCAGGATACTTACAATTGTGGTGGAAGGTGACAGGGAAGCAAGCATGTCTTACCATGTCACAGCAGGAGAGAGAGAGAAGGGCAAAGTGCCACACATTTTTAAAGCATCAGATTTTGTGAGAACTCACTCATTATCATGAGAAAGCAATGGTGAAATCCACCCCCATGATCCAATCACCTCCCACCAGGCCCCTTTTACAATTTGACATGAGATTTGGACAGGGACATAAATCCAAACCATATCAGTGCCCTTATGAAAGAGACTTCAGAGAGACCCCTTATCCTTTCTTCCAGGTGAGGATACAAGGAGAAGTTGGCAATTTCCAACCTGAAAGAGGGCCTTCACTAAAACCTCACCATGCTGACACCCTGATCTCAGACTTCCAGCCTCCAGAACTGTGAGAAAGAAATTTCTGTTTTTTTATAGCCATCTACTCTGTGGTATTTTTTTATAGCAACCTGAATGGACTAAGATGGTGAGTGTCTCTTACTTCGGGTGATAGGTGATAGATGGGTGAGCTTTTTTTGAGTACAGGTCATATCTTACTTATTGAGCTATCTCTAGTAATAAGCACTGTGCTAGGAGTACAGTAGTACTTCAATCTTTTTAATGAATTAATGGGTCCAAATTTTGATGAATTAATCCTTTTAATGAATTGTGAATTAAAGACACTTTTTTGTGCATCTCTAACCTAAAAAGGCATCTTAGGTCAGTCACCCCTAAGTATTCTGAATTGGGTAAGAGGGCAGTTGTCTTAATAGTAGAGGTGAAGCAGAATCTTATCTGCACCCTATATTCTTTCTTGTCTATATTAAATGGAAACTAAGGAGTGGGTGAAAATAATGCAAATGTTTATGAGTCACTTGGGAGGAGACAAAATGTGCTGTACTTTATCATATCTTATTTGACTTTAGATTCTGCAGGATGCTAGGATTCCATACTTATAGCCAGTTAGGCACTGCTAATGGCCATGGCTAGCAAACAATCTTATCTTTGATCAACCCAGGTCTGTGCAAATTAGGTTCTCCTTATCTGTTAGTATTTTCACAGTTGCTACTACTTTAAGTTGTAATAATTTTTTAATAGACTATTATTTCAGAGCATTTTTAGGTTTATATAATAATTAAATGGAAAATACAGAGAATTGCCATGAAACCCTATGCCCTAGTCCTATTAATTTTTAACTTAGGCTTATCCATAGCTATTCAGTAAACAGGTTGGTCCCTTGGCAACAGGCTGGATCTGAGTTTGAGTCTTTTACTGGGCTAGTCAAGGCCAAATCTGCATAGGAGAAATATAAGGAAGTTTTTTAAAAAATTTTATTTATTTATTTATTTTTAAAGCAAACATGGGCTGCTCATGAGGCAATGGGAATGAGGAGGCAAAATGACTAAGGAGGGATAGAGGCAACTACCAAGCAGAGGCTTGGGAAATTGATCCACCTGTGTGAATGACCTTGGCAATGGGTTTGAAAAGGTGGAGATGTGGAGTTGGAGGTGGACTGGGGAGAAGGTTTAAGTAACTTTACATTTTCTTTTTAAATTTTTGTGGGCACATAGCAAGTATATATGTATTTATGGTATACATGAGATATTTTAGTACAGGCATACATTGCATAATAATCACATCTACGTAAAGAGGATATCCATCATGTCAAGCATCTATTCTTTCTGTTATAAACAATCCAATTATATTCTTCTAGTTATTTTTAAATGCACAATAAGTTATTGCTGAGGGTAGTCACCCGGTTGTGTTATCAAATACTAGATCTTGTTCATTCTACATAATTACATTTTTGTACCCATTAACCATCCTCATCCCCTCCCCCACCCACCTCCTACCCTTCCCAGTCCCTGGTAACCATCATTCTACTCTCTATCTCCATGAGTTCAATTGTTTTAATTTTTAGCTCCCCCAAACAAGTGGGAACATGTGAAGTTTGTCTTTCTGTGCCTAGCTTATTTCAGAGTAGAAGTTTTTAAGCACACAATCCCAACTTACCCTTTCCCAGTTATCATATTTCTTCATCTTTGCCCTAATCCTTTCTTTCTACCTATCTTTACTTTTTTCCTTAATTTTCCTCTTAGAAGCCAAAATCTCTGCTCACTACATGGATACACAAGTCGTATTTGTCTTATCAAGACTTTTCTTCTGCTCACTACATGGATACACAAGTTGTATTTGTCTTATCAAGACTTTTCCTCTGCTCTAGGGCAGCCCTGTCTGGATTCTCACACTATCAGCAGTGGCTAATACTGTCTCAAATGCAAAGTCCTCCTTGGAGCTGGAGGTGGTGCTTAAATAATACTAGTATGCATTTCTTTTGACTGAATGTAATTACATGTGTAAAGGCTCAGAGTAGTTCATTAAAAATGGATTTAAATCATGCATCACCGAATAATCCCTTAAATATAATATTTCTATAAACTCTTACATTCCATCAATAATACTTCCAGGTAATATATGCTTATATTTTGAAATAGTAATTTCATATTTTAAAGCACAGTACTTGATTTTTTTTTTTTTTTTTGAGATGGAGTCTCACTCTGTCACCCAGGCTGGAGTGCAGTGGCATGATCTTGGCTCACTGCAACCTCTGCCTCCTAGGTTCAAGCGATTCTCCTGCTTCAGCCTCCTGAGTAGCTGGGATTACAGGTGTGTGCCACCATGCCCGGCTAATTTTTGTATTTTTATCAGAGATGGGGTTTCACCATGTTGGTCAGGCTGGTCTCGAACTCCTGACCTCGTGATCCACTCGCCTTGGCCTCTCAAAGTGCTAGGATTAAAGGCGTGAGCCACTGCACCCAGCCAATGGTTTTTATTTATATACCAGCTCCTTAGAAGTCTATATTCAGTTCACTTAACACAGAGAGAAGTATTTTCATATAGGCTGAGAGCATTTGAAATAACTTAAAAAGTAAAACAATTACGGATTTGACAATAGTATAAAATGCAACATAAAACAACAGAAGGCTAGGTCAAGACCAAAGATTTGTAACTTTGAATACAAATGTCTACAATATCTATTGAAAAAAAGTTGTTGTTTTACAGGGTGAGAAACTTCAAAAGACCATTCTGGAAGATCATGCATAGAATTAGTGAACACATGGTGTGGGCAGCTAGTTCACCATATGCCAACTGACAATATGAGTCTTAGCATGCTGCTACTGAATTTTTAATAGATTTATTTCCTTGGCTATTTGCCATTCTCTTGTAGTTTGATAGACATCAGAATGAAGGTAAAAAAATTCTCATGAAATAAACTATAGAGCTTTGAAGTATGAGAAATAGGCTTTTCCCCTTTGTTTTTTTCTTCAGTAAGTAGTTGAGTCTGAGACAGTTGATCCAGGTCCATCTTGGTAACTTTCAAGGCAGAATTTCCAGCATTTTTATAAAACTTAAAAAAAGGGTGATCATTTAATTTGTTTTGATATATTTTAAGTTTTCAATTTGTAAGTGTTCATAGCCTCTAAAATTCTAATTTCAAGTGGAGAACGATAAATCAGGATAGGTAGCCTCAGAGCATTGAGTGCATGTGGATGTTGGGACAGATTACTCTAGCAGGGAAGGAGGGAAAATACTGAGTGACTCTGTATGCAAGGCACTGTGCCATATGCTTTGCAGGTAGTATCTAATTTACTCCTCATGTTAGCCTTTTGAGGTTCGTAATTGCCATTCCTATCTTAGAGAAGAGGAAGATGAGGTTGAATAAGATAAGGAACCATGTCAAACAATATGTAGATGACATCTAAGACTCAAGGGTTTTTCTGCCAGGACTCCAGAGCACATTCTCTTTTATTATACCTTGAACTCCCTGTGGTAAAGAGTTTCTGAGACCAAAAAAAAAAAAAAAAAAAAAAAAAAAAAGAAAAAGAAAGAAAGACAAAAATATGAGTCAGGATTTTTTAGTTTTTAGGGTTTGTGGGAAAGAGATCCTTGATCAGGAGGTTAAAATCCTCAGGCTTTGGTTTTAGTCATTCCTGAGTTACTCTTTCTGGGCCAGTGAATTACTGTTGGCTGTTTCAGAACTTATTTTGGACCCAGCATTTTACTAGGATCTTAGAGAGACATCATAATGATATAGTACTTGGCAGTAGATCTCTAGAAAGTTTTCTTCTATATCTGAGAATTAGAATGTAACAGAAGGAAAATGGTCTATTACTTGGCTAAATTGTGTGGCATGAATTTGTGCTTCCTCTTTCATGGGCTGTGAGGATACACAGTGAAGGAAATGGTACAGTGTTTATGCCTATGGGATTTTTAAATTTCTTATGGAATGCAGAAAGCACAACTACTATCATGTGGGGATGAGATCATGATTATTTTGATATAGAAGGTGCAATAGGGAAATGTTAGTATAGACAACACATTTTTTTCCAGATAAAAAGTACAGTAATAGATTAGAAAGGAAAGAGGTCAAAATGTGTTGAAGTCTTTTGGTGATAGCTTCATGGAAATGGTATTTGAATTGCGTCTAGAAGGTTGGGTAGGATTCAACAAAAAGAAAGAGACTTTTCAGGTTTGGGGAACTGCGTAATCAGAGCCATAACCTGAATCAGTTATTTTACTCATAATTTCTATCTTATCCAATTCCAGCAGAAATTGAGGCAGAATTTTTAGAGTACCTATTAGTATAGCTTAAAATAATGTTAAAACAGTTAATTAATAGTGTGAAATGGGCCTTACATTTAGCTTCAAGTTTCCTGGCAGTGAAAGAATAGGAAACATGAGAATTTGTCTGATAAATGGAAATGTACTGAGTCTTCAGATGAGACATGATTTTGTCTCTTAATTTCCAATTTGGTATGTAAAAGACATTGAGCAGTATAACAGACAATACAATTTGTATCAGTTTTAGGAAGAACAGAACTCACTGTGTGACTCTGTTTTCTTTTTAAAAAGGCTAATTTAATTTAATTTTTAATTGAGTAATGTATATTTATAGGATACCATGTGATGTTATGATATATATGTATACATTGTGGAATGATTCAATCAAGCTATTTAATATATCTACCACCTCACATACTTACCATTTTTCTGTAGGAAGAAAATTTACAATCTCCTTTCCAAAGTGGCACTGTTTTCTACTGACTCTTGAGTTCCTTTCCACTCAGCCAGTGGGTGGAGAAGGGAAAGTGAACTTGTAGTAAATTTTTTGGGCCATGCTGAGTTTTAATTACATCTGCATACATATCATTGTTCAGGACTTGGTCAAGTAGCTATACCAAATGTCAGAGGTGTTTGAACCAAAGCAATCCCATCTTGAGTAAGGGCTGGGGAAAATAAGACTGAGATCTACTGGGCTGCATTCCCAGATAATTAAGGCATTGTAAGCCGCAGGGTGAAATTGGAGGTTGGCACAAGATACAGGTCATAAAGACCTTGCTGATAAAACAGGTTGCAGTAAAGAAGCCAGCTAAAACCCACCAAAATCAAGACACTGACAAGAGTGACCTCTGGTCGTTCTCGCTGCTACACTCCTACCAATGCCATGACAGTTTACAAATGCCATGGCAACATCAGGAAGTTACCCTATATGGTCTAAAAAGGGGAGGCATGAATAATACACTCCTTGTTTAGCATATCATCAAGAAATAACCATAAAAATGGGCAACCATAGCCCAAGGGCTGCTCTGTCTATGGAGTAGCCATTCTTTATTCCTTTACTTTCTTAATAAACTTGCTTTCGCTTTACTCCATCAACTCACCCTGAATTCTTTTTTGAGTGAGATCCAAGAACCCTTTCTGGGGGTCTGGATCAGGACCCCTGTCCAGTAACACTAACTTGAAAGGACATTTGGAAATGTAATGTAGCTGTGAGCCTAGAAGGATGGGGAAAGAATTTGTGCATTTGAACTTCAGTGGTAAGTCAGCATAAGGAAAATCTTTTGGACTGGTGTAGACATTTTGTGCTAGTGATTAAAGGAATATTGAGATACTTTTAATGTCAGATATAGGCATAAAAATTACAAATCCTGATTCATTTTCCTTTCCCTATGGAGAGCATTCTACTTCTTTCTGATTTGGAGCTGGGTCAAGGTTGGGGGATGAATGCTTTCATTAAGATTCAACTTGTTTTGTGCAGTAGAAGACAGGGACAAGCTTGCATTTCAAGGGTTTGGGTTGGGGAAGATAATGCTAAAATGACAGTTCAGAATAGAAATATTCTGAATGTCATATACCAGAAAACTGTAGAACTAAAACGTTATCTGATAAATAAATGAAGGAGTCTTGGTCAATGGACCCCAATCCATCCAGTTACCTCTTAGAAATCTCAGCATCATTACCAAATTCCCCTCTCCCTTTCACCCCAAGAAGAGGCTTGGCAAATAATAGATCCTCAAAATATTGTTATTAAAAAATAATAAATATATTTGTTTTCTAATAAAATTCCTTTGTGACCAGAAAATAATCTGTATAATACTGACTCTTTGAAATTGCCTTGTAGTCTAGTACATGACCAATATTTATAAATATTCTGTATGTACTTATAAAGAAAGTGTATTATCTAATTATTGATTATGATAAACTAATTGAAATGGTACCTGTATTGCTTAGATGCTTTATTTTCTTTCTAATATTTGTCAATTTGATCTTTCAGTTATGGAAAGATGTTAAATTTCCCACAATAAAAATATATTTGCCAATTTTATATACAGTTCTTGACCAAGATGGTCTTAATGTTGCTCCTTCAGCTTGACTAAACTTTTAGGCAGGCTTTTTCCTGACTCTGGGTATGGGACCTCTTGAGATCTTTTTTCTTAAAGCATTTACTTTGAGAAACTTCAAGTTGTAATTTTTTCCCCCGCTTCCTTGAGATGTAAATCCTTTTTAAAAGCTTCTTGCTGATTTTACAATCCAGGATATCTTTCTCAAGAACCTGGAAGTCATCCTTTACAAATGTAATCATCAAGGAAGACCATACCTCTATCTCCTAGTCTCCTTGGGAGAGTGTCACACCCTTTATTTCATTGGAGTTGAGGTCAGACTGCACTGGGGTATGTCTCCTTGATTGCAGTAGTCTAGAATGAAGTCTTCTTCACTTGTTTAACTTTGTCCAGTACAATGTTTTGCTCTTGTGAAATTTGCAGTCTATCTAATTGTAGTTCCTTACAGGTTTTTGATTTTTCTCTCTGAATCCTTCTAAGACCTTTTCAGTACCACATTAAACTTTTGAATCAGATTTTTCTCTATTGTACATGTCATGTCAATTTCAATTGTGCATCCATGTGAAGAGAGGACTATGTTTACTAATTCTTAGGGGAGATGGTTGTTGTTGTTAATTTCCATACAACATGTTAACAGAGATTAATAGATTTTCTTGTGAGTTGTCATTACTGCATGCAGGTGGATTTTTTTCTAGCCTACCTTTCCTTTTGATGATATGGTTCCTTTCGGGATTCAATTCTAGGTGTGGATCTCAAGTTCAGTACTCTCCCCCAACACATGCACACACTTTGGTGAACTTATACCTACTTTCTTGTTTTCTCCTAAGCAGTTAATCCCTAAAGATCTAGTTTCTAACATCAGCTGTTGTTCTGACAGAGCCTTGGTTTCTGAGATCACGTAACATTGTTATTTCAGCTCCCTGTTTTTCTTTCTTCACTCTTTTTGTCTTTCAGTAATTTTTTTGAGGGTCTTGGCAAAGCATTTAAAGTAGAGTTGATATAATCTGTCTTTTATCTAGGTGCTGAACACAGAAGCCCCAAAGTATAAAAAAATGCATGAGTGAATGAAATCATAAATTTGATCCAATAGATTATAGGAATCTTGTGAATGATTTTCTATGGGGAGTGTAGTATTTTTGTATAGGACTATGTCCTGGAAAGGGGTTTATGAGATTTGGGGGGATTGTAACAGTTGTAGTGATGACACTTTCCTTTGGCTAGAAAAGAAAGCATACTGGCTGAGGATGGAGTGAGGTACTTATTCTTCATAAGCCAGGAGAATGCATTGGTGGCATTCTCCCAGGGACAGCAGGGACAGTTGGTTCCATTGTCATTTATTAAACAAGTATAACCTTTATCTTTTTTATTGTATTTACATTAGACTCAATTTCAAAACTGTTTCTAATTTTTTGATGGTTTATGTGCTATCAAAGCACAAAGGAGACTGCCAGGCCCTTAGGATGTTTTACCCAATTTCAGGCCCAAATAATTTCTGAGATGTGAAATGGGTCAGTTTAAAACCTCTCTTCTTTTTGGAGGGCAAGATAATGATAATCATTTTGCAATTCTCAGGGTCATGACATGAGATGTAGGTAATCTTGTTGGTAAGTAGTCAACTGCACAGAAAGAATGAATTTCTTACAGTCTGTCTGCTGCCTTAGAAAATTATTGATCAACCAATAGAATTTCTATATATTTTTGTTGCTACCAGTCAAAACTGAATTATGGAAAATGAAATAATTTTGGATTCTTAAGTGTTACAAGGACCGAAGTATGAGGCACATAACTTAAAAAAGCAGCTCAACATTTTCTATGGGTGTTTATGTGACAGAACCTTGAAATCTAACTGGACTTCTTTGGAATGAAAATACCAGGTAAGTAGCTAAAACAAGACAAAAAACAGTGTCACACGAGTTCACTTTGCAGAAAATTGGCAGCAGCAGGTATGGAATGTTAGCTCAGAGCACACACTGCCATGTCCCCTTGGCTGACTGCTTTCTATAGCTTTACAGAGACATCTCAGATTGAGGTTTTTTTGGGGTTTACATTTGAAGATAGAGCTTTTTCAAGGCTGGATTGGTAACAGATTGTGATTTACAAATTACTAAATGCCTTTAATACCTAGCAGCTATAAAAATTCATTTTGTTTTGAAAACTTGATGTTTGGTGGTGCCTATGAGTTTCCTACTCCTCAAGTCTAGATGCTTGGTGTTTCCAGGACATCTATGAGAATGGGCTTTTTGCCATCAAGGGTGGTGGTAGAGAATGGGGTTGCAGGAAGGTTTGGGGGCTTATTCTAAAGCTGTGTTTGATGCGTGAGTAGATTGTTTTAAGCATATTACAGGTCAATAAAAATGTTAAAATGCTTAGCACAGAATTGAGGAAATCCCAGTTATTTATATAAAATAATGTTATTTTTCACTTGGGAGTTTGGGGATATTGATGGAGATAATCAGGGGGTGACTTCCCCATAACTACTGCTGCTGACATAGGCTGATACATATATTTAACATTTAAAAAGCTGCCTTTAGAGATTTTCTTTTAAATTTTATTAGGAAATATTGGTTTATCCCACTCTTCCATTTTCCTTTTTTGGCTCTTTGAATAGTGGAATTCTTTTAAAAAATACAGATTTTGGGGACTAAAATAACTATGTTATAGTATAAATGCACACAATTGTTTTCTACCATCTGCAGCTTTAATTTTTTTTTTTTTTTACAATATTAGACAAGAAAGACTTGCAAGGGATCTTAAAGATCTCTGGGTCCAAACTCTATGTTACCACAAAATAATGTGAACAGAAGTGATTGAGATGGTCTCTAATTACCTCTTTACTGCCCAGTGCTCCTAATATGGATGCACTAATTCTTCTTTGGTGATAGAATCTGGATTGAAAATGCCTGATTACCTCTTGCTATTGATAAACACCTTAGGACATGTGGTCATGTGACAAAGCTCTAACCAATAAGCTGAAGTGCTGTGTAGTTCAGTAGTGTGTCCTTACCTGTGGTTTCACTTTCCTGTTTCAGTTACTTGTGGTCGACTGTGGTCCAAAAATATTAAGATAGTTTGAGAAAGAAAGATCACATTCACATAACTTTTAGTATAATACATTATTGTCATAATTGTTCTATTTTATTATTGTTTTATCTCTTACTGTACCTAATTTATAAATTAAACTTCATCAAAATGTATGTAGAGGCAAATGCACTTGAACTCCAAATACAGTGTATGTAGAATTCAATACTACTGTGGTTTCAGGTATCCAACAGGGGTTTTCGAACATACTCCTGTGAATAAGGGGGGACTATTGTACTTCCAAGATGTTGTCTTAAGATGACCTTTATCCTAGTTTTCCATTTCGCTGCTGAAATATGATAGGACACTGAAATGATGGCTGAAGCACCAGCTTTCATTTGACACCATGAATACCAGAGCCACATCCCAGGGACTGAGCATGTGAAGGAGGCTGAGTCATGATGACAATGACTGTAAGACCTCTGTATTGACTCTACTGTGCCTCACTCTGGACTTCCATCATAAGAGAGAAAAACACTTGTAAATTGTTTAAACCATTGTCATTTTGGGTTTTCTGTCACATGAAACAGTGACTCACACATGAGTCATTTGTAACATACTATATTTTATTCAGTCATTAGTTCAGTATTAATCTCTTACTAGTTATTGGGTTCTATTCTATGTGCTAGCAGTGCAGAGGTAAATAAGACATAGTATTTACCTTCAACAAACTCGCAGACCAGCCGGGGAAACTGATACATCAAAAGACTATGAAACAGAGTTTCATTAGTAGAGGCATCTATAAGTGCTATGGTGGAGTAAAAGAGGAAGTAAGTAATTCTATTTTTTTTAGGTGAGAGGCAGGGTTCACAGAAAAGGAAGTACTTGAACTGGCTCTTGCAAGATTTGTAAGACTTTTCCAGTTAAGAATGGGGAGGTAGTTGGGGAGGGATGCAAATTTTAGTCAGAGAAAACTTGTAAAAAGAGCCGAAGGCATGTCACAGAATAATACTTTAGGTGAGCTCTAAGTACTTTGGAATAGATAGAAATTAGAGTTACTGGAACTGATAGGAGAGCATGTTATAGAGAGCCCAGATCATTCTGTATCTGGTGAACATATTTGTCGTGTCTTGTTTTACTTCACTTTACTTCAGTTGTCCAGGGAGGAAAAAGGGTATCATCATGTCCTAAGCATCGTACACTTTCATAAAGATTTGCTTTTTGGAACACTTGTTACTTTTGATTAAAGCATTAACATTTACTCAGCACTTACTATATGCCAGAATTATGTAATACTTAATATGTGTAATCTCATTTAATGTAGCCCTTTTTGGAGGTAAATACCATTATCACACCCACATTAAAGATGGAGATATTAAGGCCTGGAAATAAAAAGTAGCTTGTCCAACGTAACATATTTCACAAGTAATAACATTGAGATTCAAGTTAAAAGCTCTCTGCATCTGGAAGCAAAGCCCTTACCCGTAAGATTTAATCCATTTGTCTGTCTATTCACTTAGCATCCCTCTATTACTCATAACTCAATTTCAACAAAAGATATCCTTTATTTTAATATCAGATGCCTTGAATATGGATGGTCCTCCTGACACATTGAAGTTATTACAAGGAATTAAAATATTTCGAAAGCAGGTTTTATTATTCGTATGTTGACTATTGACATGGCAAGTCAAGAAATATTGTTAGACCAAACTTGGCCATTTTAAAAACATGTTTATGTTTATCTGTGTATCTATCTATATATCTACTGACCTATAACTATCTATCTGTAATCTATCTGATCACAGAAATGTGGACTGGAAGGGACTTTTGAAATCAATCTAGTACTGTCTCAAAGCTTTTGGAAAGCAATTATGTGTTTCAAGACAAGCTCAGTTTCTGAATTCTTGGCTCCTTGGCAAATGGCTTGCCATTAACAAACACCTGAGGAGGATTTCTGAGGTACAGACATAATTTATTGATTTATTGATGAAGATAACTCAGAACCATTTGGAATAGAAAGAAGCATTTATAATGTCATAAATAATGCAGTCTCATGAAAATGCAAACTGAATGGTGATGATTATTCCAAGGAGTCAAGAGAGTTATTGCCCATAAAATGGTGTTTGGTTTCTTCAGGATACCTGACTCCTAAACATAATTAGAAAATTGTAAGTAGACAGGCTGATTCTAGAAAATATTAGGGTCATCTTGCAAAGGAGGTGGTTCTATGATAAAAAAGACATTTGAAACTATAAATCTGTTATGAAATCCTAGATTTGACCCCTCTACACTTGAACTCACATTATGACAAAATATTTAATGTTTTATTTCTAGTCTTTTCTGGTTATATTCTTGTGAATATTAGAATTTCAAAAGGATTGTGACCTATTTGAGGGCATTGATTGCACCTTTGCTTTGTTCTGTTTGTCTTATTTTTCCCTCATGGTTTCTAGAACCAAGCTAAATTTTAGTAAATTTTTTTAGTATAACTCCAGAAAACATGAGACAGTCAAGCCTGTATACTCTACAGAAAAATTTACAGGAAGAGATTAAGAAAAATGATATTGTTTTGATTTAGTATTATTAATTTTTTAATTTATTCATTCCACAATTACATAAAGAATGTAGCATATAAAAGGAAGTGTGCTAGGCCGTGAAGTAGATGCAGATAGCCTCTTTTAAGGAAGCATGAGTTTTATAGCAGAAATAAATCACATACATAAAGATCTCTAATATCAGATAAAGAGGAGAAAGTACCATGATGGCTGATATGTTTCATGTTTGTCCCATACAAATCTCATGTTGCAGTGTGATTCCCATTGTTGGAAGTGGGGCCTGGTGGGAGGTGATTGGGCCATGGAGGTGGATCCCTCATGAAGGGCTTAGCACTATCCCTTGAAGATAAGTGAGTTATTTCTCTGAGTTCATTTGAGATCTGGTTGTTTAAAAGTATGTGGCACCTCCCTCCTCTCTCTTTTGCTCCTGCACTAGCCATGTGAGACACCTGGTCCCCCTTGCTGGCACCACACTTCTTGTACTGTCTACAGAACTGTAAGCCAATTAAACTACTTTTCCCTTTAAATTACCCAGCCTCAGATATTTCTATATAGCAACGCCAAAGCAGCCTAACAGAATAGCCTATTTAGGGTGCTCAGATTGGGGTGTTTCAGTTTCAAAATAGTGGAATTGAAGTAGTTTCTGCCTCTGTCTCTTAAGATTATTCCAAGGTAACTAGCAAAATAGAAAACAAGAAAAATACTCAATGAAAATGGGCTGATATATATAATCTTGTATTATAATATGTCATGACAGAGATGAGGAAAGTCAAATGTAAATTCCTGTGGCTTGGTGTGATGGTTAATTCTACATGTCAACTTGACTGAGTGTGTTAGGTGTTTTTGCATTGCTATAGAGGAATATCTGAGACTGGGTAGTTTATATAAAGAAAAGAAGTTTAATTGGCTCATGGTTCTGCAAGCTTTATAGGAGGCATATGCGGTGCTGGCGTCTGCTTTGATAAGAATCAGTCTCTGCGTTACAAACAATCCAACTATACTCTTTAAGTTATTTTGAGGGGATGGATACCCCATTCTCAATGATGGGCTTATTTCGTATTGTATGCCTGTATCAAAACATCTCATGTACCCCATAAATACATACACCTACTATATATGCACAAAAACTGAGTAAGAGGTCCAGTTCTGGCCTACCTCAGCTTTTAACATGCCTTCTTCAGTAAACTCAATCGTTTTTAGCTTTTGGTTCAAAGTGAGAGACATACCACTTTTCTTTTCACTTGAACACTTAGAGGTTTTTGTAGGGTTGGTAATTGGCCTAATTACAATATTGTTGTGTCTTGGGGAATAGGGAGGCTCAAGGAGAAAGAAAAAGATGAAGTACAACCAGTTGGTGGAGCAGTTAGAATACATCACAGCATTTATTTATTGGGTAAGTTTGCTATCTTATATAGGCAAGGTTCGTGGTGCCCCAAAGTAATTACAATTTTGTACGTCCAAGATCACTGATCACCCTAACTAACAGATAACATAAAAGTTTAAAATATTTCGAGAATTATTAAAATGTGACGGACATAAAGTGAGCACCATGCTGTCAGAAAAATGGTGCCAATAGACTTGTTTGACACAGGGTTGCCATGCCACAAATCTGCAATTTGTGGGGAAAAAAGGCACCAAAAAATGCAATTACCTGGGAAGCACAGTAAGGTAAAGTACAAGAAAATGATGTAAGTTTTTGCATGTGTATTGAAGTATCATGTTATACCTCATAAATATGTGCTATTACTGTGTGTCAGTCATAAATTTAAACAAATACCAAAGTCATATAATAGTAGTATGAAATCATTAAAAGAACTTATACAATTTGATATAGGCTTGAATGCCTATGAACAAAATAACGCCCTGAATTTCTGTTCTTCTATTTAATTTCCATTTTAATAACTAAGTCAAGTCATAAAAATAATTTTGCCTAAAAGAATGATTTGCTATGCTAATTAACACCTGAAATTATGATTAAACATTTACAAATGTCTCTCTGGGAAGCCTTACATCTGGGGTACATCTCTTCTGTATACATCTGTTGCTATCTAAACATATTTCATTATTTAAATGCAAGATTTAAAAAACCCATTATGCTATTAAAGTTAGAAATATAGCATATGAAAAGTCTGCTGATTTTTTAAAATGTATTTTAAATTGCTGGGCTTAAATGTGTAACAACATAAATATTTGGCTAATTTTGCTGCCGTAATATAGAAGTTTCAGTTTAACCAGGGCTGCATGGATCTGAAAAAACAATTGCTCTAAAGCTAACAATGACAATGGGAAATTAATCAGAATAATTACCACCATGTTAATATCTGGGTTAAGTGAGTTATCAGGCACAAAATATTTAGAATAGTACCAGGCACAAAGTAAGTGTTTAATTATTTTTACTTGTTATTACATAAATTACATTTAGTATCTTCCTTTTTTTTTTTTTTTTGAGACGGAGTCTTGCTCTGTCACCCTAGCTGGAGTGCAATGGAAGATCTCGGCTCACTACAATCTCCACCTCCTGGGTTCAAGTGATTCTCTTGCCTCAGCCTCCCGAGTAGCTGGGATTACAGGCACCCACCACCACACTTGGCTAGTTTTTGTATTTTTAGTAGAGATGGGGTTTTACTATGTTGGCCAGGCTGGTCTCAAACTCCTGACCTGAAGTGATCCACCCTCGCAGGCCTTCCAAAGTGCTGGTGTTACAGGTATGAGCCACTGTGCCCAGCAATATCTTCCTTTTATAGATTTTCCTTGAAGCTGCAAACCTGAAAGCTTTTAGATTTACAAGGAGAGGAACTGAGGAGATAATGTAGATAAATGATATGCAAACTCTCAAGTGGTATGTGTATATCAAATTTTTACTTTGGAGGCTAGAGATGCTGTAGTGTAGTAGAGGGAAATTTTATCTCTGGGGTCAGGTCAGGACAAGGGTTGGGTTAAAATAAAAATCTTTGGGGAAAATCGACTTTCTCCTTACTTGCATTGTTGGCAGAATTCATTTCTTTGTGGCTATAAGGCTGACACTGCATCTCCTTGCTGAGTTCCCAGCTGCTAGCAGACACCTGCATTCTTTGGCTCATGGTCACCTTCCTCCATTTTCAAAGCTAGCATTGGCAGATTGAGTCCTTCTCAGAATTTCAGTCTCTCCTCTTTCTTCTACCTCATCTCTCTGATTTACTGTTTTGCTTTTAAGGACTCATGTGATTAGATTGGACCCATCTAATAATAACCCTAAGTAATTTCCACATCTGAGGGTCCATAACCTCAATCACATCTGCAAAATTATTTCAGCCATAAGTAACATATTCACAAGTTTCTACAATTAGGAACTATTATTCTGTTAACCACAACTAGGTATTGTGCTAAGCGCTGTGCAAAATAATAGTATTAGTAATGATAATAATAATAGTAATAGTGGTAGCAAGCCCTGTGCTAAGTTTTCTACATGTAAATTTAATCATTAAACCAACCTAATGAGGTACGTAATGGTATGGGTCTTATTTTACAGATGAGAAAACCGAGGCACAAATGGACAAATAACTTGCCCACAGTTACCACATCAATAAGCTAGGATTTGAACCTAGGCAATCTGATCTTGGAGAACAAAAATGTCCTGTCCCCAGTGAGTTTATAGTCAAATAGGTTTTGGGGAAAGGAGAAGTCATACAGATAAATGCGTGTTTTAATTCTGGTAAATTTTAAGACGGAGTGGTGTATGCTACTTAAAAAGCCTGAAGTTGCAAGATTTGACTTGTCTAGAGGAAGGTGAGGGCTTGGCTATTGCCTGACTTGTGAAGAATGCATAGACATTAACTAGATAAAGTAGTGGGGTGGGGCATGTGCTTTCCAAGCAGAGGACTGAGTATCTACAAATGGCCTGTGGCAGTCTGGGGCTTAGCCAGAATGAACAGTCTCAAAGAAGGCTGTCATGGCCAGATGACAGGAAGTAAAGGCGAGTTGAGTCCTAAAGGAGGCTGGAAAAGGTGGGAGCTAGACCAGGCTGTGGAAGTTTTGTACTGTACTTACCTAAGAGCTGTGGGAAATATGTTAAGCCCTGGGTGACATGGTAAGATTGATGTTTCAAATCATAAGCCTGGCTCTAATGGAAAAAACAGATTGGAGTAAGGCAAGAGTGGAAGCCAGAAACCTGGTGGGAGAATAAGATACTGCAGTAGACTGAAGTTTGTTTATAGGGGCTTAGACTACAAGGGTGATGAGGGGTAATGGAGGTAAATAGAGATATTTCACATGTATTTAGGAGGTAAAAGTTTTAAAAACGATGCTGCATTAGATGTTGGTGTGAGAAGGTACTATATGTCCTTTTTCTTCTCCAACCTCTGGGATTAATTATAATATGTTTGGAGTCTTGTGAAACCATGCTTCTTAATCTGAGGCTCTTGATCCTACTTATTTCTGTGGAGCTCCTGATTCATGAGGTTTTGCTTGAGGCTCTGGAATTTGGGAATTCAGAGCCATTTGTTTCGTTTCGTTTTTTTGAGGTACCTTGTTTGAACATTCTTATGTTCACGCACATTTGGGAAATGCTGATATAGACAGTGTGTAAGATAGTTAGTGATTCTCAATATTGGTTGCACATTAGGGATGCTTTTAAAACTATGTACGCCAGGGCCCTACCTGAAACAATTAAGTCAGAATCTGTGTGAGTTGGGCCTGGGCATTGGTGTTTTAACAGGTGATTGTGATATGCAGCCAGTATGAAACTCTGAGTTAAATTATGATTCTGAAGAGCATGTGGAAAAAAAGAAACCTGGGGTAATATAAAGATAGAAGCATGCCAGGCATATGGTAAAAATGATTTATAAAGCGCAACATGGACAAATCATTCAAAATGAAATCAATAAAGTAGTAAAGGTACTGAATTAAGCTGCATCCACTGGGATATTTTCAACCTTTTCCAAATGACTGCATAAAATTATTCTTGCATCTTCCAGCAGAAAAGATTAAATTGTAGATATAGTACTTGATATACTTCTCTAAATCAGACATAAAGCAAATATATTAAATTGAGAGAACCTCTTCATAAAAGGAACCAAAGTTTTCAAATGATGGTAACGTAACTTTGGACATTTAGCACGATCTGAGGTTATTTATAAAATAAACTAAGGCAAAACCATCATGTCTGTACTTGTAAATTTTGTGTTTTGACTTCTCAATAAATTTTATATTAAAAGGCATTAATACTTGCTGTTTGTTATTGGATACTGATGTCCATTGTTGGGGAAGCTTTGCATTTAAAGCAAAGCATAAATAAGAATATAACTACAAAATGACTTCTGTAATAATTGTTAAAAAATAGCAATGCCAGAGACCTAAAGGTTATTCTCATTCACTGGTGATGTAAAGGGAACAACCTAGTTACGTGACGATTTAAAATACTGACCCAAACTTTAGAAATGCAAAGATCTCCAGGGGGATTCCTGGCTTTATGTTTCGATCAGTCAATCAATTAATCTAGCCATCTATCAAATCATCAAGTTATACTCAATATACAAAAACTGTATATTTAAAATTTACAATAATTGCATATATTTAAATCATAGAATGTAATGTCTTGACCTATTTATAAACTTGTGAACCCTTTGTAACAAAGATAATGAACATATCCTTCACCTCCCAGAGTTTACTCATGCCTCTCTGTAATCCTTTGCTCCCACATTTGCTCATTCCCCACTCCTCATACACATAGAGTGTTCTCCTTTTTGTCTTGTCTTTTGTTTCATCCAGAAAAATTATTTTGAGATTTATTTTTGAGATCCATATTTTTACTTATGCCAATAGTTCATTTCTTGTTGCTTAATAGTAGTCCACTGTATATAATCACCACAGTTTTTCTATATTTCATGATGGATATTGAGGGCATTCCTAGTTTTTGGCTATTACAAATAAAACTGCTGTGAACATCAATATGCAAGTCTTTGCATGGACTTGTGCTTCTTTTCTTTCAGAACTTTGGAGTAAAATGGCTAGATCAAGTGGTAAGTGTATGTTTGACTTCTTAGGAAACTGCCAAAATACTTCATGAAGTAACTGTATCATTTTACATTCTCACCAATGTTTTCTCCAGAGACTAACCCTCCAAAGGCCCGCCTGGATGGATAAACCTGTCTGTAAATATTTCAGAATTTGGGTGAGGGAAGGGGACTGGATCTAGTACTCTCAGTAAATCCTGTTTCTAGCATGGCACCTCACCTCAACTGTTATTGTGCCTCCATGACCTGGATTCTGACACACTTGGACTCAACTTCTACAGAGAATAAATTGATTATCTCTTGAGACATGGAAGAAAGAGGAAATTACTTGGTTGCATGGAGTCAGGGAAAGACAGAGTCCAGTTGTTCTTTTACAGACTTCTAGGCAATGCCACATTTTCAGTGTCATGGTCCTTAACCCCCTTTAACTTCAGAAATACCCGGCATCTCCGATGTCTGAAATTTCCTAGGATTCTGAAAGATGAGTTAGCTTGTTTCTCATTGGAATCTTGCTTTGCATCTTCTTAGGCAACACCTTTTTCCTTTATATAAAGTCAGCTATCACCTAGAAATTTTCCATCTTCCAAAAGTTGGTTAACATCTCTTGCTCTATCACTTAATATAGTACTATATTTCTTTTATTGCTTACCTGACACTTTAGCAATGTTTGGAGAGGGAGCAGAAATAAATTTTTCCATCATAACTCTATTGTTACAGCACTTAAAAAGGAACCTAGAGACCCTAGAAGACATTAGAAGGAAAATGAAGGCAGGGCTGATAGTCAACACGTAATTGTTACAGCTACGCAAGGTAAAACAGCAAAACACTTTCATGTGTATTGGTTATTAGTGTCTACTCCAAGCCTCCTGCCCCTTCTGAGACCTCTGAATGTCTCCCATGATTTAGCAACTAATGAGGTAATGTCTGATATAATAGACGGGCTTCTAGGACCCTGCTTTGGCACTCACCTGTGTTCATTTTGACTGGGTGGCATGTGTTCTGATTGATCTGCAAGTTTTTTGATTAGTTGGCAGCTGGTTTTGACTGATCATATCCATAATATATGCTGTTAAATAATTTTGATATCATTCTTGAGTAAAGGAACTCTAATCCATATCTTCTGAGGAGGAATTGAATGAAATGAAGTATGAGGTTAAAGGAGAGCAGATTCAGGAAGGATATTTTAATTATTTTCAAATACAGTAGGACTTATTGACGTGTTTGAGATAAACTACACATTTAGATCTAGGGCAGATTTAATCTCAATATAAACATGAACCTTCTAAAGTTTCAACCTTTTCAAAATTCAAATGAGCAGTTTTATTTATTCCCTAACCTTGGGAAGAATAATATATTTACAATTATATCTATCTACAATATGTTATATACAACATAAATACATGATTTTAAAATATAACATATTCTTTGTTTAGACTATAAAAGCAATTCAGGCTTTTATAACAGTGCATGCTGGAAAACTTAGCATAGGAAAGTATGAATAAGAGGCCGGGCATGGTGACTCATGCCTGTAATCCCAGCACTTTGGGAGGCTGGGGTGGGTGGATTACTTAAGCCCACGAGTTCGAGATCAGTCTGGACAACATGGTGAAACCCTATCTCTGCTAAGACCCAAAAAAAAAAAAAAAAAAAAAAAAAGCCGGGCATGGCAGCATGTGCCTGTAGTCCCAGCTACTCAGGAGGCTGAGGCACAAGAATGGCTTGAGCCCGGGAGGTGGAGGTTACAGTGAGCCAAGATCGCCACTGCACTCTAGCCTGGGCGACAGAGTGAGACAGTCTCTCAAACAACAACAACAACAAAAAATGAAAAATAAGAAAAGTATGAATAAGAAAACAGAAAACTCTCATGTTGCAACCCAGATGTGATGATAATGTATTACTTCCATGCAATTGTTTTTCTAAGTAAAAGAAATAAATTTGTCTTTTGAGGTTTTCCTATCTTATGTATTTGACATTTGAGCCCGTATTTTGTTTTAATTTTTGATGCATAAAATTTTATTTGCTCTATAAACATCACAATAATATTTTATATCTTCTGTTTTGTACATAATTAAGAGCAAATAGAAGAGTGCATTTATAGTATACAGATCACAAATATGATAGCCAGGAGCACTTTCTTGTTTTATTTTGAACTAATAGAACCATGGAAATAAAATATTTTAAATCAGAATTGATAGGACCTAGCAAGTAAAAATGTTAAATTTCCTATCAATGTTGAGAAACATGAGGTATTCATAGATGATGTTTAACTCTTTCTAACATGGGAGTGTTAGAAAACTAGTTAATTATTATACATCTTTATTATTTTTTCTCTTTTTTATTATACTTTAAGTTCTGGGATACATGTGCAGATCATTATAATGCAGCCCTTATTTTAAATATCTACATTATAATAATTTCAGACCCCATCCTTTAGATCACAGGAGGAAGTCCATTCTTTTTATCCAAGAAAATTCTGGAAATCCCTAAAAATGTATGTACAGAATATGCATAACATGTACTGCAAATCAACCCATTGCCTGTATTTGGGAATTGTTTTATTGGATTGTATTCTGCTTTTGTTCTAAATCTCAGGAATTCTTAGATCACTTCACTAAATCCAGTGGCTTCTCTGGGTCATACTATTCTTCTATCAGTTTACTTACGGGATGAATATAAACCCCTCATTTAATTTCCCCAAATTATATTTCAGGTGAGGAAATGCTGTATCATAGAACTTGAGTAAATGCAGATACATAGAGCACAATAGAGGAAACATATTACACTGCTATTAGAAATAGTTTCTCTTAGTATGTAGATACTAAGCAAACCAGAGAGTTCATGCCTAGCTCCTGGCAGGCTCCTGCTGAGTCAGGACTCCTGCTGAGTTAGCTCCATCAGCAAGTAAACTCTGCCATTTAGTCCCAGGTATACCAGGAGACAACCTTCCTGGGTGCCAGAAAGAAAAGCAGGTCTCCTCCCCTCTTGTCCGAGGAAATCTTGCTTATTTAATGATCTTGTATGTTTGACAGTGGTAGTAGCCATTCCTTCATAAAAACCCATACCTCACCTACAATGATGTGGTTAGGCTTTCCTGACCCAAGGAACACATTCATGATAGTTGCCATACATTTCTAAAAGATTAAACTATTTAATCTTAACTTCATATGTGATACCAACAGTTCAGACTAAATTTGTTTATGTGGGGATGGGGGGAAGAGGATCTAACTTTCTAAAGGCAAGTGATCCTAAAAATAAGTATACTCAATTTACATTCACATACAGAATATATAATATTTTGGCCTGCAGCTTCTGCATTGAAAATTGTTGGGATTCCATAATTTTCCAAAGTCAAGGGGTGTATACTTGCTTTATATTTGTGTAACTGAAGAATCTAGTCCTGTGATTTTTTTTCTAAAAAAGTCTGTTACAAATGTAAATTAAAGTTGTTTCCAAAGTAAACTGCTAGTAATGTTATTTTTTCCTTTTCTTAAAATAGCTTTATTGAGTTATAATTCATATATCATGCAATTAATTCATTTAAAGTATACAGTAATAGCTTTTAGTATATTAAAAGATGTATACAACCATCACTACAGTCACTTTTAGTTTTCTTCACCTCAAAAAGAAATTCCATGCCCTTTATTTGTACACCCCCATTGCCCCATCCCCCCCATCCCTAAGCAACCCCTGATATACTCCCTGTCTCTATAGATTTTCCTATTCTGAACCTTTCAATAAAAATATTGTGTGGCAATGTATATTAGTCCATTCTCACACTACTATAAAGAATTGCCCCAAACTGGGTAACTTATAAAGGAAAGAGGTTTAATTGACCCGCAGTTTCACATGGCTGGGGAGGCCTCCGGAAACTTAAGAATCATGGTGGAAGGGGAAACAAACACGTGCTTCTTCGCATGATGGCAGGAAAGAGAAGTGCTAAGCAAAAGGGGGAAAAACCTCTTATGAAACCATCAGATCTCATGAGAACTCACTATCACTAGAACAGCATGACGGTAACCACCCCATGATTAAATTATCTCCCACCAGATCCCTCCCAGCACACGTAGGAATTATGAGAACTACAGTTTAAGATGAGATTTGGGTTGGGGACACAGCCAAAGCATATCACAACGTATGTTTTATTTGACTGGCTTCTTTCATTTGACATTGTTTTCAAGGTTAAATAATTTTGTGGTGTGTATCAGTATTTTTTTATGGCTGAATAATCATTGTATGGCTACCACATTTTAAAATTCATAAGGTGGACATGTGGATTGTTTCCACCTTTTGGCTATTATTAGTAATGTTGCTATAGAAATTTATGTACACGTGTTTGTGTGGTCATATGTTTTTATTTCTTTTGGGTACATACCTAGCAGTGGAATTTCTGGGTCATATCTAAGTGGTAACATAAGTCTTATTTTTCTTAAAATTATGGTAAGTACTTTGGTATAAATTTTATACATATGGGTATTTACACATATGTGTATCTCACATGAGATATATACTATTTATAGTTAAAAAGAAAAGAGAGGAAAGGATAGAGATGAAAAGCACTGATAAGCCTACTATTTCGTGAAATACACTTTCAGCTCTTTTGTGTACATGTCAGTAAATACATACAAGTTTATGTCATAATATTGATAGTTTTAGATGCTTCCTTTGATCCTTAACATGATGATGGACATTGGATGCATTATTGCATCATACAAATGTATCATAACTTATTTAACCAATTTCCTATTACTGGACATTGTGGTCATTTTAAAACCTGGTATTATTTTAATATATGAAGTTGGTATATACATTTTGGTCCTTGGAATGAATTCCCAAGAGTGGGATTGATGGATCAAAGATTAACATATTGCTACATATTGCCAATTTGAATCACATAACTTTAAGGTCTTGTAAAACTAGTTTTTATAAGACTTACGTGAGAAAACATGAAAGGGCACTATCTAAACCAAGGTAGTCCTCATTTAATTATTTGAGCAATTGTACTTGTTGGGACAGAGTAGGACTATGATAGATATTTAAAAACTATGCGAAGCACCAAAGAGAAATGCCAAATAATGGGAGGCAAACAGATGTTCAACGCTGATAGTTTGACTCACTCAAAGAATGGTAGAAACTAAATGGTAAGAGAGATGAGTGTGGAGTTGGCTGTAGTAACCCTTTTCTAATCTTGGTTTTGTAATAAAACATCTGTGCTATATTTAATATAAGCCACACTTAATTGAGCACACGTGAACACAAAGGCATATAGCAACTGTTCTTTAGCAAATGATGGTGGCTCTGTGGGGTTGTCCACAGAGAAAATACGTCTATCCTTTCAGTTTATGGAGAAAATACAGTAAAAAGTTACCCTTAGGCACCAAGTTAACTGGAAAGGGAGTCAAACAAAAACTTTTTTTTTGGCAAAGATGTGTGAAACAGGAGAAAATGCTCATACAAAAGACAGTAACTTAACCATTAAGCATTGCTTCAAGTCCTTTCAAAGAAGCAAAACCTAAAATTTGAAGGAGAACATACCTTAGATCTCAACACTATTGCAATATTTCTTAAAGATCTGCATAAGCTGATTCAGAAGAAGGGATATAGCAAAAACATTAAACTCTGTCAATATTTTGTTTTGAAAGTGGGTTGTCTTCACAAATCTATGTTTGTCTCACATATGTGAATGCGTATATTCAATGCCACTTTTATTGCTTACTTTTTCTTAACCACTATGCTATGAGAACTTAAATTTATCAGACATGGCTTTTCTACCTTTGTCCGTTTTTAGAAATATAATTTCCTTGTTTGAAGGAGTGTGCAGTTGGAGAAGGCTTCCCAGGGACGGGAAGGACATAAGTTGATTTTAAGGATGCATCTGCTTCCCTAGCCTGAAAATCAATACATGAAGCACACCAAAGTTCTGTTCTCAGATTTGGAACACAGCACTTCTGGGACTTTTCTTAGCAGCCTCTATAAATACATGTAAGTTCACATTGCAGTGTCACGTAGCAGGAAATTCTAGAAGTCAGTGGTCAGAAATAAGAGGAAGAGCCAGATGCAGTGGCATGAGCCTGTAGTCCTAGCTACTCAGGAGGCTTGAGGTGGGAGAATGGCTTTAGGCCTGGAAGTCTGAGGCAAGCCTGAGAATTTGAGGCAATCCTGGACAATGCAGTGAGAACCCATCTCTTAAAAAATAATAAATGAATAGAAACAAAAAGAGGAAAAGTGATCTGATGTAGCTGATTATTGAGAAAGTGCAGAATGCAAAGAGCCTCAAAGAGGAGATATTTTACTGTAGGCAAGTGACTCAAGGGATTTTCTGATCTGTCTTCTCTGTGTTCCTTGGCCAGCAAGCTCTATGGCATTCACCTGAAAGCCACCATGTCATTGAGCAGTTATGGGTGAAGGGCATTCTGGGGGTCTTGGGGAACATGGCTATAATGGGGCATATGACATTCCCCCAATTCATGTCAATTACTTCTCCTAAATCCATACTCTGTAGCTGGTACCACTTATATTGCTTCTTTACTAAGTGTCTACATTCATAAAGTTCCTATCATAAAGATAGGAATCTATTTTCTTTAGAAGATTACAGATTCACAAGGAACAAAACAATGTAACTGTGATTAAAAGGTTCATATTCAAAAGGCAGTTACTGGTTATTTCTTTCCTCAGCTAAATGTAATGTTCACTTATGTTGATTTTTAAATTAGTAGCAGTAGTGAAGAGTAGGGATCCTTAACTCAGGTCTCAGTGTCTAATCCCTAAATTGAAGGTATTTAAACAGATTGTCAATAAAATTAATTTTGGCTGTAAATTCTGATGAGCTTGTGTGTTTTCTTTTCTTCAAACAAGCACAGGATTCTTCTAGTCTTGGACTCTGATTAAAAATGTGCAATGGCTTCCAATTGCCATGGGTTTTAGACTAGCATTTAAATACATTTGACTGATTGGCCCCCAGTCTACTATTCTAGTTTGCTTCCTCGCATTCCTCACTACAAATCCTCCACTGACTTGATCAGTCTCCTAATTATGCCACAAACATAACTCGTTTTCTTCTCTTCCCATCCTGCGTGCTTTCTCCTTCTTCCTGTAACTTTCATTTTCTTATCCAAATACTACATGGTATTTTTATTCTAGGTACACTTTAGTCTCTTCTTTGCTCTTTGGGAAGACTGGGACTCTGGAGTGAGAGGAATCTTTGATCTTTAGTAGCTTAGCCACTTGGGACCAGTAACTTACAACTTCCGTAGGCTTTAATTTCTTCATTTGAAAAGGATTCATAAAAGTACCTGGCTCATAAAGGTTTTGTGAGGTTACCTGGAAAGCACTTAACCTGTTGTTGGTACATAGTAGAAATTCAGTAGATGATGTTGAGAAAGATGATGAATATTGGCTTATATAATTGCATATTTGGTCTTTGTCAGGATAGCCCTGCCTTATGTTTTCATTCATATCACTGTGAAAGATCTTCTTGAGTTAAAGTTTTCTTCCTGTACAGCAGTGTGTGATTTTTTTTTCATTTCCAAAAGTCCCCTTCTACCTCTGTGAGGAAAATAAGCTAATCTCTATGAGAAAGAAAAGTCTCCTAGTGTTTGAGAGAAAGCAGCCAATTTCAGAACCACAGCTTCTCTGGCTGTCGGTCTTAGCCATGCTTTATTTTTCAGAGTTTTTAGTCCATTCCACTTTTTCATCACTCCTCCCTGGCTCACAGTAGTAAACTGAAGCATACTTTATTGAAGTAAGAAGAAATAATTATATTATGCTTCTTACTGCAAGCACATGAGTTTTGGTGCCTTTCAGGAGGAATACATTAGATGAGCACCTGGTTGGCAATCAACCTACTCTACCTCATTGGATGACATTTGAATAATCACTCAAATCTGCAGTAACTAGAGAAGAGTATTTCAAGTGAATTACTGAGTATTTACTTCATATTACAATTGAATGATTAGGCATACAGATAAATAAGGGAACATTTTCATGACATCCATACTATTGAATGCAGTGAACGTGTAGAACGCATCTTGATTTCTAAAAATTCCTACAGTTACCTGTGAACAAAAACAATACATCTGAATGGGGAAAATTTAAATTCTTTTCCAGGTTCATGTTGTTTTGAGGCTTATTTTTAGAGATGCCTAGGACACTGAAATAATTGATGATTCATAGACAGATTCTTATTTGACTTGGTAATTATGTCCACACAACTTATTCATAGGGTTTTGAAAAAATTTACCTTGACTACTAGAATATTTTCCCTGAAGATCTCTCAGTAGAATGGGGCAGAGATATTTATTTTTATTTTTTTGTTTATGTGGGTTCTATTAGTATTCACCATATTAACAATTAACATTGACAAATGTTTTAAAATATATAATTATCTTAATATAAGTTACATGTTAATTTTTATGAAAAATAATTTTATTTTTCAATAATAATAAGTAATATTTTTTATTGTGTAAATTTAAGGTGTACAACATGTTTTTGTGTATTTCTGCATGGTGAAGTGCTTATAACAGTCAAATTAATAATATATTATCTTCCATAGTTACCTTTCCTTTGTGCATGTACATGTGCGTGGGGTAAGAGTATCTAAAATTTATTGTTTTAATGAATTTCCAGTATATAAAATGCAATATTATTAACTATAGTGCTCATGCTGTATGCTGTTTCTCTACATGTATTCATCCTGTGTAAACAAAAAATTTGTACCCTTTGACCTACATCTCCCATTTCCCCTGTGCCTTTCCCAACTACCATTCTACTCTGCCGTTTTGTGTTTATTATTATTTTTTTAAGATTCCACATATAAGTGAGATCCTGTAGTATAGTATTTGTATTTCTATATCTGGCTTATTTCAGCAAACATAGTATCATCTAGGTTCACCCATGTTGCTGAAAATGGCAGAATCTCCTTTTTTAAGACCAGATAGTATTCTGTTGTGTATGTATACCATGACTTCTTTATCCATTCTTCTATCAGTGGACACTTAGGTTGTTTCCCTATCTTGGCTATTGTGAATAATGCTACAATAAGCATGGGCATGCAGACACCTTTATGAGGTGGTGATTTCATTATGTTTGGGTATATATCCAGAAGAGGGATCACTAGGTCATATGGTAGTTCTATGTTGAATTTCTTTTAGGAAGCTCTGTGAAGTTTTCCAGGGGATACACAAATCTGCATTCCTACCAACAGTCTACAAATGTTTCCTTTTCTCTACACCCTCACCACCATTTATCTCTTGTCTTTTTTTTAATGAGCATTTCAACAGATGTTAGATGATAAATCATTGTGGTTTTGATTTGCGCTTCCCTGATGACTAGTGTTGTTGAGCACCTTTCCATGTACTTGTTGGCCATTTGTATATCTTCTCTAGAAATAAGTCTATTCAGGTCCTTTACCTATTTTTTAATCAGGTTATTCTTTTGTTTTGCTATTAAGTTGTTTGAGTTCCTTGCATATTTTAGGTATTAACCTCTTGAGAGAGATTATGGTTTGGAACATATATTCTCCCAGTAAGTATTTAAGTTGTCTCTTCAGCCTCTTTACCATTCTTTCATGGTAAAAACACTGTTGAGTGTTTTTACCATGAAAGAAGGTTCAACTTTGTCAAATACCTTTTCTGCATCTGTTGAGCAGATGGTTTTTGTCATTAATTCTGTTAATGTGGTTTATCACATTAATTGATATGCCTTTTTTTAAACCAACATTGCATACCAGGGATAAATCCAACTTGGTCATTATAATTTTTTTGATGTGTTCTTGAGTTCATTTTGCTGGTGTTCTTTTGATGATTTTTGCATCTATGTTAATCTGAGATATTGGCCTGTAGTTTTCTTATTGTGTCTGGCTTTGACATAAGAATGATGCTGGCCTCAAACATGGCTTTGGAAGTACTCCCTCTAGTTCTAAACTGTAGAAGAGTGTAAGCAGAATTTGAGATATGTTCCATCAATATCTAGTTGATTGCATGTTTTTTTTTTTTTTTTTTTTTTTTTTTTTGAGATGGAGACTCGCTCTGTCGCTCAGGCTGGAGTGCAGTGGCATGATCTCTGCTCACTGCAAGCTCTGCCTCCCGGGTTCACGCCATTCTCCTGCCTCAGACTCCTGAGTAGCTGGGACTACAGGTGCCCGCCACCACGCCTGGCTAATTTTTTGTATTTTTAGTAGAGACGGAGTTTCACCATGTTAACCAGGATGGTCTTGAACTCCTGACCTCATGATCCGCCCACCTTGGCCTCCCAAAGTGCTGGGATTACAGGCATGAGCCACCGCGCCTGGCCGATTGTGTTTTTTTAACATGAAGGGATGTTAAATTTTATCAAAGGCCTTTTCTGTGTCTAGTGATATAATCATGTGGTTTTTGTCTTTGGTTCTGTTTATGTGATGGATTACATTTCTTGATTTGCATATGTTGAACCAGCCTTGCATCCCAGGGATGAAGCTGACTTGATTGTGTGGATAAGCTTTTTGATGTGCTGCTGAATTTGGTTTGCCAGTATTTTATTGAGGATTTTCACATCGATGTTCATCAGGGATAGTGGCCTGATGTTCTCTTTTTTGTGTGTGTCTCTGTCAGGTTTTGGTATCAGGATGATGCTACCCTCATAGAATGAGTTAGGGAGAAGTCCCACCTTTTCAATTGTTTGGAGCAGTTTCAGATTTGTACCTCTTTGTACTTCTGGTAGAATTGGGCTGTGAATCCGTCTGGTCCTGGGCTTTTTTTGGTTGGTAGGCTATTAGTTACTGTCTCAATTTCAGAAGTTGTTATTTGTCTATTCAGGGATTTGACTTCTTCCTGATTTAGTCCTGGGAGGGTGAATGTGTCCCGGAATGCATACATTTCTTCTAGATTTTCTAGTTTATTTGCACAAAGGTGATATAGTATTCTCTTAGTTTGTATTTCTGTGGGGTCAATGGTGATATCTCCTTTATCATTTTTTAATTGTGTCTATTTTATTCTTCTCTCTTTACTCTTTATTAGTCTAGCTACGGTCTACCTATTTCATTAATTTTTTCAAAAACACCTCCTGGATTCATTGATTTTTTTTGAAGGGCTTTTTGTGTCTCTATCTCCTTCAATTCTTTTCTGATCTTAGTTATTTCTTGTCCCCTGCTAGCTTTTGGATTAGTTTGCTCTTGCCTCTCTAGCTCTTTTAATTGTGATGTTAGCGTGTCAGTTTGAGATCTTTCTAACTTTCTGATGTGAGCATTTAGTGCTATAAATTTCCCTCTTAACACTGCTTTAGCTGTATCCCAGAGATTCTGGTATGTTGTCTCTTTGTTCTCATTGGTTTCAAAGAAACTATTTATTTCTGCCTTAATTTCAACAGTTATCCAGGAGTCATTCAGGAACAGGTTGTTCAATTTCCATGAAGTTGTGTGGTTTTGAGTGAGTTTCTTAATCCTGAGTTCTAATTTGATGGCACTGTGGTCTGAGAGACTATTTGTTTTGATTTCAGTTCTTTTGGAGTAGCTGAGGAGTGTTTTACTTCCAATTATGTGGTCAATTTTAGAATAAGTGCCATGTGGCACTGAGAAGAATGTATATTGTTGATTTGTGGTAGAGAGTTCTGTAGATGTCTACTAGGTCCATTTGATCCAGAGCTGAATATCCTTGTTAATTTTCTGTCTCATTGATCTAATGCTGACAGTGGAGTGTTAAAGTCTCCCACTATTATTGTGTGGGAGTCTAAGTCTCTTTGTAGGTCTGTAAGAACTTGTTTTATGACTCTGGGTGCTCCTGTTTTGGGTGCATATATATTTAGAATACTTAGCTCTTTTTGTTGAATTGTTTCCCTTATCATTATGTAATACCCTTCTTTGTCTTTTTTGATCTGTGTTCATTTAAAGTATGTTTTGTTGGAGACTAGGATTGCAACCTCTGCTTTTTTTGCTTTCTATTTGCTTGGTAAATTGTCCTCCATCCCTTTATTTTGAGTCTATGTGTGTCTTTGCATGTGAGATGGGTCTTTGCATGGAACATATCTCAAAATAATAAGAGCTATTTATGACAAACCCACAGCCAACATCATATTGAATGGGCAAAAGCTGGAGGCATTCCCTTTGGAAACTGGTACAAGACCAGGATGCCCTCTCTTACCACTCCTTTTCAACATAGTATTGTTTGGCTAGGGCAATCAGGCAAGGGAAAGAAGTAAATGGTATTCAAATAGGAAGAGAGGAAGTCAAGTTGTCTCTGTTTGCAGATGACATGATTTTATATTTATAAAATCCCATCATCTCATCCCCCAAACTTATTGATCTGATAAACAACTTCAGCAAAGTCTCAGGATACAAAATCAATGTGCAAAAATCACAAGCATTCCTTTCTACCAACAATAGGCAAGCAGAGAGCCAAATCATAAATGAACACCCATTCACAATCGCTACAAAGAGAATGCCTAGGAATATGGCTCACTAGGGATGTGAAGGACCTCTTCAAGGAGAACTACAAACCGCTGCTCAAGGAAGTAAGAGAGGACACAAACAAATGGAAAAACATTCCATCCTCATGGATAGAAAGAAACAATATCATGAAAATGGTCATACTGCCCAAAGTAATTTATAGATTCAATGCTTTTCCCATCAAACTACAGTTGACATTCTTCACAGAATTAGAAAAAACTGTTTTAAATTTTATATGGAATCAAAGAAGACCCTGTATAGCCAAGACAGTCCTAAGCACAAAGAACAAAGCTGGAGGCATCGTGCTACCTAACTTCAAACTGTATGATAAGGCTACAGTAACCAAAACAGCCTGGTACTGGTACCAAAATAAATGTATAGACTACTGGAGCAGAACAGAGGCCTCAGAAATAACACCACACATATACAACCATCTATCTTCGACAAACCTGACAAAAACAAGCAATGGGGAAAGTATCTCCCAATTAGTAAATGGTTCCTACTTCAGCTTTGTTTGTTAATGGTTTGTTTTCTATTTCTTCTTGATTCAATCGCACTAGGTTGTATGTTGCTAGGAATTTATGAATTTTCTCTAGGTTATCTAATTTGTAGGCATATGACTGTTTATAAGTCCCTTACAATCCTTTTCATTTCTGGGGCATCTGTTGTAATGTCTCCTCTCTAATTTGTGATTTCAGTTGTTTGAATCTTCTCTCTTACTTAGTTGGTCTAGCTAAGGATTTTTCATTTTTACTTATTTTTGCAAAAACCCACCTCTTTGTTTTATTGATATTTTTATTTTATTTTTTATATTTTTTATTTTATTGATATTTTCCCTACAGTTTCTCTATTCTCATTTGATTTGTGACCTAACATATGCTGTATCCTGGAGAATGTTTCATGTGGGCTTGAGGAGAATATCCTGTGAATGTTCTACATATGTCTCTTAGCTCCATTTGATTGAAAGTGTAGGTGGTTGCTCCCTCTCCTTCTCCCTTGTCTCCATCTCCCGTCTCCGTCTCCCATCTCCGTCTCCGTCTCCCATCTCCGTCTCCCGCTTTCCACGGTCTCCCCCTCTCCCTCATCTCCGTCTCCCGCTTTCCACGGTCTCCCTCCGTTGCCGAGGCTGGACGGTACTGCCACGATCTCGGCTCACTGCAACCTCCCTGCCTGATTCTCCTGCCTCAGCCTGCCGAGTGCCTGGGATTGCAGGCGCGCGCCGCCATGCCTGACTGGTTTTTGTATTTTTTGGTGGAGACGGGGTTTCGCCGTGTTGGCTGGGCTGGTCTCAGCTCCTGACCTCGAGTGATCTGCCCGCCTCGGCCTCCCGAGGTGCCGGGATTGTAGACGGAGTCTCGCTCACTCAGTGCTCAATGTTGCCCAGGCTGGAGTGCAGTGGCGTGATGTCCGCTCGCTACAACCTCCACCTCCCAGCTGCCTGCCTTGGCCTCCCAAAGTGCTGAGATTGCATCCTCTGCCTGGCCGCCACCCCATCTAGGAAGTGAGGAGCGTCTCTGCCTGGCCGCCCATCGTCTGGGATGTGAGGAGCCCCTCTGCCCGGCCGCCCAGTCTGGGAAGTGAGGAGCGCCTCTTCCCGGCCGTCATCCTGTCTAGGAAGTGAGGAGCGTCTCTGCCTGGCCACCCATCGTCTGCAATGTGGGGAGCGCCTCTGCCCGGCCGCCCCGTCTGGGAGGTGAGGAGCGCCTCTGCCCGGCCGCCACCCCGTCTGGGAAGTGAGGAGCGCCTCTGCCCGGCCACGACCCCATCTGGGAACTGAGGAGCGCCTCTGCCCGGCCACCCCGTCTGAGAAGTGAGGAGCCCCTCCGCCCGGCAGCTGCCCGTCTGGGAGGTGTACCCAACAGCTCATTGAGAACAGGCCATGATGACGATGGCGGTTTTGTCGAATGGAAAAGGGGGAATTGTGGGGAAAAGAAAGAGAGATCAGATTGTTACTGTGTCTGTGTAGAAAGAAGTAGACATAGGAGACTCCATTTTGTTCTGTACTAAGAAAAATTCTTCTGCCTTGGGATGCTGTTAATCTGTAACCTTACCCCCAACCCTGTGCTCTCTGAAACATGTGCTGTGTCAACTCAGGGTTAAATGGATTAAGGGCGGTGCAAGATGTGCTTTGTTAAACAGACGCTTGAAGGCAGCATGCCCGTTAAGAGTCATCACCACTCCCTAATCTCAAGTACCCAGGGACACAAACACTGCGGAAGGCCGCAGGGTCCTCTGCCTAGGAAAACCAGAGACCTTTGTTCACATGTTTATTTGCTGATCTTCTCTCCACTATTGTCCTATGACCCTGCCAAATCCCCCTCTCTGAGAAACACCCAAGAATGATCAATAAATACTAAAAAAAAAAAAAAAAAAAAAAAAAAAAGAAAGTAGAGGTGGGAAAAAATAAAGAAAATATAGGTGAAGTCCAATATTTCCATATTAATTTTCTCCTGGATCATCTTTCTGTTGCTGAAAGTGTGATACTGAAATCTCCTACAATTATTGTATTGCTGTCTATCTCTCCCTTCAGATCTGTTAATATTTGCTTTATTCATGTAGGTGCTCTGATATCGGGTCCATATGTATTTATAATTGTTTATCCTTTTAATGAAGTGACCTCTTTATCATATAATACTTTATTTTCTTTTTTTTCCAGTTTGAATGTAAAGGCTATTTTATCTGATACGTATAGCTATACCTGCTTTATTTTGGTTTCCATTTGTGTGGGATATCTATTTCCATCATTTCATTTTCCGTCTGCTTGTTTCCTTACAAGTGAAATGAGTCTCTTGTAGGCAGCGTGTAGTTGGGTCCTGTTTTAAATTCATTTAGCTGCTCTGTATACTTTATTAATTTTAGGCCATTTACATTTAAATTGGTTAGGTAAATATTTACTATAGATACTTTATTTATTGTTTTCTGGATATTTTGTAGATTCTTTATTCCTTTCTTTCCTTCTTGAAGTCTTTCTTTGTAATTATATAATTTTCTGTAGTAATATGCTTTGATTATTTTCTTTTTCTCTTTTGTGTATCTACTATAGGTTTTTGCCTTGGGGTTGCCATGAGGCTAATGCTAAACATCTCATACTCAAGTTAACTTGACTCACAAGAAGAGGTGGGGATTTCTAAATGAAGCATACAACTGGGCCTTCAGGTGTTCATGTTTTAGGAATCTTCAAAATTTATCAGATCTCTGGAGCTCTTGGTGCCACTGTAATGAGCCGAGGGGATTCATTTCCTGCCAAAGGTAGCTAAATAATTTCTCTTACAGAACCCAACAGTGACTCCGACATTAAATCATTTCTCTATTCATTCATTTACAAAACATACATTAAACAACTAGGTGTCAGACACTGCTCTATGGCTGAGTGATGCCAATATAAACAAAGCACATTTTCTCTAACTGCAGCAGTAGTATGGTGGTATAAAAGTTAAAATTATATTAGAAGCTTTCCAGAATCAAAACTGTGTGACCTTGGGCAAGTCCAAACCTCTCTGATATTAGTATCCTCAACTGTAAATTGGGATAATATCTGTCCCAAATAAATTGTCTTTAGATGATCAGATGTGCTAATGCACGTGGAAGTACTTTTTAATGAGCAAAGCAAATGTAAGGAGATTATTTTTGTTTTGCTTTTTTTTTTTTAAACATAGACAACTGGCTAAATAGACTTAAAAGCATTCCTTCTCAAGTGTCCAACTTGGTAGAGAGCCATGGTGACTAGAATGTCAAAGGGTTGAACATGTCTTGGGTGTTTTAAAACTAGATTCTTTACTAGAACTGTTGCAAAAAAAAGCCCAGTGACAATACTGAATTTAGATCTGTCAAAAAACAAATGATAAAAAATAAATTTTTTCAAATTTTTAATGCTCTTAATAGAAACTTTTGTTTTTCATAAATGAAACATGGGTTTGCATCTTTATAACCATCCAACTTTTAAAATTATCCAGCATGTTCCTGAATTTAACATATTTTAATTTCCAAGCTACTCTTTACTGTTCCATGTATTGCAGCCTGGAAGCAAATATGAAATCCATGAACAACGCATCTTATTTTCAGATACCCATTTGTTTACTGAGTAATTTGTTCTCTTGTTGGTAACATATTAAACTAATATATTTAAAAACACTTGTACAGCTTGGTAAATGAAGGAGTATGAATATATCTGACCCCAGTGATATTCTTACAAACGTCCAGTAGTATAGGAAAAAATATGCTGACAGAAAACTATGCTAGTATAATGTATCTGGTTATAATTTATTAAAACCTTCTTGTCTGGATTAATTATTGTGTGAATGAGTTTTAAAATGTCACATAAGTGATGTGTCACGATGAGCCTATATAATTAAAATGTGGTTTACCAGTTGCTTTTCCCAGATTATAAATTATTGACATTGTGTTTGCATTAGTGCAACTGTGTTAATTTCTCTCATGTTTAATGTCTGCCCACAGGAATAGATTTCCTTATAATATTAATGAACGAAAAGATGAATGGTGAGTCTTCACTGCCATGGTTGATCTGATTTGTAAAAAGCTAATATGGGTATAGGAATTCAATGTTACGTTTATTTTTCTCTTCTGTATTATAATCTAGTAACTAAACAGATTGGAAGTCCCTTTTGGGGTCAGTGCTCACATAGAGTGGCAAAGCTGTAAATCAGTCATGCACTGAGATTAAAATGGTGTGGTTGGGAATATGTAAGTTGGGGGAAGTATGTAAACAAAGAGATAGTGTGAAAGAGTAGAAAGAGAGTCACATGAAAGCAATTCTGGAACAGGGTTTCAGGAAGACATGGCATTTGCATAGGTCGGGTCCTGCCACTTCCCAGGGTTAGTTGATCTCATGGTTATCATATCCATGCCTAACTCACTGGGTTACATTGTATATGTGGTTTTCATTTATAAGAATTAAAGTATGCATGGCCAACAGGTCTATGAAAAAAATCCTCAGCATCACTAATCATCAGGGAAATGCAAATGAAAACAATACTGAGATGTCATCTTTCCCAGTTAGGATAACTATTACTAAAAAGACAATAAATGCTGGCTGGGATGCAGAGAAAAAGGAACTCTTAAACGCTGTAAATGGGAGTGTAATTTAGGAAAGCTGTTAAGGTAAACAGTAGAAAGATTTCTCAAACAACTAAAAATAGAGCTACCATTTGATCCAGAAGTCCCACTCCTGCGTATTTATCCAAAGGAAAGGGAATCAGTATATCAAAGGGAGACCTGCAACCCCATGTGTACTGCAGCACTGTTCACATAAGCTAGAATATCGAGTCAACCTGCATGTCCATCAACAGATGAATGGTAAAGAAAATGTGGTATATATATATATATGGGAATTCCATTCAGCCATAAAAGAGAATAAAATCCTTTCATTTGCAGAACATGGATGAAAACTGGAGGCCATATGGTAAGAGAAATAAGGCAGATACTGACAAATACCGCATGTTCTCGCTCATTTGTGGGAGCTAAAAATGGTGACCTCATGAAGGTAGAGTGTAGAATGATGGTTACTAGAGACTGGGATGGGTTTATGTGTGTGGGAGGGGATGAACAGAGGTTAGTGGTTGCAAACATATAGTTAGAAGAAAGAAATACCAGTGTTTGATAGCACAGTAGGGTGATTATAATTAACAATATGTATTTCAAAATAGCTAGAAGAGAAGATTTGAAATGTTACCAGCACAAAGAAATGATAAATATTTGAGGTGATGAATATCCTAAATATCTGATCAACAGCCTGATTTGATCATTACACACTCCATGCATGTATCAAAATATCACAGGTATGCCATAAAAATATACAAATATTATGCATTGGTTAAAAATTTATAAAGAATTATGTATAATGACCAACAAAAATGAACTAACAAAAATGAAAGATTCGAGGAAAAGTAATCCTTTAAAGCATTCAGGGGAGTCTACCAGTGACTTCCTTCAACGAACAGGAATGGCCTTTCCCTCATGCCTTTTATAGTATCACATCAAGCTAAGCTAAGTGGAACTTCTGTATTTAAACACAGACCTGGTTTGAACAATGTATTACCATAAATGAAAGCCAAACACGTCATAGTGATTGGTTCAAATGCTGAAAGAAAAACCAGCAGTGATGCATTTTTGAGATGCATATTTTCTTTTCTGATCTGATGAGATTTGCAAGAGTATTATCATTGATATATATATATTTTTTCACCTAATAGACTAATGTTAGAACCTAACCCAGGAGTAAGCTGTGACTCCGTTGCATTATCCACTAAGAAGAAATAAAAGTTAGCTAGGGCAAGGAGTCTAAGTAAGGCAAATATTGGAAACTGCTGGATACTGCAGGACTAGGTAGTAGCTTCCTCGAGTCAGCAGACAGCTAATAAAGAGGCAGGCACATCCAGGGTGGTAAACACGTTTCAGAGATGAACAGCAATGGGTAGGAAGGCACAGCTACTGAGATTTCAGGCTTAAAAACAGATTCTCAGAGATGAAGAGATGAGCAAAGAAAGGGAGAAGAAAACAAGAAAGAAAGTCTAGTAAATGATATTACAATCTGATCATAGTGTAGAAGTCACGTGATTTCTGATACATTGGATCAATTTCAGGTTATGTGCCAATTAAGTACAATAAACATTTTAGCCATTTCTTTGCTTTAAATACACAAATACTTTATTTCATAATCAAATTTTCTTTTTTTCTGTTTGTCTTAACATTTTTTGGCCATGTTAAACATGTATTTATATTGGAGGAATCAAAGATGTCTTACATATTTAAAAATCTTGTGTAGTACAGCTCTTACCAGAGTATAAACACATTGATTGGAGAATTTTCTTTGCTCTTAGAAGACAGTAAGGAGAAAAAATACTGCAAAACTATAGAAAAAAATTATGGCCCAAGTAAAATAGCAATATTAACTTTTTGCTGTTAGTCTGCCAGGGATACATAAAATTTGTTGTAGATTGTTTACCCTAGGAAACAGACTCAGATGGCAATGAGTGTGAAGGACTTTTCTTAGGAGTGGACTTGGGTTCAGCACCTGGGGTGTGGGGAAAGGAAAGGAATTAGGGTTGGGCCTAGGAAGAATTGAGGCTGTGATGCATCACAACAGGGACTCAGCTGACTCCAAAAGGATCTCTGAAGCTTGGGTAGCCCCTCAGGGTTGTTCCTTTTTGGGGAGAGGAGCTGGTCATTTATCCCCAGTACTTGGGTCGGGATTCACTGGGGAAGAGGGAAGCTCTTTCAGTGAGGTCATACCCAGCTTAGGGTATATATCCTTGAGTCTTTAGGGGAATAGAGCGTAGAGATCTGGGCAGTGCAGCATTTGTGACAATTCACCCATATTTCTGGGGCCATTTGTTTCATACAAGTTTTCAGGGTAGCTGCTTTAAGACTCTGGTAAGACTTTCTCTTTGGATAAAGTTATAAGGTTATAAGGGAAAAAGGTTAGTAGGAGAAACTGCAACCCCAGCTGCTGCTGGGGACAGGGAGCTCTAGGCTAAACTCTCTGATCCATTCTGGAGCCCTTTACCTTGGTTCTTATAATGGTACAAGGATGCTAACTTTGTGAGTAACCCAGACCTTCCTTCCTGAGGGGACCAAGTTAATGTTTACTTTTCATAGGCTGTGGCTGCTGTGGCAATTATGGGTTTATTATTAAAATTAGATGATGGAATACTAACATATGCCAACCACCTTGGTGTTAAGCTGATTGCCCACTTCTCTAATGTGTAGCAGCAGCTTTCCTCCTGACGACTAGGTCGTGTACCTTTTCCAGGATGGTGATTATCCCAAATCCTTTTTTTTTTTTTTTCGGGCCCTGGACACAAGGTGCCCAAAGTGTGGAAATGGCAGCTGTATCTTCTATCTAATGGGACTTTGCTATGTCTGCTGGTAGAAGAGTTCTCTAAACCTGTGGTGCCCAGAATTGTGGGAATGGGGAGCACACATTCCCAAAGTGGGTTACTGGGGGTGATAGTAGGAGGGGCCATGTGGCTTTCATGCCTTGATTCTGAGACCCATATATTTTTTCTTTGGGGGACAGTGCATCAAATAGTGGTCATTGATTTAGTATGGATTTTGTATATTGGAGGATGGTGCCCCAGGCTGGCAGGATATTGTCATTAGTGTGGGGCTTCAGCAGCACCTTCAATAAGTGATTCCCATACACTTTTAGGTCAGCAGTTTCTGAGTAGTAAAGTTAGTGGTAGAACGTGGATTTCATGGTCATGTACCCACTGCCTTATTGCCTTTGGTGTAAAGTAAGTTGCTTGTCTGATGTGAAAGTGTGTGAGGTGCATGCTAGTGGGTCAAATGCCCTGTAAACTGTTGGATAGTGGTATTTGTGGAAGCTATACTGAAAAGTGTAGTGGTATCTGTCAAAATAAGTGGCTAGTTGATCTCCGAGGGATGGTGCTCTATCAGTGCTTACGGTTGATCTTTGTGGCATCGTGTGGCAGTGGCAGTGACGGTAGTAGCTAGATGATCCTTTTTGAGCGAGATTTTGACACTATTTGGTTCATGCATGCTTCATTTCTGCTATGATACCAGAGTGCTTATCCTGAGCATATGGAAAACTTTTTTAAAAAGAGCTTAAGGTTTAAACCTCTCTTTTAATTGTAGCAAGACGTAACCTTGAGAATTTTGTTCTACTCTCCTGCCTTAAGAACTCCTGTCCAAAAACCCCATGGGTGATGTGAACCATCTTTTGTGAACCATTCCAAGAAGACATAGTTTCCTTTTACCAGTTGTCCATTCACATGAAATTTCTACTTTTTTTAAACAAAGAATTTGGGCAAGTAAGCATTTTATTCTAAGAAAAGATTTAAAATCAAGTATTAATTTAGAATCAAATATGTCATTGGCCTGATAAAGTTTATATGTCTAGAAATTTTTCTAAACCTTATTAGAAATTAATGTCAGTGCCACTCAGAGTTTGTGAACACTGCTCTGTGTACATATCAACTAATGGAAGAATGATAGGACAAGCTCCCAGGAGCATATACATCTTAAACAGGGCTTGCCATTGTGTATCAAAGGTTCTGTTAATGATGCAATTTCCCAGTACACACAATACATGTTATTTGTCCTCAACTTTTCATTCTGAGTTTGCTCTACAGTAGAATTGGAATTTAAAACACTGTGTCAGCCAACTCAGTGAAGTTCAATTGTGAGTAGAATTTCTGCTTCTGAATTCTTAAAGTTTAAATAATGACCTGTGTGTTATAAGCTCCAGTAACTTCTTTGAAAATGTGTGGGCAAAACAACATTCCTCTAATAGCTGTTGAAAGAATGCAGTCTTATTAAAGGGAATTAGAATAGGGGATGTAGATTTTAATTTGATTCACTTTGATTTAAAGCAAAATACAGTAAGAATTTGATAAATAAACTTATGAAGCCAAACTAATCAGAATCCTCAATTAACCTATTTTTTGCTGTTGTTGTTGTTGTTGCTATACTCATGTTTCATGAGAAGGGGACAAAGAGCGAAAACTAGTTCACACTCAAGATCTATCTCCCGCCAAAAATCACCTTCTGGGGATGCCTGAGTCCTATACAGATTCAGTCCAATGTTCACATCCCATATCCATATTTACAATCCCTATACAGAGGTAATGATGTTTAAAATAATGACTCAGAGATATTACAAAATGTAAAATGATCAAAGGAAGATTCAGTAACGTTCAGGAGACTGTGCCTATTTAGGAAAGAAAATTTGCTATGTACTTAAAAAAAAAAACCCACACACACAACAGAATTGACTGACAAGTTTTCCAGAGTAACTCAGAGTTAATCAGATAATCAATTTCCAAAGCATTCTACTCACCTATGGTCTTACTCTGTTTGATTTAACCCATAGCTCACTTGGTGGTATCCATGTCCTCAGTAGTTAAGGCAATTTTTTCTTAAAGTCCCATGTCATGAGCAGTGCAGGGTTAGAGGTGTCCAGGTTCACACATGTGTATGTCTTTACTCAGAGTCAGACTTCTATTGATAACTATTTTAATCACAAAAGCCACGAGCTACATGGAGTTCCCAAGGAGACAATTCTCCTTAGTACTTCCCATTCACTCTGTAGTCAGAGCCATGGCCACACAAGCTCAATCCACTCCACAAGTCAGTCTATATTATATACCATACATAATAGTATATTTAATCTATATATAAATATTAGAGGTTAAACCTTACACAACAAACAAAAGTAACACTTAACATCAAGAGGAGAAAGAGATAGGAGAAAGGGTTAATGAGCAAGTCCCAGCGGGAGCAAAGAAGACAAAAGGATTCCTGGTCTGGTCCATTGGTCTCCAAATGGACTCTCCAAAGGAAGAGTCTTTGATGTGGCAGAGCCTTTAGAGGTAGATGCCAAGTGCTTATCATGGGTCACTGCAAGACTCAGTCAGTTAAGGCAGCTGTTTGGAGCTGCTGAAGTTCTGCTTTTTTTTATAGTCAGAGTCCTCTGGTGAGAACCTATAGTGGAAGAGTGTGTTTGTTTATGTGCTTATCTGCTTGGACATAGTCTTTATATTTTTATTTGTTAAGTAAAACATCTTATCCTTGTTGGCAAAATGCCATATGAAATATAAAATGGAGTCTTTTTCTAAGATGGAGTTTAATGAAGGGGTGCTCTATACACCCCAATTTCATAGTTTTCGGGCATTTCTGGATTAACTTCCTCAGAGTTTAGTCTTCTATTTCTGAGGGAGTTTTCAACTTCTGTTGCTACCTGGTTGCCAAATATTACTTCTTTCTAGGATTCGTGAAAAAATTATAACCCACCAAATATATAAAGATTTTTGTGGGTTAGGATAGAAAAGTCATATCACACAACAAGCAGTCAGTGGCATTTTTCGTGGCCCAATATAATCTCCACCCTTCCTCTTGGGGCCATTCTTCATCCAAAATGTTCTGGGGCTCTGGTCAAGTGTCTCTCCCCACCGAATGCAGCCCGTAGGTCTTAGAAGGGAGTGATTCCTGAAGCTGATAATCATTTTTAGCTATATCTTGGTCTCCTCTCCCTGTGTCCCACTGAAATCTAATGAATAATATTCACATCACATTAAACTTTTATTTCATATAAAATTGTTCTAAATTGCCATCTGGTCTCCCAGTCCTTGAAGAATAAATAGCCCTTGATCTTGCAGTTCCAACAATCTTAATTCAGTTCAGCTGCCACATTTGATAGATGAGGAAACTAAAGCTCAGAGAAGGGAAGTGATTTACCAAAAAATGTTGGTGCTATTTAGAAGCAGAGCTGAAGCCATAACTCTGGTCTTCTTCCTCTTAAGCAAATGCCCCTTCCTACTTGTGTCATTTTTTTGCATTCCAGATTGGCGAGATTGTAATGATGAAAGATGACAGAGTTGCTTCTGCACCTTGTATTCTTGTCTATTATAACCATAAACCTGAATATGTTTCCCAAAATAGTTAATCATATAATAAAAGGAGATAATGTGGTTTCTTGTCCTGTAAATCTTGAAGAAACACCTCCTGTATCTTTTATTAATGTTTGATATATTGTTTTTCAGGCTGTAAGGAATTTGTCACAGTGTAATTGTATATAAATACTGCCTGTTTGTCTCTCCTTACTAGTAGATGCTGACACAAGGTAATAATTGGTTACACTGCATTAGGAGAATAACAATTTATAACAATATTACTTGCCAATAAGCTTAATACTTTCTTTTCCTATTCAGTGGAGAAATTGTTTGGCTTCATGTCTACACAGATTTTTCTTTCCTAGCTAAGTTTATTTTAGTCATAAGGCAATCAGGTGGCATGAAAATATTAAAAACTACAGGAAACCAGCATCTAGCAAATAAATTTGAAGACCATGTTCACCCTGAATAAACAAATGCCTTTAAAATTTTTCCAACTTTTAATAAAACTTTAAACTCAGAAAAGTTGAAAAAGAAGTACCATGAAGACACATGTACCCTTTACCTAGATTCACAAATTGTTAACATTTTCTGAGATTGGCTTTGTGTGTCTCTGTCTCTTTCCCTCTTCACACACACACTCATTTTCTCTCTCTCTTACACACACGCACATATACATGCACATACACGCATTTTGGGGGAGCTCTGAACTGCTCTAAAGCAAGTTTCAGACATCAAGATCATCCAAAAATACTTAAGGTATTTTTCCTAAAATTAGCACATTCTTTTATATTACTATAATAACAAGCATAAGACATTTGCTACTGATAATTAATATTATGTAGTATACAGTCTAAATTTAAATGTCTCTAATTGCTCTAAAATATTCTTTATATTAGGGATCATATATTGGATTTTTTGTCATGTTTCTTATTTTCATCAGTCTACAATGTTGCTCACCCTGCGCCCTTTTTCCTCAACTTTTACAACCTTGACATTTTTGAAGAGTTCAGACTAATTGTCTCATAGAATGTTCAATCAAACTGGATTCGTCTAACTGTTCCCTCTGGATTCGATTATGGATAAAATGTTTCAGCAAATACTACGTTTCCCATTGCATTACATCAGGAGTTTGTAATGTCACTTTGTCTGAATATTAGTGAAGCTAAGTTTGATGTTTTCATTTAAAATGCAAGTTTCAACTTTTGTACTTAATAAACGTTTGATGGGTGATAGAGATATATGAATGTCCTTTTTCTAACAATATGTTAGCTTATAGTGTTAGGAGTAATTGCTTGCCAGAATCTCATATTACCTTGGTGGTATTTGCAAAATGGTGATTTTAAATTTCAATCATTTTTCTAGATCAGGGGCCAGTAAATTTTTCCAGTAAAGAGCCACATTCTAAGTATTTTAGGCTTTGTGGGCTACATATGGTCTCTGTTACAGTTACATATTCTATTTTTTCTTTAGTCGTGTAAAAAAATATTCTTAGCTCATGGACTGCAGGAAAACAGTCTGCAGCAGGATTTGGGCCATGGATAGTAATTTGCCAAAGCCCTGTTCTATATTATAAAGAAGAGCTTTCCTTTTCCTTGTAAACACCTGTGTGTGTGTGTGTGTGTATGTGTGTGTGTCAGAGAGAGATTGAGATTCTTTGATAACATTATTTCTTTTATAGAGTTGGTCTGTTTAAGCTTCTTTTTTTTTTTAAAAAAATACTCTTTTGGATTTGACTTTGGTAAATAACACTGTCTTAGGAAAATTTCAATTTCATCTTCTATGCTTTCTGATGCAATAGCCACTAGCTGCTTGAGGCTATTCAAATTTAAATTAATTATAATTAAATAAAACAAAACATTCAGTTTCTCAGTCACCTGAGCCACATTTAAATGTATAAGTATTCACTCAACACATATGGCTAGTGGCTACCTATTGGACAGTACAGATGTAGGATATTTTCATGATTTAGAAGTTCTATTGGATAGTAATGAATGCAGATTTCAAATGTATTTGCATAGAGTAGTGCAAAATAGTCCCTTATAGAGTTAAATTATTATTTTTTCTTGTCTTTTATTTTGCTTTTATGCTTATTTCCTTTCTAATTTGTCTGTTTTAATTTTTTCAGGGTACTAAAGTTCTTATTATATCTACTATTTTTCTGTTTTTATCTCACATTTTCCTTTCCTTATGCTTTCTTTTGATTTACTTTTTATCAACTCTTTTTTTTAAACTTTTAGGTTCAGAGGTATGTGTGCAGGTTTGTTACAAAGGTAAATTGTGTGTCACTGGGGATTGATGTACAGATTATTTTGTCACCTCTGTGGTAAGCATAGTACCTGATAGGTAGTTTTTCAGTCTTGACCCTCCTCCTTCCCTCCACCCTCAAGTAAGTTCCAGTGTCTGTTTTTCCCTTCTTTGTGTCCATGTGTACTCAATGTTTAGCTTCTACTTGTGAGAGCATGTAGTATTTGGTTTTCTGTTCCTGCATTAGTTCATGTAAGATAATGGCTTTTACCTTCGTTGATGTTGCTGCAAAGGACATGATCTCATTCCTTTTTATGGGTATATAGTATTTCATGGTGTATATGTACCACATTTTCTTTATTCAGTCTGCCATCAGTGGGAATTTAGGTTGGTTCCATGTCTTTGCTGTTGGGAATAGTGCTGCAATGAGCATACGTGTGCATGTGTCTTTATGGTAGAACAATTTATATTACTTTGGGTATATATCCAATAATAGGATTGCTGGTTTTAATGGTAATTCTGCTTTGAGTTCTTTGAGAAATTGCCAAACTGCTTTCCACAATCAATGAACTAATTCATATTCCCACTAGCAGCGTATAAGCATTCCGTTTTCTTTGTAACCTCACCAGCATCTGTTATTTTTTAATTTTTTAATAGTAGACATTCTGATTGGTGTAAGATGGTATCGCATTGTGGTTTTGATTTACATTTCTCTAACGATTAGTGATGTTGAACTTTTTTTTCATATGCTTGTCAGCCACGTGTATGTCTTTTTTTAGAAGAGTGTCTTTTCATGTCCTTTGCCTACTTTTTAATGGCATTGTTTATTTTCTGATGTTAGTCAGAAGCATAGTTTGTGAATATTTTTTCCCATTCTATAGGTTGCTCTTTACTCTGTTGATTATTTTTTAAATTTATTTTTTAATTTAAACAATTTCAAAATTTCTGTAGGCACATAAGGTATATATATTTATAGGGTACATGAGATGTTTTGATACAGACATGTAATGTGAAATAAGCACATCAAGGAGAATGGGGTATCCATCCCCTCAAGCATTTATCCTTTGATTTACAAACAATCCATTATACTTCAAGTTATTTAAAAATACACAATTAAGTTATTAATGATTATAGTCACCCTGTTGTGCTATAAAATAATAGGTCTTATTGATTCTTTCTAACTACTTTATTGCACCCGTTATCAATACCTACCTCCCCACTGCCCTTCCTGACTTCTGGAAACCATCCTTCTACCCTGTATGTTTATTAGTTCAATTATTCTGAATTTTGAACCCCACAAATAAGTGAGAATGTGCATTGTCTTTCCGTTCCTGGCTTATGTCACTTAACATAATGATCTCCAGTTTCATCCATGTTTGTGAAAATAACTGGATCTTGTTCTTTTTTTAAGGATGAATAGTACTCCATTGTGTATGTGTGCCACATTTTCTTTATGCATTCATCTCTTGATGGACGCTTAAGTTGCTTCCAAATCTTAGCTATAATAAACAGTCCTGCAACAAACACAGAAGTACAGATATCACTTTAATATCCTGTTTTTCTTTCTTCGGGGTATATACCCAGCAATGGGATTGCTGGATCATACAATAGCTCAAATTTTAGTTTTTTGAATAACCTACAAACTGTTCTCCATAGAGATTGTCCCAATTTACATCCTCACCAATAGTGTACAGGATTTCCTTTTCTTTACATCCTCATCAGCACTTGTTATAGTATGTCTTTTGGATATAAGCCATTTTGGCTGGGGTGAAATGATATCTTGTTAAAGTTTTGATTTCCATTTCTTTGAGGCTCATTGATGTTGAGCACCTTTTCATATGCCTGTTTGCCATTTGTATGTGTTCTTTTGAAAAATGTCTATTCAAATCTTTTGCCCATTTTTAATCAGATTATTATATTTTTTCCTATAGAGTTGTTTGAGCTGCTTATATATTCTGGTTATTAATCTGTTGTCAGAGAGGTAGTTTGCAAATATTTTCCCGCATACTTTGGGTGGTCTCTTTCACTTTGTTGATTGTATCCTTTGCTGTGCAGAAGCTTTTTAACTTTGTATGATCCCATATGTCCATTTTTGTTTTGCTTGCCTGCACTTGTTGGGTATATTACTCAAGAAATCTTTGCCCAGACCAAAGTCCTGGCGTTTCACCAATCTATTCTCTTATTAGTTTTATAAATTGAGGTCTTAGATTTAAGTCTTTAATCCATTGTGATTTGATTTTTGTATATGGTCACAGAGAGGGGTCAAGTTTCATTCTTCTGCCTACAGATATCCAGGATTCCCAACACCATCTATTGAAGAGACTAGCTTTTCCCCAGTGTGTGTTCTTGGCACCTTTGTCAAAACTGAGTCACTGTGGGTGTGTGGGTTTGTTTCTGGGTTCTGTATTCTGTTCCATTAGTCTATGTGTCTGTTTTTATGCAAGTACCATGCTGTTTTGGTTACCTGTCAGGTAATATCATTCCTCCAGGTTTGTTCTTTTTTCTTAGGATAGCTTTGGCTATTCTGAGTTTTTTTGTATACATTTCAATAATAGGATTTTTTTCATTTCTGTGAAGAACGTCGTTGGTATTTTTATAGGGCTTGCATTGAATCTGTAAATTGCCTTGGCTAGTATGCACATTTTAACAATATTGATTCTTCCAATCCATGAACGTGGAATATTTTTCCATTTTTTTGGTGTCCTGTTCAATTTATTTCATTAGTGTTTCATAGTTTTCATTTTAGAAATCTTTTACGTCTCTGTTAATTCCTATTTAATTTTATGTGTGGATATTGTAAATGGGATTACTTTTTAAATTTCTTTTTTGCATTGTTCACTGTTGGCATATAGAAATGCTACTGATTTGGATATGTTGATATTGTATTCTACAACTTTACTGAATTTTTATTAGTTCTAATAGTTTTTTTGTGAAGTCCTTTAAGTTTTTGCAAATGTAAGATCATATCATCTGCAAGGAAGGATAATTTGACTTCTGCCTTTCCAATTTCAATGCAGTTTATATCTTTCTCTCATCTGATTGCTCTAGCTAGGACTTCCAGTACAATGTCGAGTAACAGTGGTGACAGTGGGCAACCTTGTTGCATTCTAGGTCTTTAAAAAAGCCTTTCAGTTTTTTCCCCTTCAGTATGATAATGCTATGGGTCTGTCATATAAGGCTTTTATTATATTGAGGTATTTTCTTTCTATACCCAGCTTTTGATGGTTTATTTTTAAATCATGAAGGGATGTTTACATTTTATCAAATCCTTTTTTAGCATAAATTGAAATGATCATATGGTTTTTATTCTTCATTTTGTTGATACGATGTATCACATTGATTGATTTGCATATGTTGAATCATCCTTGCATCCCAGGGATAAATCCCACTTGGTCATGATGAATGATCTTTCCAATGTATTGCTGAATTCGGTTTGCTAGTATTTTGTTAAGAATTTTTGCAACAATATTCGTCAGAGATTTTGGTCTGTAGTTTTCTTTTATTGATGTGTCTTTGTCTGAATTTGGTATCACGGCAATACTGGCTTCGTAAATTGACTTTGGAAATATTCCCTCCTCCTGTATTTTTTGAAATAGTTTGAGTGGGATTGATATTAGTTATTGTTTAACAGTTTGAGCAGTGAAGCCATGAAGTCCCTGGCTTTTCTTTACTGGGAGACTTTTTGTTACGGCTTAAATCTCGGTATGTGTTATTGGTCTGTTCAGGTTTTGGATTTCTTCCTGGTTCAGTCTTGGTAGGTTGCATATATCTCGGAATTTGTCCTTTTCTTGTAGATTTTACAATTTATTGACATATAGTTGCTCATAGTAGCTGCTAATTATCCTTTGAATTTCTGCAGTATCAGCTGTAATATCTCCTTTTTCACATCTGATTTGATTTATTTGTATCTTCTCTCTTTCTTATTTACTGTGGCTACAGGCTTGTCAATTTAACTTCAAAAGACCAACTTCTTGTTTCATTCATCTTTTATGTTTTTTTTTTCATTTAAATTTCATTTCTGCTCTGATCTCTGTTATTTCTTTTCTCTCTCTAATTTTGGGTTTGGTTTGCTGTTGCTTTTTAAGTTCCTTAAGATGCATTGTTACGTTATTTATTTGAAGTGTTTCCTCTTGTTGATATAGGCACTTAGAGCTATCAGCTTCCCTCTTAGTGCAGCTTTTGTTGTATCCCACAGGTTTTGGTATGTTGTGTTTCTGTTATCATTTGTTTCAAGAAATCTTTCAATTTCCTTCTTAGTTTTATCATTGGCCCACTGGTCATTCAGGAGCATATAGTTGAATTCATTTTTAGAGTTTCCAAAATTGCTCCTGTTATTTCTAGTTTTATTCATTACAGTCAGAGAAGATGTTCCATATTATTTCAGATTTTTTGAATGTTTTAAGACTTGTTTTGTGACTTAACATATGGTCTTCTCTTGAGAATGATCCATGTGCTTAGGAAAAAGAATGTGTATTCTGACGCTCTTGGGTGAAATGTTATGTAAATATCTATTAGATATATATGGTCTATAGTGCAGATTATATCTGATGTTTCTTTGCTGATGTTTTGTCTGCCAGGTCTGTCCAATGCTGCAAGTGGGGTATTGAAGTCTCCAGCTATTATTGTATTGAAGCTTATTTCCCTCTTCGGCTATAATAATATTTTGTTTATATATCTGGGTGCTCCTCTGTTGGGTGCATAAGTATTTAAAATTATTATAAATTCTTGCTCTATTGATCCCTTTATTGTTATATAGTGCCCTTCTTTGTCTCTTCCTACAGTTTTTGTCTTGAAATCTATTTCGTCTTAAGTATAGAAACTCCTGCTCCCTTTTGGTTTCCATTGGCATGGAATAACTTTTTCCATCCCTTTATTTTCATCTGTGTGTGTCCTTACAGGTGAAGTGTGTTTCTTGCAAGCAACAGCTAAATGGTTCTTTTTTTTTTTTTTTCATGCAGTCAACCAGTCTGTCTGTCTTTTGATTGAAGACTTAAGTCCATTTACATGTAATGTTGTTATTGATAAGTAAGGACTTGCTCCTGCCATTTTGTTATTTGCTTTCTGTTTATTTTGGGGTTTTCTCTTCTTTGTTTCCTCTCTGTCTTCCTTTAGGGAAGGTGATTTTCACTAGTGATGTGCTTTAGTTTCTTGCTTTTTAATTTTTTGTTTCCATTGTATGTCTCTTTTGGTTTGAGGTTACCATGAGGCTTGCAGATACTATCTTGTAACCCATTATTTTAACCTGATAACAACTTAACATTATTTGCAGAAACCAACAAGCAAGCAAAAGGAACACTAATAACAGCTTTATGTCTTAAACTTTTTCCTCACTCTTGAACTTTTTGTTGTTTCTATTTATATCTTATTGTACTGACTATGTCTGGAAATGTTGTAGTTTTTCAATGCACTTATTATTACTAGTGAGTTTTGTACCTTTAGGTGATTATTTATTGCTCGTCAATATCCTTTTCTTTCTGACTGAAGTGCTCCCTTTAGTGTATCTTGTAGGATAGGTCTGATATTGATGAAATCCCTTAGCTTTTGTTTTTCTGGGAAAGTCTTCATTTCTCCTTTATGTTTGAAGGATATTTTCACCAGATATGCTATTCTAGGATAAAAGTTTTTTTTTTTTCCTTCAGCACTTTAAATATGTTATGTCATTCTCCCCTGGCCTGTAAAGTTTCCTCTGAAAAATCTACTGCCAGATGTATTCTAGCTCCGTTGTATGTTATTTGTTTCTGTTCACTTGCTGCTTTTAGGATCCTTTATTCTTGACCTTTGGGAGTTTGATTATTAAAAGCCTTGAGGTAGTCTTCTTTGGGTTAAATCTGCTTGGTGTTGTGTAACCTTCTTGTTCTTAGATATTGATATCTTTCTGTAGGTTTAGGAAGTTCTCTATTATTATTCCTTCGAATAAACCTTCTATGCCCATCTCTTTTTCTACCTCCTCTTTAAGGCCAATGACTCTTAGATTTGCCCTTTTGAACCTACTTTCTGAATACTGCAGGCAGGCTTCGTTGTTTCCCATTCTTTTTTGTTTTGTCTCCTCTGTGTATTTTCTGTTCTTGTTAAACATTTTTAAATAGTTCAATATGCTTTTGGGAAACAGGTGGTGTTTGGTTACATGAATAATTTTGTTAGTGGTGATTTCTGAGATTTTAATGTACCCATCACCCAAGCAGTGTACACTGTACCCAATGTGTAGTCTTTTATCCCTCACCGCTCTCTCACCCTTTCTTCTGAGTCTCCAAATGTCCATTGTATCATTCTTATGCCTTTGCATCCTCATAGCTTAGCTCCCACTTCTGAGTGAGAATTACAATGTTTGATTTTTCCATTCCTGAGTTACTTCACTTAGAATAATTATCTATAATTCCATCCAGGTTGCTGTGATGCCATTATTTCATTCAATTTTATGTCTGAGTAGTATTCCACGGTGTGTGTGTGTGTATCACATTCTCTTTATCCACTCATTGATTGACGGGCATTTGGGCTGGTTCCATATTTTTGCAATTGCAAGTTGTGCTGCTACAAACATGCATGTGCAAGTATCTTTTTCATATAATGACTTCTTTTCCTCTGAGTAGATACCCGGGAGTAGAATTGCTGCATCAGATGGTAGATGTAGTTCTTTAAGGATTCTCCACATTGTTTACCATAGTGGTTGTACTATTTTACATTTCCATCCACAGTGTAACAGTGTTCCTTTTTCACCACTTCCACACCAACATCTGTTATTTTTTGATTTTTTGATTATGGCTATTCTTGCAGGAGTGAGGTGGTATTGCACTGTGGTTTTGATTTACATTCCCCTGATAATTAGTGATGTTGAGAATATTTTCATATGTTTGTTGGCCATTTGTATATTTTCCTTTGAGAATTGTCTATTGAAGTCTTTAACCCACTTTTTGATGGGATTGTTTGCTTTGTTCTTGCTGATTTGTTTGAGTTCCTTGTAGATTCTGGATATTAGTCATTTTTCAGATGTGTAGATTGTGAAGATTTTCTCCCACTCTGGGTTTTCCATTTACTCTGCTGATTATTTGTTCTGCTCTGCAGAAACTTTTTAGCTTAAGTCCCATCTGTTTATCTTTGTTTTTGTTGTGTTTGCTTTCGGGTTCTTGGTCATGAAATCTTTGCCTAAGCCAATGTCTAAAAGAGTTTTTTTTTTCAGTGTTATCTTCTAGAATTTTTATGGTTTAAGGTCTTGGATTTAAGTCTTTGATCCATCTTGAGTTGATTTTTGTATAGGGTGAGAGATGAAGATCCAGTTTCATTCTTCTAGATGCTGCCTGCCGATTTCCCCAGCACCATTTGTTAAATAGGGTCTCTTTCTCCATTTGTGTTTTTGTTTGCTTTGTTGAAGATCAGTTGGCTGTGTTTGGATTTATTTCTGGGTTCTCTGTTTTTTTCCCTTGGCCCATAAGTCTATTTTTATACCAGCACCATGCTGTTTTGGTGACTATAGCATTACAGCATAGTTTGAAGTCAAGTAATGTAATGTCTCCAGATTTGTTCTTTTTGTTTAGTCTTGCTTTGGCTATGCAGGCTCTTTTTTGGTTTCATATGAATTTTATGATTTTTTTTTTTAGTTTTGTGAAGAATGATGGTGGTATTTTGGTGAGAATTGCATTTAATTTGTAGATTGTTTTTGACAGTATGGTCATTCTCACAATATTGGTTCTACTTATCCATGAGCATGGAATGTGTTCCATTTGTTTGTGTTGTCTATTATTTCTTTCAGCAAGGTTTTGTAATTTTCACCATAGAGGTATTTCACCTCCTTGGTTAAGTTATTCCTAAGTATTGTATTTTATTTTTGCAGCTATTGTAAAAGGGGTTGAGTTCTTGATTTGATGCTCAGCTTGGTCACTGTTGCTGTCTAGCAGGGCATTAATTTTGTAATGGAAACTTTGCTGAATTCATTTCAAATTGTTTGTCTTTAAGCTCAAAAATTCTTTCTGCTTGATCTACTCTGCTATTAAGGACTCTGATGTATTCTTCAGTGTGCCAGTTGCATTTTTCAGCTCCAGAATTTCTGCGTGATTCTTTTAAATTATTTCAGTCTCTTTTTAAAATTTATCTAATAGAATTCTGGATTCCTTCTTTGTGTTTTCTTGAATTTCTTTGAGTCTCTTCACAGCTATTTTAAATTCTCTGCCTGAAAGGTCACATATCTCTGTTTCTCCAGGACTGGTTACTGGTGCCTTATTTCATTCGGTGAGCTCATGTTTTCGTGGATGGTTTTGATGCTAGTAGATGTTCTTCAGTGTATGGGTTTTGAAGAGTTAGGCATTTATTGCAGTCTTCACTGTCTGGGCTTATTTGTAGCCATCCTTGTTGGGAAGGCTTTCTAGATATTTGAAAGGATGTGCTTGTTGTGCTCTCAGTGTATTTACTTTAGTGGGCACCCCAAGTCCAGTGACACTGTGGTTCTTGCAGACTTGTAGAAGTACTGCTTTGACGGTCTTGGATGAGATCTGGGAGAATTCTCTGGATTACCAGGCAAAGGCTCTGGTTCTCTTCCTTTACTTTCTCTCAAACATACAGAGTCTCTGTCTCTGTTTTGAGCCACCTAAAGCTGATGGCAGAGTAACACAAACACCACTGTGGCCACCACCACTATGATTGTGCTGGGTCATAGATGAAGGCAACACAGTCCTTCCCTTTAGTGTGGCAAGTTTTCCTAGTCCTCATGTGGGTACAGAGATGCTGTCCTGTAGCCAGGAACTAGCGTCAAAAACATTAGAAGTCTACCTGGTGTTGTATTGTATTGTGGTGAACTGGCACTTAAACCACAAGACACAATCCTTCCTACTCTTTCCTCCCCTTTTCATAGGCAGAGGAGCCTTACTTTGTAGCCACCACCACCCCAATCCAGGAGGAGTAGTGCCAGACTTTAAGCCAATGTTTCCTCAGGGCCCAAGGGCTCTTTAGTTACCAGGTGATGAATGCTGCCAGGACTGGATCCTTTCCTTCAAGGCAGCAGGTTCCCTTCTGGCCTAGGATGTATCTGGAAATGTCATCTCAGAGCTAAGGCCTAGATCGGTGGCCTCATGAGTCTAACTAGTGCCCTATCCTACTGTGGCTGAGCTGGCATCCAAAATGCAAGGCAGAGTCCTTTCCATTCTTTCCTCTCCACAAATAGAAGGAAGGGGTCTCTTTTGGAGTCACAAGCTGTTCAGCCTGGGGTTAGGGTAGGAGTGATGCCAGTACTTCCTTGGTTGTCCCAGCTGGCGTCTCAGTATGTCATGTCCCCCTACAGTCCACTGTCCTGGGCCTAGTTCAGCACTATGACTCACCTAACAGTCGCAGCTCTTATTAACTGGGTGCAGTGGCACATGCCTGTGGTTCCAGCTACTTGGGAGGCTGAGGTGGAAGGATTGCTTGATCCCGGGAAGTGGAGGTTGCAGTGAGCCAAGATCTCACCACTGCACTCCAGCCTGGGTGATGGATGGAGACCCTGTCTTAAGAAAAAAAAAATAAAGAGTTGCAGTTCTTGTGGCCTAGACTGCTTTTCAAATTTACCTGGAGACATGGAATGCTGTAACTATCTGTAGCAAGGTTTGTAGGTACTCTAGTTTGGACCACTGGGATCAGCGATTCCCCTCTGTCTAGAGCTGCTTTAAATGCTCCCTTTGTGAATGAGCTTCAGATAAGATGAATCTAGTTTTCCTTTCTACTCTATCAGGATAGCGCTGAGTTCTGTGCTTCACAGTCGCTGTATTCTCCCTACCCTGGTGCCCAGAGATGTTCTCTGCGCCAAGCAGCTGCTTCTAGGAGTGGGTGAGGTGTGGTGTCAGCGATTCAGGACTGTATTTTCTGTTTCCTCAGTGCCTCTTTCAGCACTATGAAGTTAAAACCAGGTACTATGAGTGCTCACCTGATTTTTGGTTCTTAAGAAAGTTTTTTTTTTTTTTTTAAAGTATCTATAGATGTTAACTTGGTGTCCTTGTGGAGAAGGGAGGCTCCTTGGAGGAGCCTTCTATTCTGCCTTTTGTTCTGCTGCTCTTCCTCTAATCCCTTGATAGTTTCTTCTGCTGTACAGAAGCTCGTTTGTTTATTTAGGTCCCATTTGTGAATTTTTGTCTTTGTTGCACTTGTTTTTGTCATCTTCATCATGAAATCTTTGCCAGGTGGTATGTCCAGGATAGGATTGCCTAGGTTGTCTTTCAGGATTTTTGTGGTTTTAGGTTTTACATTTAAGCTTTTAATCCATCTTAAATTGGTTTTTGTATGTGGTGTAAGGTAGAGATCCAGTTTCAATCTTCTGCATATGGCTAGCCCGTTATCCCAGCACCATTTATTGAATGAGAGTCCTTTCCCCATTGCTTGTTGTTGTTAGCTTTGTCAAAGATCAGATGGGTGTAGGTGTGTGGTCTTATTTCTGGGCTCTCTGTTGTGTTCCATTGATCTATGTGTCTGTTCTTGTACTGTGCTCTTTTGGTTACTATAGCCCTCTATTATAGTTTGAACTCAGGTAACATGGTGCCTCCAGTTGTTTTCTTTTTGCTAATATTGCCTTGGCTTTTCAGGCTCCTTTTTTAGTTCCATGTGAATTTTTAAACAGTTCTTTTTATGTAATTCTGTGAAGAATGTCATTGGTAGTTTGATAGGAATAACATTGAATCTATAAATTGCTTTGGGCAGTATACCTATTTTAACAATGTTGATTCTTTGTATCAGTGATCATGGAATGTTTTTCCACTTGTGTCATCTCTGATACCTTTGAGCAGTGGTTGTAATTCTCATTGCAGACATCTTTCACCTCCTTAGTTAGCTGTATTCCTAGGTATTTTATTCTTTTTGTGGTAGTTGTGAATAAGGTTACATTCCTGGTTTGGTTCTTGGCTTGGTTTTTGTTAGTGTATAGGAACATGAGTGAGTTTTGTACATTGGTTTTGTATTCTGATGCTTCACCAAAGTTGTTTATCAGATCAAGGAGTTTTTGGGCAGAGACTGTGGGGATTTTTTAGGTACAAAATCCTATCATTTGCAAACAGGGATGGTTTGACTTCCTCTCTTCCTTTCTGGATTTCTTTTATTTATTTCTTTTGCCTGATTTCTCTGGCCAGGACTTTTGATACTGTGTTGAATAGGAAGAGTGAGAGAGGGCATCCTTGTCTTGTTTTGGTTTTCAAGGGGACCGCATCCAGCTTTTGCCCACTCACTATGTTGTGCCTATAGGGTTTTCATAGATGGCTCTTATTATTTTGAAGAATGTTTTCTCAATGCCTAGTTTGTTGAGGGTTTTCAGCATGAAGCGATGTTGAAATTTATCAAAAGCCTTTTCCCCACCTATTGAGATAATCAAATTTTTTTTGTTTTTAGTTCTGTTTATGTGATGAAACCCAGTTACTGATTTGAATATGTTGAGCCAACCTTGCATTCTAGGGATAAAGTCTTTTTGATCTTTATGGATTAGTGTTTTGATGTATTGTTGGATTCAGTTTGCTAGTATTTTGTTAAGGATTTTAGCACTGACATTCATCAAATATTTTGACCTGAAGTTTTCTTTATTTGTGCATCTCTGCCACGTTTTGGTATCAGGATGATGCTGGCCTTATAAAATGAGTTAGGGAGAAGTCCCTCCTCCTCAATTTTTTGGAATAGTTTCAGTAACAATGGTATTAGCTCTTTTTGTACGTTTGTAAGATTTTGTCTGTGAACCCAACTGGTCCTGGGCTTTTTCTGGTTGGCAGGCTTTTTATTACTGATTCAATTTTAGAACTCATTATTAGTCTGTTCATTTGGTTGTCTAAAATGGATCTTTTGTTTGTTTTTTATTTTTAATGAAAAATGAAATGGATCTTATTTCCCTTTCACTTAAGAAGCTTAGTTGGGCTGGATACAAAATTCTTGGTTGGAAATTCTTTTTTTTAATAATACTGAATATAGAACCCCCATGTCTTCTGGCTTGTGGGATTTCTACTGAAAGGTTTGCTGCTTGCCTGATAGGTTTCCCTGTGTAGATGACTTACTCCTTCTCTCTAGCTGCCTTCAACATTTTTTCTTTCATTTTGACCTTGGAGAATGTGATGAATAAGTGTTTTGGGGATGGTCTTCTTATGTAGTATTTTGGAGGGATTTTCAGCATTTTTTGAATTTGAATGTTGGCCTCTAACAAGGCTGGGGAAACTTTCATGAATGATATCCTGAAACATGTTTTTCAAGTTGCTTTCTTTATTGCCTTCTCTTTCAAGGATGCCACTGAGTCATAGGCTTGGTCTCTTTATATAATCCCATATTTCTCAGAGGTTTTGTTCATTCTTACTTATTGTTTTTTTCTTTATTTTTTTCTGACTGAATTATCTCAGAACTGGTCTTGGAGCTCTGAGATTCTTTTCTCAGCTTAGTCTATTCTGTTGTTAATACTTGGAGTTTTATTGTGAAATTCTCAACCTGAGTTTTTCAAATCTGTAAGATCAATTTGATCCTTCTTAAAATAGCCATGCATCTTTCATCTCCTGGATTATTTTATTGTATTCCTTAGGATCCTTGGCTTGGGTTTTGACTTTCTCCTGAATCTAGATGATCTTCATTCCTATCCATATCTGAATTCTATTTGTGTCAATTCAGTCATTTCAGCCTGGTTAAGAACCATTGCTGGGGAACTAGTGCAGTTGTTTGGAGGTAAGAATACAGTCCAGCTCTTTAAGTTGCCTAAATTCTTGTGCTAGTTCTATTTCATCACTGTGGGTTGATGTTCGTTTAATCTTTGAAGTTGCCATCCTTTGGATTTTTTTTTCTTTTATCTTTTTGATGTGCTTGGGGGTTTGATTGTGTTATAAGGTGGATTCAGTGCTGGAGGCACTCTGGATGGGCATCCAAGGATGTACTGCAAATGCGCACAGTGAGGCTGAGGCCCTGGAAGAGGCCAGCTGACAAGGGGGCTCTCAAGTCAGACTGCCCCATCTTACAGCCGAGGCCACTTTGCTCTGTTCAGGCCTAACAGTTCCTCTAAGGCTAAAGTCTCCAAAGGGCACATGGCGAACCTTGGGGGATAGGCATCCCTGGTCATACTCCACTGAACACATTCCTGTACCAAACACTCTGGGCACTGCAGAGGCTGGAGTCCTACACCTCCCTGCAAGCTCAAGTGTCCATGGGTGTCATGGGATCTATTGCTGCCATGATTCCAGAGGTCCATAGCAAGAATAAGTCATTCCTTGACTGTGAAATTCACCCCTTGCCAGTAGTCATTGGGGACCACGAAGGAATCCTGGTGTGGGGTAGCCCCAGGCAGAGTTCCCAGCTTCCTCTTCCTTCAGCCCAGCATCTCTGTTCTCCCTCTATTCTCCCTCTATTCTCAGCATCTTCCCTCTGAATATGTGCTCAGACTGCACCAGCGTTTTTTTTTAATAATACTGAATAGTCCTTCTTAGTCCTTCCATGGCATATGTTCTTGCTGGCTGTGTCTAGTCAGCCATCTCCCTCTAGTGTGGGAACCATTTTTATTTTTTTTAAGACAGGGTCTCCCTCTCTCCCTGGGCTGAGGTCCAGTAGCCAGATCATAGTTGCCTGCAGCCTCAGCCTCGAATTCCTGGGCTTGTGTAATTCTCCTGTCCCAGCCTCCTGAGTAGCAGGAACTATGGGCAGACAATACCACACTGGGCATTTTATTTTATTTATTTTATTTTATTTTATATTCTATTGAGACAATGTCTCCTTATGTTGCCCAGTTTGGTCTCAAATTCCTGAACTGGAAGCCATTGTCATGCATTGACCTTCCAAAGCACTGGGATTACAGGCATGATCAGGTGTACTTAGTTCTATTCTTTTGAGTTCAGAATTTAACTTTTTAAAATTCTAGCCGGGTGTGGTGGCATGCGCCTGTAATCCCAGCTACTCAGGAGGCTGAGGCAGGAGAATCACTTGAACCCAGGCAGCAAAGGTTGCAGTTATCCAAGATTGTGCCACTGCACTCCATCCAGCCTGGGTGACAGAGCGAGACTCCATTTCCAAAAAACAAACAAAAGGAATATGTATATCAAATCACAACATTGCACACCTTGAAAATATACAGTCTGTTTGCCAATTATTTAAAAATACATATTTTTCTTTTTAAGATTATATATATTATATATATGATTATATATATAATATATATATATATAAGATCTACCTTATTTCTTTTATGTATTTATATCTTTTTTTAATTATACTTTAAGTTTTAGGGTACATGTGCACAACATGCAGGTTTGTTACATATGTATACATGTGCCATGTTGGTGTGCTGCACCTATCAACTCATCATTTACATTAGGTATATCTCCTAATGCCATCCCTCCCCTCTCCCCCCACCCCACGACAGGCCCTGGTGTGTGATGTTCCCCACCCTGTGTCCAAGTGTTCTCACTGTTCAGTTCCCACCTATGAGTAAGAACATGCAGTGTTTGGTTTTCTGTCCTTGCAATAGTTTTCTGAGAATGATGATTTCCAGCTTCATCCATGTCCCTACAAAGGACATGAACTCATCCTTTTTTATGGCTACATAGTAATCCATGGTATATATGTGCCACATTTTCTTAATCCAGTATATCATTATTGATGGACATTTGGATTGGTTCCAAGTCTTTGCTATTGTGAATAGTGCTGCAATAAACATACGTGTGCATGTGTCTTTATAGCAGCATATTTATAATGCTTTGGGTATATACCCAGTAATGGGATGGCTGGGTCAAATGGTATTTCTCGTTCTAGATCCTTGAGGAATTGCCATACTGTCTTCCACAATGGTTGAACCAGTTTACAGTCCCACCGACAGTGTAAAAGTGTTCCTATTTCTCCACATCCTCTCCAGCACCTGTTGTTTCCTGACTTTTTAATGATTGCCATTCTAACTGGTGTGAGATGGTATCTCATTGTGGTTTTGATTTGCATTTCTCTGATGGCCAGTGATGATGAGCATTTTTTCATGTGTCTTTTGGCTGCATAAATGTCTTCTTTTGAGAAGTGTCTGTTCACATCCTTTGCCCACTTTTTGATGGGGTTGTTTGTTTTTTTCTTGTAAATTTGTTTAAGTTCTTTGTAGATTCTGGATATTAACCCTTTGTCAGATGGGTAGATTGTAAAATTTTTCTCCCATTTTGTAGGTTGCCTGTTCACTCTGATGGTAGTTTCTTTTGCTGTGCAGAAGCTCTTTAGTTTAATTAGATCCCATTTGTCAATTTTGGCTTTTGTTGCCATTGCTTTTGGTGTTTTAGTCATGAAATCATTGCTCATGTCTATGGCCTGAATTGTATGGCCTAGGTTTTCTTCTAGGGTTTTTATGGTTTTAGGTCTAACATTTAAGTCTTTAACCCATCTTGAATTAATTTTTGTAGAAGGTGTAAGGAAGGGATTGAGTTTCAGCTTTCTCCATATGGCTAGCCAGTTTTCCCAGCACCATTTATTAAATAGGGAATGCTTTCCCCATTTCCTGTTTTTGTTAGGTTTGTCAAAGGTCATATGGTTGTAGATGTGTGGTATTATTTCTGAGGGCTCTGTTCTGTTCCATTGATCTATATCTCTGTTTTGGTACCAGTACCATGCTGTTTTGGTTATTATAGCCTTGTAGCATAGTTTGAAGTCAGGTAGTGTGATGCCTCCAGCTTTGTTCTTTTGGCTTTGGATTGTCTTGGCGATGTGGGCTCTTTTTTGGTTCCATATGAACTTTAAAGTAGTTTTTTCCAATTCTGTGAAGAAAGTCATTAGTAACTTGATGGGGATGGCATTGAACCTATAAATTACCTTGGGTAGTATGGCCATTTTCATGATATTGATTCTTCCTACCCATGAGCATGGAATGTTCTTCCATTTGTTTGTGTCCTCTTTTATTTCCTTGAGCAGTGGTTTGTAGTTCTCCTTGAAGAGGTCCTTCCCATCCCTTGTAAGTTGGATTCCTAGGTATTTTATTCTCTTTGAAGCAATTGTGAATGGGAGGTCACTCATGATTTGGCTCTCTGTTTGTCTATTATTGGTGTATAGGAATGCTTGTGATTTTTGCACATTGATTTTGTATCCTGAGACTTTGCTGAAGTTGCTTATCAGCTTAAGGAGATTTTGGGCTGAGATGATTTGCTAAATATACAATCATGTCATCTGCAAACAGGGACAATTTGACTTCCTCTTTTCCTAATTCAATACCCTTTATTTCTTTCTCCTGGCTGATTTCCCTGGTCAGAACTTCCAACACTATGTTGAATAGGAGTGGTGAGAGAAGGCATGCCTGTCTTGTGCCAGTTTTCAAAGGGAATGCTTCTAGTTTTTGCCCATTCAGTATGATATTGACTGTGGGTTTGTCTCAGATAGCTCTTATTATTTTGAGATATGTCCCATCAATACCTAATTTATTGAGAGTTTTTAGCATGAAGCGCTGTTGAATTCTGTCAAAGACCTTTTCTGCATCTATTGAGATAATCATGTGGTTTTTGTCTTTGGTTCTGTTTATATGATGGATTATGTTTATTGATTTGTGTATGTTGAACCAGCCTTGCATCCCATGGATGAAGCCAACTTGATTGTGGTGGATGTGCTTTTTGATGTGCTGCTGGATTTGGTTTGCCAGTATTTTATTGAGGATTTTTGCAATGATGTTCATCAGGAATATTGGTCTAAAATTCCCTTTTTTTTTGTTGTGTCTCTGCCAGGCTTTGGTATCAGGATGATGCTGGCCTCATAAAATGAGTTAGGGAGGACTCCCTCTTTTTCTATTGATTGAAATAGTTTCAGAAGGTATGGTTCCAGCTCCTCTTTGTACTTCTGGTGGAATTTGGCTGTGAATCCGTCAGGTCCTGGGCTTTTTTTGGTTAGTAGGCTATTAATTATTGCCTCAGTTTCAGAGCCTGTTATTGGTCTATTCAGGATTCAACTTCTTCCTGGTTTAGTCTTTGGAGGGTTTATGTATCCAGGAATTTATCCATTTCTTCTAGATTTTCTAGTTTATTTGCATAGAGGTGTTTATTGTATTCTCTGAAGGTAGTTTGTATTTCTGTGGGATCAGTGTTGATATCCCCTTTATCATTTTTTTATTGCATCTATTTGATTCTTCTCTCTTTTCTTCTATATTAGTCTTGCTAGCGGTCTATCAGTTTTGTTGATCTTCTCCCAAAACCAGCTCCTGGATTCATTGATATTTTGAAGGGTTTTTTTTGTGTCTCTACCTCCTTCAGTTCTGCTCTGATCTTAGTTATTTCTTGTCTTCTGCTAGCTTTTGAATGTGTTTGCTCTTGCTTCTCTAGTTCTTTTAGTTGTGATGTTAGGGTGTCAATTTTAGACCTTTCCTACTTTATCTTGTGGGCATTTAGTGCTATAAATTTCCCTCTACGCACTGCTTTGAATGTGTCCCAGAGATTCTGGTATGTTTTGTCTTTGTTCTCATTGGTTTCAAAGAACATCTTTATTTCTGCCTTCATTTTGTTATGTACCCAGTAGTCATTCAGGAGCAGGTTGTTCAGTTTCCATGTAGTTGTGCAGTTTTGAGTGAGTTTCTTAATCCTGAGTTCTAGTTTGATTGCACTGTGGTCTGAGAGACAGTTTGTTATAATTTATGTTCTTTTACATTTGCTGAGGAGTGCTTTACTTCCAACTATGTGGTCAATTTTGGAATAAGTGCAATGTGGTGCTGAGAAGAATGTACGTTCTGTTGATTTGGGGTGGAGGGTTCTGTAGATGTCTGTTAGGTCCGCTTGGTGCAGAGCTGAGTTCAAGTCCTGGATATCCTTGTTAACCTTCTGTCTCGTTGATCTGTCTAATGTTGACAGTGGGGTGTTAAAGTCTCCCATTATTATTGTATGGGAGTCTAAGTCTCTTTGTAGGTCTCTAAGGACTTGCTTTATGAATCTGGGTGCTCCTGTATTGGGTGCATATATATATTTAGGGTAGTTAGCTCTTCTTGTTGAATTGATCCCTTTACCATTATGTAATGGCCTTCTTTGTGTCTTCTGATCTTCGTTGGTTTAAAGTCTGTTTTATCAGAGACTAGGATTGCAACCCCTGCTTTTTGTTTGTTTGTTTTCCATTTGCTTGGTAGATCTTCCTCCATCCCTTTATTTTGAGCCTATATGTGTCTGCATGTGAGATGCATCTCCTGAATACAGCACACTGATGGGTCTTGACTCTATCCAATTTGCCAGTTTGTGTCTTTAAATTGGGGCATTTAGCCTGTTTACATTTAAGGTTAATATTGTTATGTGTGAATTTGATCCTGTCATTATGATGTCAGCTGGTTATTTTGCTCGTTAGTTGATGCAGTTTCTTCCTAGCATCGATGGTCTTTACAATCTGGCATGTTTTTTCAGTGGCTGGTACCAATTGTTCCTTTCCATGTTTAGTGCTTCCTTCAGGAGCTCTTATAAGGCAGGTCTGGTGGTGACAGAATCTCTAAGCGTTTGCTTGTCTGTAAAGGATTTTATTTCTCCTTCACTTATGAAGCTTAGTTTGGCTGGATATGAAATTCTGGGTTGAAAATTCTTTTCTTTCAGAATGTTGAATATTGGCCCCCACTCTCTTATGGCTTATAGGGTTTCTTCTGAGAGATCTGCTGTTAGTCTGATGGGCTTCCCTTTGTGGGTAACCCCACCTTTCTCTGTGGCTGCCCTTAATATTTTTTTCCCTTCATTTCAACTTTGGTGAATCTGACAGTTATGTGTCTTGGAGTTGCTCTTCTTACGGAGTACCTTTGTAGCATTCTCTGTATTTCCTGAATTTAAATGTTGGCCTGCCTTGCTAGGTTGGGGAAGTTCTCCTGGATAATATCCTGCAGAGTGTTTTCCAACTTGGTTCCATTCTCCCCATCACTTTCAGGTACACCAATCAGATGTAGATTTGGTGTTTTCACATAGTCTCATATTTCTTGTAGGCTTTGTTCATTTCTTTTTATTCTTTTTTCTCTAAACTTCTCTTCTTGCTTCATTTCATTCATTTGATCCTCAATCTTTGATACCCTTTCTTCCACTTGATTGAATTGGCTACTGAAGCTTGTGCATTCGTCACATAGTTCTTGTGCCACGGTTTTCAGCTCCATCAGGTCATTTAAGGACTTCTCTATGCTGTTTAATCTAGTTAGCCATTTGTTTAATCTTTTTTCAAGGTTTTTAGCTTCTTTGCAATGGGTTCAAACATCCTCCTTTAGCTCGGAGAAGTTTGTTATTACTGATCATCTGAAGCTTTCTTCTTTCAACTCGTCAAAGTCATTCTCTGCCCAGCTTTGTTCCATTGCTGGTGGGGAGCTGCGTTCCTTTGGAGGAGAAAAGGCGCTCTGATTTTTAGAATTTTCAGCTTTTCTGCTCTGGTTTCTCCCCATCTTTGTGGTTTTATCTACCTTTGGTCTTCGATGATGGTGACATACAGATGGGGTTTTGGTGTGGATGTCCTTTCTGTTTGTTAGTTTTCCTTCTAACAGTCAGGACACTCAGCTACAAGTCTGTTGGAGTTTGCTGGAGGTCAGCTTCAGTCCATGTTTGCCTGGGTGTCATCAGCGGAGGCTGCAGAACAGCAAATATTGCAGAATGGCAAATGTTGCTCCCTGATCCTTCCTCTGGAAGGTTCATCTCAGAGGGGCACCTGGCTGTATGAGGTGTCAGATGGCCCCTACTGGGAGGTGTCTCCTAGTTAGGCTACTCGGGGGTCAGGGACCAACTTGAGGAGGCAGTCTGTCCGTTTTCAAATCTCAAACTCTGTGCTGGGAGATCCACTACTCTCTTCAAAGCTGTTGGACCGGGACATTTAAGTCTGCAGAAGTTTCTGCTGCCTTTTTTTCAGCTATACCCTGCCCCCAGAGGTGGAGTCTACAGAGGCAGGCAGGCCTCCTTGAGCTGAGGTGGGCTCCACCCAATTTGAGCTTCCTGGCCGCTTTGTTTACCTACTCAAGCCTCAGCAGTAATGGACGCCCCTCCCCCAGCCTCACTGCCGCCTTGCTGGTCAATCTCAGACTGCTGTGCTAGCAGTGAATGAGGCTCCGTGGGCGTGTGACCTTTCGAGCCAGGTGCTGGATATAATCTCCTGGTTTGCTGTTTGCTAAGACCATTGGAAAAGCACAGTGTTAGGGTGAGAGTGTCCGGATTTTCTAGGTACCGTCTGTCACAGCTTCCCTTGGCTAGGAAAGGGAATTCCCTGACCCCTTGTGTTTCTGGGTGAGGTGATGCCCTGCCCTGCTTCGGCTCACACTTGCGTGGGCTGCACCCAGTGTCCGACAAGCCCCAGTGAGATGAACCTGGTACCTCACTTGGAAATGCAGAAATCACCCGTCTTCTGCATCGCTCACACTAGAGCTGTAGACTGGAGCTGTTCCTATTTGGCCATCTTGGAACCCGTTATTTATATTTTCTTTATTTTACCTGTGTTAGACTAAGAGTGGTGGTGTGTTATGAGTGTGTTTCTGTCAGTTTCTCTTTGCATGTTTGTCATTTCTGTTCTATGTATGCCATTGCTGTGGGATTTTGGTGTATAGATTCATAAATGATACTTTTATTGTAAATTGTTCTTCTTAGTGTTACAAAGCACTCTTTTTTGTTTAAATTTTTTGGCATGAATTGCCCTGTATGCCTGATATCAGTATTGCAAATCCTGTTTTCTCAGTGTTTGCATTTGCTTCACATATGTTTGTCCATGTATTGCCTTTTATTCATAATCTTTCTGTATTTTGTTTTAGGTGTATCTTCATGTCTTGCATACAGTGTAGACTTGTATTTTGCTTGAGAATCAATCTGAAAGTCTTTAAACAAAAAAGTAGGTGGGCTAAGCCCGTTTACAATTATTGTTATGGCTTGTTAAGTGTGGTCCCAGCTTTGTCATTTTTTTAATGTTATGCTTCTCTTTGTATTAATTGATCCTATATTTACTGTATTTTTTCCTCTATGAGGTATGTGTTTTCCTCTTTTAAATTTCTTTTATTGTATTGGCAGATTTGAACATATTTGTTCCAGTTGTTACTTTTATACTCATTTTTTAAAAATGATACTTTCATTATATGTTTTCTTATTTGAGCCTGATTTGGTTTTTTTAGTTTTTCTGCTTCAAGGGAATATATTTTGATTCCAACATCACACATTTAGGGCAATCACTGTGCTTATTCCATGTTCCTTTTTCTCTTTCCCTTCTCTTCTCTTTTTAAAAATTGTGTTATCTCTACATTTTCAGAATATGTAACATTTGTATTTAGGAACTTTAGGGACTCCAATAATTTGATGGATTGTTGTTTATCTACTTATTTATCACTCTATAATTCTTTTTTAAGAAATCATTTTCTTTGTTATAGTGTTTTTGTTTCCTTGGATATTTTCATTTCTCAGTTCTCCTTAGTATATTTAAAGTTGTATCTATTCTCTTACATACATTGTAATTAAATTTAGCTTTCATTTCTGAGATAATTTTCAGTTTGTTTTCAGTTTGTTTTGAATTTAATTGACTCTCATTTCATAGCTTCCCTTTTTAATCCATTTATATTGAAAGATTTAAATATGTGGTTCAAAATCTTTTGAAATATCTCCAAACAGTTGTTTAAAGATAGATAATTCCAGTTGGGATATTGTAATGCAGATTTTCTCTGCTTTGGGTTTATTTTAGGGCATTTTTATCAGCTAAAATGTTTTTAATTTTTTTCCCTTTAGTAGCCTTGTAGGGATGGCTTTTGCCATTGTTACTTATTTTGAATGTCTTATATTTTCCTGGACTACCAATACAAGATTTTTCTGTCTGTTATTCTGAAGTTTTTGTTGTTTTCTAGATGTCTTAGTTAATAGCACCCTCTTCTTTGGGGGTGGTAAAATCTTTCGTGTATTTTTTTGGGGTGATGAGGAAAGAAATTGATAACATGTCTTCTAATTTTGCAATTCTCTTTTCTTTCTATATTTCCACATTTCCACTGCTTGTTTTTTTTTTGGTGGGGGGCGGGGTGGGGGATGGAGTCTTGCTCTGTTGCCCAGGCTGGAGTGCAATGGCATGATGTTGGATCACTGCAACCTCTGCCTCCCGGGTTCAAGTGATTTTCCTGCCTCAGCCTCCTGAGTAGCTGGGATTATAAGCATGTGCCATCATGCCCAGCTAATTTTTGTATTTTTAGTAGAGATGGGGTTTCACCATGTTGGTCAGGCTGGTCTTGAACTCCTGATCTCGTGATCTGCCTGCCTCAGCCTTCCAAAGTGCTGAGATTACAGGCTTGAGCCACTGCACCCGGCCCCACTGCTTACTTCTTTCCCTTCACAAGCCTTAAGAATGCCCCTCTCCAAGATGCCACCATCAGCCCCACACATTTTTAATCCCCTTCTTTTTGATTTCTCAGGAGCTATGCTTTGATCTATGAAGTCTCAAACTTGGTCTTAGTGGCTTTCCCCATTCAATAGTTGACTCCCTCTAACATAGGTTTTATCTGCACTCTACCATGGTTAGCTGTCCACTGTCTTCTCTCTTCTCTGCAGGGCACTACCTGATTATCTACTCTGGATTGGGGTCCGAAGCTGACTCTACTAATTTCATATATTTATTGCCTTTCTTACATATAAATTAAATTATACTATATTTTTAAAAATTATTTTACTTGTAATTGACTAATTGTATATTGATAGGGTACAATGTGATGTTTCCATACATGTATACATTGTGTAATGTTAAAATTAGAGTAATTAGCACATCAAGCACGTCAAATATCTATCATTTCTTTGCTGTAGGAACATTCAAAATCCTCTCCTCTCGTATAGTTATTTTAGATATACAATGTTTTTTTGTTGACTGTGGTCACCCTACTGTGCAATATGACACCAGAACTTTTACTTGTACCTGTAACTTTCTATCTAGTGACTAACCTCTGCCTAGCTCCCACTGCCCCCTACCCTCTCTAGTCTCTGGTAACTACAGTTGTATTCAGTTAATTCTATGAGGTTGAACTTTTTAGATTCTACATATGAGTGAGAATATGCAGTATTTGTCTTTCTCTGGCTTATTTCATGTAACGAAATGTCTGTAAGATTGATTCATGATTTTGCAAAGGACAGGATTTTGTTCTTTTTTTGTGGCTGAATATTATTCCATTGTGTATATATACACCATATTTTCTTAATCCATCATCTGCCACTGGACACCGGTTAATTCCATTCCTTGGTTATTGTGAATAGTGCTGTGACAGACATGGGAATGCAGATTACTTCTTTGAAATACTGATTTTTGTTTTCTTTGCATATATATATGCAGTAGTGGGATCACTGGATCATATGATAGTTCTATTTTTAATTTTTTTGAGAGACCTGCATACTGTTTTCCATAATGGCTATACTAATTTACATTCCAACCAACAGTGTGCAGGGGTTCCCTTTTCTACATATACTCATCAAGACCTACCTTTTGTCTTTTTGGTGACAGCCAAGATGTCACCAATAGGTGATACCTTATCATGGTCTTGATTTTCCTTAACCTGATAATTAGTGTATTAGGATTCTCTAGGGGGACAGACATAATAGGATATATGTATATACGAAAGGGAGTTTATTAAAAAGAATTGACTCACATGATCACAAGGTGAAGTCCCATGTAGGCTGTCTGCAAGGTGAGGAGCAAAGAAGCCAGTAGTGGCTCAGTCCGAGTCCCCAAACCTCAAAGTAGGGAAGATGATATTGCAGCCTTCAGTCGGTGGCTGAAGGCCTGAGAGTCTCTGGCAAACCACTGGTGTAAGTCCTAGACCCCAAAAGCTGAACAACTTGGAGTCTGATATTCGAAGGTAGGAAGCATCCAGGATGGGAGAAAGATGAAGGCTGGAAGACTCAGCAATTCAGCTTCTTCTACCTTCTTCTGCCTGCTTTTTCTAGCCACACTGGCAGTGGATTGGATTGTGGGTCCATTGTGGATAGATGTGGACCCATCCACAGTGCAGGTGGGCCTTTCTTTCCCAGTCCACTGACACAAATGTTAATCTCTTCTGGCAACACCTAGAGGCAATACGTTGCATCCTTCAATCCAATTGAGTTGACACTTAATATTAACCATCATAATTAGTGATAGTGACATTTTTTTATGTGTGTGTTGGACATTTGTCTGTATTCTTTTGATAAATATCTATTCAAGTCTTTTGCTCATTTTAAAATCAAATTTTTTTCATGTTAAGTTTCTTATATATTCTGAATGTTAACCCTTGTTAGATGCATACTTTGCAAACATTTTCGCCCATTCTGTAGGGTATGCCTTCACTCAGTGATTGCATTTTTGTTGTGCATAACGTTTTTAGTTTCTTGTAATTCTGTTTGTCTATCCTTTCTTTTGTTGTTTGTGCTTTTAAGGTCTTCTCAAAAAAATTCTTGCCCAGTCCAGAGTCATGAAACATTTATGTTTTCTCCTAGTGTTTTGATAGCTTGGGATCTTACGTTTTAGTTTTTAATTCATCTTGAGATTATTTTTGTATGTTGTGAGAGTTTTGAGATGATTTTTGTATATTGTGAGAGTTAAGAGTCTAGTTGCATTCTTCTGCATGTGGATACTCAGTTTGCCAAGTACCCATTTCTTGAAGAGATGACCTTTTCCCCATAGTGTGTTCATGACACCTTTGTTGAAAATCGGTTGGCTTTAAATACATGGTTTGTTTCTGGGCTCTCTATTATGTTCTGTTGGTTTAAATATCTGTTTTAATGCCAATATCATGCTGTTTTGGTTATTACAGCTTTGTAGTATGTTTTAAAGTAAGATAATTTGATGCCTCCAGCTTTTCCCTCCCCTTTATCTGAGATTTCTCTAGCTTTGGGGATCTTTTGTGGTTCGATACAAATCTTAGAATGGGCTTTTCTGTTTCTGTAAAGATTGTTTCTGGCATTTTGTTACGGCTTTGATTCAATTGGTAGATTGCTTTTGGCAGTATGGCCATTTTAACAATATTAATTCTTTCTGTGAGCATGAAAGGTCTCTTTATTTGCTTTCATTCTCTTCACTTTCTTTCATCAATGTTTTTATAGTTTGTAGACATCTTTCACTTCCTTGATTAAGTTTATCCCTAGGGTATTTTTTCTCTTTTTTTTTAGCTATTGTAAATGGGATTGTCTTGATGATTTCTTCTTCAGCTAGTTTGTTGTCTATGTACAGAGACACTATTGAGTTTTTGTATGTTCATCTTGTATCCTGCAACTTTATTGAAATTGTTTATTAGTTCTATGAGTTTCTTTGGTAGAGTCTTTAGGTTTTTATATTATTAAAATCTTATCATCTACAAAAAGGGATAATTTGACTTTCTCTTTTCCAATTTGGATGCTTTGATTTCTTTTCCTTGCCTAATTCTCTGGCTAGAACTTCCACTACTATGTTAAATAAGAATGGTGGGCATGGACATCCTTGTTTTGTTCCAGTTTTTAAAGAAATAGCTTTCAGCTTTTCTTCATTCAGTATGATGTTAGCTGTGGGTTTGTCATATATGCCTTTTATCATTTTGAGGTTCTTTCCTTTTATTCCTAATCTCATCTCTTCTCTCTCTCTGTCTCCCTGACATACTTTGCTTCCTTCCTTCCTTCCTTCCTTCCTTCCTTCCTTCCTTCCTTCCTTCCGTCCCTCCCTCCCTCCCTCCCTCCTTCCTTGCTGAAGAAATTATCATGAAGGGGTGTTAAATTTTGTCAAATGCTTTTTCTGCATCTATTGAGATGGTCATATGTTTTTTGTTGTTTATTATTATTTTTGTTGTTTATTCTGCTGATGTAATATATCATGTTTACTGATTTGCAAATCTGGAACCACCCTTGCATTCCTGGGATAAATCTCATTTAATCATAAGGTATTTTTTAATGTATTATTGGATTCAGTTTGCTAGTATTCTATTGAAGATTTTTACATCTATATTTATCAGGGATATTGGCTTGTAGTTTTCTTTTGTTTCCTTGTGTCCTTGTCTGACTTCATTATCTGGGTTATGCTTGCATCATAGAATGAGATAGGAAGAGTTCCCTCTACTTCAGTTTTCTAAAATAGTTTGAGAAGAATTAGTATTAGTTCTTCTTTTAAGAGTCAGTAGAATTCAGCAGTGAAGCCATCCAGTCTTGGACTTTTCTTTTTTGGGAGATTTTTTTATTACTGATTCAATCTTGTTAGTTGTTACTGGTCTGTTCAAGTTTTCTATTTCTTCTTGGTTCAATCTTAGTAGGTTGTATGTGTCCAAGAATTTATCCATTTATTCTAGGTACTCAAATTTATTGGTCTATAATTGTCATAGTAGTCTCTAATGATCCTTTGTATTTCTCCGGTTTTTATTATGATGTCTTCTTTTTCATTTCTGATTTTATTTAGGTGGGTCGTTCCTCAAGTTTTTCACTGTAGCTAATAATTTGTCAATTTTGCTAATCTTTTAAAAAACAACTTTTTGTTTCATTGATGTTTTGTATTGTTTAGTCCAAATTTTGTTTCATGCTGCTCCGATTTTTATTCTTTATTTCCTTCTAATTTTGGGTTCAGTTTGTAATTGCTTTTCTAGTTCTTTGAGATTTATTGTTAAGTTGTTTATTTGAAATCTTTGTATTTTTTGATGTAGGCATTAATTACCATAAATTTGCCTGTTAATATTTTTTTCTGTGTCCCATAAGTTTTGGCATATAGTGTCTATTTTAATTTGTTTAAGGTATTTATAAATGTTATTATTAATTATTTCCTTCACCCACCGGTCATTCGGGAACATATTTCATTTCAATGCATCTGCATTGTTTCAGCTGTTCCTCTTGGTATTGATTTCTAGTTGTATTACATTGTGGTCAGATAAGACACTTGATATGATGTACACTTTGTAAAACATTTTGAGAGTTATTTTGTGTCCAAACATATGGCCAGTCCTGAAGAATGTTCCATGTGTAGGTGAGAAGAATGTATATTCTGCAGCTTTTGGGTGAAATGGTCTGTAAATATCTGTTAGGTCTATTTGATGTATAATGCAATTTAAATCTGATGTTTCCTTGTTGATTTTTTTGTCTAGATTATCTGTCCAATGCTGAGAGTAGGATATTGAAGTCATTAACTCTTATTGTATTGGGAGTCTAATCTCTCCTTGTAGATCTAATAACATTTGTTTTACATATCTTGGTGTTCCAGTGTTGGGGACTTACATATTTATAATTGCCCTCCTGTCTCTGGGCCAATCCAATCCAGGTGGAGAGACGGGGCTACAGAGGATGAATGTCTACATTGCCACCCTCCTGGGCTTCCAGTCACCACGGTCTTTTCTTGTGGGAGAGATGAGTTTCAAATTTCTCTAGTCAGTCATCTTGCTAATTGTCATTCTGTGTATTGATTTTGTATTCTGCAATTTCACTTAGTTTCCTCATTCCAATAGCTTTTAAAAAAATTCTTTAGGGTTTCCTACTGGTAAGATCATGTTGTCTGCAAACAGACAATTTCGCTTCCTCCTTTAGAATTTGGATGCTTCTTTTTACTTTTTTCTTGCCCAACTGCTCTGGTTAGGACTTGCAGTACTGTTATTTCAGTACTATATGGCAAAAAAACTCAATTACTTTTTCACTTACCTACTATGTTCAATAGAAGTGGTGAACATGGCATCTTTTTCTTTTTCTACATGTTAGACAAAAAGCTGGAAGCTTTTCATGATCTCTTGTGTTTCAGTGGTATTAGTTGTAATGTCTTTGCTTTCATTTCAGATTTTACTTGTCATCTCTTTTCTTAGTCTTGCTAAAGATTTGTTGATTTTTTTTATCTTTTCAAAAAACTAATTTTACATTCATCAATATTTTGTATTTTTATTCTTTTTTATTTCTGTTCTCATCTTTATTATCTTTTTCTACTAATTTTGAGTTTATTTTGTTCCTACTTTTCCAGTTACTTGAGGGTGCAATGTTAGGTTGTTTATTGGAGATCTTTCTACTCTTTTGATATATGCATTTGTATAAACAGTACTTTGAGGTACAAACTTCTCTCATAGTACTGCTTTTGCCGTATCTCATAGATTTTGGTATGTTGTGTTTCTATTGTCATTTGTTTAAAAAATTTTTAACTTCTCTTTTAATTTCCTCATTGACCCATTGGTTATTCAGTAGCCTGTTGTTGAAGTTCTATGTATTTGTAAAGTTTCAGAAGTTCCTTCTGTTACTGATTCCTAGTTAAATACTGTTATGATTAGAAAAGATACTTGATATGACCTCTATCTTCTTAAGTTTGTTAAGACATATTTTGTGGCCTAACATGATCTGTCCTGGAGAGTATTCCATGTGCAGTTGAGTAGAATGTATATTCTATTGCTCTTGGGTAGGATATTCTGTAAGTGTTATGTCCCTTTGGTCTAGAGTTCAGTTTAAGTCCAATGTGTCTTTTATGATTTTCTGTCTGCATAATCTGTCCATTGTTGAAAGTGGGATATTAAAGTCTTCTACTATTATTGTATTACATTGTATTTCTCCTTTTAGATCTAATAATATTTGCTTCATATATTTGCATACTCCAGTTTTGGGTATGTATACATTTATACTTGTTATATCCTCTTGCTTAGTAGATTCCTTTATCACTATATAATAACCTTGTTTGTTCTTTTCATAGTTTTCTACTTAAAGTGTGTTTTATCTATTACAATCATAGCCACTCCTGCTCCCTTTTTATTTTTGCAACTCCTGCTCCCTTTTTATTTTTGCTTAGAATGTATTTTCCATCTCTTTCCTTTCAAATTGGATGTGTTCTTACAGGTAAAGTGAGTTTTGTGGGAGCATATAGTTGGATCTTGTTTTTTAATCTATTCTGCCATTTCATATCTTTTAATTGGAGAATTTAATTCATTTGCCTTCAAGGTTGTTATTGATACGTACATACTTATTCCTTCCATTTTGCTGATTCTGTTGTGGTTGTTTTGTAGATCCTTTGTTTTTTCTTTTGTTCTTGTTTACCTTTGTGGTCTGGTGATTTCTGTTTCCTTTCGGTGCTAAGGTTTGATTTCATTCCCTTTCTATTTTGTGTAACTGCTGCATTTTTTTTTTGAGGTTAACGTGTGGGTAATATAAATAATCTTGTAGCTAAAATAGACTAATTTAGGCTGAGAGAAAATTATCTTTGGTTGTATAGAAACCCTCTAGACTTTCACCCACTTCTCACAATACATTACTTTTACCTTAATATACATATTGGTATATTGTGGGTTCTTTTACAACTAAGCTGTAGTTATTTTTGACCATATTGACTTTAACCTTCATAGTAGAGATTTGAATGATTATGAATGTACCTCTAGTAATGAATTTATACTTTGATGTGTTTTCATAATAGTAATTATTGTCATTTTGCTTCCAGTTGTATTCCTCCCTTAAGCATTTCTTTTAAGACTAGGGCTGATGAATTCCTTGTAGTATTGCTCATCTGGGAAGGACTTTTTTTTTCTCTCTTTTCTGGAGGACAGTTTTGCTGTGTATAGTATATTTGGCTGGCAGTTTTTTTCCCTATATAGCACTTGGAATATATCATCTCATTTTTTTCTTTGCCTGCAATGCATCAGCTGAGAAATCTGCTGATGGTCTAATGGAGATTCCCATGTATGTGGCTTCACTCTTTTCTTTCTCTTGCTACTTATAGAATTCTCTTTGTATTTTGTCAGTTTGGCTATTGATAAAGTTTGGGTGTTATCCCCTCTAAATTTCATGTTGAATTTGTAATCTACAGTCTTGGAGGTGGGGCCTGATGGGAGGTGATTGGATTATTGGGGCATAGCCCTCATGAATTGGCTTCGTGACATCTCCTTAGTGGTGAGTAAACTCACATAAGATCTAGTTGTTTAAAAATGTGTTGTACCTTCCCCCTGTTTGCTCTCTCCCCATGTGAGATGCCTGCTCTCCCTTTGCCTTTAGCCTTGATAGTAAGCTTCCTGAGTCCTCATTAGAAGGTGAGCAGATGCCGGTGCCATGCTTTCTGTACAGCCTGCAGAACTGTGAACCAATAAAACCACTTTTCTTTATAAATTACCCACCCTTGAATACTGCATTGTGTGATTCAAGAGCAGTCTAACATACTTATAATGTTGCCAGGTGAGGAACTTTTGTTTTAATATATTTAGGGACTTTTGAGCTTCCTGGATTTGGACGTCTATCTCTCTCTCAAGACTTATAAAGTTTGCTGCTATTGTTTTGTTAAATAGGCTTTCTGTGCATTTCTTCACCTATTTTGCCTCTGGAACTCCTGTAATATATATTAAGCATATTAACCAAATATATATGTAAATATATGTAAAGATATATTTACTTAATGATATCACATAAGTCCCTTTGGCTTACTTTTTCTTCTTATTTTTTCCTCCTTTGACATGGTTATTTCCAAAGACTTATCTTCAAGTTCAGAATTCTTTCTTCTAGTCTGTTGTTGTAGCTCTCAATTCATCAGGTTCCAGGATTTTTGTTTGGTTCTTTTCACATTTTCTTTGTTAAATTCCTCATTTTTTAAATTCCTCATTTTGTGACGTTATTGAAGTGTTTATCTGTATGTTCTTGTAACTTGCCAAGTTTCCTTATGATTATGATTTTGAATTCCTTCTTTGGCATTTCATAGATTTCCTTTTCTTGCAAGGCTGTTATTAAATAATTATTTTGTTTCTTTGGAAGTGTCATATTTTCTTGTTTATTTTTGTGTTTCATTTATCCTTACTTTGATATCTGTGCATTTGATGGAATTGTCACTTCTTCCAATTTGATGGAATAGCTTTTGAAAGGAAAGACATCTTCTTGTAGCTGTTGTCCTAGGGTGTCATTGGGTAGTTTGTTAGCTTTGGTTCTGGAAGACTACATAATAGTGTAGTCTCCATGCAGATTCTTCCACTGAAATCCACATCAGCAATTTCTGCAGGTGCCTTAGTGGCCTAGAGTGTGGGGATTTGTGGCAGTGGTGGCAAAGCTTTCTGGTTGCTGGGTTGGTTTTCAGGCCAAAGAGTCACACACGCAATGCATCCACTGGCTCTGGCATAGCCTCTCCAGTGGAGGGGCTCAGATGCTGGAGTACGTACATCCCACTGGGCCCAAGCTTTCAATAACTGGGAATATGGTGCTGTAGTCACATGTGTAAGCATGATAAAAATGACAGAGCCTCATGGATGGAGAGACAGGGTAGTCAATGGCCCTCAGAGAAAGGTACACTCTGGTTATTGGTTCCAGTTCTAAGATGACGCTGTACTATAGCAACTTGTGTCACTGGAAGTGAGGGGTGCACCATATGGGCTTGTATTTTGGAGCAATGTAGCCATGTGAACTCTAGGCAGCTCACCCAGCTGTGATCATGGTCTGTGAGGGCTGCAGGATTCTCCTGTATGTGACTTCTATGTAATGGAGCTGCTGGAGATCTTCTGCTTACCTTTTCCCCTGCAAATGAAAGTCCTTTCTGGTTCCCAGTCAATCTTGTTGGAGGTGATGTAGTACCAGAAGCAGGGTGCTCTGCTCCCCTTTCTATGCTGCTGTTCTGGGTGTCCATGCTTCACAGGGAATTCACACCTCCCTTGTGGTACTCCAGTTCTCTTTTTAGACACTATACGTGAATTTTAATTGTTTATTTATTGCTCTAGTCTTTGTTGTTGTTGTTGTTGTTGTTGTTGTTAGGGGTATGAGTGCCAGGCATCTCTGGTCAGCCATCTTGTTGAAATCTCAAGTGTGTAAACTGTTTTATATTCCTTGTCTCCAAATTTATTCTTTGGCATGTTTTAAAGGTAGTTTTATTTGCTCCCTTTTTTTTCCTCCATATGGTAGTTAGATTACGGGCAAAGAGATTAGATTTAGGAAGTTGCCATTATTCCATAGGAACCCTGGATTATTTTACATGACTTTGTTCACTGCATTTTCTCAAGGTAATGTGTACAAAGCTGAGTACTCACTTGATGGAGGTGTAGTGATTGTCTCGATGTGTCTGAAGGGGGAAGATTGCAGTCACCCTAGGAGGAAAAAACTTAAGAAAACTGTGGATCATTTAAATTACTACCTTACAAATGATTCACACAACTTTAGTGGCCTCATCTTTATTTTGGTTTACAAATCTCCTGATGCCAAGAGAAGATCAAACGACTTAACAATTCAGTGTTAGGAGTCCATGAGACTTGTTTAACTTTAAAATATGTTTGCATTATTCAAGTTTGACAAAAACTGATATGGTGCAGATAGCAACAGCTTTTACATTGGATAGAACTGAACTCAGCTGCTCTGTCACTTTTTAACTTTGCAATTACATAACCTTTTTGAGCTTCAATTTTCTTATATATAAAGTGGGAAAAACAATTTCAGCATCATAAGGTTGTAGTAAGGTTTAAAATAAAGGATAATATATGTGAAGTGATGGTAGGGCTTCCAAAATTGTAGCAGTTACTGTTAAATTTGTGATGTGCAGACAATCGAGGACTGATTTAATTAAGAGTGACTACATTTTCAGAATTCCACTGTGATTTTTCAAGCGGGCTTTCTCTCCAGTTTCCACATTAACTCTTTCCTGCTGTCTTTTCACTCCTCAAATTTGTAGTCTTAGTTGCAAATACTCTTGCTCATACTTCAATGGAAAAATTCAAACCACAAGAAAAGAGCTCTCTCTTCCTTCTAATATCATATCTACAAAGCACTAGGATTCATACTCAAAGTTTTATTTTTTACAAGGGTGATGAGTTTTTGCTCTCATCAAAGACCATTCTCTCCAAATGGGATCTTTTGTACTTCACCCTGTGATGTGGTTAGGCATTGTGTCCCCACCCAAATATGATCTTGAATTATAATCCCTGTAATCCCCTTAGTTCCCACATGTCAAGGGAGAGACAAGGTGGAAGTAATTGGAGTGGGGGCAGTTTCCTCCATGCTATTCTCATAATAGTGAGTTCTTACGAAATCTGATGATTTTATAAGGGGCTCTTCCCCCTTTGCTTGACACTTCTCCTTCCTGTTGCTTTGTGAAGAAGGTGCCTTGCTTCCCCTTTGCTTTTCACCATGATTGTAAGCTTCCTGAGGCCTCCTCAGCCATGCTGAACTGTTAGTCAGTGAAACCTCTTATCTTTATAAATTATCCAATCTTGGACAGTTCTTTACAGCAGTGTGCAAATGGACTAATAGACCCTGCCTTCGCAAGGGCCTCTTTTCTTTGGATGTCCCTTCTTTTTTTTAGCATCATCAACCTTTTCCCCCATTGGATTATTCCTACCAGAACCCAAATAGACTCATTTCTTTTAGGCCAGTTTTCTGTCTAGATAGTGATCTATTTATCTGCTCCCTTTTATTACTGAATCTTGCAAAAAGACATGTTGTCTTCACATCCTCATCTCTCACTCACTGTTTAATTCACTTCAATATGATTTCATTCCCACTACTCCCTTGAACCTGCTCATGCCTTATTAACATCAGTGACTCTCAGTTGCTGAGTGTGGATAGGTAAAATTTTATCCTTCTTTTGAATAATCTTTCCTTTTGGTTTCCAGGGCTCCTACCAACTGGTTTTCCTTTTATTCTCTCATGTCACTTCTCAGCTTCTCCTGCTGGATCATCACTGTACCTGATGGCTACTCCTTTTAAAATTTTGTGCCTAGATGACTTTATTCATCTCAGTGGCATTATATACCATGTAATTGTTATTCTGATAATCTGCTATTCATGTTATTGGTGAAAGGGAGATCCCTAGTCCTAAGTAGTATGAGATGGCCAAATACATGACACCCAACACTGGATAGATGAGACTTACACTCACAGAAGTTTACTAGTTACACATATTCAGGATTTGGGAGAGGAGGATACCACATACCATGCAGGTGACATGGGGGTTGTACTTTGGAAGAGAGTTAATGCTCAGGGGCTGTGAGAGGCAGGCTTTATAGTAACAGGGGTGTAGGGGGGTCCCGGGCTTCCCACTGAAAGGTGTGATTGGCCTGTTTGAAGAATTCTGGCTTGCAGAAAAGTGAAACCACTTAGGTTAAGGACTGAGTGGGGTGCAGCTAGTACAGGTGGGGAGTCGCTGGGAGTGGAGCAATTCTGGCAGGGTGTGGAGTGTATTTGGAGCAAGCAGGGGAGATGATGGTTAGGCCTTTGAACCTAATCCTTTTTCAGGCTCAAAGATGTTAAGGCAGCACTTAGAATTTTATGTCTTTCAATATGCACGTCTATTGTTCCAAAATGTGTGTCCTCATTACAAACCATTCCTCTGGGCTCCAACTTTATTGATTTATTTATTTTAGCCAACTGCATCCTTGACATTTTCCACTGAGATGTCTCACAAATAAGTTAAACCTAACATGTCTGAGTTTTGATTCTCTTCTCTCTTACTTGCCATGTTTCTCCCCAGTTTTTCTTATCTCAGTTGATAGAGTCATCATCTATTCAGCTGCACAAACTAGTAATATGGGAGTAATATTTATTTCTCCCTTTCTTGATTTTCACAAACCATTGCATCAAGAACTCTATTAGCTTTTTATCTAATTCCTGTCACACAGTCATCTACTTTATATTTCCAACACCACCATTTTACCCAAGCTATCATCATCTTTCCCTTTGACAATTATAATTTACTTCTAATGACTCTTTCCAGTTTTGCTCCCCTTTTTCCAGTCTGTTCTCACATGGCAATTATAGTGAACTTTTATAAATGTCAGATTATTGACTCTGGGCTCTATCTCTACCTCTCACAGAGCAGGCCCAACTTTCCTGGGTGAGAGTTAGGGCAGGGAGAGCAGTCTAAGCAATAAATGTTAAAATTGTCCTGATCAAAGACCAACTTACAAAGAGAACATCATGATTCCATTTCTCAGTCTGAGGTCCCTTGCCAAAGATGGTATGTCATACCCAGACTCAAATTTACTCTTTCACCGAACTCACATTACTTCCTCATCCTAAAACATCTTAGATGGAGCTAATAGATGGAGCATATATTTCTCTGCTCCTTATTACTGTTTTTTCCATTTGTATGCTTTATTGTTATATTATAGACATAGAGGGAAGGTTCGTTGTCTAGGGTAAGCTGGGGTGGCACCTGGGGGTCAAACTCAAGTGGACACTGGTCCATTTGGTCAAACTCCAATTGTATTCTTAGCTCACCTCACCTTATTGTTCAAAAAAATGTAATTCTTCTGCAGTTTCTTCTTCCTTAGTTTGCCTGTTTCTCCACAAGGTTTTGATAATGCATAGATTTCCTCCCCTTGATCCACAGATTTTTTGCCTCTTCTATTTCTTTTGGTTAACTTTGATAGATTTCCTTCTTTCAATCACTACTGCCCACTTAATAGACATCATGCTATTCTACTGCTTGGAATTCTTTAAGGACTTGCCACTGTGCATGGAATACAATCTCAACTTCCTATTATGACATATGGTGGTTTGTAAGATACAGTCCCTGGCTCAGTTTCCAACCTCTTTCTTTTCTGTCCCTTCTTTGCTCAGTATACTCTAACTGCCTGTCTATGCTTCAGTTCCTTGAGGACATCAAGCTCTTTATCACCTCAAGATGTTAAAAACGTGGTGTTTCCTCTGTCAGGTCTTCTTTCTGTCATTCATTTCATATGATTCTTTCTTATTCCTCCGTATAGCCTTCCTAATTTATATGAGGGTTCTTTTTCCTCCCTCTATTGTTTTACCTCATAGCATCTTGCTCTCCTTCTTTAAAATATATATGGAAGTTTATAACATGTATCTGTTATGCATTGATGATTGTTTTCTACCCTTACTAGGAATAAGGGCTGTTACTTTGTTCATTACTGTACACCCAGTATCTGGAGCTTCTTTGCACATTATAGGGCTCAAGAAATATTTATTGAATGAAGAAAGGAAGAATGAGTAAATGAAAGAACATAATTGAAGCATAGGAATTTATTTGTTGGTCAACTCTTCAGCAGTTGTTAAAATGTTCATTGTCAGGCCCCTTTACACTCTTGAAAGTGATTGAGGCCTCCAATAACTTGTGAAAAATACAGATTATATCTGTTACCATTTATCATATTAGAAGTTAAGAAACAATGATTAAAATCATACGTTGATATAAATTTTATGAAAATTTTTAAAACAAAAAATTTGGGAAGATTGCCATTTTTATGTTTTTGAAAATCTTCTAAATGACAACAGAAGAAAGCTGGATATTCTTTTCTGCTTCTGCATTGTCTGTTTTCATATCACATACCATGTAGCCTCTGGAAAATTCCACCACACACTCCTGAATGAATGCAAGTGAAAAAGCCTGATAACATCCTAGTGTTATTATAAAAAACATCCCCTGAAAGGTGTCCCTCTGTTTTACTTGGAGAACTACTGGTTTAGATGATCATGTACTTGTTAAGTGGCAGTGGAGCATACTCTTCCTAGACAGGTCACTCAGAAGTTTAGGAGAGAATTGGGGCACTGTCAGATAGAGAGGTATAATGGTCAAGAGAACCAGATTCCAATCCAAGTTCTAAACACAATGTATACCATTACCTATGCATGTTTGTTAAACATCTATGGCCCTTGTTTCTCCCTCTGTAAAATGGGGGTAATTGTACCTCTCAATTGCCTCTATGATGATGATACATATGATATCATAGATATTAAGTAGCTGGAGTAAAAGTTAGCAGAGGTGAACAAATGCAAGAGGTTACTTACCTTTCACCACCATTTATTTTCATAAGCTGTGCCTCACAAAAATTAATAGATGTAGGATTTTCTGTCTCTCAGAGTTCTTTCCTGGTGAATTTAGTTTATCATTATGCCATCAGGGCTAAAGGGAAAGTATTGAATGATTAATCGTTTTGTAGTGGTCTCTATTTTGGTTGGAAAGTGTGGAACTAGGTGAGAGAACTCTTGCTATGATTATTTTTAGAAAACATTTTTCCATGAAAATCAATTATTCATGTAATATAAAAAAGTCAGTTGCAATCTATTTCATATTGACTCTCTATTCACTCAAAAAGAGAGACTAAATGGCTGTTGCAGTAATTCAGCTGCCCTGCCAACAGCTCTGCAGCAGCAAGAATGCCTTTTATAATAAGGTGTTCCCTATATGGAGTCAGAGATTAATGTCATGACAGTTCTCTTGTCTCATAGCCCTGTGACATTACTGTCCTGTTCTGCGAAGTCTCACTTCTGGCATAACTGAGAGGCTCACACACTTATAAGGCACCAGATTTTGTAGCGAAAATGAGAGCTTTAATGTTTGGAACTGTAAGAGTTATTGTTTCTTCATATATTTAATACACTAAAAAAGTAAAAACAACAGTTGTGCTGATAACCAACTCCTCAGAGTGGCAAGATTATAATAAGCTGGATGTATTTTTCCAAATTATTTGACTCTCATAACAGTTTCAGTAATTCCTGAAGTTGATAATAATTCTAAAGGTACTTATAACAGAGGAGGGGTGTTAGCTAGTACTACACCCCCTTCCCATACACACATATACATACTCATACCCACCCCCCAACACATACCACCCCCACCCACACACCACCCATATAAGAGAGAAATAAATAACCTAGGGTAATGGTTCGTTATTCTGCCCTTTATCATGTTCTCAATAATTTGATGTTTTATCTCTCCTTACTATAGACTTTCTCAAACTTGAACGTGCATCAGAATCACTTGGAAGGATTATGAAAATATAGAATTGTTGACACCATCCGCAGACTTTGTGGTTCAAGGGTTTGAGGTGGGGTCGCAGAATTCACATTTCTTACAAATTCGTTGGTCCAGGGACTATGCTTTGAGAAGTACTCACTGCAGAAGCCTGAAAGACAGACATCATGGTTTCTGACAGTGGTTTAGGCTCAGATATATCATGTTTAAATATTTACTCACTGCATGACCTAGGACAGTTTTATCTCACTGTGTCTCATTTTTTTCCTCTGAAAAATGGAAATAACGTATCGCAAGGCTATTGCATGTGTTACCAGGGATCAGTGGTTTAAGCACAGTGCACTGTGGTAGTGGACTGGAGAGTATTCTATAGTTACTGTTCTTAGGAATTATCTTCAATTCAAGGTTGGGTTTTCTGAGTGTCTGAAATGTGGATATTATATGTTGATGATTAAAAATTTATCTCCAGGCCGGGCGCAGTGGCTCATGCCTATAATCCCAGCACTTTGGGAGGCCGAGGTGGGTGGATCACAAGGTCAGGAGTTCAAGACCAGCCTGGCCAAGATGGTGAAACCCCCGTCTCTACTGAAATTGCAAAATAATTAGCTGGGCATGGTGGCAGGTGCCTGTAATCCCAGCTACTCGGGAGGCTGAGGAAGATAATTGCTTGAACCTGGGAGGTGGAGGTTGTAGTGAGCCGAGACTGTGCCACTGCACTCCAGCCTGAGTGACAGAGCGAGACTCCATCACAAAAATAAAAATAAAAATAAAAATATCTCCAAGATTTAGATACCCAGCCAACAGGTAGAAATTGACAGTGCAATGATTTATTTGCACAATTGCAAAATAGCATTGCATAAATCAGATGGGCTTATTTTATTAACATCAGGGAAATAAATAGATGTTTTGGCTTCCAACAAAAATTATAATTAATTGTGTGAATGAATTAATAATATTAGCTTTCCACATACCCTACAATATTTTGGCTCAAACTCCATTGTATATATTCCTTAGCATTTATCACACAGATCAGATTTTCTCTGTATATGTGTTTCAGAATATCTCACTAAATGTAACATCTCATCTGCCTTTCATACTTCATCAATATTAGTGAAGAAAGGATCCTTAGACTCTAAACACTTTTATCAAGACCCCCTTTCTCTTTTTACCAACACATGCTGTATCCCTAATGTATCCTGCTTAAGGACCCAAGACTAATCCCATTTTCCACTTTATCTTTGATTTTGTCAGTTACTCTATGATCTCTAAGACTTCCAAGTCATTCTTCATCATCCAAATTTATCCTTCATCCCCACAAGTGTGTGGGACTCAGTGTCTGTTATCAGCAAAACTCTGCATTCCTAACCTATTTACCAAACATTCTTCTCACTCTATGAAACTTGACTCTCTCTAAGGAAATGGCTTCCCATGAAGCCCTCTTAAGAAGGTTTTTTTTTTTTTTTCCTTCTGCATTCTTCTGCTACTGGGCCTGGAGATAAGCATATACTGTCTTGGCACCTTTCAGACAATTCTCCTTAAAAATACCCAGCTTTAAGTTCAAGCTGTTATATTGAACCTTTTATTACTCCACCTTGTTGCAGGCATCTACAGATCTCCAGGTCTTTCTCCTGCACATTGTTTCAAACTCAGCACCTAGCACATCCTTTTTCTCAATACATAGACGTATATGTAAAATATATGCATATAAAATATGTATGTGTATATATGTATGTGTGTTATATTATTTTTCACATATCTGCTACCTCATTTTTTTTACCTCCTCCCCTCCAGCGATTGTTTTTTTTTTTTTTACCCTGTCTCAGGCACATACTTCTATGGTCATGACCAAGATGTTGGCATTGTCAATAATTGCTCTTCTCCATAATCTTCATTTTAAGCATTACACTTTCCAAACACCACTCCCATTTTTCCAGCTTACTCCTTCTACTGCCCTGACACTAAGAATTCTTAAATCCTACCAGCATCCTGCATTCCATTGCTTTTGCTACCATTACAATATTTCTCGCATACCATATGCTCTCACTTCCACTTTCTTTTTTTTTTTTTTTTTTTTTTTTTCACTTCTACTTTCATGTAGAGTCCATGCCCAATCATTATAATCACCCCCTTGGGCATACCTTCATGGCCACTTTGTCTATGAATTGACTTTTTCTGGAAAAATCTCAAACCTGGCTAAGTCTAATCCTTTTTCTACTCCACAGAGTTAAAAAAAAAAAAAAAAAGTTGACTGCTTTTGTGTTTATTTATATTGCATTTGCTCTAATTATTGGTGAAATGTCTGTACCTTTATTGAAGGCCAACCCCGTTGCTTTTACATTGCAGCCCATCCCCTCTTGCGGATATGACCCTAGTAATTGTTCTGCTTCTGTTGCATCATCAATTTCTTACTCTTATTGGTTTATTCAAATAAGCTGTAATCATATACTAAAAATTAAACTTGCTCAACTTCAAATTTATCTCTAGTTTGTTCCATTTCTTTTAGCTTCTTTCAGCAAAACTCCTGAAAATAATTACCTGTGCATGTTGTCTCAGTATATATAGTTCCCTTTTCCCCATTCTTGCTTGAACTCACATCAGTCAGGCCTTATCTCTACCCCTCTATAGAAGTCTTAAGTTACGGTCATATTGTTAAGCACAGAGGTCAATTCCTAGTCCTTGTCATACCTAATCTGTCATGATCACTTGTTCAATCTTTTTTTATTTTTATTTTTTAACAGCCTCTGGGTTTCTTGTCTTAGTTCTTTTTGACTGCTATAACAAGCTAGCATAGACTGGGTGCCTTATAAACAACAAATTTATTTCTTACATTTCTAGGGGCTTAGAGGTTCGAGGTCTAGGTGCTGGCATATTTGGTGTCTGGAGAGGGCCCAGTTCCTCTGAGAGACAGCTGTCTTTTCATTGTAATGCCACATGGCAGAAGGGAAAAACGAGCTCTTTGTGGTCTCTTTTTGAAGAGCACTAGTGTCATACGTGAGGGCTCTTCCCTCTTGACCTGATCACCTTCCAAAGTCTCCACCTCTAATACTATCACCTTGGAGGTTAGGATTTAAACATACAGATTTTGGGGGGCACAAATATTCAGACCATAGCACTGTTGCATTGGCAGGTAACTTTTGGTTTGCTTTTTCCTCATTTCTAAGATATATGAATATTGGAATATTCTAAGGTTCAAGCATCAGACTTCTACTAGTTTTCACACTCACTCACTGGCTTACCTTATCTGACGTAAAGACTTTAACTACTACCAATGAACTGATGACTTCCAAATTTGTATCTCTACCTTCACTCAGAATACAGACTTGTGTGTTCTATGACCTATTCAACTCTCCCTACAGATGTCTAATAGCTGTTAAAATGTATTATGTCTAAAAAGAAACCCAGCCATACTATTTCTAGTTTTGTTTTGCCTTGTCTTTCACATCTTGATAACTCATCTTTCCACTTGCATAAGCCAAACACTGTGAAGTCATCCATCATCTTCATGTAGTATTTATTGACAAATGCTGTCAAGTCTACTTTGAAAAAACATCTAGAATATGACCACATGCCACAATTAGTATGCCAATAGCAATAGCCTTCTAACTGGTCTCCTGGCTTCCTTATGCCCCATGCTCTGCTATTTATTTTCAATGTGTTAGCCTGAGTGAGATTTTAACAAAGTCAAGTTATGTCACTTCTCCACCTAAAATTTCCCAGTGGCTTCCTATGCTTCAAGTTAAAAGTCAAAATTTTTGTAGTAACTAATAAAGCCCTAAACATTATGGTTCCACTATATCTACTCTAACCTCATTTATAACACGTTTTCTGGCTTTTGTGTTGTTTCCCAAACCTACTAGGCATGCTACTAACTCAGGAATGTTGCACTTCCTTTTTCTCTGGCATCTAATGCCCTTCCCCCAGAAATCTTCATGGCTTACATTCTCAGGCCTATCAGGTCTTTCATCTCATGTCATGCTGTCATCCTGACAATAACGTAGTACCCTTCCTTGCCCACTCCTCCCCATCCTTACCATATTTTGTTTTTCTCCATAGCCATTGTCATCATCTGGTAAAATGTATTTTGTATTTACCAGTGTGTTTACTTACTGCCTGCCTCTCTTAATCAGAGAGTACATTAAGTTACATGAGTGGTACAACTTTACTGTCCTTTGCACATAGGAGGCGCATGACAAATATTTGTCAAATGATTTTCATTAACTTCACATTAACACCGAAGATGACTTAGGTGCTAAGTTAAATAAACCATGTAAGCTATAACTAGTTTTTATTATTTATTTTATTATTTATTTATTTATTTATTTTAATTTTACTTCAAGTTCTGGGATACAAGTGCAGAATGTGTAGGTTTGTTACTGTGAAGAGGGAAAGAGGACAGTTTTGAATCACTGATGCCACCTCTCTTCCAACTCTTGTCAGTGGCTGGGTGGCACAAAGAGAGAGCCTGTGCTCTTGGGAGAGGGAGAGCACAGCAATTGTGAGACAATAAATTGAACTCATTGCTGGCCCTTTGTCGCAGGATCCTTAGGGTGTCACTTTTGCAGCCGGAAACCTCTGTAGCCGGTGGCGCCATTGCCCGTTTTGCTTGGGCCCACTGGTCTTGTTCCACCCACTTGGCCCAGTAGGTTGTGTTCTGCTCATGCTACCAGCCGGGATCCCATGCTTGCCAAGGGTGAGCCAGGTGTGGAGTGGTGAGGGGTGTGTGAGTGAGAGCAGTGTCTAGCCACTGCTCACAGACAGGGTGCTGGCTGCATGCAAGGCTGTGGCTGGACCATGCATACCACGAACAGTTTCCACTGCAGGCACCAGGGAATTTGGTGTTGCCCTTAAGAGAAGGTCACAAGTCTGTCTGGATTCACTACCTCCTGATTGTAGAGACTAAGGGCCTTGAGAGAACATAGGTGGCAGCTAGGGAGTGGTTACAGCCAGCCTTGGGCAAGACCCAGTGCTGTACTGGCTTCAGTTCTGAACCAGCACAGTTTTGTGGCAGTGGCCAAAGGAATGTTTATGTTAATCCACAGCTTCAGGCAGCTCAGAACAAAGACTCTGTTTGGGATAAAGTAAGGGAAGAGAACAAGAGTCCATGCCTGGTAATCTATAGCATATTTTTCCAGATCTTATCCAAGACCTTCAAGGGGATACCCCTAAGAGTCTGTAGGAACCACAGCATTACTGGACTTGAGGTGACCCCTAGCGCAGACACTGCTTAGAATACAACATTCAAGTCCTCTTGAGTATCTGGAAAGCCTTCCCAAGAAGGATGAATACAAACAAGCCTAGACTGAGAAGACTACAATAAATATATAACTCTTTAATACCCAGACGCAGACAAAAATCCACAAGCATCAAGACCATCCAGGAAAACATAACCTCACAAAATGAACTATATAAGTCACCAGGGACCAATTCTGGAAAAGCAGCGGTATGTAACCTTTCAGACAGATAATTCAAAATAGCTGTTTTGAGGAAACTCAAATAAATTTAAGATAACACAGAGAAGGAAGTTGGAATTCTATCAGATACATTTAACAAAGAGGTTGAAATATTTAAAAAGAATCAAGCAGAAATTCCGGAGTTGAAAAATGCAATTGATGTACTGAAGAATGCATCAGAGTCTTTTAGTAGCAGAAATAATCCAGCAAAAGAAAGAATTAGTGACCATAACAGATTATTTGATAATACACAGAGGAGACAAAAGAAAAAAGACTGAAAAACAATGCAACACACCTATGAGATCTAGAAAATAGACTCAGTAGGGCAAAATAAGAGTTATTGAACTTAAAAAGAGGGTAGAGGGAGAGAGGGGGGTAGAAAGTTTATTAAAAGTGCAAATAACAGAGAACTTTCTAGAAAAAGATATTCATATCTAAGTACAAGAAGGTTATAGAATACCAAGCATATTTAACTAAAGAAGAAAGCTTCAAGGTATTTAATAATCAAACTTCCAAAGGTCAAGGATAAAGAAAGGATCCTAAAACCAGCAAGAGAGAAACAACAACAACAAATAACATGCAATAGAGCTCTAATATGTCTAGCAGCATACTGTTTAGTGGAAACCTGGTAGGCCAGGAGAGAGTGGCATGATATATATAAAGTGTTGAAAGATAAAAACGTTTAACCTTGAACAGTGTTTTGAGCAAAAATATCCTTCAAACATGAAGAGTAAATACTTTCCTAGACATCTGAGGGATTTTATCAGCACCAGACCTGTTCTATAAGAAATGCTAAAGGGAGTACTTCAATCAGAAAGACAAGGATGTAAATGAGCAATAAGAAATCATCTGAAGGTACAGAACTCACTGGTGTTAGTAAGAACATAGAAAACCACAGAATCTTATAACTCTGTAACTGTGGTGTGTAAACTACTCTTATTTTAAATGAAAGACTAAAAGATAAACCAATCAAAGATACTAACTACAACAACTTTTCAGGACATAGACAGTACAATGAGATATAAATAGAAACAACAAGTTAAAATGTAGGGTGACAAAGTTATGGTGTAGAGTTTTTTCTCGTTTTCTTTTTGTTTCTTTGTTTATGCAACCAGTGTTGAGTTTCTTTCAGCTTAAAATAACAGGTAATAGGTTATGAAATGGTTTTTGTAAGCCTCATGGTAACCTCAAATAAAAAACTACAATGGATACACAAAAAATAGAAAGCAATAAATTAAATCACATAATTAGAGAAAATCACCTTCACTAAAAGATAGGAAAAAAGGAAAGAAAGAAGAGAAGACCACAAAACAACCACAAAACAATTTAAAAAATGGCAGGAGTAAGTCCTTATTTATCAGTAGTAACATTGCATATAAATAGACTAAACTTACCAATCAAAAGAGAGAGTGGTTGAATGAATTAAAAAACTAGACCCAATGATCTTTTGCCTACAAGAAACACACTTCACCTGGAAAGATACACATAAACTGAAAAGAGATGGAAAAAGATATTCCATGCCAATGGAAACTAAAAAAAGGCAGGAGTGGGTATATTTACATCAGACAAAATAGACTTCAAGACAAAAACTGCAAAAAGAGTCAAACAAGGATACTATTTAATGATAAAGGGGCTAATTCAGTGAGATAATATAACAATTTGTAAATATATATGCACCTAACCCTAGAGCACTAAGATATATATAGGAACTATTAGAAGTAAAGAGAGAGATCCCAATACATTAATAGCTGGAGACTTCACCCCACTTTCAGCACTGGACAGATCTTCCAGATAGAATCACCAAAGAAACATCAGAGTTAATCTGTACTATAGAACAAATGGATCTAATAAATATTTATAGAACATTTTAGCCAACAGCTGCCAAATACACATTTTTTCCTCTGCAGCACATGCTGCATCATTCTTAAGGATAAATTATATGTTAGGTCACAAAACAAGTCTTAAACTTTCAAAAAATGAAATATCAAGCATCTTCTCTGACCACAATGAAATAAAACTAGAAATCAATAGCAAGAGGAATTTTGGAAACTTTACAAACACAATGAAATTAAGCAATATGCTCCCGAATGACCAGTGGGTCAATGAAGAAATTAAGAAGGAAATTGAAACATTTCTTCAAATAAAGGTTAATAGAAACATAACATACCAAAACCTATGGGATACGGTGAAAGTAGTAAGAAGAGGGATGTTTATAGACATAAGTTACTATATCAAATGATGCTGAAAAAGTATTTCATAAAATTCAATGTCCCTTCATGATTAAAAAAACTGTTAAAAAGGGTATGGAAGGAACATACCTCAACATAATAAATGCCATAGATGACAGACTCACAGGTAGTATCATCGTTAATGTGGAAAAACAAAGCCTTTCCTCTAAGAGGGGAAACATGACAAGGATGCCCACTTTTACCACTGTTACTCAACATAGTACTGGAAGTCCTAGCTATAGCAATCAGACAAGAGAAAGAAATAAAGGGCATCCAAATTGAAAAGGAAGAAGTCAAATTATCCTTGTTTGCAGATGATATGATCCTATATTTGGAAAAACCCAGCTACTCCACCAGAAAGCTATTAGAGCTGACATTCAGTAAAGCGGCAGTACGCAAAATTAACATACAAAAACCAGTAATAGTTCTGTATGCCACAGTGAATAATCTGAAAAACAAGTCAAGAAACTAATCCCATTTATAATAGCTACAGATAAAATAAAATATCTAACAATTAACCAAAGAAGTGAAAGATCTCTACAATAGAAACGATAAAACATTGATGTAAAAAATTGAAGAAGACACAAAAATATGGAAAGACACTCCATGATCATGCATTGAAAGAATCAATATTGTTGAAGTGTTCATGCCACCCAAAGCAATATACAGATTCCATGCAATCTCTATCAAAATACCAATGATGTTCTTCACAGAAATAGAAAAAATAATTCTAAAATTTACTTGCAACCACAAAAGACCCCAAATATCCAAAGGTATCCTAAACCAAAAGAACAAAACTGAAGGAATCACATTACCTGACTTTAAATTACACTACATAACTACAGTTACCAAAACGGCATGGTACTGGCATAGCAACAGACATATAGATCAGTGGAACAGAATAGAGAACCCAGAGATAAATCTGTACATCTCAGTGAACTCATTTTGACAAAGGTGCCAAGAACGTACATTGGGGGAAAGGACAGTCTCTTCAATAAATGGTTCTGGGAAAACTGGATATCCACATGCAGAAGAATAAAACTGGACCCCTATCTCTTACCGTATACAAAAATCAAATCAAAGTGGATTAAGGACTTAAATCTAAGATCTCAAACTACTGAAACTACTTAAAAGAAACTTTGCAGGAACTCTCCAGGACATTGAATCGGGCAAAGATTTCCTAACTAATACCCCACAAGCACAAGCAGACAAACTTAAAAATGGACAAATGGTATAACATCAAGTAAAAAAGCTTCTGCACAGAAAAGAAACAAAGTGAAGACAACCCACAGAATGGATTACAAATTTTTCAAACTATGCATCTGAAAAGATATTGATAACCCGAATGTAGAAGGAGTTCAAATGTATACGAACAAATCAAATAATCTTAATAAATATTGGGGGAACCCACCCTCAATATTTCAACGTAGGTTCTTTATAGTTTCCATAAGTGTTGGCCAGCTGAGAAATAAAGAGAGACAGTACAAAGAGAGGAATTTTACAGCTGGGCGGTCCGGGGTGACATCACATATCCGTAGGACCGTGATGCCTGCCTGAGTTTCAGACCAGCAAGTTTCTATTAAGGGTTTCAAAAGGGGAGGGTGTGTAAGAACAGGGAGTAGGTACAAAGATCACATGCTTCAAAAGGCAGAAAGCAGAACTACTAGTAACGGTCTAACAAAGATCATATGCAAAGGGCAAAAGCAGAACTACTGATAAGGGTCTATGTTCAGCAGTGCACGTATTGTCTTGATAAACATCTTAAATAACAGAAAACAGGGTTTGAGAGCAGAGAACCGGTCTGACCACAGATACATGAAAAGGTGCTAAGCATCATTGATAATCAGAGAAAAGCAAACCAAAACCACGATGAGTTATCTGACCTCAGTTAAAATGGTTTTTATCCAAAAGTCAGACAATAACAAATGCTGACGAGGATGTATATAAAAGGGCAAGCTAGTATGGTGTTGTTGGGAGTGTGAATTAGTACAGCCACTGTAGAGAACAGTTTGGAGTTTCCTAAAAAAATTAAAGATAGAGCTACCATGTGATCCAGCAATCCTACTGCTGAATATATACCCCAAAGAAAGGAAATTGGTATATTGAAGAGATATCTGCACTCCCGTGTTTATTGCATCACTGTTCACAATAGCCAAGATTTGGGAGTAACTTATGTGTCCATCAACAGATGAATAGATAAAATGTGGTACATATACACATTAGAATACTATTCAGCCATTAAAAGAACAAGATCCTGTCATTTGCATCAACATGGTTGGAACTGGATGTCATTATGTTAAGTGAAATAAGCCAGGCACAGAAAGACAAACTTCACATACTCTCACTTATAGGAACTAAAAATTAAAGCCATTGAACTCATGGCAATAGAGGGTAGAAGGATGGTTACTAGAGGCTGGGAAGGAAAATAGGGGGAGTTGGAGGGAAATGGGAATGGTTAATGGGTGCAAAATAAATAGTTAGAAAGAGTGAATAAGACCTAGTATTTGATAGCATAACAGGGTGCCTATAGTCAAAATAATTTTATTGTACATTTTATAGTAACTAAAAGAGTATAATTGGATTGTCCATAACATAAGGGATAAATGCTTGGGGTGATGATATCCCCATTTATCCTGATATGATTACACATTGCTACCTGTATCACAGGATCTCATGTAATCTATAAATATGTATACCTATTATGTACCCACAAAAATTAAAAACAATTTAAAAAAGAGCAAGTTTGCATATTCATAGCAGGTTCTTACTCTTCCTGTATTGGAGTGAAACACAATTCTAAATGACATTTCTAATAATACTTCCAACATATCTTCTGAAGAGTAGATTCATAGTCTGTTGTTTTCTGCAGCATGCAGAATAAATGTTAAGAATTATGTAATTTCAATATAAAGTAGTGTAGATATTTGCTCTAGGAAGTGAAGATTAGAGATTGATTAGACATATTGGTCATTTGATAAATATGGTCCTGGTGGGGTCTAGAAGTCACTGATTTCACCAGAAAAGATCAGGTGAAAAAACAAACCATAGTGAAGATAGGTTAAGTGAAGGACAAAAATTAAACTGAAAGTAGCAATTCAATGAATGCACTCAGCTGCAGACTAGGCACAACTGAAGAGAGAATTGGTGAAATAGAAAATAAAAGAAGAAAAAAACCCATGAATGTTTTAGTCCAGCAACGCAAAATGCAGAAAAGAACACAAACATATAGTTAAAAGTTTTAACATGTGGAATTAAAGAATCAAGAAGAGAATCAAACAAAAGCAATACGTGAAGAAAAGATTACTAAGATTTTGGGAAAACAGAGGAAAGACTTGAGATCACAGTTATGCCTGAAGCACATTATGTCAAAAGAAAATTAAGTTTTGATGCATCATATTAAGAATGCTAAAAAAGAAAAATCGTTAATGTGGCTAGAGAGACAAAAATAACTCCAAAGGAGCGAAGTAAGAATGACAGTGGACCTTGGAAGAGATGGAAATGGTCATAAAATGAAATATCTTGAAATTATTGAACGGAAATAACTGCCAACCTACTATTCTATGGAATTTAATACTCAATTACAATATCTTCCAAGAACGAAAAGAAAGGAAATCTAATTTTATACAATAAGTGAGAGAAATTATTAGTAGAGCCACACTAAAGTATATGCTAATTTGTGTTGTTCAGGCAAAAGAAAACTGATAATAGATTACAGCTCCAAACTGCAAGAAATAATAAAGAGAAATGAGAAAAGTAAACCCATGGGTTAATCTAACTGAAAATTGACTTAAAATAATGAAATATTATTTTAGATATTTAAAAATACATGAGAATAATGGCAAACAGAAAGGAATAGAGTTCAAGTATACTGAGAGCTTTGCATTGTTTAGGAAGGAGTAAATATAGTTCTTTATCTTTTAACCAGTAAAACTACAGTAAAAAGAATTGAGAAGTAACAAGCTAATGAAAGAAATGGTATAATAAAATTTGTTCAACCCAAAAGGAGTGGTACAGGAATATAGAATAGACAGGCCAAAAATAAAAATATATAGTAAGAAGATAGATTTAAATATAATTATTAATTTCATTAAAGGCAAAGGGAAAATAATTTTAAATAATTTCAAATATTTTCTATTGGTTTATGGGACCTATAACACTAACAAGAGAACTATCTCTTTGTGTATTTTTTATGCTTATATTTTAAATGGTTATAACATGGTGTGTATTTAATACTTTAGGTGTGAAATAAAGAATTCTTACATATAAACACAAATATATGGAAATATATCGCATCTGTACTCAGTATCTGTGGAAGATTCTTCCATAAAATGTGTACCAGGATCTTTGAGAAGGGATTCTTGGAGATTATGGTTCTGGAGTGGGAGAGAAACATATTTTCATTATATACTTATTTGCACTGCTTGATTTTGTTTCATCATATGCATGTATTTATTGTTAATTTTTTTCAAATAAAAATGATCGTAGGGCTTTGGAGAATAGCGATACCTGTCTGATTCCAGTATCTCCTAGACTTTATTCTAAAGTAACATAAAATAAAAAGATCACATTAAACTATTCATGACCCATACTTCTTGCGTTACCAGAAAACAGAGAACACCACATCTTTCTAATTACCTGTAAGAAGAGGGAAAGATATGTCAACAAATTTTTCATTATGCACTTGCCACTGCAAGCCTGTGATAAAAGTAAAGAGGGAGGGGAGGCTTAAAGATGTCAACAAAAGAGTAGAGGGGAGCAGAGAACTTAGGAAAAAAAGACACAATCACCGCAAGAAAGAAAAAGTGCAGCAATGAAAGTCAAAACACAGAACATAGGTCACTTGTTCTGGCTACCTAAAAGGGACTTGCAAGTGTGTAGGACAGGAAGTATCAACTTTAGGGTGGCATTCTGGAAGGAAATCAGACATACGGAGGGGGAGGGGGAAGTATTTCTTGCAAAAATAAAAGCAGTGATGCAAATGAAAGCAATATGAGTAGAAAGTTAAGAATTCTACAGAAACAAAAACTGAAGTAAGACTTCCCAGTTCCTTTCCTTCCCCAACCTAACAGCAGTATCTATAAAAGAGACTGCACAAAGAGACAAGAATTAACAAAAGAGAATACTCTTGTATTTGAGCCATGTCCAAAAAAAAAAAAGAGCAGCAAAAAGCAGACTATTGTAAAAAAAATTAGAAAATGCTAATAAAGTCTTCACTGCTGATTAAAAATCTCCCTTAAAAGATCTCCCTTGAAGGGGGAGAAAACTGTAACATAATACTCCACATATTAAATATTCTTAAATGAGCTTTTGAGTATGTACAAATAGATACCTTGAATTAAAAATGCAAACATTGAGGCAGGACATTGACCCCAATAGGAAGAAAGATAATGAGAGTTGACTGAACTCAGGAAACTAGTACAGTAAAAAGACAAAAATATTTAAGAAATGAAGGGTAAATTATGAGTGCCCAAAGGAAAGTTAAAAAAAAATCAAAGGGAATAAAAATGAGACATAAAAATAAAGAGTCAGAGAACAAAGTAGTTGAATTAGAAAACAAAGGAGGTTTAACATATGTATAACTGGTTTCCTTGATGATGGAAAAACCAAACAATGGAAAAACAATATTTAAAACTATAATCCAAAAAAAAACTTACCAGAAATAAAATAATTTAAATCTCCAATTGAAAGTGGCCATCTGGTACTTTGGAAAATTGATCTAGAAAAATAAACTCCAAAAATCAACTCCAAAACAGTAAAAATAAGCATAAAAATAATGTAATCAGAATCTCCAGGTAAAAAGATGAGTAACACCTACAAAGGCACGAAAATTAAACTGGCATCAGACTACCCAAAAACTGCATATAATGTAAGGCAGCAGTCAAGTAGCTTTTCAAGAAACTTAAGGAAACCAAAAATAGCATATGTGAATATTATAGGTGAACCAATAATTGTATAAACCAAACGGAATGACTGCTAGAAAGAACAAATACAGGTTGTTATAGGGATAATCTCTAGTAACCCTTTAGTGATCTAACCTTTTGGTCATGACTGATTGAATGGGGAAGAAAGAATTTCAAGTTAGGTAGACTATTTAGAGCATATGCTTGTTCTTAGAGCGTATGCTGGGATTTTTAAATTTTTATTTATTTTTTACTGTCTTCCTCTATCCCCTCTCTTCTGCCTATCTCTCTACCCACATTTCCCATCTTATTCATCTTCTTTTCCATCGTTCTCCATCTTTCTTCTGCATTCTTCTGGGCCCCGTCCTGTGCCTATGGGGCTGACCCCTACAGACCTCCTAACTGGAATTTTCTTACCCTCTGGCTTGCAGATGGGTTTGGAGTACGGGAAACAGGTCTAGATGTTTCTTCCCTCATTGTCTTTCTGCCTTGTCACTCTGGTTGTTTCAATGGTCGTATTTATTTTTAGCTATAACCTTTGCTGGAAAACTGCTTCTCCCAAGGCTCCCTCTCCTGGCTCCCTCTCTTTGCTCCTTCAAGTCTAGGGTAATAAAGGCCTCTTTCTGTTGGTAGATCCTGGGTCTCTATATCCTTTATTGGTTCCTTAATTTTTGCCTCAATTGCTGTAAATACTCCCTTAATTAATTTGTGCTGAAAGTAACAGCTAAGTACACCTTCCGTTTTGTGTTGGGACCCTAATACAAAGTGCTTCTCCATTAATTTGAAATTATTACTAGAACTAAAACGTGAGACTCAGTTTCACATTTTATTTCTTAAATAGAGGATATTTCTTATGTGAAAATTTCTTAGTTGTTATGGAGCCACCATACACCATGTAAATGAACCTAGGACAGAGAAAGCTTGTGTATAAAAGAAAGAAAAGCAGATATGCAGAGATAAGAGACAGAAGGTGAAGGTCACAAGTTCTTACTATTTCCAGGTGCTGACCGACTTCACTATCTTTGAGGGCCAGCTACATTCCTGCACTTGTCTGGTAAAACACATCAATGTTATTGTCATAAACTAGCCTGCTTATTTTTCTTTTGAACACTTCAGGCTTGTTTTAGTTGTCACTAAATCTTTCTTTTGTGTTTGAATTTCTACTTGTTCTTAAAAAAATTTGAAAGCTCTATGGACATAGTTCTCAATGCTCTTCTATTAATAGTTCCATTTAGAATAAAAAAGTAAAATACTGTTTCTAAGAGGTTATATACAAACTGGTAATAGTATTTTTTTCTTTGGGTATAGAACTACAGCAGGATTTTTTTTTGGTACCATCTCAATTTATTGAAAACCATCGCACAGTACCTGAAAATTAAATATTCATTTTAAAATGTATTCAGTTTATAAATCTATAACTACATGTAAACTATTTGTTCAATTTTGTTCACAGATGCATGTGGAAAGAAGTGATAATAGATATAATTTTATTTGATCCATTCAATTTAAAGATCAAAATGAGCAAATATGAGCAAAAAATGAATATATTTTACATTTCAAAATGAACAAAATATATACATTATCATGTTACATTACTATATGGCACATAAAAATGCGTATATTCCTCATTCAAAGTTTTCCCATGGCTTCAATATTTATGGGAATTTGTTATTGCTAATGCTGCATATTTTACAGCATTTTCTACCTAAATGGTCACCCTATCACAAGCCTCATGATCCTTTCTTAATAAACGAGCCAAGAGAAGAAGTTTCATCTATTGTAATTATAAAGAGAGAATTAAGCAAAAGCGTTTTCAAAATTATGCACACTTACAAACTGTCTTAATGGGTTGTTACAAATCTGCAAATGACTAGCGGGAAAACTTCCTGGAAGTTTGTGTGGTGGAGGGAGATACTCACTGCATTAAGATAAGACAACTGGCGTCTCTTTAAGCATCTGTCATCAGCTCATGGGCTTTAGTTCTCCAAAAATGGATTTGGGAATAATGACTCCCTTAATGACTCTGTATTATCTCATTTTGGGACTCTTTGTTGTTAATAGATTTGTAGGTGCAGTAACGTGTAAAGTTCCTTGTAACCAAGTTATAATTGTTACCATTCTGTTTACATTAGTATACAAAAACCATCAGGGACGTGTTGTCCTATGTAAGCTATTAACATATTTATACTGAACTGTATCATATTCAAGGGCTTTTCATAGGTATAACTTAGGTATATTATATTTGATTCTCATAGAAGTTTCATAGGTATATTTTATTCGATTCTCATAGAAGGTCTGATAAGTTGTGCCACAGACATTATTCCCCCGACACACACATATTTTATTAATATAGTGAAACTGAGGATTAGAGGTTTTTATTACAATTACAATAATAATTCTAATACATAGTATTTTGGAGTATTTATCAAGTTCTGGGCATCACTTTATGGTTAGTTGATTAATAGTTATGCAGTCATCCAGTGGTAATAGATGTGCAGAATCTTATGATAAGTCAAGGTGTTTTACACTGTGCCATCGTGATTTTGGAATTTATACTTTTTATGTTTGTTAGATTTGTTCATCCCAAAAGAAAAAGATTCAGATTCATATTGTGAGTGTAACATGTTCTTCTTAATTCCTGTTGGAGACACAGCAGCTATTTGCATTATATTGGTGAAGAGTGTGAAGGGATGACTGGAGAAATCAACATCAGAACATCAAATATATATTGGGGTGGGTGCTCCTTTTCTTGTGCTTAGTCAGGCTATGAGGAATATGGATTACCTGACAATCTGAGGACCCAAAGCCTTTTACCATCTTTACATACTTTCTGTGCTAACTTCTTTGATCATGGGAAAATGAATAATAGCCTAGTTCCTGGGAATAAGTGGTTATTTATCAATGTTTCAGGGGGATAAAAATAATAGATATGAAATCTTTGGGAGCCTCACAGTATTGAGAGACACAGCAAATGCAGTTTAAGATAAACAGACAAAGGCAATTTGTTAATATCTCAAATTAGTTTCAGACATTATCATGTATACTGTAATTTCATATCCATATTATTATTTGATTATCATAAGATCTCTAGTTGTAGGTACAGTTGAAATCATTCCTTTGGTGAAAATGAGGTACAGAGGGAATTAGTACTATAGAGGCAGTGATACTAATACTTATATAAATGCTAATAACATTTAATGAAATAGAAGGACAAAGTAGGAAGGCAAACTGTGACAGCAGTGACTCTAGCGATCATTCCTGAGGAAAGACAAGGTAAGAAGAAATAATACACCATTTATTTCTATAGATGAACGAGGTTCAAGATTCTCATTGCACACTCTGATAGGTAAAATATTTTGACTGTGTACTTCCATATTTCAATTTTAAGCACCAACTATGCAAATTTTTTCTCAACTTATATAGTAAATTTCCATCTTCTACTGTATCAATCAGTCACTTGTTCTTGCAAAGTAATCAGAAAGTGCTGCCTTGTTGTAGTTTTTAACAAGTTGGCGCAGAACCCACTGAAACTCTGAAAGATATTGAAATAATGTTAGGGTACTCTCCTTCCAAATTTCTGAAGTGATCATATGTGACAAAATTTTAAATAGGTAATATACTTAAATTGTTCTTGGAATCAAAATGACATGACTCTAGGAAAGTTTCCAAATATCAATTTCCAAAATATTCTTGCTGAAGTATAACTTTATTTTTTAAGAAACCACTTCTCTCACTCACTGTTAAAAATATGACCTTTATCTTGAAAGGATAAATTAAATATGTATATACATTTTAAAATCACTTGGGAGCATTTATCATAAAAATCATGAACCATTTGATTTCTCTGTATAATAATTTATAACTAATATGAAAATTCTGCAGCTCTTTTAAGTGCTTTGCCACGAGCAAAATTTCACATGTATAAGACTTTAATGATTTCTTTCTGTCTCATTAGGTATTTTAAGTATTCTACACAGTATTTTGAAATTCTCATTTTTACACAGTTAATTAAATCATGATACCTTTTAACATTTGGTGCATTTCTTACTGTAGCCTTTTTTAAAATTTAAATTAAATATATTTTACAACTTTTGGTCTTATTCCTTCGGCATATTTGCATATTAATACGTAACGATGTAACTCTTTTTAATGATCTTAAAGTTCTGTTGTTCAGGTGAATCATTACATCATCTTCTATTGATAAATACTTGAATCGTTTCCACCTATTTCTCATTATTAACAATGCTATGGGTAATATCTTCATATATATGTCTTTGTACATATGTACACATGCCCAAAACCATATTACAAAATTAAGCTTCCATAGAATACTGGCATATAGTAGATCCTAAATGAATATTTATTGAATTAAGGAAGTGCCTCTTGATCTTTTGAACCACATCTGAGGTCTGGAGGATCTGAAATATGACCTGAATTCCTGAAGAGGAACTCTACAAATACAGTATATCCCTGTTAGCATACCAGGATTAGGGGACAGAACCAAAATGTGTTTAAAATGAATATAGTCCAACAGTGTTGGGCACCAGTGATTTCTTAATATCTTCACCACCTAGAACCTCATTCTGAAATATTTTGCTTGCCAAACAAATAATAATTACTTACATTTTTACTTTATTTAGGCACACTTTTAAGTCTTGAAAGCTATAACTTACAGTAAAACCAAACCCATAAAATGGGAATCTGTGTTTATCTGTGTTTAATCTACTTAACTTTAGAGAATGCAAGATTTAGTCAAGGAGAATGCACGTGTAGACTACCTCTTGAGAAAATATATTTATGCTTTTAGTGAAATATTCACATAAAGACAGCCCAGTACCAAGCCCTATGTACTAATCCTGATGTTACTGGGAATTGGATTTCCCCTGTGGGGAACTGATTGGGGCTGAACTTAAATCTCCAAGGTTCTGGCCTTACTTAGGCATCTAAAGATTTATTCTACAGATCTAATTAGGAAGGTTGAGCTATGGCTGTAAGCTTTTGCTGCAATTGTTTGATATGCAGTCAAAGAATATAATATTACCTTGGAGTAAATGAATAGATGAATAACTGAATGAATTTAAATGATGCCTGTCACTTAAAGATTCCGGTTAAAGTATAACTCCATCAGTAGTTACACTTGCAGGTTTTAAAAAATAAATACTTGTATTTTTTAAGTTAAAGAATATATTTACTTTTGAGAATGTATGTGTGTGTGTACTCTTTCATTTGGTGTTTCACTAAACAGTTCTTAATGTATTATTACAACAGAATGTAGGCTGGGCATGGTGGCTCATGCTTGTAATCCCAGCACTTTGGGAGGCTGAGGTCGTGGATCACTTGAGGTCGGGAGTTTGGGAACAGCCTGACCAACATGGAGAAACTACATTTCAACTAAAAAAAAAAAAAAAAACAAAATTAGCTGGGTGTGGTGGTGCATGCCTGTAATCCCACTGTAATCTCAGCTACTCGGGAGGCTGAGGCAGGAGAATCGCTTGAACCCGAGAGGTGGAGGTTGCAGTGAGCTGAGATCGTGCCATTGCACTCCAGCCTGGGCAACAAGAGCGAAATTCCGTCTCAAAAACCAACCAACCAACCAACAAACAGAATGTAGCAAATGTTTTAAAATAGGATATTAGAAATATGTTTTCATCCAACTATATTAAAAAACCTTCCATACTTAACGTCATTCACTCTAATGCTTGTTTCTTCAAAATTTTAGCAGTATATCTATGCACCCTCTGAAAGCATTGTTTGCTAAAGAAATGCATTTTGATCACTATATTGTATTCAGTGTGTTGTTTCAGCTATTTAGCTACTTTTACAACTTCAGGTGGAATAAGCACTGCTGGCAAAGCCAAGCCCCCTCATTTGGCTTGCACTCTGAAATAAGAAATCTCTAAAGAGGCTTCTTATCTTTTTATAGCATTTAGTGAAATGTTGTTGTACCCTGGATTGAGAATCACATGATTTGCTGTGATACTGTAGAAATTTGTGTTCAGGTTCTGGATAATTAATGTTTTAATGTTAATCTTGATGACTTCATACAATCGTTGGGTAATATCTCAAGGCACAGTGAATACTTAGGGCAAAGGTCACTCTTAAAAATAGTAGATGTAGATCTATATTTCAAATAATCTTGATATATCCAGGTTTTTGAAGCCTACTTCTTGTCAGATGTGATAGATTATCACTTTTGTTTTAACTTCAAAGCTGACAAAGAGCTTGTACACTCTTACTCCTTTTAGTTTGGTCAAAAAAAATAGACAACAAACTAAACATTTAATCAGCCTTACATAGAATGAAATATGTTGCAATATAATGAAAACCAGCACAGCTAGGGTATCACTCCAACATACTTTGTGTGGGGGAGCCTCTCCTCCTCCTTTAGGTGACACAATGCTGGAAATGTGATATCCAACACGGAGACATGGGGTTGATCCATATGTTAAATGAAATATTCTGTGTCCTTTTTTATACAAGTATAACTTTAAAAATAGCTAACACAAAGCCATGTTTTTCCTATTTATGTCCACCTACCCAGCATGAGTTTGATAATTCTAAAAAATTCTGGTAGCCTTTAGAATGTGAAACATCATGGCTATTTCCTAACAATAGCTATTTTTATTATCTGCTGGTTTCTTAGTTTTAATGGTATCTACACTTCTGTGATGCTTAGGCCCCTAAAAGATTGAAAGCATACACAGTGAGGGTACCACTCTATTCTACTTCATGTGGGGGCACTTCTCTTCCTCATTAGGTGGCACGATGCCGGGCATGTGATATATGACACAGAAATGAGGTGCTGATCCATAAGTTAAATAAAATACAGTTCTAGCAAAGTATGAAGTAGTTGCGTCTGCTTCTACCAAACAAGATTTTTTGTGTCCAGTATCCAGACAGCTGGTTTCTGAAATGAAGGCACTGGACCCACATATTCTCACTGCAAAGGACACTGCTACTGTGGCTGCTTCCACCGACTGTTATCATCACTGAGACTGCAACGGAATGATGAAAAGAGGGTGGTATTATCTCCATGTCAGGCATCTTTCTTTGAGGACTATAGCAGTGCAGTGTCTGAACCAAAGTAGGTATACAGGAAGTATTTATTGAGCACCTGAATAAATCTTATGGCAAGGTATTATGTTATAGGCTTTAAGAACCCTGCGCTTCTATTTGTAGATCTTACCAAAATTATAATCGGATTTATAGGCAATTATTTATTTAATGGCAGCCACCTTGCTTCTCAAACCACTCCCCTCCCAAGTAAGCTGCTTGAGTTTAGACACCAAAGTCTATGGTATGAGTAATGTTAATGCCCTTGACTCTAGACGTCGTGAAGATATTTTTATTGCGAAGATACATATTTAGTTTTTACTTGTTCTTTTATTGAAGCCCCTCAAGGAGGAGATAAGGGATGCTGGGCAAATGAATGATTATAGTGACAAATACGTAGGTGTGGTGACGAGGGGCATGTGCCTTTCAGACCTTCAATTAAGGAGTGTAATTAAGTCCCCATCTGCTGCACCCTGAAATCCAAGAGTGTGTTTGCATTGAAGCCATGCTTCTTCCAGGACAATCCCTGTTAATGACTGAGGGAAGAAAGCTGACTCATTTCAGGGAAACACAGGACTGTTATTGGCCAATTTCCTGAAGGCTTTACTGAAGCTTTCTTCGACCATGTGGTGGTCTAGGACGCATCCAGCGAACTTTCTCTCTGTTTCTTCTTCACTCCAAATCATGATGGTCTGCTGACTCTCCAAGTCTTCTCTGGCTGCCTCCTTACTTCTTTTTCACACAGGTATTTTCCCTAACAAAACTGTCAGTGTTTAATCCCATCTTTGTGTTTGTTTCTTGGAAGATCCTAATTAAAGTAGTAGTGTAGTTCAAATGTTCCTAACACAAAGAAATGATAAATGCTTGAGGTGATGGATATCATGATTACCCTGATTTGTCCACTATACATTGTATGTCTGTATCAAAATATCACATGTACCCCATAAGTATATGCAACTGTTACATACCCATACTAATTAAAAACTTAAGAAAAAAAGTAATCAATCTTTTATTTGTTTGTTTGTTTTTGTTTTTGCACTAGTCTACTGCACCTCATCAAACATGTGTTTCAGCTTTTGTTGTTTTAGGATGGGATATTTTCCCCCATGAAGTTCCTTCGTTCTTTATGTATACAAACCCCTGAAGTGCTTTTCTCAAAATTTCTCTGTACTTGCTTAGGCACCCCTACATCCATGGCCTTGATCTATATATACTAGGACTATAAATGTAAAAGCATGAACTTCTATAATTACTGTTAAGGCTGTGAAAGAAGACAGGAGACAATTTATCTTTTATCACTGTGATTCTAGAGGAGCAAGATGTGCACAGACCTGTGTTTAAATGCTGGATGACATATTAGAGCTGGAAGGTTTGAGAAATCATAGATTTAAACTGTTCCATAAATTCTTACTAGTAAAGATGGTGTGCTGTTTTGCAATGCTTTGCATTCTCACATTTATTGCTGTGAGTAGACATAGGCATTTTGTAAGAAGAAAAGAACAAGACAAATGTGCTTTGTGAGCAGCAAAGTGACAAAACATTAGTGGCCAAAATGAGAATATATGAGAGAGCCAAGGGCACTGTTAATATGATGGAAAAATACAAAGTACTCAAGATCAGTGAGGATAATTTTGCTCTCTGAAATTAGAACTGTGTGGAATAGCTTTCTAATTTATAACAATTACTGGCTTGTATTGGCCTATTAGAAGTATCTGCTAAAGTCACATAAATTGAATTTGACCAATGGGACCTTACTTAAAAATAAAACTATAGTGTGGCAAATTCAAGTTGTGTTGTTAAGGTAAAAAACTTAGTCAAGGAGTAGCCCAGAAAAACATCAGCAACAGAATTTAGGCAGACAACCAGCTTGTAAAAAATATCTATCTCTCACTGCCTAAAATCACACAGGTAGCCTCATTTAATGAGACTGAGTAATCTGATGCACAATGAATATGACAAAAGACTCAGAGTTGCCCAAAATAAGACCAGTGACTTTCATTGTATCATTTTTTTAGTGTGTGTGTTTTGAATACATATTCAACAGGTGGTGAAAATATTTGGACTCTTTTCAAGGGATGGTCATTCACATAGAAGAGAAGTTGGAAGGATATCCTCTTCAGGCCCAGGAGAAAAGGACTGTGCTATTTTCTGAGCAGACATAACCTATTTGAGAGGATGAATCTGAAGAAGTTGAGCTGTACTCTCATTGCAAGAGCTGCATGTTGCTACAGTTATCACTAATCATTTCTTAGATTTAGAATGGAGCTTCACCAACTGATAAATACCATATAGTTCTTTGAGAAACCATTGCATCATGTCATGACTGATGCATTTTGGTAGGATGTGGGCACATAATAGGATATGGTAATATCAAAAAACAAACAATTGACGGGACCAGAAACTAAGACTTATAAGAGGATATGATAATTGTGGAGCACTGATCTATTTTTCTGCTGGTATTGTTCTTTCCTATTAGCCTATTGGGTTAATCTAGTTCCTTTTATAAACCTAGGCATACATTCTTCAAAAGTCTGAATAAATGGTGTCAAGCTACCAGACTGTCTACAAGATGGAGCAAGTCAGTAGACATATGAGCTTTATGAAATATTTCCAAGTTTCTTATGACCAAATTTCTGAGAAAAATAATAATTTGCAAGTGAAAGCAATGTTATTTGTGTTGAGTCTGGTATGTATCACGGTGGGCTCAGAAAAACGGAGCAATCAGCTACTTTTACAGGTTCTAGTGATGGCAGTGGCTGTTGTCATCACTCCGGCTGCAGCAGAGAGGTGCCCTGGGTGGGGCTACAGCTGCCCAGACTGCGCTGTGGATCTGAGCCTCCCTGTGCTCTTGCGGGGAACCGGGAGCAGGCAGGATCTCCCCTCCTGGGTGTAGCTGCAACCGCCCAACCCCTGGTTGCCGACCTGGTCCTCCCACTCCACTCAGCAAGAAGGAGCTGGGGACAAGCAGGAACCCTTCCCCTTCTGAGTTGGCCGGGTGGGAGCTCTGCGAGTGCAGCTGTGGCTGCCCTCCCAGGCTCAGGAACTGGGCATCTCTGCAGCCTGCACCCATGGGGGCCTGGGAAGGTCCCCTCGCCCCCCACAATCCCTGCAGGCTCGGAGAATGTCTTCTCCTGCTACCTGGCCTCTTTCGGCTCCCATGCTGGCTCTGATCTTGGAGCAGGGTTGGGGCTGAGCCCCAGGGCCATGAATGGCAGCGGCAGGGAGATTAATTCCTGGGCAGAAGGGGGCGGGTCTCCAGTAAGGCCCCACCTTCAGGCCACGCAGGGACTGAAGGCTGGGAGCTAGGCTGCCAGTTCCTCAGACCAGAGTGGGAATTACTGGTGCCTCTTCCAGGCCCTCCCATGGTCACCTCCGGACCAACTGGCACACACTTTCTCCCGTCTGAGGTCCACAACGGCCCTGGACTCAGCCAGAGCAGGGCAGAGGACAGCCAGAGGACTAAGAGGGCAGAGAGACACGGAGACGATCAGCTGCAGAGAGGAGTATCCTCTGTGCTTAGAGCTGCAGAGAACGATCTGCCGGCAGAGAGGAGCTACCCTCTCCGCTCAGAGCTTCAGAGACCTGCGGAAATGTCCAGAAGACCTGTCTACAGAGAGGACCTATCCTCTCCAGGGCCTCCTCTTTGAAGACAGCTGAACATTCCACAGGATGACCTGCCTACAGAGAGGAGCTACCCACTCCTCTGAGCTGTTCTAACACTAAATCAAACTCTTCTTCTTCTTCACCTTTCGCTTGTCTGTGTATCTCATTCTTCCTCAGGACAAGAACTTGGGCAAAGGCACCATGGCCACAGAGGTTTCCAGTCAGAAAAATCGACACCCCAGAGATCCCGTTAACAGTAGGAGAGTCAAGAAGATGGTTTTCTTTCAGTGTGTGCCAGTGATCCAGAATGAATGATTGATTGTTTTTGCTAGTAAAAGTTGGAGAGAAAGAAAAAAAGAAGAACAGAAAGGAAGAGAGAGAGCAAAGCAAAGATAATGCAGAAGAAACTAAAAGTAAAAGGAAAGAGGGCGGGGGAGGAAAAATCACATATTCCCTGTGAGCTTCATTGCCCTGCCTAGAGATTTTCCAAATATCTAAAAATTATTTTTGTGGATAATTTTTAGCATCTCTCATAATATAACTTAATTCCATGATTTTTTTTTGTCTATTAAATATCTGTTATAATTTAAGACATTAATTCTGTTAGGCTTTTGAAATATTCAGCATAGCTTGGGGATGAACTTTTCTACTCTTAGAAACTCGGGATAGAATTATGCCGAAACTCCTCTATCAATTTAGGGAAGTTAACCTGTTAACTCTGGAACCATAGTGTAGGATTTAGCTTTGCTTAGGAGTTCCCTGGATCTGCCAGAGTAAGTTGCTGGCCTTTGGGTACCACCTCACTCTGTTGCTCACATGCATTTGTTAATTTGTTTAGTGCCAGGATCCTTCTGGTCCCCTTACATGAGGAGATCTGAAGCGACAAGTCTTCATTGCAGGCTTTGATTCCCTCAAAGCCTAACTATATTCTCTCTGGTTCCTACAAGTTCTGTTAGCGTTCACTGTTGTGGAAGCAGGAATCAAATTATTTAAAAATTTGTAGCTATGTTATTATATTTTAAGTAAGTATTTTTGGTAAGCCAACAAAGGAAAATGGATATTTGAAGCTTAAAATCACCTTATAAAGTTTTGTAGTCTTTGAAAAACACGACTTCTTTTAATTTATGTAGTCTATTATTGTGTCTTCAAAATTATTCAGCTATCAATTATAAGGTCCTGTGTAAAGTCAGTTTTGAAGTATAAATAGGATTCAATTGCATTGTATCATGGGTCCCCTGAAGTAAAAGAGAAATTTCCTGAAATAATTTCTTTTTCGGAAGAACTATGAACCCTCTTCTTACAGTTTATTTGATTTTCAAATGACCATTCCTTGACTACTTTTACTATAGGACAAAATAATTTTCTGTATTTTAAAAATCAGTAGTGCTTATAACTATTTTATAGGAAGGAAGTTTTTTTTTCTTATTTTAACATCAAATTGTTTTCCTTGGCAAATGGAGCCTACATGACATTTGAATACAATAAAAAAATTGGCTGAAAATCCAGATACATCAAGTCCTCAAAAAACATCATTTTGTTCAACATAGTTTAGTTATATCACTGATGAGAAAAAAATAGATTCCTGGCTGGGGCCACATTCTCTGTGGATTTTGCATGTTCTCCTTATGTCTGCATAAGTTTTCTCTGAGTACTCTGGTTTCCTCCCATGTCCTAATGCCTGTGTGTGTTAGATGCATTGGTGTGTGTAAGTGATGCCAGTCTGAGTGAGTGCAGGTGTGTGTGTGTGTGTGTGTGTGTGTGTGTGTGTGCCTTGTGAAGGGATGGTGTTCTGTTCAGAGTTGGTCCCTCCCTATCCCCTTGAGCTGCTGAGATAGGCTCCAGCCACCATGACCCTGACCTGGAATAACTGGATGAATAATTATCTTGAATTTATTAGTTCTTCTTAAATGTATGTTGATCTCACAGTTATTTCAGTGTTTAATATTAGAGGCGTTTAGAGTCTTTATTTAGAGGTTTGGTGATGCTGTTGTGATTAGAAATGTGGCATAGGAGCTTACTTATTTATATCAATTAGCCTGTGGTAAGATTGGTTTCATTATATATCATTTGGCTTAAAGTCACAGTTTTCAAGAACCTATCAATGGTGTTAAGTAAGGACTGATTGTATTATTGAATATTTTGATTTTTTACCTTAAAAGAAATATGTGTAATAAAAATAATTTTTAGGCTTTTCTATAATGTTAATTTTCCTGTGATTACTTACCCTGAAATACAGAGGGATTAGTCCAAGGTCTTTTAATAGCCATAATGATGAAACGTAAAAAGCATGAAATGTTTTAAAAACAACCCTCTTTGGAACTTTTTTTTACATTAATTTCCAGCTCAGTAAACCTTCTTGATGGCAACACCAAATGTTTCATGTTAATCCAATGTGTGATTCATTTCAGTTTTACTAATCTTGCCACATACAGTTCTAGAATAAAGCCAGATGCTAAAGAATTATTTTACAAATACAAACTTTTACAGATGGAAATTTAGTGGAAATTATGTGTATATTAGGTAGCAATTGGTTAATGATCACAAATCTTTATGATTGTATAAAGAAAAATAAAATTCACATCACAGAAAAAGCTCAACATAAACAAAAATAAAACTTTGAGCTGAAAAGATTAAGAAAACAACACAGTTGCCTGCTGTTAGGTAAAATGAGTGTACCTGAACTCCAGGTGCTGGCATGTATGTACCGTTTAATTCAGTTATTCCACAGACAGATGTCAAATTTGGCCTATCTTCTGATTCCATTATACATTAATTCATGGTAGATATAAGAAACATTCTAATTGGCTTAGAAAGAAAAATAAACCTCCTTAATTATCTTACTGAAAATCACAGTTTAACAGCTCCTCCAGGCTTAGCATCATAGAATTTTAGGATTGCTTTTTTTTTAAAAATTTTATTATTATTTATACTTCAAGTTTTAGGGTACATGTGCACAATGTGCAGGTTTGTTACATATGTATACATGTGCCATGTTGGTGTGCTGCACCCATTAACTCGTCATTTAGCATTAGGTATATCTCCTAATGCTATCCCTCCCCACTCCCCCAACCCCACAACAGTCCCTGGTGTGTGATGTTCCTCTTCCTGTGTCCATGTGTTCTTATTGTTCGGTTCCCACCTATGAGTGAGAACATGCGATGTTTGGTTTTTTGTCCTTGTGATAGTTTGCTGAGATTGATGGTTTCCAGTTTCATCCATGTCCCTACAAAGGACATGAACTCATCATTTTTTATGGCTGCATAGTATTCCCTGGTGTATATGTGCCACATTTTCTTAATCCAGTCTATCATTGTTGGATATTTAGGTTGGTTCCAAGTCTTTGCTATTGTGAATAGTGCCGCTGTAAACATATGTGTGCATGTGTCTTTATAGCAGCATGATTTATAGTCCTTTGGGTATATACCCAGTAATGGGATGGCTGGGTCAAATGGTATTTCTAGTTCTAGATCCCTGAGGAATCACCACGCTGACTTCCACAATGGTTGAACTAGTTAACAGTCCACAGTCCCACCAACAGTGTAAAAGTGTTCCTATTTCTCCACATCCTCTCCAGCACCTGTTGTTTCCTGACTTTTTAATGATTGCCATTCTAACTGGCGTGAGATGGTATCTCATTGTGGTTTTGATTTGCATTTCTCTGATGGACACCGATGATGAGCATTTTTTCATGTTTTTTGGCTGCATAAATGTCTTCTTTTGAGAAGTGTCTGTTCATATCCTTTGCCCACTTTTTGATGGGGTTGTTTGTTTTTTTCTTGTAAATTTGTTTGAGTTCATTGTAGATTCTGGATATTAGCCCTTTGTCAGGTGATTAGGTTGCAAAAATTTTCTCCCATTCTGTAGGTTGCCTGTTCACTCTGATGGTAGTTTCTTTTGCTGTGCAGAAGCTCTTTAGTTTAATTAGATCCCATTTGTCAATTTTGGCTTTTGTTGCCATTGCTTTTGGTGTTTTAGACATGAAGTCCTTGCCCATGCCTATGTCCTGAATGGTATTGCCTAGGTTTTCTTCTAGGGTTTTTATGGTTTTACGTCTCACATTTAAGTCTTTAATCCATCTTGAATTAATTTTTGTATAAGGTGTAAGAAGGGATCCAGTTTCAGCTTTCTACATATGGCTAGCCGGTTTTCCCAGCACCATTTATTAAATAGGAAATCCTTTCCCCATTGCTTGTTTTTCTCAGGTTTGTCAAAGATCAGATAGTTGTAGATACGTGGCATTATTTCTGAGGGTTATGTTCTGTTCCATTGGTCTATATCTCTGTTTTGGTACCAGTACCATGCTGTTTTGGTTACTGTAGCCTTGTAGTATAGTTTGAAGTCAGGTAGTATGATGCCTCCAGCATTGTTCTTTTGGCTTGGGATTGACTTGGTGATGCGGGCTCTTTTTTGGTTCCATGTGAACTTTAAAGTAGTTTTTTCCAATTCTGTGAAGAAAGTCATTGGTAGCTTGATGGGGATGGCATTGAATCTATAAATTACCTTGGGCAGTATGGCCATTTTCACGATATTGATCCTTCCTACACTTGAGCATGGAATGTTCTTCCATTTGTTTGTATCCTCTTTTATTTCATTGAGCAGTGGTTTGTAGTTCTCCTTGAAGAGGTCCTTCACATCCCTTGTAAGTTGGATTCCTAGGTATTTTATTCTCTTTGAAGCAATTGTGAATGGGAGTTCACTCATGATTTGGCTCTCTGTTTGTCTGTTATTGGTGTATAAGAATGCTTGTGATTTTTGTACATTGATCTTGTATCCTGAGACTGCTGAAGTTGCTTACCAGCTTGAGGAGATTTTGGGCTGAGATGATGGGGTTTTCTAGATATACAATCATGTCATCTGCAAACAGGGACAATTTGACTTCCTCTTTTCCTAATTGAATACGCTTTATTTCCTTCTCCTGCCTTATTGCCCTGGCCAGAACTTCCAACACTATGTTGAATAGGAGTGGTGAGAGAGGGCATGACTGTCTTGTGCCAGTTTTCAAAGGGAATGCTTCCAGTTTTTGCCTATTCAGTATGATATTGGCTGTGGGTTTGTCATAGATAGCTCTTATTATTTTGAAATACGTCCCATCAATACCTAATTTATTGAGCGTTTTTAGCATGAAGGGTTGTTGAATTTTGTCAAAGGCCTTTTCTGCATCTATTGAGATAATCATGTGGTTTTTGTCTTTGGTTCTGTTTATATGTTGGATTACATTTATTGATTTGCATATGTTGAACCAGCCTTGCATCCCAGGGATGAAGCCCACTTGATCATGGTGGATAAGCTTTTTGATGTGCTGCTGGATTCGGTTTGCCAGTATTTTATTGAGGATTTTTGCTTTGATGTTCATCAAGGATACTGGTCTAAAATTCTCTTTTTTGGTTGTGTCTCTGCCCGGCTTTGGTATAAGGATGATGCTGGCCTCATAAAATGAGTTAGGGAGGATTCCCTCTTTTTCTATTGATTGGAATAGTTTCAGAAGGAATGGTACCAGCTCCTCTTTGTACCTCTGGTAGAATTTGGCCGTGAATCCATCTGGTCCTGGACTCTTTTTGGTTGGTAAGCTATTGATTATTGCCTCAATTTCAGAGCCTGTTATTGATCTATTCAGAGATTCATCTTCTTCCTGGTTTAGTCTTGGGAGGATGTATGTGTTGAGGAATTTATCCATTTGTTCTAGATTTTCTAGTTTATTTGCATAGTGGTGTTTATAGTATTCTCTGATGGTAGTTTGTATTTCTGTGGGATTGGTGGTGATATCCCCTTTATCATTTTTTATTGCATCTATTTGATTCTTCTCTCTTTTCTTCTTTATTAGTCTTGCTAGCGGTCTATCAGTTTTGTTGATCTTTTCAAAAAACCAGCTCCTGGATTCATTAATTTTTTGAAGAGTTTTTTGTGTCTCTATTTCCTTCAGTTCTGCTCTGATCTTAGTTATTTCTTGCCTTCTGCTAGCTTTTGAATGTGTTTGCCCTTGCTTTTCTAGTTCTTTTAATTGTGATGTTAGGGTGTCAATTTTAGATCTTTCCTGCTTTCTCTTCTGGGCATTTAGTGCTATAAATTTCCCTGTACACACTGCTTTGAATGTGTCCCAGAGATTCTGGTATGTTGTGTCTTTGTTCTCGTTGGTATCAAAGATCATCTTTATTTTTGCCTTCATTTCATTATTTACCCAGTAGTCATTCAGGAGCAGGTTGTTCAGTTTCCATGTAGTTGAGTGGTTTTGAGTGAGTTTCTTAATCCTGAGTTCTAGTTTGATTGCACTGTGGTCTGAGAGACAGTTTGTTATAATTTCTGTTCTTTTACATTTGCTGAGGAGTGCTTTATTTCCAACTATGTGGTTAATTTTGGAGTAGGTGTGGTGTGGTGCTGAACAGAATGTATATTCTGTTGATTTGGGGTGGAGAGTTCTGTAGATGTCTGTTAGGTCCGCTTGGTGCAGAGCTGAGTTCAATTCCTGGGTATCCTTGTTAACTTTCTGTCTCTTTGATCTGTCTAATGTTGTCAGTGGGGTGTTAAAGTCTCCCGTTATTATTGTGTGGGAGTCTAAGTCTCTTTGTAGGTCACTAAGGACTTGCTTTATGAATCTGGGTGCTCCTGTATTGGGTGCATATATATTTAGGATAGTTAGCTCTTCTTGTTGAATTGATCCCTTTACCATTATGTAATGGCCTTTGTCTCTTTTGATCCTTGTTGGTTTAAAGTCTGTTTTATCAGAGACTAGGATTGCAACCCCTGCCTTTTTTTGTTTTCCATTTGCTTGGTAGATCTTCCTCCATCCCTTGATTTTGGGCCTATGTGTGTCTCTGCACGTGAGATGGGTTTCCTGAATACAGCACACTGATGGGTCTTGACTCTCTATCCGATTTGCCAGTTTGTGTCTTTTAATTGGAGCTTTTAGCCCATTTACATTTAAAGTTAATATTGTTAAGTGTGTATTTGATCCTGTCATTATGATGTCAGCTGGTTATTTTGCTCGTTAATTGATGCAGTTTCTTCCTAGCCTGGATGATCTTTACAATTTGGCATGTTTGTGCAGTGGCTGGTACCGGTTGTTCCTTTCTATGTTTAGTGCTTCCTTCAGGAGCTCTTTTAGGGCAGGCCTGGTGGTGACAAAATCTCTCAGCATTTGCTTGTCTGTAAAGTATTTTATTTCTCCTTCACTTATGAAGCTTAGTTTGGCTGGATATGAAATTCTGGGTTGAAAATTCTTTTCTTTAAGAATGTTGAATATTGGCCCCCACTCTCTTCTGGCTTGTAGAGTTTCTGCCAAGAGATCCGCTGTTAGTCTGATTGGCTTCCCTTTGTGGGTAACCCGACCTTTCTCTGTGGCTGCCCTTAACATTTTTTTCCCTTCATTTCAACTTTGGTGAATCTGACAGTTATGTGTCTTGGAATTGCTCTTCCCCGAGGAGTATCTTTGTGGGGTTCTCTGTATTTCCTGAATTTGAATGTTGGCCTGCCTTGCTAGATTGGGAAAGTTCTCCTGAATAATATCCTGCAGAGTGTTTTCCAACTTGGTTCCATTCTCCCCGTCACTTTCAGGTACACCAATCAGATGTAGATTTGGTCTTTTCACACAGTCCCACATTTCTTGGAGGCTTTGTTCATTTCTTTTTATTCTTTCTTCTCTAGACTTCTCTTTTCACTTCATTTCATTCATTTCATCTTCTATCACTGATACCCTTTCTTCCAGTTGATCGCATCAGCTACTGAGTCTTCTGCATTCGTCATGTAGCTCTCATGCCTTGGTTTTCAGCTTCATCAGGTCCTTTAAGGACTTCTCTGCACTGGTTATTCTAGTTATCTATTTGTCTAATTTTTTTTCAAAGCTTTTAACTTCTTTGCAATTCGTTCGAATTTCTTCCTGTAGCTCGGAGTAGTTTGATCGTCTGAAGCCTTCTTCTCTGAAGTCATCAAAGTCATTTTCCATCCATCTTTGTTCCATTGCTGGTGAGGAGCTGCGTTCCTTTGGACGAGGAGAGGTGCTCTGATTTTTAGAGTTTCCAGTTTTTCTGCTCTGTTTTTTCCCCATCTTTGTGGTTTTATCTACTTTTGGTCTTTGGTGATGGTGATGTACAGATGCATTTTTGGTGTGGATGTCCTTTCTGTTTGTTAGTTTTCCTTCTGACAGACAGGACCCTCAGCTGCAGGTCTGTTGGAGTTTGCTAGATGTCCACTCCAGACCCTGTTTGCCTGGGTATCAGCAGCGGTGGGTGCATAACAGTGGATATTGGTGAACCGCAGATGCTGCTGCCTGATCGTTCCTCTGGAAGTTTTGTCTCAGAGGAGTACCCGGCCGTATGAGGTGTCAGTCCACCCCTACTGGGGGGTGCCTCCCAGTTAGGCTACTCGGGGGTCAGGGACCCATTTGAGGAGGCAGTCTGCCGGTTCTCAGATCTCAAGCTGCGTGTTGGGAGAACCACTGCTCTCTTCAAAGCTGTCAGAGAGGGACGTTTAAGTCTGCAGAGGTTACTGCTGTCTTTTTGTTTGTGCCCTGCCCCCAGAGGTGGAGCCTACAGAGGCAGACAGGCCTTCTTGAGCTGTGGTGGGCTCCACCCAGTTGGAGCTTCCCGGCCGCTTTGTTTACCTAATCAAACAACTAACTTGGCAGTGGCAGGTGACCCTCCCCCAGCCTCGCTGCTGCCTTGCAGTTTGATCTCGGACTGCTGTGCTAGCAATGAGGGAGGCTTCGTGGGCATAGGACTGTCCGAGCTAGGTGTGGGATATAATCTCCTGGTGTACCGTTTTTTAAGCCCGTTGGAAAAGCACAGTAGTAGGGTGGGAGTGAACCGATTTTCCAGGTGCCATCTGTCACCCCTTTCTTTGACTAGGAAAGGGAATTCCCTGACCCCTTGTGCTTCCTGGGTGGTGATGCCTCGCCCTGCTTCGGCTTGTGTATGGTGCGCTGCACCCACTGTCCTGCACCTACTTTCTGGCACTCCCCAGTGAGAAGAACCCGGTACCTCAGTTGGAAATGCAGAAATCACCCGTCTTCTGTGTCTCTCACGCTGGGAGCTGTAGATGGGAACTGTTCCTATTCAGCCATCTTGGCTCCTTCTCTCCCGAATTTTAGGATTTCAAGAGAACCTGGAGATGATCTGGCTTGATCATTTTACATTTGAGGAAACCAGGGTTCAGAAGTCTGATGTGACTCTTCCAATTATGTTGATCTGGATTAAGGAGGATCTGGTTCTGACTCCTGACAAATATTGTTTGTATCCATTATAGATAAATAAGTGCACTAGAGACACCTGAGCAACTCTCCCCCATTTTCAGATATAAGGATGGCTATGCTATGCACACAAGCACCAAATTATATTAATGATGGCCACCACTTATTGGGTGTCTTCTGTATAGCATACATTTGATGTATATTACTTATAATTCTAACATATTTGTGACCTGGTAATTGTTATTCTTTTTCTATTACTGATAAAGAAATTAAAGTTCAGAAAGGTAAATTACCTTTTTCAGATCTACACAAACAGTGAATAGCTGAAGCAAGGTATAGTATGACTGTTCCTGAAGGTCTCAGGAAAAGGGATTTGAAGGAAGGGAATGTACAAACTATCGGAACTGTAAGAATCTATATGATAGTGGAAGAGTTGATGGGGTGCTAGTTCACTTCTCTTGGTGACTGAGATAAACAGCAGTATCAGACAGGAAGTCACTTGTTTTTAAAACTTGGATTAAGTCTAAGTTTAGCACATGATATTTGTTCTATATAATTAAAGATATGTAAAAATCAGAGTATACATATATAGCTTTAGAATTTTCTTTTGGCCAGTGAAAATTTAAAAGCTAAAGAGTCTATTCACATTTCCAGCATTCCATTAGACTCCTTGTTTCATATATTTTATGTCTCTGATGAGATTTCTCATCTGTTATTGCATATTGCCTTTCTTTTCTTCTAGATTATTTAAAATCTCAATCATAGATTTTTTTGTTGATCTGAAAGTTCTAACATCCAAGTCATCTCTGGCTCTAGTTCTTTTAACTGATGTTTCACTAAAATGCTGTTCTTATTCTAGTCTTTTTGTGTTTCTGATACTTTTCAGTTAGAGGTCAAACATTGTATAGAAGAATGGTAGAGACTGAGGTGAATAATATTTATGCCTGGAAATGGGCCACCCCTTCTTTAGGTCATGGATGTGGGAGTTGAGTCAATTTAGTAAGTGATTGAGCTGGGATATTTTGTTGTTATATTCAGTGCACCACAGCCTTCAAATGCTTACAGCAGTGGGCTGCCTCTGCCTTGTGTTTCGTTTAGGGGTTGGGGTACCGCAAAGTTTTTCTCAAAGTTCGTGCTCCATCTGCATATCTGGGCATAATGGGGGTCTCTCTCCACATTCCTAGCCCTCCCTCAGCAGCAGACAATTTTGCTACTATTCTTTCTGGCTGCTAGGGCAATAGGATTTTCTAACCCTCTCCCATGGCTTGACTTTTGTGTCATAGAAAGGATGGCTCAGAGAATGGGCATATTTTATGTCTGTGCACCACGAAGTGGTTCTTTCTTGGATCTCCTTCTTTGAATCAAGTCTTTTTTGAGAGTGCCTGGTGGTGGCTTATGGAAAAGAACTTGTAAGTGAACGTAGACATACCCTTGTGTCTGAGCTTCCAGGGATCTCAAACTGTCTGTCACATGAATCCACAGTCAGCCTTTAAGAATTAATTAGTTATTTTGCTTGTTTCTTCTTTCTTGTTTTTTTTTTTTAATGGCACTTGCCTCTTTCTCATGTGTTTTGTCAAAAGTGAAACAGTTCAGGTGTCCTGTCTACCTTTTGAAACTCAGTTCACATAATTGTTCTGAAACCTCAGCTCTCTGATAGGTTTAAGGAAAGTTATGATTTTGTAGATTTCCCAGCTTTTTCTTCTTGTTAGGATGACAGTCATACTTCCTGCTGCTTTATATTAGAGGCAGTAGAACACCTCAGCCCACTCTTATTAAAAATGTGTAAGGATAATCATCTAACTGTTGTTATTCCTGGTTCTACATGTTTATATTATGATAGCCAAATAAACATTCTCAAATTGGGTAGTTGCATTTTAGTCATTAAATACATTTCTTTATCATTTGAAAAAATATGAGTCAAGGGATGTGAAGAGACTGAGTGTTGTGATGAACATAGAAGCTTTTACTTGTAGCCAGAGGATACTATAAGGAAATGGTTTGCCACTAATTATCTAGTGACACTGGTAAGCTTACTTAACTGCTTTCTGTAGCTCATTACTTTGTAATGTAAAAAGCATCATTTTCGTACTATTGTTGTAAAGATCATGAATATACTTTTTCATTCAAAAAATGAATTTGAGCATCCATAGTCAGTAATAAAGGTGTTAGTAATACAGGAGTGAACAAGGGAGAAGCTGTCCCTTGCCCTTGCAAAGCATGCATTTTACTGGGAAGAGACAGATATAAACATGGAGAAAAATTAAGGTAACTTCAGGTAGTAAGTGCCTTGAAGAAAAAGTGGGGTAAGAATACAGAATTAATGAAGTCAGGTGGGGATTGTTTTACAGTGTGTGGGCAGTAGGTTACTTTTGACTAGAAACTGAATGACTCCATCTTCCCCCGAAAAAATCAGCTTTGAGAAGGCCAGGTAGAAGAGAAGAAGCATATTCTAGTTAAAGCAAACTTCAAGTGTGAGCCCTGAAGTGAAATAAGCTTGATGTATTTGAGCAACTGAAAAGTCAGTTTGGCTGCAGCATAGTTGGCTAGAGAAAGAATGGAAGGGGGCTAGTTTGGAAAGGGAGACAAGATGCAGATTATGTAGTGTTTGATGGGTGAAGTTAAAAAAAATTGTATGCATGACCCTAACCACAAGCCTGAGAAAAGGTAAGTATTCAAGAAGTGTTAATTATTTTATCATTATCATTTACTCCTCTCTGTGGATGTCAATATATCCTACCCCAAATAAATAAAAGTCAGGAAAAGGATGGTGATACACTGCTCTGGAATTGTAAGTTTGGGTAAGTAAATCTAAACTGGGAAAGCTAAGTAAAATTAAGAAATCTAGGGATTTTGTCTTCCAAACTGGTCTTAATATCACTATTCATCTGTGTGTTGGGTATAACTAGAGTTCTAGACAAAATTTCAGGTTGGTCAGTTTATGTTTTGAGGTCCAAACTCCGTTAATTACTGTTTTCCTTCAAATGCTCTTCTATCCTACACCAAAGATATCAAATGTCTTTCATATAACCCCATGAAATCTCTCATTCTCATAGCCAATATATTAATTTGGAAGTAAGATAAAAATAAGAGGTAAATTACTGATAGGTTTTTATACTGCCAAACTCTAGGCCTTATAACCCATTCCTACAGATAACTGAATTTGAGATAAATTAACTAAGATATGGTTATGTCATAGAAATAACCAGGTTCTTGTCATATGACCAGGAAAGATTAGGCTCACCGACACATAGAAGGCTGAGGAGCAGTATTTATTGGGTGAAAAGGAAAAAGGAAAAATAACTCTCAGCCAAGTGAGAGAGAATCCTGCTGGCAGTTTGAATCCCAGGTCACCACACAGGAACAGGAGAGGCCAGGCTCCTCCCCTCTGCAAACAGTGAGAGCTTCCCGAGGTTCCACTCTGTCCAGGAGTGCTCAGGTGGTCATTATACAGAAACAGTTGGGAAAGGGCCAGCTTCATCTGGGACCAGCAGTCTGAGTTTTCAGCCTTCAGGCTTTTTTATGCTTGAAGGCAGGGTTTCACTGGGAACCCTTGGCTGCCTCCTGTCTCTATCAGTTATGACTGTTAACCGTGAGAAAAGATATTTTTGAGCAAAGGCATCTTGCAAACTCAAACTTGTCTTTCCGATCCTTGGTCTGTATGGTGGTTCTGGAAAAAAATACATTCAGCATTGTTTATTAACATGCAGTCACCCTATCTATGCTTCCTTTATTCCTTTTTAAAAAATCTGTATTAAAACAACAAGCAGTTGCCTTTTATTCTAGAGAGAAATGGGCTCAGCACAACACAAAGATCTCATTTTCTTATGCTTCTGTTTTCTGCTTTAATGTAAAAAGCATACTAATATTTAAGAACAAAACCTAGAATCTAGGCTGAAAGGTAATGTAGGTATCATCTCGTGCTTCCACTCTCCAAATCTTTTGCTCCTCTGTAGTCCTGCTGTAATTTCTCACCAAGATCATTGGCTTATCCTTGGCTGGACAAATTCTTCTGGCACAGAGAATGCAGAGAATACAGTGTCTCACGAAGTGGCCCATTTAATCTTGGCTTATTTATTTTAAATTTCTTTACACACCTCTTATAATTCTCTCACTCCAACTTACTCATAAACAATGTATTTTGGATTCTAATGAAATCCATGATCCCCAAATGTTGATATTTTTCCTCCTATGTTTTTATCTTCCTCTTTTTGGTAATGTATCTAACCTTCTTGATTTCTTCTCTGGTAACTTTTACATATTCATATCTGCATTTATGCTGTTGCCAAGTTGCCAACATTGTAATTCCTGGGGTTTTATTTTTAGTAAAAGAATATATATATTTTTAATATTACTGATATGATCACCAGAAAAAGTCAAGTTCATTTATTAAACTTTTTCTTTTGTTTGTTAATTCGTTGAGTAGAAACTTATTCAGGCATTTATCTAGGTCTTGAGGTTATAATAGTGAACAAAAGGAACAAAAAGAACTTTTGTAAGATGTGTAATAAAGATGTTCTGACACCTCACTCTGTTCACCTCTTTACTTTTTTATACCCCTTAACTACCAGGTCCTCTTAGCATATATACATATGTAATTCCTTACATGTTAAGAGTGAGGAATTCTGGACGTTCTCTAACTTACGGAATTTTAATTATTGATATTATTATTATGATTATTTTGAGACAGGATTTCACTCTTTCACCCAGGCTGAAGTGCAGTGGGGCTATCTTGGCTCACTGCAACCTCTGCCTTCCATTCAAGCAATTCTCCTACCTCAGACCCCTGAGTAGCTGGGATTACAGGGGCCCGCCCCCACACCTGGCTAATTTTTGTATTTTTAGTAGAGATGGGGTTTTACCATGTTGGCCAGGCTGGTCTCGAGCTCCTGACCTCGTGATCTACCCACCTCGGCCTCCCAAAGTGTTGGGATTACAGGCGTAAGCCACTGCGTCTGGCCTGATATACTATTAATATCAATGAGATGAAAGTAAGAACCTCCCCATAAGCTATTTATTACTGCTGAGAATTGGGTGCTTTTTTCCCCTTCCATAGTCTCAGCAGATTCATCTTTAATTGTTGTCTTCAGATTTTTAATGCTTTGGCATGCCACTTCCCCAGTCTTTTCTCTTGAAGGTGTGCTCTCTTCTCATCTCATAAACTCAGAATTTTGTTCTGGTTTGGACTAGAATATTCAAAGCAAGATATTCCATGTGACATCCCTGCTGTGAACTCTCTTAAATTTCCTTCAGTTGCTAAGATCATTATAATCAATATGTATTTTATGAGTGTTAAAAAAAATCTCCTTTAAGATTTCTTTGTTTAATCCTCTGCTCTTTTTCTTTCTAAATCTTCAGGCTTCATCTGCAACCATACCGTCATTTTCCCTTTTGCGTGTTGTCTAGTTTTATTTGAAAAATGTTTCCTCATTAGACAGAAATCTTTCTACTAGTTTTTCAAAACTGATGGGTAAAATCTAGAGCAAGAACTACAATTGTTACCATCTCCTGCTTTTTGTAAAATGCTTTTTAATTTTTTTTTAATTTTTATGGACACATAGTAGGTATATATACTTATGAGGTACCTGTGATGTTTTTATACAGACATTGAACTCCTCTGCACTGATTTTGCCCAAACTTCCTTTCTCCAGTTACAGATACACAATGAATCTTCTGGTCAAGGGTACTGTGTTTTTTGATAGGGCAATGAAAAGGGACCCTGTGGCTAAGAGCTGTCCCACAACTAGAGTATAAGAATAAAAGGGACACCAGGACATATTCACGTTTTCTATCAGCCACTAAATTTCCTATGAATATACTTCCCTTTCTATTTCACTTATTTTCTTTCTTTCTCTCTCTGTCTCTTCTTCCCCTCCCCTCCCCTCCCTTCTGTTTTTGATGGAGTCTTACCCTGTTGCCCAGGCTGGGTATCTGGCGCGATCTGGCTTACTGCAACCTCCACCTCCTGGGTTCAAGCAATTCTCCTGCCTCAGCTTGCCAAGTAGCTGGGCTTACAGGCATGCATCACCACGCCCAGATAATTTTTGTATTTTTAGTAGTGACAGGGTTTCACCATCTTGGCCAGGCTGATCTCAAATCCCTGACATGAGGTGATCTGCCCGTCTTGCCCTCCCAAAGTGCTAGGATTACAGGCTTGAGCCTTGCCTGGCCTACTTCACTTATTTTCATTTTGTTTCTACCACCAAGGACGACAAATAATCATTCTTGACTCATCCATCAGTTTTGCTTTTTCAATTCAGTTGTATTTAATTTTCATCTTTTTTGTTTTTTTTTGTACTTTTGAATTTTTGCCCTTTCATCTCTTACCCCATTTCTCTTGCAGACTCTTGACATCTTTTGATAACTTCCGGAAAAATATCCATTGCATAAGCAATGATTGGACTGGCCGGCACCTTCATTCATTATACATATTTACGCTCTTCTAAATTTTGATAAGTTTTTCTGTAAAATGATCTGGGAACTCCATGAATTTCTATGGACTTCGAGAGGCTACTAGAGCAACCTGTTCATTTTCACTTATTATTATTTTTTTTCCGCATCTAACCCAGGGATGGATAGGGATGCTAGTATCATATCAACAACCTTTTAGGCAAAGGTTATTTTACACAATCTTGACTAGAAAACCATTGATTAGATTGACAGCTTTTAGATGTTTTCTTCATACTTCCCTCGTTTGTCATGTTCCATGATTTTTACTAAAGTTCAAGCAGTCAGCTTTTTTTTTTCCCTTTATGGCTCTTACCACTCTCTACTTTCTAACTGTAAGGTTTTGGTAAGTACAGTGTTTCTGTTTTTCCGGGCATTTTCTGCTTTAACCACTATGACTCTGTTTGATGAGAATGGTCTAATCTGTCTTCTCTAATTTCCCCCTTTTGCTTATAATGTGTAATCTCTTATATGGATGGAGACTTGGAGTATCTATTCTGTACCATAAAACCTTGGGGTTTTCTTTTATAATGTACTTTTTTAGATGATTATTATTCATGGTTTAAATTTATCTATAGTAATATAAATTTGTGCATTGGGTATACTGCATCTTTTTGCAAAATTTCTCACTTTTTGGGAAAAAGTCATGACACGACATGGTCAGAAAATAAGTATTTTTCTCAGTATTTTTTTTCTAGCCATGCTTGCTGTAAGTACTACTGGGTCACTTTAGTTTTGAGTAAATGCATTTTTTTCCAATTTATGTAATTGTTTGTATTATTTGGATCCCCATCATTTTCTTCTGATATTCCCCCCACCTTTTTTTTTTTAACTTTCCTAGGAAAAAAAAGCTAACTTTTTTTTTAACTAGATAGGAACATGTGATATCCTTAAATCATGTTATTTTTGGAGGAATTAGACACATAATCCACTTCTAATCTAGGCATTTTATTTGTTGTTTATTTGTTGAAAATACAGTATGTGTACATTAAGAAGTACCATGGTAGCCTGGCTTTCTGTGGGCACCATGGTGAAGTCCCCCAAATGGTCCATTGTGTTTGCCAGTAGATATATGGCACTGCCTATGTATTAGGATGACATGACATTTTAGGTAGAGAAGAGAAAAATCACTTGGCCTGTTTGTTTTCCCCATTTGGTGTGATTTTAGTTTTTTAAGGTCTTCTGTAATTCCTTTATTCTTTTTCCACCTGTAATGCCTCATATTCTAATATGCTGTTACTCAATTGCCTCTGTCTTCCTGGAAGTTCTTGTATGAATCTTGGCGGCTGCAATGTCCTGTTTTTATGCTTTCAGATTTCTCTTTCTCTGAATACCCTGTCTACTTTCTTTCATTCCTGCTTGATTTTTAAATCTGCTTTCTTGGGATATAATTTACGTACATTAAAATTCTCTAAGTGGGCAATTTGATGCATTTGGCACATATATACGGCTTTATAACCATCACAGCAATCAAAAAGAAAAACATTTCTGTCACTCACAAATATAATAGCTCCCTTATACTGCTAATTGACCATGTAGTTTTCTCTAAAGGAACTGGTTTCTTTTTCTTGTCCTCAAAGATCTTTTTTTGTTTGTTTTTTTGAGATAGAACAGGAGTGCAATGGCATGATCTTGGCTCACTGCAACCTCTGCCTCCTGGGTTCAAGTGATTCTTGTGCTTCAGCCTCCCAAGTAGCTGGGATTACAGGCGTGCACAACCAGGCCCGGCTAATTTTGTATTTTTAGTAGAGATGGGGTTTTGCAATGTTGGCCAGGCTGGTCTCAAACTCCTGAGCTCAAGTGACCCACCTGGCTCATCCTCCCGAAGTGCTGGGATTACAGGCATGAGCCACCACACCCGGCCCTATCTTTTCTTTTTACTGAATAATTATCTTTGTAGTAAAATGATTTGTTTTACTTTTCCTTCTCTCGTCTCAGTACTGTAAGCCCATCACCATTTGTATTTCTTCCCATCTCTTTCTGAAGCACCCTCTTGAGATTTTCCTTTTGCACAGAGGACTATGCATTCACAGGAGCAAATTTTACCTGCTTCGTTACTCCTCTTCCCTCCCTGTGTTCTGAATCCTGAACATGTATGTCTTCTGCCTATTTTTATTATTTCATGGTCTTTGGTGACCTGAACTGGCTAGTACTTTTCTAAAACACAAAATTATAGACGTTTTTCTCCTCCTTTTTCCCCCTTCCCTTTTCCTGCCAGAAGGAACAGTGTTGAGCTTGTTTTAAAAAGACTGTGATGTTTTTATTTATTACATATTCGCTTTATTTCTAGATCCACAAAATGTGTTTTTTCTAATCCTTATCAGACCCTAGCTGAAAAGCATCTGGCATTGATTAATCCCTCCTTCTCTTGCTCCAATTTTACTTCATCTTTGTATTCCTAGTTCCAAACCTGACAACTGTCACTCAACTTTTTATTGCATAATGTTTTCAATATTTATACCGCAAGCTTTTTATTTTAAAGAGAATTAAAAAGAAATCTTGGGCTTTCTCTTCCTTTCCATACAGTTCCCAAAATTTTATGAATGTTTACCACAGATTCAATGCTTTGTCAAATGCTTTAATTCCTAAGTGTGTTTACGTGCTGTGCAAAAACTTTAGATATTGGAGGTAGACAGAAAGCAACTCAAATAATATCTATTCTGGCTTCTGATCATGAGGACTTGATATCTGTATTCCTCAAGGTTCAATTTCTTATTTTGTAAAATACAAATAAATACCTTTCAGGACATGGAAATAGTAAGAATTAGAGCGTAAGTAAAGGATTACTATAAAAATATATTTGAGATAACATATATAAAACCTCTAAAACATCTGGCCCATGGACTGTATTCATTAAACAATCAGTATTATTATTTCAGCAAATGAGAACTTTGAATAAACTCCAGTTAAAAAAATGATTACATAATCTCTTGTACACAACTGACTTTTTCTACTCCCAGAGATTTTATAGATTTTCTTCATCTGTATGCCACTTTTACCAGAAATTCTAGGATTCTAGAAAACAAAACAGGCAAACCAGATCTTTGCTTCAGATTTTCTCCTTCATGGCCTCTATTGGCTTCAATTATTTTTTCCTTTTTTGTCCTTAATGAGGTTGCCAGCTTTATACCCTTTCCCATTAGTTTCCATTTTCAAGTAACGCTGATTCCTACCTTGCACATAGAGGGTGAAAGAGAATGGGGTGAAGAAAATAATATGAAGTCTTAGCATACTCAGTCGTTACCAATTTGTGTTTTTTTTTTTCTATTGTACTCTAAAATTTTCTCTTTTTAAAAAGTCGCAAAACTCTCAGACTGTAGCCTCCAAATCTTCCTGCTATCATTGACCACCTTGGTTTCTTTCCTGGTGAAATGTCCTAGTCTGAAAAACTCACATGTAAGTGTTAATGTCTAATAAACAAGAAAATTAGTACACGCCCATTCTCCAAGTTGTTCGTAACTGGCAAATAACACTGGCAAGGATAAATGAGTTTCAACTGACTCTTATTTCAGTCCTTTTTCTACGTGGCTGCCAGGTCTAATTTAGTGCTTCTCAAACCTGGCTACATAAGAAATACTTGGGGAGTTTTAAAATATTACCAAATGCCTGAGCCACACTATGGCTGGTTCTGAATCACTGAGGGTCGGGCCCAGGCATCTGTATATTTTAAAAGCCTTCCAGTTGATTCTAATGTGTAGCCAGGGTTGAGGAATATTGCAATAATTAGATAACTAGTTTCCAAACTCGTTTTTATTTTAAAATTTAATTACAGTTGTCTTAGAATGAAGGAATTAATTTGCCAAATGTATTTTTTCATAAGTGGATTTTTTTTTTTTCTTTAAGGAGACGGAAAAAAGTGGAGTTGCTCTGGGGTGAGAGTGTAGAGGTCTACCTAACCAGAATTCCTCCAGCTCCATCTCAGAACTCATAAGACCACTCACAGTACTGTTTGAAAACCCTTAGCTTAGGTGTGCAGTGAATTCACTGGAGGAGCATTTTGAACTGGGTCAACTGAGCAAGACCTAGATAACAGAGCTTCCCGGCCAATTGCCTCCAGTAGCCTACTCGAGTGCTGTAAAGATGTCATCATTTTCTATGTATGACACAAGGTGAAAAATGTTGGGATGCACTGATTGAAGAGGCCATGTTTATCTCTGTCATTTGTACCGTTTCTATGTCTGTTATTTTCACCATTTTATATCTGCTATTTTCTGTAGGCTACATATTTCACTGTACCAAATATTTCAGCAATTAATCGTTCAGTGAATGATTTTCAGCATTTAAAAAATGCAAGTTTATCCACTGGCTGCTTTTACTTTCTTTTGTTTCGCTTTCGTTTGAGTGTTTATACATAATACTCTAAGAAAAAGTGCGTAGTTACGAATTAATCCACAACTGGTTATAACAGCTGACACACAACCAAGATACCATTTTTTTTTAAGTCATGATTACTCAAGATTTCTCAGCGGACACTAGCCTTGTTTATATGCAGGTTTTACAATAGAAGCCTTTATACCCAGAACGTAATAGATTTTTGCATCTGGCTTGCCACCTGCGTGCAGGAGATTCCCAGAAGACAGGCACATACTCTGGGTCGTTGATTCTCATCTCGTTTGATACATATAATGAATTGCTGTTGGGTGTAGTTTTGGGGTATGAGCAAATTTCAGCTGTCATCTCTAAGGCAGCTTACCTAGAATTAGATCCTGCCATTTCAAATGCTGTTTGTCTTCATTAATCTTCATTCTTGCCCCATTTGTCCTATTCAGTTAACGTGACCTGAATAGCTTAATGGTGCCGGTGTACTGTCAGGCAGGCTAAGACTGAATATAGACATACCCTCTGGACACCGTCATCTATAACTCTAAGCCATATTATATCTATTTTTTTGTTACTTGTTGGTCTGTTAATTTGGCTGTCTTATTATTTTCTTACCAAAACTGCTGCTGTCGTCCTTTTTTTTTTTTTTTTTTTTTTTTTTTTTTTTTTTTAAGCCTAAGAAGCATGGGTGGTAGAGAACTGCCTTGACAGGCTTCTGAAATCTAAACGGGTCTGGAAATTTCTGTTTGATTCAACAACTGTCTTTTGGATAGTGGTTCTACTAGATTAAAAGTTCTGGCCGGGAGTGGTGGCTCACGCCTGTAATCCCAGCACTTTGGGAGCCCTAGGCGGGCAGACCACAAGGTCAGGAGATCGATAACATCTTGGCTAACACGGTGAAACCCGTCTCTGCTAAAAATACAAAAAATTAGCCGGGCGTGGTGGCGGATGCCTGTAGTCCCAGCTACTCGGGAGGCTGAGGCAGGAGAATGGTGTGAACTTGGGAGGCGGAGCTTGCAGTGAACTGAGATCGTGCCACTGCATTCCAGCCTGGGTAAGAGAGTGAGATTATGTCTCAAAAAAAAAAAAAAAAAAAAAAAAGAAAAAAAAAGTTGAGGTCAGGAAGCATGTCTTAATTTTCATACTTCAACTCTAACACAGTGCTTAATATGTGGTAGACCCTTCAGTAGGTAAAGTTTTATGATAAATGAATGAACTGGAGAATGGTCTGTAGAATACAAAACAAGTGCATGACAGGTTAAATGTCCTTAAGTATTATAAAAAGCTCTGCAGAGAAAATAAGCCTCTGTACTAGAAGCATTACATATATTGTCTATTTTAATGCTGTTAACATTGCTATAAAGCAGGCATTACTATCTTCATTTATAGATCGATAACAAGGCTCGGAGAGGTGGAGAGAGACTCACACAAAGTCACTCAATGGATTAGTGGTAGAACTATCTGTTTATTGTGAAATACAGTTCATACAGAAAAACAAGATCAGTATTTGATTTATTTCTTTAACTTTCAGAATTAATTTGTTGGCTTTCAATTAAGTAATTTTAACTTTCAGATTAATTTGATGGCATTCTGGCAATCTCCAAAAAAACAATTAATAGTTTTTTTTTGTTCATCCCAAAAAGTATCGCTTTGAATTCATGGGTTTTAACACTTATTTGACATTTTGATCAACTGTAGTCATTAACCATGTTGATTAATGTTTTCACTTTTGGCTACTGTGTTTCTTTTTTTTTTTTTTTTTTTTTTTTGGTATCCTTTTGACACTAGCCCAGTAAGTACTTTGTGATACTTATTTTCCTTACACGAAAATAAGTACCAGGTTCATTTTGTACATTTTCTGCACATGATCAGGAATTAACGAATTTCTCCAAGGAGCCCTAGTTCTATTGGATTGATTTTGGACACCATCATCTAAGAAATGGTGATGTTCATTGCTACTGAGTTTTTAGTGCTTCCGGGTTATTTTAATGAGCAGAACTAAAGAATACATTTAAAAAATACATACATTTAATCATTAAAAAATATATTTATTTCCTTTTCCTTTATATTGGGTATCTTAGTTCTTTATAAAATTACCATATTTATCTTGTTCTATATTTATATAATAATTGTAAAATAACAATACCAGTATTATTGCTAACAGTAAGACACACGATAAACACACCATAAACTGCTCTACACCTTATTGTTTTTACTTAATATGTGCTGAATGATCACTGCTTATCAGTATATGTAGATATTTCTTATTACTTTTTTCATAATTTACTTAGAACTATTTCAAACTATTTCAAACAGTATAAAAAACCTCTCGTATTCCCTTACTCCTTCATACAGATGCCCTAATTGTTGGTGTTTCACCAAATAACCTTCAACTCTCTCTTTCAATATAATGTGTATTGTATGTGTGTATAATGTCTGTTTTATGATCATTATCATTTTTCTTTTCCTGAACTATTCCACCTACTCTTTCCTATTAGCACAATATAATTATCCAAAGCAGGAAATCAACATTAATACAATACCACCATCCAACTCACAGACCTCATTTAAATCTCATTATCCCAACAAAGTATCGTTTTTCTATCTGATCCTGATTCAGTCGAATATCATGCATAGATTTTTACTTACATATCTTACATCTCCTTTAAACAGTTTCTCAGGCTGTCTCAGTTTTTCATGACTTGAAGATTTTGTAGAATAGAGGCCTTTCAATCTTTATGGTGTCCCTCAACCTGGGTTCCTCCACTGTTTCCTCATGACCCTATTCAAGTGATACATTCTTGTCAGGAATATGATAAAAATCATGATGTTCCTCTCAGGTCAGAAAACATACAGGCTAAACTTGATCACTTGGCCATGTGAATGCCTCCTCGTTATCTCCACAATGATATCACCATTTCCCCCCTGTAACTGATAGTATTTTTTGGGGAAATACTCTAGGGCTATGTCAGTATCTGGTTCTTCATCAAATGACTGTCCTCTAGCCTTTGCATTTACTGATGATTCCTGACTGAATTAGCTACCACTATATTGATTCTGAATTTTGATTTTATATTTCTATCATTCATTTATTCATTCAGTTTTTTATTTGTATTTTTGCTTTAAAGAAGAGATATCCCTAGTCTTATTTATTTATATAGTATAGACTTATGGATCTCATTTTCTCAACATGTTGTAATGCATTGTTATTTTTTATTTTCATGATCAAATTGTAGATTTGGCCAGTAGGTACCCATTAAAGCTGACTTCACTGTCCTTTTTAAAATTAACACTATTATATTAATAGCATACATTTTTGAGTATAGAACCGAAAACATTTTTTAAAGTTTTGAGAAATTTTTATATCTAACTACCACCACAATTAAAATATGGAACAAATTCTATTGTCCTCAAAATTTACTCCTTTGTCTCATCTCTTGATCCTCACTCTCAGTCAACAAGTAGAAACCTGAAGGTATGTTTTATTAAAGAAAAAAAAACACCTTGCTATCTTTGGACTATTTAAGCTGTTTATATTTAATATTATAATGGATATATAAAGTTCCCCTTTCTCTGCTTTTTCCCCTACTTTTGTATTTGTTTTCAATTTATTTTCCCTTTTTTCTTCTGTTAGCTTGGTAATTACATATTTTCTTTTCTTTCTTTTTTTTTTTTTTTTTCTTGAGACGGAGTCTCACTCTGTCACCCAGGCTGGAGTGCAATGGTATAATCTCGGCTCACTGCAACCTCAGCCTCCCAGGTTCAAGTGATTCTCCTGCTTTAGCCTCCTCAGTAGCTGGGATTGCAGGAGAGCGCTACCACTCCTGGCTAATTTTTTTTTTTTTTTGTATATTTAGTAGAGATGGGATTTCACCATGTTGGTCAGGCTGGTCTCATACTCCTGACCTCCTGATCTGCCCGCCTCGGCCTCCCAAAGTGCTGGGATTACAGGCATGAGTCATCGCACCTGGCCTACGTATATTTTTTCTATTCTTTCAGTGATTGCCATGTATCATTGTTTCATTGAAGCCTAACATAAATTAAAAAATATAGTTATGTGTGGACAGTGGGAAGAATTTAGAATACTTAATTCCATTTACCATTATCAAGTTATATCAATGTTGCTAATTTTATTGTGTTTATTTTTATTGTAGTTATATTTGTTGTCATCAAGTACAATTCTCACTAGTTATCATTTTTGTTGTTTCCTGCAATTAATGTTTATCTTTTTTATTGTTCTTTCTTCTTGTACCTCTAAACTGCTATTTAATGTATTTTTTCTAATACTCAGTTCAGCCCCTTTTAATTCAGATCTACTAGTGAAAATTTTAATTCAGATCTGCTAGTGAAATATTCTCTCAGTTTTATTTATATGAAAACATTTTTAATTTTTTTTTATTTCGGAATGATATTTTTGCTGGTATAGAACCGTAGGTTTCTAGTTGTTTTTTACCCTATTTTTTATATTGACATACTGTCTTGTAGTTTCCACTGTTTCTGTTGAAAGTCAATTGTCACTTCTAGTTTTTGGACAGAGTGACAAATTCTTTCTCTTTCTCTCTGGCTGTGTGTCTTGCTGCCTTCCAGTAATCTTTGTTCTTGATTTTCTGCAGTTTTACTTTGATGTGTGTTTCCTTCTGTTTATTCTTATTGTTGTGCGTGATGCCTCTGGAATCTGTGGCTTTGTGCTTTTCATCAGTTTTGGAAAATTCGTAGCTAATATCTCTCCAAGTATTGCTTTTCTTTACTCTCTCTCTCTTTGGATTTACTCTAAATATTTTCTTACAATTTATATTCTGTTTAACATTTCTCTTGATTTGGTTTCGTTCTGTGTCCTCACCCAAGTCTTATGTTGCATTGTAATCCTGAGTGTTGGGGGAAAGACCTGGTGGGAGTGACTGGATCATGGGGGTGGTTCCCCCTTGCTGTTCTTGTGATTGTGAGTTCTCACAACATCTGGTTGTTTGAAAAGTGTGTAGCACTTCCCCCTTCACTCTGTCTCCTGATCCACCACAGTAAGATATGTATGCTTCCCCTCTGCCTTCTGCCATAATTGTAAGCTTCCTGAGGCTTCCTACCCATGCTTCCGGTACAGCCTATGGATCCATGAGTCAATTAATCCTCTTTTCTTCATAAATTACTCAGTCTCAGGTAGTTCTTTATAGCAGTGTGAGAATGGACTAATACATCTCCCATCTCCAAAGTCCGATGAATTCAGTGTTTTACTTATTGTATCTTTTTAAACAGAATTTATATTTGATTTTTAAGTTTCTACTACTGCAACGAAATTCATATTACTTGAACATGTTAATCCTGTTAAGGTTAAAATTTAAACATTTTAAAATTTTCTATTGTAATTTAAAATTTTTAATTTAAAAATTAAAAAAATTATAAATTAAATTAATTTTAAAATTTGAATCCTAACAGGATTAATATGTTCAAGTAATATGAATGCTTAAAGTTTTAAGATTTTAATCTTAACACCTTGATCTACTTTGGTTTGTATATTTTCTCTTTATTTTAGGTTAACTCATATGTTTCATAGGCTGACTTATTTTCTGCTATGTGCTAAACATTGTTTAGAAAAAGCTATCAAACTATTTTGAGGCTCTGGATGATCTTATTGTAACATGGAGTCACTTATGTTTCTTGCAGTCAGCTAAGCATGGAACACCATCATCCAATCAGAAAATGAGATGATCCTAGATTATGAGTGTAGATACAGTTCCACTTTACCCTTATTCCATTAATGTGTAGCCATGGGGGATTTACCAGGTCTTACTCTTCTTGTTGGATCTTGAACCAAAATCTTTGTCCCCAAAGCCCAGTGAATTCTTAAAAGTTAATATTATTTGAAATAATAAATCATAATTTCATACATTTTGGAGTGCAATTTAATGTTTATACACACACACACACACACACACACACACACACACAGCCTGGAATGACTAAATCAAGCTAATAAACAAATCTGTCACCTCACTTATCATTTTTCATGGTGAGACATTTGAAATTTACTCTCAGCTATTTTGAAATATATAATAAATTATTATCTGTAGTCATCCTTCTGTGCAGTAGATCTAAAAAAACAATAGTTTCCTCCTGTGTAACTGAAACTTAGTGCCTCTTAACCACCACTTCCCCATTCCTTCCCTTTCTACCCTAAGCCTCTGGTAACCACTATTATACTCTCTCCATCTATGAGTTAAACTTTTTTAGATTCTGCATGTGAGATCGTGTGATACAGACCTCAAAGCATAGGTAACAAAAGTTAAAATAGACAAGCGGGTTTGGATTAAGTTACAATCTTTCTACACAGTAAAGAAAATAACAGAGTTAAGAAATAATCTACAGAATGAGAGAAAATATTTGCAAACCATATATCTAATAAGGGGTTAATATCCAAAATATATAACTAAATAGCTTAACTAAATAGCAAGAAAAACCAGTAACCTAATTTAAATACAGAAGTAAAAATATGACTATCCTATGATCCAGCAATCCCATGTCTGGGTATATAATGAAAAGTATTGACATCAATATTTCAAGGAGATACCTGCACTCCCTTGTTCATTGCAGCATTATTCACAGCCGCGAAGATAGAGACTCAACCTAAGTGTGTACTAGTAGACGAATGGGTAAAGGAAATGTGGTAATTATACACAATGGAATACTATTCAGCTTTAAACAGGGGGGATTTATGTCATTTGGGACAGTATAGATGAACCTGAAGGATGTTAGCCTCCATGAAGTAAGTCAATGATTCTGTATGTTCTGTCCTTAGACTCCAGTCTGTTGTTTCACATATCACTGATGGCCTTGAGGGAAAAAAAATGCTGCAAATGCGGGGCTCATTTCTCTGTGTTACCTACTGATCTAGATATTGGCCCTACAATTCCTCACTGCTATTCTAATTAGCCTCCTAATGACATTATACATTATTTTGATGAAATGTACCTCCAGATTTCTAGCTGTTTTCAGCAAAATGTGTGGCCTAAAATAATACAGCTATTTCCAGAATTTAAGCTCAGTATCTTTGCTTAAAAAGATAGCACCTTTTTTCTAAGTGTTCTCACCTAGTATACAGAAATGTGTTTTCATATTCATCTTTTATTAATAAACATGCTAAACTTAGTGATTTGAATAGTTTATATATTCTATTGTTGTCTCTTCATTGTTCATCATAGAATTTTGTAAGTAAATATAGTGATATTTTCTGCCTTTTCTATGTATCTGCCTTATCTATCTTTCTTTCAATTGTTTATACCATTTTAATTTTTAGTGTTTGCTCTAGAGTTTTATATATGTATACACATACACATGTCACTATTACTAATTTTTCACAGTCTACTTTCAAATAATATACTACTTCACATCTAGTATAAAAGCCTCACAAAAGCATACTTTTTTCTTTCCTCCCATCTTTTGTGCTATTTTTGTCCCAGTTTTACTTCTATGTATGTTTTAAACCTTACAATATGTTTTTACTGCTTTCTGCTTTAGACACTCAATTATATCATAAACATATTTTGAAATAATTTTAGACTTATAAAAAGTTGCAAAAGAGTACAGAGAGTTATGGAACAGTCTTTACAAAGCTTCCCTTAAGGTCAGCTTCCAAAAGGAACATGGCACAATGACCCAAATCAGAAGATTCACATTGATTCAATATTACTTACCCATCTAAAGACTTCAATTGAATTTTGCAAACTTTTTTGCTAACATACTTTTTCAGATTCAGGAACTTATGCTAAATAACACATTTTATTTAGTTTTCATCTCTTCTTAATCTGCCCCAATCTGTGACATTTTTTAGTTTGTCTTTATCATGATCTTGACACATTGGAGGGGTACTTAACAGTTATTTTCTTGAATGTCCCACTAATTTGGGTATAGCCTATGATTTTTCATAATTAGTTTGAAGTTACGTATATTTGGCAGGAATATTCCAGAATGATTTTATACCATTTGCAGTGTATCATATCAGAAGCTGTATGTTATTGATATATGTTCTTATTGGTGATGTTATATTTGGTAGCTTGTTTAACGTGTTGAAGTTAAAGAAAATTATTAGTTTTTTTGACTATAAATTTACTGTTTTTCTTTTTAAATTAATAAATTAGTTTAATATGAATTAAGTAGTTCAATTAGTAAGTATATTTGAGACTGTGAGTATTCTGGTTCTTCTTATACTTTTGCCTGCTAATTTTCTTATTAATAGACGACTCTTGCCTATGACAATTACTACTGTGGTATCCGCCTATTGGATATTTTCCGTTTCTCTTTGCTTTATTCTTTCTACATTAATCGATTGGAATTCTAATGTAAGGAAGAACTGTCTTGTTGCTTTCCTTTTCTTTTTATTCTTTCTCGTTATTTATATTAGATGGACTTATGGACAGATATTTATTCTGAGGCGTATCATTCACTATTATCATTACCTATTTTTTTACTCAAATTGTCCCTGCTTTTGCCTGTGAGAAGTTCCTTCAAGGTTGACTCCTGTGTCCTCAAAGACTGTTTTAAAATCTTTTCATTGTGAATTATCTGTTTATGTCTTTTCTTCATTAGTATTGAATTTTTAATGCTCTGTTCATCAAATTTTAGCGGTTCTTTACATATTAGGGATATTAGCCCTTTGCAGCACATGTTGTAAACATTTTCTCCCATTTCATCAGTGGCCTTTTGACTTAGTTTCTGATATGTTTTTTGCCATGACAACTTTAAAACAATTTCTATGTAGTCAAATTTTAAAATTTTCTCTTTTGTTGCCTCTGGATTTTTAAGTCACAGTTTCAGAGCCTTTCCCTATAAATGGATTATAGAAAAATTCACCCCCCCCCTTTTTTTTACTACTTGTAAGTTTTCATTTTTACATTTAAGTCCCTGATCTATTTAAAGTTTGTTTTTATGCATGGTATGAACTGAATCTAATTTTATATTTTCCCAAATACTAACAAGATTCCTAAGCATTATTTATTTAAAACATTTATCTTTGTGAATTTGAGATGACACTTTTAATATATACTAAATTCACATATGTACCATTTGGAGTCTCTCTGTTTCTAGTCCACTAGTCTATTTGTCAACGCATGTACCTGTACCATACCATTTTATTTACAGTGTTTATACTATGTTTTAATGTCTGGTGAGTTATTTCCCATCATGGTTTTCTTTAGTGTTTTCTTGGATTTTCTTGCATGTTTCTTTTTTTTTCTGTGTAAAGTTTAAAATCTATTTGCCCATATCAACACAATACTTTATAGTTGTCTTATTTATAATGCATAAAATTTGAGTTATTATGTTAACTTATAAGTAATTAAGTTAAAAATAATTACAAGTTATATTTTCCCTTAAAATATGATATTATATGTTTTCTTCTGTGTGCTAAATTGCATATATTGAGGTTCTGCATTTGTGTTATTAAATCAACTTGGAGAGGTGTTGAATGTGCTCTACGTGCAGGAAGAAGGCAGCAAAGTGATCCGAAAGCTGGGTGTGAGCAGAGAACTTTATACTTCTCTCAAGATACCCATGAGGTCTTCCATATTTCCCAGCCCCCTTGCAATTAGTTCAAGCTCTTTAACTTGCTCTGTTAAATGCACATGGGTGGAAGTGTTATGTGCCTGGGCCAAGTGTAATAATTTAAGAGTCGACGTGGGATCCTCCATCTCTTTCTTTCCCTCTTGATCAGTGGAGAATATTGTACATTCCAGAAACTAAAATGGCAAGCCTACTTCAGCCTGGGTTCCTGGCTGATTGTGAAGAGCCAAGTTTTCTGCTGTCCTGCATTGGAGCTGTAGCATGAGGGGGAAATATACCTCTGATATCTGAAGTCACTGGGAATTAGGGATAACTTTTTAACACAACACAACCTATTTAATTGTGATCATAGGATAAGTCTCTATGATATGAGTTTCTTAAAATTTGTTGAAATTTGTGCTATGGATTGGCACATGGTCAGTCTTCTATATATTTCTTATATGATTCAGAAGACTGTATATTCTCAAGTTTTTGAATGCTTGGTTCTACTTGGGTCCATGACATCTAGTTTACTCATTGTTGTAATAGTTTCATAGTTTGAAGTCTTAGATTTAAGCCTTTAATCCATTTTTATGTGATTTTTGTATATGGTAGGAGATAGGGATCTAGTTTCATTCTTCTGCATATGGATATTCAGTTTTTCCAGCATCATTTTTTTTTTGAGACAGAGTCTCACTCTGTCGCCCAGGCTGGAAGTGCAGTGGTGCCATCTCGGCTCACTGCAAGCTCCGCCTCCTGGGTTCACACCATTCTCCTGCCTCAGCCTCCCGAGTAGCTGGGACTACAGGCGCCCGCCAACACGCCTGGCTAATTTTTGTATTTTTAGTAGAGACGGGGTTTCACCGTGTTAACCGGGATGGTGTGGATCTCCTGACCTCATGATCCGCCCGCCTTGGCCTCTCAAAGTGCTGGGATTACAGGCGTGAGTCACCGCGCCCGGCTTCCAGCATCATTTTTTGAAGAGAGTGTGTTACTGAAATTTTTCTACATTGTGGCTGATTTTCCTTGTGCTTGACCTATAATTGACTGATAGAAGTATGTTAAAATCTCTTATTGTGCTGGTATTTTCATTTAGTTACTATTGTCCTGTCTGATTTTCTTACTATTTTTAACCTATGTTATTAGGGGAATGCAACTTTATAAAAATTATATTTGTTGAAACTATTATCATATAATTACCCTTTTTATTGCTAATAATACTTTTTCCTTTAACACATATACAGTTTGATATTAAATAGGTTTCTCAGCTTTTTTTCCCGTAGTATTTTACTGGTATGCCTTTATCAATACTTTTATTCCTTTGTGTGTTTTATTTTAGGTGTATGGCTAGATGATTTTTACAAATATAGTCTGATAATTACTGTTTTTAACAGAAAAATTTTATGTTTATTGTGATTACATATTTGTATTTGGATTATTTCCTACCAGATACCAGGGAGTACTTTGAATTCAGGACAACTTTAAATTAACTTCCAAAGTCAGATACACAAGATAGAGAATAAAACGGTGATTATCATTGGTGAGGTGGGGTAGGAAATAGGGAGATGTAGTACAATTGACACAAAGTAGCAGATATGTAGGATGAACAATCTAGAGATCTAATGTATAACATAAGGAATATAGTTAATAGGATTGTACTGTATTTGGGATTTTTACTAAAAGAGTAGGATTTAGGTACTCTTGCCATGATAAAATGGTAACGATATGAGATGATGGATATATTAATTTGCTTGTCCTTAGTAACAATTTCATTCCATATGTGTATATTGAAACATCATGTTATATACCTTAAATATATACAATAAAAAGAGAATCCTAAAACTTAATTTATCAACAAAAGAACATTTATAAGATATAATAGTTTTTTGGACATTGTAGGTAATACGAATTCATCTAAACTTGCATGAGAATTTGCTTTCTGTAGCAAATTTTACTGGGAGCCTTTTTCTCTCTTGTACTCAGAGTCCTGCCTAAAAAACTGTTCTCTGACATCTTCCACTGTTGCAGTTTTTTTCCCCTGTCCTCGCTGCTACTGAGTGCGTATGCCCTTGGAGTTTTGCATTTATAAAAATGTATATATTCAAATCTTGAACAGACCTAAGGCTTCTTCTTTGTCCCCTGTGTAGTCATTAAAACTCAAGATCCTGAGTTACTGGCAGTATAAAAACTCCAGATTGGACTGCATCCCATTCACCTAATGAATTACCTACTTGTTGTATTCCCTGGAATGTCTCACAAGTATCTGAAATGGAATGTTTCTAAGATGGAGCCTTTGCTTTGTCCTCCCACAGTGGGTCTTCTCAGTCTTCCTGGGCTCAACCCCAGTCAGTGACACCCTCCCCTCAACCCATCCATTCAGTGCCTGGAGCTGGCAACTGAGAATTAACCTTTCCTTCCTTCATTTCCATTTCTGCATGCAACCTATTGGCCGAGTGTCTTCATTTCCATTTCTGCATGCAACCTATCGGCCAAGTGTATTAATTTTACATCCAAGTAGACCTTTAATAATATTCTGTTCATCACTCTGGACAGAAATCACCACCACGTTTTCCAGACTATTTCAATAGCCACCTCACTGGTCTTTCTGTCTAGAGCCCCTCAAGTCTATCTGTTTCACACAGCCTGCACACAGAGAATTTTAAAAAGAAATTTGATCATGTTACTCCCTTTTAGTGATTTCCCATCATATGTAAAAGCTAATTTCTCTATTATTTTCCATGTAGGCCTATGCTATCAGCCTCCTGTGTTTTCATATAAACCATACTGTTTATCCTACAAACCCTTACAAACTACACTTTTCCCAGTGCTGTCTTGAGTACTCCACTTCTAGCTATGAAATAGAAAAATACTTCAAACAGCTATGCTAAGAAAACCATGTATTTTTCACATTTCAGCTTACACATCATATCGGTAGGGATTTCTTCTCTGACTGTCTTGTCTAAATTACATCCAGATCTCTCCCTCTGGCCTTGGTGTTCTTTTTCATCACATCCTGTTTGTTTTCTTGCTATAAGACTCCTACACTGCAATGGGAATCATACTGTTTTGATTTAAACTTATTTTAGAAAGAGGGAATTCCATGAGGATTTTATAAGTCCAATAATATTTCTCACTTTTCAATTGAGTCTTTGTTTCTTTTCTATGTTAACCCATATAAACAAAGGGTAAAAGAAGAAGATTCTTTTTCTTACAGTCTTTATCTTATTTGATCTTCCATGATTTATGACTTAAATAAATAGGACAAGCATCAAAAATCCCAACTAGCTTGTATTTTGTGTATCATATAAGGTATTGTTCTATCCATACCTCTGTTCACAGAAGGCTGTAATTGGCTCTAGAAAAGTTTGGGTGGCCAGGGTATTCTTTAGTAATTAACAGTCACTACTGGGAAGGTTTTAGCAAATATATGCTCTTTCACCTTTATAATGCTTTGAGGATATAAAATCAAATACCAAGCAGGAAATAAGCTAAGGGTCAAACTCAAAGGTTATTTTTGTTTTTATTTTAATGTTTAAAAAGGTTTAATTTTATGACTGGTCTGGGAGAAGTAGTGAAATAGGCTATATTTCTATGCTTAAATAGTATTTGGCACATAGTATGCGTTGTATTGGTATTTATTAACATGACAAAAATATATAATATGAATATAATAGTTTGTATTGGTATTTATTATCAACATAACAAAATATGATATATGAATATAATGGTATTTCTAATATTATTTTCTACTCTTCTCTAACACTTTTTAATACTGTTCATTAATTTTAAAAAAATTGTGGTTAAAATGTACCTAACATACAATTTTCCATTTTAACCATTTAAATATACAGTTCAAGGGCACTAAGTACATTCTCCTTGTTGTGCATCCATCACCACCATCCACTGCTCATTATTTTTCTTTTTCATTTTAACAGGTTTTTGGGGAATAGATGGTGTTTTGTTACATGAATAAGTTCTTTAGTGGTGATTTCTGAGATTTTAGTGCACCCATCACCCAAGCAGTGTACACTGTACCCAAAGTGTTGTCTTTTATCCCTGCCCCCCTGCCATTCTTTCCTCTGAGTCCCCAAAGTCCATTGTATCATTCTTGGGCCTTTGTATCCTCATAGCTTAGCTCCCACTTCTGAGTGAGAACATGCAATGTTTGCTTTTCCATTACTGAGTTACTTCACTTAGAATAATGGTCTCCAGTTCCATTCAGGTTAGTGTGAATGCCATTATTTTGTTCCTTTTTATGGCTGAGTAGTATTCTATGTTATATCTATATAATATATAGATATAGATATAAATATCTCACATTTTCTTTATCCACTCATTGATTGGTGGGCATTTGGGCTAGTTCCATAATTTTGCAATTCTGAACTGTGCTGCTATAAACATGAGTGTTCGAGTATCTTTTTCGTATAATGGCTTCTTTAACTCAGGGTAGATCCCAGGAGTGGAATTCCTGGATCAAATGGTAGATCTACTTATAGTTATTTATGGAATCTCCACACTGTTTTCCATAGTGGTTGTACTAGTTTACATTCCCACCAACACTGGAAAAGTGTTCCCTTTTCACCACTTCCGTGCCACCATCTATTTTTTGACTTTGTGATTATGGCTATTCTTGCAGAATTGAGGTGGTATTGCATTGTGGGTTTTTATTTGCATTTCCCTGATCATTAGTGATGTTGAGCCTTTTTTCATATGTTTGTTGGCCATTTGTATATCTTCTTTTGAGAATTGTCTATTCATTGCCTTAGCCTACATTTTGATGGAATTGGTTGTTTTATTTCTTGCTGATTTGTTTGCATTCCTTGTAGATTCTGGACATTAGTCCTTTGTCGGATGTATAGATTGTGAAGATTTTCTCCCACTCCATGGGCTGCCTGTTGACTCTGCTGTATATTTCTTTTGATGTGCAGGAGCTTTTTGGTTTAATTAAGTCCCATCTATTTATATTTGTTTTTTGTTACATTTGCTTTTGGGTTCTTGGTCATGAAGTCTTTGCCTAAGCCAAAGTCTATAAGGGTTTTTCCAATGTTATCTTTTAGAATTTTTATGGTTTCAGGTCTTAGATTTAAGTCTTTGATCCATCTTGAGTCAATTTTTTTTCATAAGATGAGAGATGAATGTCCAGTTTTAGTCTTCTGCATGTGGCTTGCCAATTATCCCAGCACTATTTGTTGAATAGGGTGTCCTTTCCCCACTTTATGTTTTTGTTTGCTTTGTTGAAAATCAGTCGATTGTAAGTATTTGACCTTATTTTTGGGTTCTGTATTCTGTTCCCTTGGTCTATATGCATTTTTTTATACCAGTACCATGATATTTTGGTGACTATGGCCTTATAGTGAAGTTTGAATTTGGGTAATGTAATGCCTCTAGATTTTTTGTTTCTGCTTAGTCTTGCTTTGACTATGTTGGCTCTTTTTTGGTTCCATATGAGTTTTAGTATCTTTTTTTCTAGTTCTGTGAATAATGATGATGGTATTTTCACGGGAATTGCATTGAATTTGTAGATTGCTTTTGGTAGTATGGTCATTTTCACGGTATTTATTCTACCCATTCATGAACATGGGATGCATTTCCATTTGTTTGTGTTATCTAATGTTTATTTCAACAGCATTTTGTAGTTTTCCTTGTAGAGGTCTTTCACCTCCTTGGTTAAGTATACTTCTAAGTATTTAATTTTTTGGCAGGTATGATAGAAGAGGTTGAGTTCTTGATTTGATTCTCACCCTGTTTACTGTCGGTGTGTAGCAGGGCTACAAAATTAATGTACATTGAAACTTTGCTGAATTCATTTACCAGCTCTAGGAGCTTTTTAGATGAGTCCTTAGAACTTTTTAGGTATACAATCATGTCATCAGCAAACAGCAACAGTTTGACTTCCTCTTTACTGATTTGGATGCCATTTCTTTCTTTATCTTGTCTAATTGCTCTGGCTAGGACTTCCAGTACTATGTTGAATACAAGTAATGAAAGTAGGCATCCTCATGTTGTTTCCATTCTCAGGGGAAATGCTTTCAACTTTTTCCTGTTCAGTATGTTGTTGGCTGTGGGTTTATCATAGATGGCTTTTATTACCTTAAACTATGTCCCTTCTTTGCTGATTTTGCTGAGGGTTTTAATCATAAAGATATGCCGGATTTTGTCAAATGCTTTTTTTTACACCTGTTGAAATGATCTGTGATTTTAATTTTCAATTCTTTTTATGTGGTGTATCACTTTTATTGACTTGCAGATGTTAAACCATCCTTGCATTCCTGGTATGAAACCCACTTGATCGTGGTGGATTATCTTTTTGATACGCTGTTGGATTTAGCTAGGTCATATTTTGTTGAGGATTTTTGCATTTTTGTTCATCAGGCATATTGGTCTGTAGTTTTCTTTTTTGGTTATGTCCTGTCCTGGTTTTGGTATTAGGGTGATATTGGCTTCATAGAATGATTTAGGGAGGATTCCCTCTTTGTCTGTCTTTTGGAATAGTGTCAGTAGGATTTGTACCAAATCTTCTTTGAATGTCTGATAGAATTCAGCTGTGAATCTATCTGGTCCTGGAGTTTTTTTTTGTTCACAAGTTTTAAATTACCATTTCAATCTTGCTGCTGGTTATTTGGTCTGTTTAGAGATTCTATATCTTCCTGGTTTAATCTAGGAGGGTTGTATTTTTCCAGGAATTTATCCATCTCTTCTGGGTTTCCTAGTTTATACGTGTAAAGCTGTCCATAAGCCTTGAATGATATTTTGTATTTCTGTGGTATCAGTTGTAAAATATCCCATTTCATTTCTAATTGAGCTTATTTGGATCTTCTCTCTTTTCTTGGTTAATCTTGCTAATGGTCTATCAATTCTGCTTCTCTTTCTAAAGAATCAGCTTCTTGTTTCATTTAACTTGTGTATTTTTTGTTTCAATTTCATTTAGTTCTGCTCTGATCTTCATCATTTCTTTTCTTCTGCTGGGTTTGGATTTGGACTGTTCTCATTTCTCCAGTTCCATGAGGTGTGACCTTAGATTGTCTATTTGTGCTCTTTCAGACTTTTTGATGTATGCATTTAATGCTATGAACTGCCTCTTAGCACTGCTTTTGCTGTATCCCAGAGATAGGTTGTGTCACTATTGTTGTTCAGTTCAAAGAATTTTTAAATTTCCATCTTGATTTATTTGTTGACTGAAACATCATTTAGGAGCAGGTTGTTTACTTTCCATGTATTGGCAGGGTTTTGAGGCTTCATTTTGTAGCTGATTTCCAATTTTATTCCACTGTGGTCAGAGAGAGTACTTGATATAATTTCAATTTTCTTAAATTTGTTGAGACTCGTTTTGTGGCCTGTCATATGATCTATCTTGGAGAATGTTCCATGTGCTGATGAATAGAATGTATATTCTTCAGTTGTTGGGCAGAATGTTCTGTAAATATCTGTTAAGTCCATTTGTTGTAGGGTATAGTTTAGGTCCATTGTTTCTTTGACTTTCTGTCTTGATGAACTGTCAAGCGCTGTCAGTGAAGTATTAAAGTCTCCTACTGTTATTGTGTTGCTGTCTATCTCATTTCCTAGGTTTAGTAGTAATTGTTTTATAAATTTGGGAGCTCCAGAGTCAGGTGTGTATATATTTAGGATTGTGATATTTTCCTGTTGGACTAGTCCTTTTAATCATTATATAATGTCTGTTTTTGTCTTTAACTGCTGTTGCTTTAAAGTTTGTTTTGTCTGATATAAGAATAGCTACTCCTGCTCACTTTTGGATTCTATTTGCAAGGGATATCTTTTTCCACCTGTTTACCTTAAGTTATGTGTGAGTCCTTATGTATGAAGTAAGTCTCTTGAAGACAGCAAATATTTGGATGGCGAAATCTTATTTATTCTGCCATTCTGTATCATTTAGTTGGAACATTTAGGCAATTTACATTCACTATTAGTATTGAGATGTGAGGTAGTATTCTATTCATCATGCTATTTGTTGCCTGAATAGTTTGTTTTGTTTTTTTTTTCCATTGTGTTATTGTTATATAGGTCCTGTGAGATTCATGCTTTAAGAAGGTTCTGTTTTGGTGTATATTGAGGATTTGTCTCAAGATTTAGAACTTCTTTTAGCATTTCTTGTAGTGCTGACTTTGTAGTGGTGAATTCGCTAAGCATTTGTCTGAAAAAGACAGTATCTTTCCTTCATTTATGAAGGTTAGTTTTACTGGATACAAAATACTTGGCTGATTATTATTTGTTTAAATAGGCTAAAGATAGAGCCCCAATTCTTTCTAGCTTGTAGGGTTTCTGTTGAGAAACGTGCTGTTAACCTGATAGGTTTTCCTTTATAGGTTATCTGATGCTTTTTCCTGACATCTGTTAATATTTTTTCCTTCATCTTGACTTTAGATAACCTGATGACTATGTGCCTTGGTGATGATCTTTTGTGATGAATTAACCAGGTGTTCCTTCAGCTTCTTGTGTTTGGATGTCTAGTTCTCTAGCAAGGCCAGGGAAGTTTTCCTTGATTGTGCCTTCAAATGTGTTTTGCAAACTCTTAGATTTCTCTTCTTCCTGGGAACACAAACTATTCTTAGGTTTGGTGATTTAACATAATCCCAAACTTCTTGGAGGCTTTTTAAAAATTTGTTTTTTATTTTTGAGATGGAGTCTTGCTGTATCACCAGGCTGGAGTTCAGTGGCACGATCTTGGCTCACTGCAACCTCCAGCTCCCTGGTTCAAGCAATATCCTGCCTCAGCCTCCTGAGTAGCTGGGATTACAGGCATGCACCACCATGCCCAGCTAATTTTCGTATTTTTAGTAGAGATGAAGTTTCAACATATTGTCCAGGATGGTCTCGATCTCCTGACCTCATGATCCACCCACCTTGGCCTCCCAATGTTTATTTTTTTATTCCTTTTTTTCTTTGTCAGATTGGGTTAATTTGAAAGACTTGCCTTTGAGCACTGAAGTTCTTTCTTCTGCTTGTTCAATTCTATTGCAGAGACTTTCCAGTACGTTTTGAAATTCTCTAAGTGTGTACTTCATTTCCAGAAGTTGTGATTGTTTTTTATTTATGCTATCTATTTCACTGGAGATTTTTCCATTCATATCCTGTATCTTTTTTTAAAATTTCTTTAAGTTGTACTTCACCTTTCTCTAGTGCCTCCTTAATTGACTTAATAGTCGACTTTCTGAATTCTTTTGCTGGCAATTCAGATATTTCGTCTAGGTTTGGATCCATTGCTGATGAGCTGGTGTGATCTTCTGGGGTGTTATTGAACCTTGTTTTGTCATATTACCAGAATGGTTTTTCTGGTTCCTTCTCATTTGGGTAGACTATGCCAGAGGGATGATCAATCTGGGACTCAAGGGCTGCTGTTTAGATACTTTTGTCTCGTGGGGTGCTTCCTTGATGTGGTGCTCTCCCGTTTCCCTTAGGGATGGGGATTCCTGATAGCTGAACTACAGTGCTTGTTATTTCTCTCTTAATCTAGCCACCTAGTGGGGCCACCAGGCTCCAGGCTGATACTGGGGAGTGTCTGCAAAGATTCCTGTGATGTGATCCATCTTCAGGACTCTCAGGTATGGATACCAGCACCTGCTCTGGTGGAGGTAGAAGGAAAGTGAAGTGGATTCTGTGAGGGTCCTTGGTTGTATTTTTGATAAATGTATGCTGATTTTATGTTGGTTGGCCTCTATCCAGAAGGTGACACTTTCAAGAGCACATTAGCTGTGGTATTATAGAAAGGTTCAGGTGGTGGGTGGGGCCATAGAGCTCCCAAGAGATTATGTTCCTTGTCTTCGGAGTTCCTTGGCTGTCCCATGGAGCCTGCAGTGGCAGTACGCCTCCTTCAAAGGGTCTGTGGATTCCCTTGACGTTTCTGGTATGTTCTTGTGGTAGTTCTCAGGCAAAACTTTATGTTGTGGGTCTCCATGCGCTGCTCTGCCTGTCTGAGTGGGAGTTGCGAGTTAGTCCTGCCTACTATCTACCATTTTCCCCTACTCCTGAACTGAAAGTTTTTCTGAGTCCACTCCAATTTTATTTTAATGCTTGAATTTTTAACTAGTATTTGGACTTTGTAGTATCAGGTCTTTGAAAGTTTGGGTTGTTGATATGTTTCAGTAACTTCTAATGGTAATATTTTTGATAAAATTGACTTTTAAAAACTCTTTAAAATATAAATTAGGTAATAAACAATACTCCTTGTTGATATGCTGACATGTCAGTTAAACTATTTAGAAGTAAGTCAAGTTAATGGCTTGTTAAGAATTATATGGTAATGCAGGGAACTGTGTTCTACATGAAAGTATTGCAGTATATCTTTAATACTGTGTAGTAGTGGAAAGAGAATGTACTTTGAAATAATAACAAACTTACACTTGAACTTCATGTCTATAATTTAATAGTCAAATGACCTTGGGAGACCTATGTGAAACATTATCTCTGCCTGTCAGATTTCTACAGATTTTCCTATTTTACTTTTTACTGAAAATAAGTACCATTTTAGTCCAGAATTAACAACACTCATAGACATATACCTCAGAGTTAATAAACAGATTTGCATTATTCTTTTTATTGTTTAAATAACTCTACATACTCCTGTTTATTTGGAGAACTGGTTTTCAAATGTATATCGACTCTATTAGATTTTCATTCATTTCCATAAATTACCTTTGGAGGAGATGTTATGGGAATCAGGGTAGCAAATTCAAATTTACATCAAACACATTCATTTTTATTAAAATTAATAATGATTTATTTTTACTTAGTGGAAGCAAAAGAGTGTAGTGCTTGATAGCTCAGACTTTGGAGTCAGACAGATCATGGCGTGAATCCTAGCTCTGTCATTTGTTCGCCTGCATATTTGTTTAGGATAAAAGACTTGATCAAGTATGTGGGAGTAGACTAAAAGAGGTTAAGTTCTTGGCTGAAATGCCAAGTTGTCATTAATAGCCTGGGAGAGAAAGTAAGCATTCTACTATCCCTTAGTTCATACTTTAAAAAAAAAATAGGTAACATATTTATTATATGGTATCTGAGCTTTATATGTGATCTCAAAGGTTAATCACAGACTCTTTCTGAAGACTCCTACTCTGGGCCTTAGAATAGTCCAATCCTGGTGACCTGGCACTGTTGCTGTCAGCCCTGGGTTCTGGAGTCCCTTCTGACCTCTGTGTTTCTTGATCATTGGACACACAAAGAGCCTTGTGGGTTTATGGCCCATGTGCGGTGTATTTTACTCTATTGTGTGTCTTGAAGGAGACATTTCACATTACTGGCAGCTCTAGTGGCAACTAAGAGCTGGCCATGGAACATACTTTTGGGGAGATTCTAATCTATTCAAGAAGTTAATCAGTGGCAAGGACAGTTGAAGGATGCTTTTAAAGGAGTTTATGAAGCAATGGAAATTTATCTTTCTCTTTGAATGTACTTTTTGTACATTTTAACTGGAATGATGGATTTGCCTTTCTCCTTTCCCTGCTACAACTCCACTTAGTAAGTACTACCACTGACATCTGCAGCCTTCTTCTAGCTCAGGGATTTTCTTTAAAGTACTGTTCCTCTAGGATATTCTTTTAACTTTCAAATATCACATGAGGGTACAAAATAACTTTTTATTATGTAAAAGATACTGTTCAGAAATTAATCTGATACTACATTCTTTTGGATATGTAGGACCATACCTGTATATACTATAGCTTTACATGATCATTGTCATCAACAACTGTTTTATTATTTTGCTCACACATTAGGTCCTGAGATCCCTGAGGATATCAGTGCCAACTAATGGTGTCTGAATCTAGTAGAGTTTCTTGTTATCACTATAAATAATTCTGCCTCTTAACTTATTTCAATTTGACCCCATTCTGCACACCATACTTGTTCTCCAAAGGTTAGGTTAGTCACCCAAAAGCTGATTTTTCTTGAACTTTAGTACAAGTCATATCTTACTAAAAGAAAATGGACTGAGAGAAACATTCTTTGGCATCATCTTTCCACTAGCAAACCCCTGCTGTCCCTTCCTATCCAAGTGGTTGCTGACACCCATTGTGAGGCTGTACAGTTCCCAGACTGGCAAAAGAAAACTCAAGGAGTTCTCCCCAAAAGGCACATGAAAAATTCAATTCCCACCTGTAAGCTCATGACTCTTAATGGAGCTCAGGAACCATAAAGAGTTCATAAGGCTTTGACCTCCAGAAAGAATAACAATATCTAATGTTTAGTTCATGTGTTACCACCTACGTACACAATTACATTCCCCGTACACAGCTAATCTGGACCTCTGAGGCAATGAGATTGGTGTTCTTTCAGGTGTTTTATTAGCTGAACAAATACCAGGGAAGGTAGGAATATGGGCATTGGAATCAGACAAACCTGCATTCTGATTTTACGGGCTCTACTACTTACTGTATGAATGACTTTGGACAAGTGTATAACCTCTCTAATCCATAGAGTCTTATCAGACTAAGGATGATAGTGCTATTTATCTTATGTCATGAGAATTAATCATATAAATTATCTAAAAGCTTAGCATGGTTTCTGGTGTATGGTAGGTATTCCCCACATAGGAGCTATTATTATTAAGGAAAAAAAAAATCTCAGTTGTCTAAAACAGGTGTCCCAACCTCTGGGCAGCAGGCAGGTACTGGTCCATGGCCTGTTAGGAACTGAGCCGCACAGCAGGAGGTGAGTGGCAAATGAGCAAGCATTACCACCTGAGCTCCGCCTCCTGTCAGGTGAGCTGTGGCATTAGATTCTCATAGGAGTGCAAACCCTATTGTGAACTGCGCAGGCAAGGGATCTAGGTTGTGCATTCCTTATGAGAATATAACTAATGCCCAATGATCTGAGGTGAAACAGTTTCATCCTGAACATATACCTACTGTTCCCCCCACCACCCCCACCTAACGCCCCCGGCCTCCACCCCACCCCCACCCCATGGAAAAATTATCTTCCAGGAAACCCGTCCATGTTGGCAAAGAGGTTGGGAACCGCTGCTGTAAAACATTTCTCAGGCTCTGGTGTATAGTAGCTTGCAAATTAATCAGAAACAATCTTATGACCCAACAAGTGATGGTCATAGCTATGGAAAAACATTTTCTAAGTCTCAAATATTTATTTTTTTCAAAAATTACTAAAGCCAATGGGAGTGATAAAATATTAGAAATGGGAATGTTCCAAATATAGCTGGAGTTGACTCCTAGTGGTTAATTAATACCCTTCCATCTTAAAGCTAGAGTTGATGAGGACCTATTACTGGAAAAACTGTATTTACATCAGCTGTAAATAAACCTCTTCTAATTGCACAATTGCCAAGTAGTTCTCAGAAAGCATTTTATTTGTCAGTAGACAGAATGAATTGGACATAATACTAGACCAGTCACTGGTTGGATAATCATGAAGAAAGTGCTAGGACAGACCCACAGACCATCTTGTGAGCTGGCAGCTTCCTGAGAATTCTTCATTTATAGCAGACCTAAAGCTACACTGAGGGCCAAGTGCCCCCTAGCACCTTTAATTACAGTTTCCCGATCCCTTGCAAAATAATTGAATATAGTTATTCAACAGTCGTTAAAAGTTAGGCCATCATTGTCTGGCATTTTTCTGTAGCAAATCCAGGGAGAGCTAATAGCTCCATGGACTGGAGTTAAGCAGCTTTTAAAGGAAGAGTAAATGTCAGTTAGGATTACATTTGAGATCCCTGTGTCAATCAGCCAGGGTTAACAGTATCTGAGAATAGACTCAGGCAGGAAAAATAGAAGTTGTTAATACTAGGTGAAAGAGAATACCTTTGATTTGTGGGTTCCATGGTAGTGAAAAAGAAACATTCATGGACGTGGTCTCATTCAGCTCATTCACAGCTGGCAATTTCAACATAAGGATTAGAACTTGATGCGTAGAAATTCATGACATGTTTTTGCTGGATACTCTCAATTTTCCTCTCCAGATTTACTCTCCACTTATATCTTGCTCTCTGTTCTAGAAGGTTGTCCTCTATGGATTGTGTAAACCATGCTCCCTGTTTTGTCAGCTTTTGGTTGGAATTGGCCAATGGGTGGGAGCATCAGAAGATTGGAGTATGGAAAGAAAGAGAGGTTAGAGTGTTTCTCTGTTCTCTCTCCATTGGCCATTGGCTGTGTGTGTTTGCCCAAGGCTATAGCTCCTGTTGGATAGCTATTTTCAGGAACTTCCGGTGGTTTCCAATAACCATTTCCTCTACTTGCTTCCCATGTGACCTATGACTAAAAAAAGAAACACCACAATCAATTGATTACTCTAGAGAACAACCACGCATTTTTCTTTTAAGGTGAGAAATGATTTACCCTTCTAAGAAAAATAAAACCTCCTTGTAGCCTGATAGATGTTGCTAAGTAATTGAGTTTACCCTAAAATTTAGTTTGAGTGTAACGTTTTTGATCGGGGGGAAGAACTGAGTAGTAAAGAATAAGAGCATGTTTTCATGAAGTAAAGAGATACTGACAACTTGAAATAAGTAGGTGGAATTCTTCCATAAGATTACTATGGATATCAGAAACTAGGAATATAGATTTTATTTCTCATATCCTCCTGAAGCCTGAAATCTTTTGGTTAGCATCCATGCCTCTCATCTGTAATCCAAGACTTTCTTGTATCTCATTATGTCACTCACAGGTTACCCTCTTACTTTCCATAGGAAAGCATTATTTTTCTATGGAATATTTTTTTCTGTATTTATATTTTAAATGTATTTCTTCATGAAACCATTCTTCATGTTTTTATTATAAAATGATGCTATTATAATTAAAAAATAGAAAAGTATATACATTTTTAAAATTATATTTTTCCCCTTCCTCTTTTTCTTGATGATGTAAACACTGACGCTTTGCTGCATACTCTTTTCTGTGCCTATAGAAACATATAAATACGTACATATCTACCACATTTAAATTGTACCTATAGTGATGAGTAGGTAATCATATTTTATATAGTATTCTGCAACTGGGATTTCTGTTTAACATTGGGAAGTGAGAATCTTTCTAAGTATGTGTATATGTGTACACATGGCTGCAGAGTATTTTTTCAGTATGTATGAGCCACAATTTACCACAATTGGTGAACACAATTCATGAACATTTGGTTTCTGTCTTCTCTTTTTTTTTTTCTATTATAAACAATGCTTCTCTAAACATCTCTTTGTTTATTTTATATACCTTTACTTTTCTCTGAGATAGAAATCTGGACAGATGTAAGCATGACGCCAAACACCTTTAGTTGGTTTGCTCCAGGTCTTTCAGAAATCTCTGTGCATAAAGGGACCACTGTGGTTCTTTAAACAAACAAAAACAACAAATTCCTGGAACTTACCCATACTCTATGATTGTGAGATGGAATCATCCTTTTGATAAGCATCCTCAGTGACTTTAAAATAGATGTTCCTGGAACCAGATTTTAGGAAACACTTAAATATTAAATATCCTGGGCAAGTTGCATAGCATTTTTAAGCTTTGATTACCTCATTTGTCCACATTAGAATGTGAGACCTCCCCTAGGCAAGTAGTTTTTGTCTGTTTAATTCACTGATGTGTCCACAGAGCCTAGAAGCATGCTTGGTACATCAAAAACATACAATAAATGTTTGATCAATAAAGGAATACACAAATGAATGAGTGAATAAACCTGTAAAAGGAGCTTAGGATCGAGTTAAGGTTTCAATACAATACACATCTAATATTATAGTATACTGCAGGCACTCAGTAAACATAAATTGTCTTCCTAGCCTCGAATTTTGAGTCAGCGTAGTACACAAAATTCTAGCTACAGTTCAATGGATTGTCTTATCTAAGACAATAATTATAATAAAACAAGCAAAATGAGCTTGCCAGTTCAATGGAACAAACATGATATGCTTTATTTTTTAACAGAAGGGTTTTAGAGATCCGTTCACCTTGTGCCCTTTTTCTTACTGAAGAATCCATCAAAATGGGAGCATTAGCTTATTTTAATAGGTGTGTGAAAATGTGAGAAACATGTGACAGGGAACTATACTAATGCTACTGTCATCAATCAGGTGTGTGTGTGTATGTGTGTGTGTGTGTGTGTGTGTGTGTGTATAAGCAGAGGGATATTGTGTAGAAGCAGAGGGATATTTCTGAGGATGACAGGAGATATATTTAGTTTCTAGAAATATCTTTACTCAAAATTTAATAAGGACAAAACTGATTTTTCCAGATAAAATCATTTACATTATTTATTTATACAGATCCTAACTGACATTTTGTCCAGGCTGTCAAGACCTCTCTTACCCTTGCTTACTGTGGGAATACATTGATATAAGAAGTGGACAAAGCTTTCAAACTTTTAGGTTTATCAGATTCTGACACAGAACTTCCATTTCTCATTAATATTAGCTTACTGTTCAATGAGACATTTAACTTCACACTCTGGACGCGTCTGTGAAACAGTCTAGTCATTCCATAAGTTGTGAATAAAATTATTTTGCTGGAAAATTACTGAAATGATAAGTTCCCAAAATAGAAAGTTAAAATTTAGCTGTGAGAGCTTTAGAGACAAGGCAAACAGAATTTCAGTGTACTAAATAAGCAGTATTGTATTGGAAGGAGTAAAAACTTCATAAGGCTGTGTGTTTTTTTTTTTTTCAGGAGAGGTCAGGGTATTTAATATGATTTATCATAAAAAATAAATATAGTATTTCCAAAAATGTCAGCTACTTCTTATGAGAAATTAGACAGAATTGACTTATTTTGCACATTAATGTTAAGATCATGTCTTTTCAGTGAGGTAAAGTGGAATATCATGGAACATCTTGACTGGAGGCATACTAGTTAACTTAGTCATTCCAAGTAATTGAGGGGGTCTTCCAGGAAGGTGACATCTCAGGGAGCTTCCATCGTAACTTATAATTGGAAATGATTTCATAGAGCTGATAGTAATTTAATGTAACAATATAAGAAGCAGAGAGCAGCATTTTTGCCCCAAGGGGACTATACCCCATTACCATATGTTTCATCTCAGAGATGAAAGTCAGACTGATGTAAAGAGAAGGTAAGTATCTTTCCCAAGGCACAAAGCTTCTGAGAAGTACATCCATGACAAATAAAGTCATTGACATAAAATCTTTGAGGTCTCTGACCCCTCTTATATTTATAAATGAAACTGGCTACCAGATAGATAATCTTATATCATTTCTTGTGTGAAGAACGTTACAGTAGTCAACCGGATGTGGTTTCCTAGACACTTTCCCATGGGAATGGTGGACTCCTCTAGACTCCATCCGACTCTATGGAAGGTGATTGCTATTTCCCACCATCAGGTCTGCTGTGTACGTTTGTGGTAGCCAGCTGCCTTGACTGAATTTCCTCTTCTGAAACTCACTTTTAGCAAGTTTTCTGGATTGGCAACCCCCTTCTGCATTTATTTTAGACATTGAGTATTTTGTTCTTTGGCAGGAATTGTGACTGTGAGATGATGGTATGTGAGAAAGCCTGGTTTCTTTCTTTGGATGTTGCAATAAATTAGAAGCATACTATCCAAAGAGTGTGTCTTCTCTCATGAATGTCTTGGCTATTAGGGCTGGCTGGATAGTAAATGTAGGAGAAGCCACCACAAGATGGGCATTCTCGCACCCATGACAGGCAAGACTTTCAACACTATTCCCACAGGAAGAGTGTCCCCTGGACCCTGATGCAGCTTCTTACAGTATTCTAACCCTACCCCGGTAACGACCATTATGGAATGTGCACATTTAGCTTCAACGTGGCTAGACCAGGTTGAGCCAAGTAGATGGGAACTTGATCTAGATAAATAGGATTTAGACGAACTGGGAGGACTTCAGAGGCTGTTACCAGCTGAGACAGCACCTGGAACAAAGCCACAGAGATGAAACTGAGTATCATGAGTCATGGGTAGAGACAGAGTACAATGAGGTGGCCTGGTTAAAGCAAAAAGTAGGTCTAAGGAAAGTAGGCTCATGACCAGAGTGAGTGCATATTTCTGCCAGCATTGTATTCTAGGCAAGGAATTTCAATATGGAGTTGTAGGTAGTCTCTCAAGATAGATTAGTAAAACAAAAACGTAGGCTCTATGGAGACCAATGTAATACCAGTATCATCTTCTAGGCTAGAGGCAGTGAGAAGGTAACTTGATAAAGCAATTTCAAAGCCATTATTATTAATATAGATAGCAAGAATGAGCAGTTTATATAACATATCACCAAAGTCATAATCAATAGGTATCATGTAGCTCTTTGTAGTCCTTGGATCAGATTTCCCCATTAATAAGATAGTTATAATTGGGGATTAAAAACAAACATGATAAATAACCTGTTACTGGGGACATGGCCAGTCCATGGTGGATATATTATATGTATAGCAGGCCACAGAGAGAACAGCCTACATTGATCTTTGGGGAACAAAAGGATGGAATAAAGACAAGTTTTTCTTTCTCTCCCAACTCACTCTTTCACCTCTGTTGAGCTTCAGATGCCAGAAGCCTCCTTAGCTTTCAGGCTTCTTATCCTGGTGAGAGTCTTTCTGAAGGATTGTAGGTCACACCCTGGCAATGAAAATGCTACTGCCTTGGCGGGTGGGGATTTGAGTGAGCTACAGTTGGTCACAAAACTACAGACATAATAAAGAAATAAAATTCTTGAAATGTATGACTCATATTAGAGTTCTATAAAACTGAATGCCAAATAGTCTTAAGACGTTTCTGAGAGAGAGGACATGAGTGAGTTCACTGCTGGATACTGTATTAAGATGAGGAAAAGTGCAAATCTTGGGGGCTTTTTTAGTTCAGTAGTCTGTGTGGCTGTATCCAATGGGACTTCTGGTTTGTTTGTGATGTGATGTTTGTTTATACATTCAATAAACTTCGAGAGTTTTTCCAAGCCCTCAGCATGCAGAAATAAAGGTTTAACATGGGAAATACCAGAAGTAAATAGGTGCATGAGATAGGAAAGGGACATCTCTGTGTGAGGGTAGGGTGGGGAGATGTACTAATGTTTCCTACAAAATGACTTCTGGGTTTAAATAAAGGGAAGGCCAGTAGGAGCGTGCCAGCTGAGGAAAATGGATGAAGACAAGGGCATTGTAGGGAAAAACAGAGCTTTAAGCCAATTTCTATTTGGATATTTTGTCTTGTGAGCTCAGAGAAATGTTTACAATAACATAAGTATGTTTGAAAAGCATTTGTCTCCCCCCAGACTTTTTCTCTAACTGAAAAATAAGTGAGTTGTGGCCCCAAGAGAAGGCTGACCATGGCAGAAACTGAGGGAGAAGGATTCCTTGAGACACTTAGTTTGACAGGTGATGGGACTATGCACTCCAGGAAATTAGAGGAATTGGTGAATCTATAGTGTCACTGGGTTCACTAATAATGAGAGAAGACGTCTTAGAAGAGAAGAAAGGACTTAAACAGTACCTTCTGAGGATTTAAAATATCATCCTGACTTTTTTTTTTTCAAAGGAGACAGTGTTTATTTGGTGCCGATATGTGGGATTTCTGACTGATGGGTATAGCAGAGAGGCATGAAGACTGAAGCGGGGAGCTGGTCTTCCAGTGGGAAATACACACGATTCTATCTTCCAAATGAAGTGTCTCCACTGAGCAATCACAGAGTCCAGCAAAAAATATAGATTTGATGAAAAGGAGATCCATCTCAGGACCTCAGATTATGTCTGTGGCATCATGTCAGATTTCAATGCAACTTCTCTTCTAAGTATTAATTGTACATGGAAAATATCTCAGAGTCATATACTGACTGGCATTAAGAGTCATTATAAAGAAACAATAAAAACGGACTTAATGTTTTGAATATGAGTGAGCAGGTGTGTTTTCATTTGTTCAATGAATACATTAATTAACTGATGAAAAATTACTAGCGTTCTGTTAAAGTTTTGTTAGAATTTGTGGCAGGGGCTTCACATGTATTTTTCTAATAAATTCTCAAAACAAACTCATGAGGTATATATTATTAGATTCAATTTACAAAAGTAGATTTTGAAACTCAAGTAAAACAGTGCTCAAGGTCACATAGTTATTTAATGTTGAGCACAGATTGGGCTTAGGTCTGCTTGATGCCAAAGTTCTTCATTATTCTTACATCCTGCTATCTGTCAGTAAGAGGGACTCCCAAAACTTTATGATGCCGTGGACTCCTGAGGAATGTTGATACATGTTTCAGGAAACAACTGATGTAATACCTAGCATTTTAAAATGACTAAAATCAAACATCACCACAAAAAGAGAAAAACAGTAAAACCCAGCCTAACATAAACCTGCATTTCCTTGGACAAAGTAGGATATTTGAGATGTTTTATCCAAGTAGTTTTAAAATACCAACCAAAAGTAATAGGGCTTTAATTTGTCTAATTTCAGAAAAAAATAAAGTGGTTAAAACAATATTCCTACCTAATACCCAAACAAGGGAGACATTTGTTTGAATCAATTAGTTTTCTTCACGAGGATGCTTATAATTATTTAGCATTTTGAAAACACTTTTAGTAACTAATACCATGTTTAATAATAAGAGTTACAAATGCTAAAAATCCTTAAATTATGGACATGTAAGAAGACTATGCCAGCACCTTTGTGGAATGCTTGCTTTTTCTTTTCCTAAAATGAATGATAACTGATATAGTGCTAACCAGCACTTAAAAAACATTTATTGTGTATCTCAGATGGACGCTTTTTATGGCAGGACCATATGTCAATTAGTAAGAGGGAAGAGGTCCAAAAAAGAAAAGCATAGGTCAAAATCAGCAAAAGAATCTCAGCTCTGGAGCAGGAGCTCCGTGTGGGAAGAGAACAAGCTATTTGACTTTATACACAGTAGAAAGATCAGGATAAAGTAAGCAAGTTCCCTGCAAAGGGATTAAAGTAAAATGGCATTTAAACTCTGAACATTGGACAGGTTCTCAAGATCTAAGTACTCTGTCAAAGGTTTACAGGTTTTTCAATTCTGGAGGGAATACCTTTTCTTGTCTTTTTTTTTTTTCTTTCATTTTCTTTTTTTTTCTCTTTTTCTTTCCCTTTTCCTCTTTCCTTTTCTTTCTTTTTTTTTTAATGATGATGGATGAAAATGCACTCATGGGACATGTGTAGAAACTGGAGGTCATGCTTAAGGATAATTGGAATTTTCTATTTCTAGCCCAGGACTGGGTTTACACATGTTTATTATACTGAGAAAAAATATTTTTGTGGACTTTTTCTGGTCACTTGTTTTCTGTGAATGCCTTGGCCTTTGCAAAGGCCATTGCTCTCGAGGAATGAGTTAGTGTTATTGGATCAATTAAGATGCCTTACTTATATGGAGAGAATCTAATCGTTCTCTTCATTTCAGTATTTAAAAAAATTACACATCTTTAGAAATTAATAGTACTGGAGTAGTAAATGCAAAAAAAAAAGAGTAGTTAAAAGGAGGAAAAAAATCCAGAGCACTGTTATTGAAAGAAAGCCTTTAATAATATTTTGGAATATTTATGTATTTATTCATTTATAATATCAATTATATATAGATATATCTATCTCTCCACATATATATTTATATCAGCATCTGCTTTGTGCCAAGTTCTGTATAAGAGTACAATAATGAGAAAGGCAGTTATCTATTTCTTAGAGCATCTAGTGTGTATTCTGGGGTAGGGCACAGGCAGATATAAGCCAAATAATCAGAAAGGTATATAATTGCCATTGTGATTTAGTGCTATAGATAAAAATATATGACAAAGGCTGGGCATGATGTGATGGCTCACACCTGTAATCCCAGCACTTTGTGAGGCTGAGGCAGGTATATCACCTAAGGTCAGGTATTCGAGTCCAGCCTGGCCAACATGGTGAAACACTAAAGATACAAAAATTACCCAGGTATGGTGGTGGGCACCTGTAATCCCAGCTATTAGGGAGGCTGAGGCAGGAGAATCACTTGAACCTGGGAGGCAGAGGTAGAAGTGAGCTGAGATCACACCACTGCACTCCAGCCTGGGCGACAGAGCAAGCCTCCATTTCAAAAAAACAAAACAAAAATATATGTATGTATAAGACAAAATAAGATACTATAAGAGGACACTATATCATATCAGATAACTAGGACTCAAAGGCAAATTCCTCAATAAGGAGAGTTTGGGATGAGATTTTAATGCTGAGTTGGAATAAAGAAATAGAGAAGCATGGAGTAAAGAAGAGGTAGGAAAATAACTTCTAGGCAGACAGAACAACGTATGCAAAGACTCAGGTGTGGCATGAGGAAGATGCATTTGATGAACATAAAGAATGTCAGAGAAGCTGGAGTATAGAACGTGATATATTGAAGATATACCAGAGGCCAGGTTATATTATTAATTTTAGGTTATATTATTAATTTTGGTCTTTATCTTAAAGACAATAGGAAGATATTATATTGTTTTAAGCAAGGTACTTGCATTATGAGATTTGCTTTTGAAAAAGTCGCACTTGGTTGCAAAACTGTAAAGGAGATTAGAAGAGAGGCCAAAATGGATTTAAGTGGAAAGATTTAGAGGTATCGATGGTAGTACTGAAGAGCTATGACAGTTGTGTAGCCCCTGGTTGTAGTGGAGAGATTAAAAGGTGGGAAAAGATTCTAGATACCTAGAATCTTAAATTGGCAATACTTGATGATGGACTGGGTGTGGAAGGTGAGTGAAAGCATTCTAAGCTGACCTCTAAGTTGTTGGGTTGCTTAACTCAACAGAAGATAATTAGTGTGGTAGGAAAGAATTAAGGTAGTAAGGTGTGAAGGGAAGCTCCTGAATTCACCATTGGCAATGCTCAATTTAGTACTTCAGACTTTTCTGATGAAATGTCAGTAAGCAGTTGGGTGTGGACATTTAGGGTCCACAGAAGTGGTCTATGCTCGTAAAATATATTTGGGGGTCTGGGGATCAGACGGTAATTGAAGCTATAAGTATGGATGAAAATGCACTGCTGGGGTGTTGCTCCCTTCCTTCCCTTGCCTTCTCCCTTTCTCCTTTCCTTTCTCTTTCACCCTTCCTTCCTTTCTTCCCTCTTTCTTTTCCTCTTTTTTTTTAATTGTGTAAATTTAAGGGGTACAAGTGCAGTTTTATTACATGGATATATTACCTCATGGTAAAGTCTGGGCTTTTAGTGTAACCATCACCTGAAAAATGTATATTGTACCCCTTAAGTAATTTCTCATCCTTGACCCCACCTCTTACCCTCCTGTTCTTCTGAATCTCCAGTGACTATTGTTGCACATGCTATGTCCATGTGTTACATATTATTTAGCACCCACTTATCAGTGAGAACCTGTGGTATTGGCTTTCTGTTTCTAGGTTGTTTCACTTAAGATAATGGCCCCTAATTCCATCCATGTTGCTGCAAAAGATGTTATTTCATTTCTTTTAATGGCTGAATAGTATTCTATTGTGTGTGTGTGTGTGATTTTCTTTCTTCTGTGTCTTTGCCAGTGTCTGTTATTTTCTGTCTTTTTAGTAATAGCCATTCTGACTGGTGAAAGATACTATCTCCAGTGGTTTTAATTTGCATTCCTCTGATGATTAGTGATGCTGAGCATTTTTATATGCTTGCTGGCCATTTGTATGTCTTCTTTTAAAAAATATCTATTCATGTCCATTGCCCACTTTTTAATGAAGTTACTTGTTTTTGTTTTTGTTGTTGTCGAGTTGTTGAGTTCCTTGTAAATTCTGGATATCAATCCCCTGTCAGATGAATAATTTATAAATATTCTCATATTCTGTAGGTTGTCTGTTCACTCTGTTATTATTTTTTTCTGTGCAGAAGCTTTATAGTTAAGTTGAATTTATTTATTTTTGTTGTTGTTACTTGTGCTTTTGAAGACTCAGCCATGAGTTCTATGCCTAGACTAATGTGCAGAATTCTCCCTTGGTTTTCTTGTAGTGTTTTTGTAGTTTTAGGTTATATATCTTTCATTCTCTATTTTTTTTAGTCAATTCCTTACTTAAAGCGATGGTACCCAAATAATGTGTAATTAACCTGTGACCATATACAATTTAATTTTTTCCCATAGGTGTTTTGAAGACATATTTCATGGTCATCTTCTCTCTTGTCAACAAGGCTGAAACCTCAAACACTAAAGCCTGGCTGTAGGACTAGGGCAATTAAGATTGCTGTATATATTTTTAAATGCTTTTGTCCTATGCATATACTGAAGTCCGATTACTTTACCTTTGGTGTAAAGAAAACAGCATATGTCAGTTAGGATTCGGTTCCATTTTCTATAACAGTGACTTGAGTGTACAAGGAATTATTTTTCTTCTTGTGAATTGAGTCTGGATAATGCTATCTGGGGCCAGTATATTGGTTCCATAGCTATCAGGGTTCTAGGTTTAGAGCACGACTTGGCATATTAAGGTAGTTTCATGGATTAATATGGTCACTACAATTTCAGCCATCACACATGCATTTGTGGAAGCGCATATAAAGCAGAGGAGAAAGGCATTTTCTACTGACAGCTACAAGGGAAGCTGAGAATTATCTTTTAACAGGCACTTTTCTACCTGAAATAATATCTGTTCTCCTTTCCTGTTAATGGGAAAGAAGGGAAGAAGGAATGTGGGCAGGCTAATAGAACTCTCTGTCTGAACTTGTCTGAATACATGGAGACTGGGTTTAATTCCTGGCCATGCTATTAATGGGGTTTGTTACCTTTACAAACCCCTCTGTAAAAATAAATAAATAAATAAATAACATAATAAAAATAAACACTAAAGATAGTGTTCTGTAAGTGTTATACAATGCTATATATTGCTATTATTTCCAAGGTGATTGGCTCTCTGGGTACTTGAAAAATAGTTCAATTGTTATAAGTATTGAAAGATTACCTGAATTTCAAAATTATTGTTTTAGACTTTCTTGAAATTTTATCTTTTGTATTGTTATATATTTTTTCTTTATCCATTGTTGTCCATCTATTGATGGACAATTAGATTGATTCCAAATCTTAGCTATTTTAAACAGTGCTGCAACAAACATGGGAGCACAGATACCTCTTTGAAATATTGACTTCCTTTTTGGGGGTTATATACCCAGCAGTGGGATTGCTGGATCATATGGTAGCTCAAGTTTTAGTTTTTTGAGGAACCTCCAAACTCTTGTCCTTCATGGTTGTCCTAATTTACATTCCCTCTGTTAGTGTACAAGGGTTCCCTTTTCTTCAGATCCTCACCAGCATTTGTTGCCTGGCTTTTGAATAGAAGCCATTTTAACTGGGGTGAGATAATATCTCCTTGTAGTTTTGATGTGTATTTCTCTGATGATCAGTGAATAATGCTGAGCACTTTTTCATATGCCTGTTTGCCATTTGTATGTCTTCTTTTGGGAAATGTCTATTCAAATCTCTTACCTGTCTTTTGATTTGATTATTAGATCTTTTCCTATAGAGTTGTTTGAGCTCCTTATATATTTTGGTTATTAATCCCTTGTCAGATGGGTAGTTTGCAAATATTTTGTCCCATTCTGTGGGTTGTCTCTTGACTTTGTTGATTGTATCCTTTGCTGTGCAGAAGTGTATTTACATAATGTGATCCCATTTGTCCATTTTTGCTTTGTTGCGTATGCTTGTGGGATATTGTTCAAGAAATCTTTACTCAGAAGAATGTCCTAGAGTTTTCCTTTAGTAGTTTCATAGTTTGAGGTCTTAGGTTTAAGTATTTAATCCGTTTTGATTTGATTTTTGTATAGGGTGAGAGACAGGGGTCAAGTTTCATTCTTCTGCATATGGATATCCAGTTTTCCCAGCACCACTTATTGAAGAGACTGTCTTTTCCCTAGTGTATGTTCTTGGCATCTTCATGAAAAATGAGTTCAGTGTAGATGTGTGAATTTGTTTCTGGGTTCTCTAGTCTGTTCCATTGGTCTATGTGTCTGTTTTTATGACAGTCCTATGCTGTTTGGGCTAGTATAATTGAAGTCAGGTAATATGATTCCTCTAAGTATGTTCTTTTTGCTTAGCGTAGGTTTGGCTATTGTGGATCTTTTGTGGTTCCATATACAATTTAGAACTTTTTTTTTCTGTAAAAAAGTAATTGGTATTTTAATAGGGATTTCATTGAATCTGTAGATGGCTTTGGGTAATATGGACATTTTAAGAATATTGGTTTTTCCAATTAATGAACATGGAATATTTTTCCATTTTTTGGTGTCTTTGTTCAATTTCTTTCATCAGTGTTATGTAGTTTCCATTATAGAGATCTATTAGTTCTTTGGTTAATTCCTAGGTAGTGAATTTTATGTGTGGCTATTATAAAATAAATTACTTCTTATTTTCTTTTGCAGATTGTTCACTGTTGGTATATAAGAATGCTACTGATTCTGTATATTGATTTTGTATCCTGCAGTTTTCCTGAATTTTTAAATCAGTCCTAATAGTTGTTTTTTGTGGAGTTATTAGGTTTTTCCAAGTATAAAATCATATCATCTGTAAACAAGGATAATTTGACTTCTGCCTTTCCAGTTTGGATGATCTTTATATCTTTCTTTTGCTGGATTGCTCTAGCTAGGACTTCCATTACTATGTTGAATAACACTGGTGACAGTGTGTATCTTTGTTGTGTTCCAGATCTTAGAGAAAAGGCTTTCCATTTTTCTCCATTTGGTATGATAATAGCTGTGGGTCTGTCATAGATGGCTTTCACTGTATTGATGTATTTTGCTTCTGGCCCCAGTTTTTTTGAGAACTCTTATGAAGAGATGTTGAACTTCATCAAATGTTTTATCGGCGTCAATTTAAATAATATGGTTTTTGTATTTCATCTTATTAACATGATGTATCACATTTATTGATTTGTATATGTTGAACCATCCTTGCATCTCAAGGATAAATCTCCTTGGACATGATGAATGATCTTTCTAATGTATTGTTTTTTGTGTTTTTTGAGATAGGGTCTGGCTTTGTCACACAGGCTGGAGTGCAGTGGCATGATCTTGGCTCACTGCAACTTCCACCTCCTGGGATCAAGCAGTCCTACCACCTTGACCCTCCAAGTAGCTGAGCTGGGATCACAGGCATGTGCCACCACACCTGGCTAATTTTTGTACTTTTTGTAGAGATGGGTTTTTGCAGTGTTGCCCCAGCTGGTCTTGAACTCCTGAGCTCAAGTGATCCACCTACCTTGGCCTCCCTAAGTGCTGGGATTATAGGTGTGAGCCATGGCACCCAGCCTCTAATATATTGTTGAATTCAGTTTGCTAATATTTTGTTGAGAATTTTTGCATCAATATTGTATCAATATCCAATATTTGAGATATTGGACTGTAGAATTCTTTTTTTGATGTCTTTTTCTGATTTTATTATTAGGTTAATATTGGCCTGGTAGAATGAGTTTGGAATTATTCCCTCCTCCTCTATATTTTGGAATAGTTTGACTATGATTGATATTAATTATTGTTTAAATGTTAGAATTCAGCAGTGAGGCCATCGGGTCCTGGGATTTTTTTTAGTGGGAGACTTTTTGTTACACCTTTGATCTCATTACGTATTGGTCTGATATATAGTTTGGATTTGTGTCAAATCTCATGTTGAATTGTAATTCCCATTGTTGGAGCTGTGGCCTGGTGGGAGATGATTGGATCATGGGGGTGGATTTCCGACTTGCTGTTCTCATGATAGAGTTCTCATGAGATCTGGATGTTTAAAATATGTAGCACCTCCCCCTTCTTTTTCTTCCTTCTGCTCCAGCCATGTAAAATGTGCCTACTTCGTCTTCATTTTCCACCATGATGGTAATTTTCCTGAGGCCTCTCCAGCCATGCTTCCTGTACAGTTTGTGAAACAGTAAGCCAATTAAACTTCTTTTACTTAAAAATTGCCCAATCTCAGGTATTTCTCTGTAGCAGTGTGAGAACAGACTAATACAGAAAATTGGTACTGAGGAGTGCAGCATTGCTCTAAAGATACCTGAAAATGTGGATATGACTTTAGAACTTGGTGATGAGCTGAGGTTGGAAGAGTGTGGAGGGTTCAAAAGAAGACAGGATGAGGGAAAATTTGGAACTTCCTAGAGGCTTGTTAAATTGTTTTAACTAAAGTGCTGGTAGTAACATGGACAGTGAAGGCCAGGCTGAGGAGGTCTCAGATGGAAATGAGGAACTTATAGGGAACAGGAATAAATGTCACTCTTGCTATGCTTCAGCAAAGAGGCTAGCAACATTGTGCCCCTGCTCTAGGAACCTGTGACACTTTGGGCTTGAGAGAGATGATTTAGTGTTTCTGAAATAAGAAATTTCTAAGCAGCCAAGCATTCAAGATGTGGCCTGACTGCTTCTAAAAACCTATTCTTACATGCATGAGCAAAGAAATGACATGAAACTTGAACTTATATTTAAAAGGGAAGCAGAGCATGCAAGTTTGAAAAATTAGTAGCCCAGCTATGTGGTAGAAAAGTCTATTTTCAGGGAAGCAATTCAAGCTGGCTGAAGAAATTTGCATAACTAAAAGGAAGGCAAGTGCTAATAGCTGAAACAATGTGAAAAAGGCCTTGGAGGCATTTCAGAGAACTCTGAGACAGCTGTGTCCATAACAGGCCTAGAGGCCTGGGAGGGAAGAATGGTTTCCTGGGTCATGCCCAGGGCCCTCTGCCCTGTGCAACCTCAGGACATAGTGCACTGCATTGAGGCCATTACAGTTCCAGCCATGGCTAAAAGGGACACAGTACAGCTTGGGCTGCTGCTTCAGAGGTTCCAAACTGTAAATGTAATCCTTGGAAGCTTCCACATAGTCCTAAGCCTGCAGGTACACAGAGTGTAAGAGTTGAGGCTTGAGAGCCTCTGTTTAGGTTTCAGAGAATGTATGGAAAAGCCTCTATTTCCAGGCAAAAGTATGCTGCAGGAGCAGAGCCCTCCTGAAGAACCTCTAGTCAGGCACTGCAGGGGGAAATGTGTGGTTGGAACCCCCATACAGAGTCCCCACTAGGGCACTGCCTAGTGGTGCCATGAGAAGAGGGCCACCATCCCCCAGACTCTACAATGGTAGATCCACTGACAGCAGGCACTGTGCAGCTGGAAAAGCCACAGGTACTCAACACCAGCCCCTGAAAGCAGCTGCGGGTGCCGTACCCTGCAAAGGCTCAGGGATGGAGCTGCCCAAGACCTTGGGACCCCACTCATTGCACCAGTGTTGCCCTGGATGTGAGAGACATGGAGTCAGAAGAGATTAATTTGGAGCTTTAATGACTGCCTTGCTGTCTTTCAGACTTGTATGGGGCCTGTAGACCCTTTCTTTTGGCTGATTTCTCCCTTTTGAAATGAGAGCATTTACCCAATTCCTCTGCCCCATTGTATCTTGGAAGTAACTACCTTGTTTTTGATTTTACAGGCTCATAGGTGGAAGAACTTGCCTTGTCTCAGATGCAACTTTGGACTATGGACTTTTGAGTTAATGCTGAAATGAGTTAAGATTTCAGGGGACTGTTGAAGGGATGATTGAGTACTTTGCAATGTGAGAAGGACATGAGATTTGAAAGGGGCCAGTGGCAAAATGATATGTTTTGGATTTGTGTTCCCACCCAAATGTCATGTTGAATTGTAATTCCCAACGTTAGAGTTGGGATCTGGTGGGAGGTGATTGGATCATGGGGGCAGATTTCCTCCTTTGGTGCGGTTCTCCTGCTAAGAGTTCTCACAAGATCTGGTTATTTAAAAGTGTGTAGCACCTCCCTTCTTTCTCTCTTCTTCCTGCTCTGGCCATGTGAAGATGTGCCTGCTTCCTGTTTGTCTTTTACCACAATTGTATGTTTCCTGAGACCTCCCCAGCCATGCTCCCTGTACATCATGTGGAACCATGAGCCAATTAAACCTCTTTTCTTTATAAATTATCCATTCTCTGGTATTTCTGTATAGCAGTGCAAGAACAGACTAATGCATGGTCTGTTCAGGTTTTGAATTTCTTCCTGGTTCAATCTTGGTAGGTTGCATATGTCTAGAAATTTGCTGATTTCATCTGCATTTTCCAATTTATTGGCATTTAGTTGCTTATAATAGCCACTAATGATCCTTTGAACTTCTGTAGTATCACTTGTAATGTTTCCTTTTTCATTTCCGATTTTATTTATTTGGATCTTGTTTCTTTTTTTCTTAGTCTGGCTAAAGACATGTTAATTTTGTTTCACTTTTCAGAAAATCAACTTTTTGTTTCTTTTTTTTGTATTGTTTTTGTTTCATTTAAATTTCATTTCCTTCTTTTGTAATGTTTTTGTTTCATTTAAATTTCATTTCTTTCTCCTCTGATATTATTTCTTTCCTTCTATTAATTTTGGGTTTGGTTTGCTCTTTTTTAGTTCTTGAAGATGCATTGTTAGATTGTTCATTTGAAGTTTTTACTCTTTTTTGATATAGGCACTTAGAGTTATAAACTGTTTTTGTTTTATCTCAGGTTTTACTATGTTGTGTTTTCATTATCATTTGTTTTAAGAAACTTTTCAATTTCCTTCCTAATTTCTATGTTGATCCACTGGTCATTCAGGAGCATATTGTTTAATTTGTATGAATTTGTATAGTTTCTAAAATTCCTCTCATTATTAATTTCTAGTTTTATTTCATGTGGTCAGAGAAGATGTTGATATTATTTCCATTTATTGAATGTTTTAATACTTGTTTTGTGACCTAACTTATGGTCTGTTCTTGAGAACGATCCATATGCTATGGAAAAGAATGTATATTCTGCAGCTCTTGAATGAAATATTCTGTAAATATCTATAAGATTTATTTGATCTGTAGTGCAAATTACATTTAATGTTTCTTTGTTGATTTTCCATCTGGAAGAACTGTCCAATGCTGAAAGTGGGGTGTTGAAGTCTCCACCTACCATTGTACTGGGGCCTGTCTCTCTCTTTAGCTCTAATAATATATCCTTTATATATCTGGATGCTCCTATATTGGGTGCATATATATTTAAAACTGTTATATCCTCTTGCTGTATTCACCTCTTTATCATTATATAGTGCCTTTCTTTGTCTCTTCCTACAGTGCCCTCCCTGTTGTCTTGAAAACTATTTTGTCTGAAGTAAGTGTGGCAACTCCTTTTTTTTCCCATTAGCATGAAATAACATTTTCCATCCCTTTATTTTCAGTCTATGTGTCTTTATAGGTAAAGTGTGTTTCTTGTAGGCAACAGTTCAATCGATCTTGTTTTTTCATCCATTCAGTTAATCTGTCTTTTGATTGAAGACATTAGTCTGTTTATACATAATGTTATTGATAAGTAGGAACTTACTTCTGCCATTTTGTCATTTGTTTTCTGGTTATTTTGTGGTTTTCTCTTCCTTCTTTCTTTCCTTCCTGTCTTCCTTTAGTTAAGGTGATTTTCTCTAGCGATGTGATTTACTTTCTTGCTGTTTATATTTTGTATATACATTGAATGTTTTTGTTTGTTTTAGGTTTCCATGAGGCTTGCAAATACTATATTGTAACCTATTTTTTTAACCTGATAACAACTTAACACTATTTGAATAAAGCAACAAACAGGCAAAAGAAAAACTAATAAAAGCTTTACACCTTAACTTTACCCCCAACTTTAAATTTTTTGTTGTTTCCATTTATATCTTATTGTACTATTCTTTAAAAATTGTCATAGTTATTATTTTTGATTGATTCATCATTTAGTCTTTCTACTTAACAGTAGTTTATACACCACAGTTACAGTATTATAATATTCTGTGTTATTCTGTGTATTTACTATTACTAGTGGGTTTTGTACCGTCAGGTGATCATTTATTGGTTATCAATGCCCTTTTCTTTCTAATTGCAGTACTCCCTATAGTATATCCTGTAAGACAAGTCTGATATTAATGAAATCCCTCAGCTTTTGTTTGTCTGGGAAAGTCTTTATTTTTCCTTCATGTTTGAGGGATTTTTTCACTAGACATGCTATTCTAGGATGAAAGATTTTTTTCTTCAGCATTTTAAATATGTTATGTCATTCTCTCCTGGCCTGTAAAGTTTCCCCTGAAAATTCTGCTGCCAGACATATTGGGGCTTCATTGTATGTTATTTGTTTCTTTTCTCTTGCTGCTTTTAGGATCCTTTCTTTATCCATGACCTTTGGGAGTTTGATTATTAAATGCCCTGAGGTAGTCTTCTTTGGGTTAAATATGCTTGGTGTTCTATAACCTTCTTGTACTTGGACATTGATTGTATCTTTCTGTAGGTATGGGAAGTTCTCTGGTAATATCCCATTGAATAACTTTTCTCCCCATCTCTTTTTCTACCTTTTCTTTAAGGCCTATAACGCTTAGATTTGCCCTTTCGAGGCTATTTTCCTGATCCTGTAGGCATGCTTTTTTGTTTATTATTATTTTTCCTTTTTTTCTTCTCTGTGTATCTTCAAATAGCTTGTCTTCAAGCTCAGTAGTTTTTTTCTCCTGCTTGGTCAATTCTGCTTTAAAAGACTCTGAGGCATGCTTCAGTATCTCAACTGCATTTTTCAGCTCTAGAATTTTTGCTTCATTCTTTCTAAGTGCTTCAATTTTTTGTTAAATATATCTGATAGGATTCTGAATTCCTTCTGTGTGTTATTTTGAATTTGAGTTTCCTCCAACATAGCTATTTTGAATTCTCCCTTTGAAAGATCACATATCTCTTTTTCCCTAGGACTAGTTCCTGGCACCTTATTTACTTCATTTCCTGGATGGTGTTGATGCTATCTGATGTTCTTCAGTATCTGGGTACTTATTTTATTCTTCACTGTCTGGGCTTATTTGTAGTCATCCTTCTTGGGAAGACTTTCCAGATATTTGAAAGAACTTGAGTGTTGTGGTCTAAGCTGTATATGCTTTAGGGGGCACCCCAAGCCCAGTAATTCTGTGGTTCTTGCAGACATATGGAGGTACTGTCTTGACAGTTTTTGACCAGATTTGGGAGAATTCTCTGGATTACTAAGCACAGACTCTTATTCTCTTCCCTTGGTTTCTCCCAAAGATAGAGAGTCTCTCTTTATTCTGATCCATGTAAATCTGGCGGTGAAGTGTCACAAGCACCCCTATGGACACCACTACTATGACTGTACTGGGCAGACCCGAAGCCAGAACATCACTGAGCCTTTCTCAAGGCCTGCCGTAACCACTCCCTGGCTACTGCCTATGTTCGCTGAAGGCCGTGGGACTCTATAATTGGCAGGTGGCAAAGACAGCGAGGCCTGTGTCCTTATTTTCAGGATGGCAAGGTCCTCCTGGCCCTGGGTGGATCCGCAAGTGCCATCTGAGATTCAGGGACTAGAGTAAAAAACCTTAGAAGTGTACCTGGTATCCTATTGTATTGCAGATAAGCTGGCACTCAAACCACAAGATGCAGTTCTTCCCAGTGTTCCTTCCCCTTTCAAAGGCATAGAAGCCTCACCCCTTACCACCTGCCGCCTCAGGCTACAAGGAATACTGCCAGACTACTGCCACTGTTCCCTTAAGGCCCAAGGACTCTTAAGTCAGCTGTTAATGAATGTTGCTTGCCATGGTACTTACCCTTCACTGCAGTTCCCTCTGTTCCAGGGCAGGTCCAGAAATGCTGTTCAAGAATCAAGTCCTGGAATCAGAAACCCCAAGTACCCACTCGGTGCTCCACCCTCCTGTGGCTGTGCTGGTACCTAAGGTGCAAGATAAAGTCTCCTTTACTTTTACCTCTGCTTTTCTCAAGTGGAAGAAATTTTGCTCTGTAGTTATCACAGCTAGTAATGTGCTGAGTCTCACCTGAAGCCAGTAAATCTCAGAGGCTCACCCAAGGCCCTTGATGTAGTACCTGGGTATCACTGCTGGTTATTCAGGGCCTAAGGGCCCTTCAGTTAGCAGGTGATGAGTGCTGCCAGGGCTGGGTCTTTTTCTTTAAGGTAATGGGTTCCCTTCTGTCCCAGGGTTTGCCTAGAAATGTCATCTGGGAGCTAGGGCCTGAATCGGGGGCCTCAGAACGCTGACTGGTGCCCTATCCTGTTGTTGCTGAGCTGGTATCCAAGATGCCGAACAAAGTCTTCTCCACTCTTCCCTCTCCTCTCCTCAAGTGGAAGGAAGGGATTTATTTTGGAGCTGAAAGTGCAGTCTGGGTTAGGGGAGGGGCAATACCAGCGTTTCCTTACCCACTTCAGCTGTTGTCTCAGTATGTCGCATTCCCCCTTAGTCCGGTGTCTGTGGGCTTGGTTCAACACTAGGACTCACCTATGAATTGCTGTCTTTGTGGTCTAGACTGCCTTTCAAGTTTCTTGGAGACACAGAGTGCTGTAGCCCTTGGTGACAAGGTTTGCAGAGACTAAAGTTCAATTTGTTGGGGTCGGTGATTCCCTTCTGGCTGTGGCTGGTTTAAATGCTCCCACCATGGGCAGGCTGAGTTTGCTTTTGTTTTTGTTTGTGTGCCAACAGGACAGCACTTACTGTATTTTATTTTAAATAAATTTAATTTTTTGACTCAGGTCTCACTCTGTCACCCAGGTTGGAGTGCAGTGGCATGATATCAGCTCACTGCATCCTTGGCCTTTCAGGCTCAAGCAATCCTCCCACCTCATCTTCCCTATAGCTGGGATCACAGGCACACGCTATCATGCCTAGCTAAACTTTTTTTGTTTGTATTTTTGGTAGAGATAGGGTTTCACCATGTTTCCCAGGCTAGTCTTGAACTCCTGAGCTCAAGCAATCTGCCTGCCTCGGCCTCCCAAAGTGCTGGGATTACAGGCATGAGCCACCATGCCTGGCCAGTACTTAGTTTAGTGCCTCACAATTGCTATGTTCTCCCTCCCACAGGACCCAGAGACTCCACTGCTGCTGGGGATGGAGAAGGGATGGTGTCGGTAATTCAGGCCTTTTTTTTCCTATCTTCTTAGTGCCTCTTTCATCACTATGAAGTTAAAACCAAGTACTGTGAGTGCTTACTTGATTTTTGGATCTTATAATGGTGTTATTATTTTTTCCTTTGCTGTGTAGATGGTTAACTTGGTGTCCTTGTAGGAGGACCATTGGTGGTGCTTTCTATTCCACCATCTTGCTCTGCCTCCCCACATACCAATTCTGACAGGTACTGTTTTTACTTTAATTCAGCTTCAAGTATTTTTAAATTTATTATTATTCTTCCAATAGACAAAAGTTGTTGGTAAGACATTGACTTTCAAACATATATGATTTTCAAGTCTCACTTTTTTATTCATACTTTATTGCATATGGTCATAAAAGACAGTGTGTTACTGATCTTTTGGAATATATTGAGTTTGCCTTGAGTTTAGCTCTTTTTCTAAATGTTCTAAATGTTCTGCCTAAGCTCAAAAGCAATTCATATTCAGTGAATGTTGTGAAACAGCAAAGATGATAGCCTGCTCCTTCCTCTGAATGCTCCATCTCGGGGGGTGCTGACTTGTTGCTGGCCCAAGCGTGCCTGTAGGAGGTGGCTAGAGACCCCTGTTGGGGGGAATGGGATCAGGGTCTTGCTTAAAGAAGCAGTCTGGCTGCTTTTTTGTAGAGTAAGTGTGCTGCATTGCGGCGGGGACCCTTGTTTTTCTGGACCATTTGGAATGTCCAGTGCTGGCATGCTGGAATGGCTTATTCTACCGAACCACAGAGATGGTGCTCACTCCTTCCCATGGGAGCTCTGTACCAGGGAGAGATTAGAGCTCTGTCTGTATAACCCTGGCTAAAGTGGCTGAAGCCCCCACAGGGAGGTCCTGCTCAGTGAAGCAGAATGGATTGGGGTTCTGCTTAAAGATGTTGTCTGGCCATGATCTGGCAGGGAAGTTGTACTGCATTGTGGGGGACCCTTCCTCATCTGGACCCTTCGGATTCTCCAGTGCTTGCAGGCTGGAATGGCTGAGTCTATCAAACCACTGAGATGGCAGCTGCCCCTCCCCCAGGAATAGACTTCAGCCTGTTGCTGCTAACTGGCTGGAATTCCAAACCAGTAGGTCTTGACTTGTGAGGTGCTGTGGAAGTGGGGTCCACAGAATGATTTTGTTTGGTTCCCCAGATTCAGCCCCTTTCCTAGGGCTATGTACAGATGGATCGGCCTGCCTTGCAGGGGATCTCAGGGCCAGAGTATCTAAAACTCCTGGTTCTCTGTGTGTGCCTAAGTGGCTGCTCTGCTGAGACTCCACACAGCCCTTCCAATAGACAAAAGTTATGGGTAAGATACTAACTTTGAAATACCAAAGTTGGCTGGGCGCGGTGGTGCATGCCTGTAATCCCAGCACTTTGGGAGGCCAAGGCAGAAGGATCGCCTGAGGTCAGGAGTTTGAGACCAGCCTGACCAACATAGAGAAACCCTGTCTCTACTAAAAATACAAAATTGGCCGGGCCTGGTGGCTCATGCCTGTAATCCCAGCTACTCAGGAGCCTGAGGCGGGAGAATCGCTTGAACCCGGGAGGCAGAGGTTGCGGTGAGCCGAGATCGCGCCATTGCACTCCAGCCTGGGCAACAAGAGCGAAACTCCATCTCAAAAGAAAGAAAAAGAAAAGAAATACGAAAGTTATTGTGTATTGGACCCAAGGCTCTGGTGGTGTGGGCCCATGAGGGGATCTCCTGATCCGGGGGTTGCAAAGGTCCATGGGAGAAGAACCCAGGCAGGGTTGCACAATCGCTCACCATTTCCCTTGTCTGGGGTGGGGGTTCATTTGGCTCTGTGCTGCCTCTGGGTGGGCCATTACCCCAGTCTGCTTTTCCTCATTCTCTATGGGTTGATTTGTTTGCGTAGTCAGTCCCAGTGCATGAACCTGTATATTACAGTTTTAGTTGCTGAATTCACTTATCACTCTCATTCCTCTTCCTGAGTGCCATCTTGACTTCTTCCTCCTTAACATTGAATTTAAATTTATCACATTTAGTCTTTAAAGTTAAGTAACTGAAATATCATTTCTTCTAAATTCTTTTTTTTATCATGCTAAGGCTAAATGTAAGTTCTTAAATTTTACTAAAGTTTAGTTTGTTCAATTCATACTACAAAAAAGTATTTTCATCAAGATTAAGGCAATTTAATTAAATTCTATTTCCACATTACAAATTGGTATGTTTGCAATTACCTGGGCCTATTACAATATTATGGTTTTTAATTTTTTTTTTTTAGTTGGCAAGTAAACATTCTATGTGTTTACGGTATACAACATGATGTTGAAGTGGCGTCATTGTCTGGGGTAAATACCCAGGGTTCATTTACTTGCACCAAGAAAATTAAGGACACAAACACATGTGAGTGGGTTAAGGAGTGGAAAGTTTAATAGGCGGAAGAAAGGAGAGAAGAGAGCAGCTCCTTGCAAGAGAGACAGAGGCATCCAAAAATGAGAAAAGTGGCAGACTGCAGCAGATTTTATAGGCAGGCTTGAGGAGGAGGTATCTGATTTATGTAGGGCTCACAGATTGCTTCTATCAGGTGTGACCTTTGCAAAGCACATGGGGAAGGCTGGTTGCCCCACCCTAATCTTATTGTGCAAATAGACTTTCCACCTGGCCAGCCCCTTCTTGTCTGCTTTTTACTGTAGACATGGCTGGCAAAGAAGGGACGATGGAGCCACCATTCTTAACATGCCTAATCCAAGGTAGTATTTTTCTGTTGGCACAACTGCTGGCATTTGCCTGTGCAAGCTTCCAGCTTGCTTGTCTATGTCTGCAGCTCAATTTTACAGGCTGCTCTGTTAGAAAATGATTTTGGGCCTGCTTTTTAGTAAAGGAAAAACCTTATCAAGGACTTCCTTACCCTCACTATCCGCTAAATAGTTTCTTTTTCACTTCTATATCAGCGTTTTGGTATATATACATATATCATGGAATGAAAAAATCAAGCTATTTAACATACATAATACATCACATTCTTTTTTTTTTGTAATGAAAACACTAAATATAATGTTTAAAGCAATTTTTAGTTATACAATATATTATTATTAACTGTAGTCACCAGGATGTATAATAGATCTCTTGAACTTATTCCTCCTGTTTAAATGGAATGTTATTTCCTTTGGCCACTGTCTCCTGAATCCCTCTATACCCCAGCCTCTGGTAATCACCATTTTATTCTCTGTTTCTGTGAGTTCAGCTTTTTCAGATTTCACGTAATTGGGATCATGCAGTATTTATCTTTTTTTTCCTGGGTTATTTCACTTAATATATAATTATCTCCAGGTTTACTTATGTTGTCACATATGACAGCATTTTTTTAAGGCTTAGTAGTATTCTATTGTATATATATGCCAAGTTTTATTTTTTCACCCATTTGATGGACACTTCAGTGAATTCCATATCTTGGCTATTGTGACTAATGCTGCAGAGAACATGGGAGGGCAAATATATCTTCAGTATACTGACTTTATGTTCTTTGAATATATACTTAGTAGTGGGAATACAGATTAGATGGCAGCTTTATTTTTATTTTTAGGACTTTCCATGCTGTTTTCCATAAGGTCTGTAGTAATTTACATTCTCACTAACAGTGTCCAAGGTTTCCCTATCTCCACATCCTTCCCAATCCTTTCTGTCTTTTTTGTTTGTTTTTTTGTTTTTTTGGTAATTGCCATTCTAACAGGTGTGAGGTGATATCTCATTATGGTTTTGATTCACATTTCTCAAATGATTAGTGATGTTGAGCATTTAGAAATATCCTTGTTGGCCACGTATATGTCTTAGGCAAAAAGTCAATTCTAGTTTTTTCCCAATTTTTAAATTAGGTGGTTTTTTTATTGTTTGTTTTTGGTGTTGAGTTCCTCATATATTTTGGATATTAATTTCTAATCAGATATATGGTTTTAAAATATTTTCTTCTGTGCAGTCACTTTACTCTGTTGATTGTTTCCTTTGATGTGTAGAAACTTTTGGTTTGATGTCATCTCACTTGTCTAATTTTGCTCTTGTTTCTGGTGCTTTTGGGGTCCTATCCAAAAATTCTTTGCCTAGACAAGTGTCATGAAGATTTTTCACTATGTTTTATAGTTTCAGGTCTTACAGATAAATATTCGACCCATGTTGACTTGATTTTTGTATGTAGTGTGAGGTGAGGTTCTATTTTGTTTTCCATGTTGATTTCCAGTTTTCCCATCACCATTCATTAAACAGATCTTACTTTCTCCATTGTGTGTTTTTGGCATCTTTACAGAAAATCAGTTGACTGTAAATGTATGGATTTATTTCTGGGCTCCCTATTCTGTTCTCTCTTCTGTTGGATGGAATGATCCATATATGTCTGCTAGGTCTATTTTGTCTGAAGTGTAATTCAAGTCCAGTGTTTCCTTGTTGACTTTCTGTCTGGATGATCTGTCCATAGTTCAAAGTGGGGTTTTGAATTTCCCTCCTTATTTTTTTATTTCAGTCAGTCTCTCCATCAGATATCTTAATATTTGTTTTATATATTAACCGTTCCAATGTTGGGTGCATATATGTTTATAATTGTTATATCTTCTTGATCAGTTGACCACTTTATCACGAATGAATAACCTTCTTTGTCTCATCTTATAGTCTTTTACTTAAGGTATTGTATTAGTCTGTTCTTACACTGCTAATGAAGACATACCCAAGATAGGGTAATTTATAAAGAAAAAGAGGTTTAATGGACTCACAGTTCCACATGGCTGGGGAGGCCTCACAGATCTCATGAGACTTACTCACTGTCATGAGAATAGCACAGGAAAAATCTGCCCCCATGATTCAGTTACCTCCCACTAGGTCCCTCCCACAACATGTGGGGATTACAGGAACTACAATTCAAGATGAGATGTGGGTGGGGACATAACCAAACCATATCAAGAATCTATTTTATCAGATGTAAATATAGCTACCCTAGCTTTCCTGTGATTTCTGTTTGCATGAAATATCTTTTCCCACCCTTTTACTTTCAATCTTTGTTTTCTTAAAGGTAAATTGGGTATTTTAAAGGCAGCTATGCAACTATACAGTATAGGCGGGTCTTTCTATCCATGCAGGGACTCTGTGTTTTGATTAGAGAAATTAATCTGCTTGTATTCATGGTAATTATTGATTGGTAAGAACTTACCACTGCCACTTTAAACATTGTTTTCTGGTGGTTTTGAAGATCCTTTTTTCCTTTCTTCTTTTATGGTTGTCTTTATGATTTGGTGATTTTTTCTAGTGGTATGCTTTGATTCCTTATTTTATATATTTTGTGTGTCTACCATAGGTTTTTGTTTTGTAGTTACCATGAGTCTTACATAGAACATCTTATAGTTACAAAATGCAATTTTAAGCTAGTAATTTTTATTAAATAAAAAACTATACTATTACTCCATATCCCCCTTCTCCCACATTTTTTTTTTTTGGTGTCACAATTTACATCTTGTATTGTTTTCCCTTAACAAATTATTGTAGCTATTAATATGTTTAATGGTTTTTCCTGTTAACCTTCACACTACAAATGTAAGTTCTCCCACATCACCATTATAGCATTATAGTAATCTGAATTTGTGTACTTACTTTTCTGGTGAGCTTTATGACATCTTATGAGTTTGTTACTTATTAGTATCATTTTATTTCATCATGAAGAATTCCCTTTAGCATTTTATATAAGATATATCTGGTGGTGAGGAACTCTCCCAACTTTTGTTTGTCTTGGAAAGTCTTTACCTCTTCTTCATTTCTAAGATGCAGTTTTCTGGATCAAGTATCCTTGGTTGGCATATTATTTTTCCTTAAGCACTTTGAATATATTATACCACTTTCTCCCAGTTTGTAAGGTGTCTACTAACAAGTCCACTGCTAGCTTTATTGGAACTCCCTTAAATGATATGCTGCTTTTCTCTGTTTTCAGGATCCTCTTTTTCCTTTTGATTCTTGACAATTTCATTACAATTTGTCTTGGTGTAGTCTTATTTGAATAGAATCTGATTGGAGGTCTTTGACCTTCCCATACCTGCATATTTATATATTTCTCAAGATTTGGAAAATTTTCTTGTATTATTTCATTAAGTTTTTTGACCTTCTCCTTCCTAAATTCTCATGTTCAAAAATATGCTCTTTTGATGCTGTCTCATGAATCCTGTTAGGTTTCTTTATTTTATATTGTTTTGTTGTCCTCTGACTGTGTATTTTCAAATAACCTGTTTTTAATTTCACAGATTCTTTCTTCTGCTTCATCCACTCTTCTGTTGATGTTCTGTATTGCATTTCTCATTGTATCTTTTATTTTTTAGCTGTGGAGATTTTAAAAAATCAATCCAAGTGTGGTGGCACGTGCCTATAGTGCCAGCTGCTTAAGAGGCTGAGGTGGGATGATAACTTGAGAACAGAAGGTCAAATCCAGCCTGAGCAGCATAGTAAGACTCTGTCTTTAAAGAAACAATAATTTCAATTTTCCTGTTAAATTTTTCATTTTTGTTGCGTATTTGATCTTAATGAATTGTTTCTCTGTATTCCTGAAGCTCAGTGATCTTCTCTAAAATAGTTATTTTGAACTATATGTCAGGCACTTTGTGTGTCTCCATCTTATTAAGGTCAGCTGTTGGAAAATTCTTGCGTTCTTTTGGAGATATTTCTCCTTGTTTTTTTTTTTTTTATGTTTCTTGTTGCCTCATGCTGATATTTGAATATTTGGTGGAGGAGTCACCTCTTTCAGACTTTATAGGCTGGTTTCCTGGTGGAAAAACTTTTTCCTATGGTAGAGTGCATGGGTGCTTGCTGGGTGAGGTGCAACAGTTCTGGCAGTAGCAAGGGTGCATCTTTATAGTTGCTGTGTGGCTTTGACAACTGAAGTTGATATCCCTAAATATTTACAAGATCCTCAGTGGCCTGAATGTCTGCATTGGCTGCAAGGGTTGTTGGAATCTTCAGTGGCAATGACTGCTAAGATTCTCCTGATCTCTTTTTCTCTCTCTGGGGAAGTTGTAGCTAAGCGGATTCTTGTTGGCAGTGGGTCTGGTTTGTGGGCCTGCTCATGGTTGCAGTGGTACCTATGTCCAATGAGTGGCACCCATGAAGCAGCCATGGAGCTGAGTGAGGTCTAAAGTACAGGCATGCATTGAAGGACTTCAGCTCAGAGATCCAGGTTGGAAATGGCACAGCTGTGTGGGGCACAGTCAATTCCCCTACCATGTTGGCAATAGTATGTGACAAACAGGGTTTTTTGAAGCAGCCAGAGAACCAAGAATGAGAGAATAGGTGTTTGCGGTTACACCGGTTCTGGGGTCAAGGCGGGGCCTACTTCTCTATGGTAGCTTAGCTGAATCCTGGAACACAGACATGCACAGTGAGAGCCTGGGTCTAGGCCCAGAGTGTGAACTAACTCACTACAAGGATGGCTGTGGTGTCTGAGACATGGGTGGGTGTAGTTACATAGCCTGGGTCTGGATTGTGGACACTCACTGGAAAGCCGCTGCTCACACTTCAAGACACATGTAGGTTTGGGAGAAATGGCAGCTCCTTTATCATAGTGGCTTAATAGTGAGGTTATGGGGAATGCAGCTGCATCTCTCTTTCTGTGATTCCCTGGCAATAACTGGTTGGTTACCTCAGTGGCACAACATTCTAGTGTCCTCTGTGGAGCAGGCCACTGGGGACCATGATAGTTTCTGCTGCATGGCTGATACCGGCAACCTCTGCTTTTTTTCTTTGTTCCTAGCCATCTCCTGGTGTGTCAGGTATGTTAATCTCACCAGTGATCCTTTCTATTTAGATATTATCTTTTTTTTTACTTCATTGTGTTGCTGCAGATTCTTTAATAGGCCCTTGAGCCCTGCTAGGGCTATTTTGATTTGTAAATTGCTGCCTATATTTTATTTTTGGCAGGGAAGATGAAGGCTGGTATTTCCTACTCCAGTATCGTGGTGATGTCACTTCTCTATCTAGCCATCTATTTAGCTAATGTGCCCCTCTACCTCAGTTTTCTAGTTTGTACTTGTATGGTTATTGTAAAAAGCTTTAATTTAACCCTGTTACTTTAATCCTGTATCATCTGTAATTTATTGTCACATTTGTCACACTTGGAAAGTGTTCTCTCTTATTTTATGCTTTCTGATTTTTCTTGTCTCCTGCATTTCTATTCAATTTTCTGTTGTTATTTGGATGATTTTGTTGGTCTTTATTATTCTTCTACATTGATTTAGAAGAAAGAAATCTTATTTTTAACTCCATAAGTGGTGAATTAAAGTTTTCCAAAAATGTTTATATATGGTCATTGATACTTTTACTTTAATCCTGTATCATCTGTAATTTATTGTCACATTTGTCACACTTGGAAAGTGTTCTCTCTTATTTTATGCTTTCTGATTTTTCTTGTCTCCTGCATTTCTATTCAATATTCTGTTGTTATTTGGATGATTTTGTTGGTCTTTATTATTCTTCTACATTGATTTAGAAGAAAGAAATCTTATTTTTAACTCCATAAGTGGTGAATTAAAGTTTTCCAAAAATGTTTATATATGGTCATTGATAAAACACCCATAGCATGACTTTTGTTTCAAATTATGAGTTAAGAAATAGAGCACATTTATTTCTTATTTTTTGATCTGGTTCCCTAACTTTCCCTATACTTTATCAGTTTATTCTGGAGCAATGAATTCTTTCATTTAGAAATGCAATTTTTCAAGGTAAAACTATTTTCCAAACATGTTTTAATTATTACTTGTGTTTCCCTTATCAGCCTTTCTTCCATGAGCAGTCAGTTCTTTTATTCAGTTGTCCTTTGTGTTTTGTCTCATTGCTTAATAGTTAATTGCTACCATTATTTGAGTGCTTATCAATTACTATTCTAAATATTATATCCATTAACTTATTTAATCTTTACAATACTTTTATAAGAATAGTAATCATCATTGAACAGATGAGAAAAATTGTGGCTTAGAAGGGTTAAATAACTTGTACAATGTCTTGAAGCTATTCATGAAATCAAAACTTAAACTCCGATCAGTCTGAATCTAAAGCCTCTACAGTAATGGCTCTGAACTGGATTACTTTTGCCTACCACCCTAAGTGACACTTGGCAATGTCTGGAGACACTTTGGTTATGATAATTGAGGGACTTGGGATGTGCTCCTGGCATAAGGTGGGTAGAGTCCAGAGATGCTAACTGAACATCTTACAATGCACAGGGCAGGCTTCCACAATAAAGGGTCATCTTGTCCCACGTGTAATATTTTTTCTTATTATTTGTTTCTTTTTGCTGTCTTCATCATTACAATATGTACTATTTATTTCATCTAAAGCATATGTTGTTTTGACATTGGCTCTTCATTTAATACCTATTAGATTAGTTGAATTGGTGTTTTAACACCTCCCAATAAAGAAGAAATGTAGGCCCACGCATCTTCACTGTTAAATTCTACCAAATATTTAAGAATGAATTAATACCATTTCATCACAATCTCTTTGAGAGAGTAAAGAAGAGAATTCCCCATACACTTTTGGAGGCCATATATAGTCCATATTCTACATGATTTATAGACCATAAGAGGCACTATATATATATATATATATATATATATATACACATACATAAAATATATGTATATATGTGTATATATGTATATACAGTCTATATAGTATATCTTCAACAAAATGTTACACACCTGAATATATATATATATATGAAGAGCATATATTTTGACAAAATAGGATTTACTATTGAAATGTAAAGTTATTTCAACAATCAAAAATGAACCAAAGTAATTTACCACATAGACTACAGCAGAAAAATTTCGTCCTAATTGATGAGAAAAAGCATTAGACAAAATTCAAAAGTCATTTATGATAGAAACTTTTGAAGAGTAGGAGTAGGAGGCAACTTCCTTAAGCTTATAAAAGTCATGAATGAAACCTCCAGCTAACATATTTAATGGTGACAGACTCAATAGATTCTCCCTAAGATTGAGAACAAAGCAAGCATATCTGTGCTCACCACTCCTATACAAAATCAGACTGGTAGCCTTAGCAAGTGTACTGAGGAAAGAAAAAGAAATATGTGTACAGAGTGGAAAGGAAGAAAAATAATTGCCTCTCTTTAATAATTGTCAATGTACAAAATCCCAAGGAATCAAAAAAAAAAAAAGCTAAAACTAATAAAATGAGGTTAGTGAGGTTCCAGGATACCAAGTCAATATACAAAAATCTTTCTTTGTACAGGAAATAAACAATTGGATTTTGAATTTTATTCTCAAAGTAACATTTATACTCTTGTACACATACAGAAGAAATCCTTGGTAGGATTTGTATGCTGAAAACCATAAGACAGTAATAAATCAATGAAGATGTAAATAAGTGGAGACATATACTGTGCCCACGAATTGAAGATTCAATATTGTTAAGACATCGGTTGTTTGTAAATTGGTGTATGGATTTAATAAGTTCTCAGTCAAAATCCCAGTAGGCTGTTATTTTTTTTTTTGAGACAGAGTTTTGCTCTTGTTGCCCAGGTTGGAGTGCAATGGCGTGATCTCGTCTCACTGCAGCCTCCGTCTCCTGGGTTCAAGTGATTCCCCTGCCTCAGCCTCCAGAGTAGCTGGGATTACAGGCATGCGCCACCATGTCTGGCTAATTTTGTATTTTTAGTAGAGTCGGGGTTTCTCCATGTTGGTTAGGCTGGTCTTGAACTCCTGACCTCAGGTGATCTGCCTGCCTTGACCTCCCAAAGTGCTGGGACTACAGGCGTGAGCCACCGTGCCTGGCTGGCTGTTAAAATTTTTATAGAGAGTGAGAAGTAGTAGAATACTCCACTGTTTTGAAGAGAAGAACATGGAGAACTCTTACTACCTGAGTTCAAGACAGTATAAAGCTACAGTAATTGCTACAGTGTCACATTGGTGATAAGGTATAGAGTCAGATCAATGGAACAGACTAGAGATGTCAGAAATGGACTCACACACATTTGGTCAATTGATTTATGATGAAGGTACAAAGGTAATTCCAAGTGATAACTGTAGTATTTTCAATGAATTGTGTGGTGCTGGAACAATTGGACATGCCTATGAAAATTAGTTTCTAATTAATTACTCAATTGTAATTTAATAATTATAGATGAACCTTAACTCAAACTTTACACCCTCTATTAACCTCAAAACGGTTCATAGGCCAAATTGTAATACCCCAAAGTATAAAATTTCCATATGAAAACATAGGAGAAAAAAATCTTTTTGGCCTTGAGTGAGGCAAGTAATTCTTATGGTAGCAAAGCTATGATCTATAAAAGAGAAAAAATGATTTCATCAAATTCGACTTGATGGAAGTGAAAACCTTTTGTTCTCTTAAAGAGGTTGTTATAAAAATGAAAAGACTAGCCACGGACTGGGATGAAATAGTTGCACATTTCATATCTGACAAAGGGTTTGTATATGGAATATGAAAATATGTCCCCAAACTCAACAATAAACAACTCATTAAATAAATGGGCAAAAGATTTGCAGATACTTCACTAAACAAAATATATGGATGTCAAATAAGCACACACAGAGATACTCAATGTTATTAGTCCTCAGATGAATACAAATTAAAGGCATGTTGAGATGCTATTTTGTGTATATCAGAAGAAGAACTAAAATAAAGAACTGACGATACCCAGTGCTTGCAAAGATGCAGAGCAACTGAAACTCTCATACATTGCTTCTGGAAATGTAAAATTTTACAACTACTTTCAAAAAAGTTTGAAAGTTCCTTATGAAGTTAAAGATATACTTATCATAAGACCTAGAAATCACACTCTAATAGATAATCACCCAAGAAAAATAAAAACAAGTATACACAAAATCCTGTATGTGAATGTTTATAAAAGCTTTGTTCATAATATTGCCAAACAAGGTAAGTGTAGTAAGTGGTGAATGAAATCTTTTTAATGTTCATACAGTGCAGTACTATTCAACAAAAAAAACTAGGTAATAATTTATACATGCCACAATGTAGATGAATCTCTGGTGCATTGTGCTAAGTGAAATTATACAGGCTCAAAAGAATATATACTGTATAGTTCCGTTTATATGACATTCTGGAATACACAAAACGTGAGGGACTAAAATGAACCAGTGCTGCAGAGGGTTGATAGTAGGAAAAGTGTTTGTCTATAAAGTGGTAACGTGGAATTTTGAGGTATGAGGGAATTGTCCCATATCTTGACTGTTGTGATTAATACATGACTACGCATTTGTCATAACACAGAAATGTATGCCAAAAGAGAGAATTTTAGTATATGCAAATTAAAAAATATGCATATTTTTTGAGACAGGGTCTCATTCTGTTGCCCAGGCTGGAGTGCAGTGATGCATCTTGGCTCACTGGAACCTCTGCTTCCCAGGCTCAAGTGATTCTCCTGCCTCAGCCTCTCAAGTAGCTGGGACTACAGTCACATGCCACCAGGCCTGACTCATTTTTGTATTTTTTTGTAGAGATGGGGCTTTGCCACGTTGACTAGGCTGGTCTCGAACTTCTAAGCTCAAAGCAACCTGCCTGTCTCGGCCTCTCAGTGTGCTGGGATTACAGTTGTGAGCCACTGTGCCTAGCCAAACTATGTTTTAAAATAGACAACTAAGCATTACTTTATTTTCATCGATTTATATATACTTTTTAATAAATATGCTTATTGATGCCTGGAAGTCATTCATTATAAGAAGAAACATGTACTAATAAGGGAGAAAAAAATCACCAATTAAACCATAACATGCCAAAGGATTATATATGTATCCTGATTTCAAAGTTGTCATGATGTGAAAAAACATGAGCACTTTTAAATATATATTATTTAACATTCGCAAATTGGAATTGATTCTCCTTCATATCACATATCCTAGTTTTTTATTCTAAAAATCACACTGCAGAAGCCTGAACCACAGAGAAGAGTGATCAGTGGAGGCCTGGGGAGTCAAAAGAGCAAAGGGGCAACTATTTCAAACAAAGGACTTGAGTATAAACACAGGTAACATCAGGGGAGTTAAAATTCATTCCACAGGGGAGGGCAGTCTCTTGCCTGTGTGCCCAAGAATTTTTCTAAGTAGGTGGAATTAGACATTTATTCAAGGATATTCCCTGAGTCATGTATAAGTATGATCATTTATTATTTGAGCATAAAGATTAAAGCTGCTATAGTAGTCCATAAAGGGGCTAGCTAGTATAGTCATATCTTTATGTAATGTAGAGAAATTAAAAGGAGAAAATCTTGTTTCACGCATTGTTTTTAAAAAAGACCAAATAAAAGACATTAAGTTAGAATTGTCATTTATAAATGTGCCTCATTTAAGATAAATTCAAGTTATAAATTATCCTAGAAGTAGATAAATTAGCGCAGGTTGTAGTGGGGACATCTGATTACTTAATGCATTCAAATTCCTTCGAATAGCAAATACTCCACTCTGGGTTTAAATACTTTGTGTTTGCTAAATTTGATTTACACGTGTATCTTTAAAGACCTGTAATGTGAGGTTTATCCATAGACAAGCAACAGAGCTTTGCCTTTGTGTGTTTTATCTAGAATAAGATGAATAAATTGCTACACACATTAGTGCAACACTCAATTGACAGAGATCACTGGGAACCTTAGAGTGACTACTAATTTGGGTAAGTAAATATAACAGGCTTTGTTCTGAAGACAACGGGAATACTTGTGCTTTGAGAGGAAAACAGAGTCTACAGAATTTATAATCATTTCAAAATTAGTACCTGTACTTTATGATAGTCATAAATAGACTTAATTCACCCTGCCACTATTAGGCTTTGATATATATTGTATACATTGTAAAAGACAGAATAATTGGATGCAATTAAACATGTCAGGGAAAAAATACCTTGCTCAATTTAAAGTGATCAATGCAAATCCTAACTGCCTTTTACTCAAATGTATCATGTATTATGACATTAATATGTGCTCCTAAAGAGCTTAAGTCAATGTTCTGTAAAATATTTATAACATAAATCTAGAATGAATTTTTCAAGTAATTGATGAAAACTTTTATCATGTGAGATTTTTAACCATGTTGCATGTTGAATTTTGTTCATGGGACTAAACGGTATTTAGCAATATATAGGTAGATACATTAGTTCATCCTTATTTTCCTCGTCATTACAATATACAGTGGTTTCCATGAACACACCACCTGTGGAATGAATTTTAACATCTGAACTTTTTTTTAAAAACTTTTATTTTAGATTCAGGGGTTCATGTCCAGGTTTATTACGTAGGTAAATTGTGTGTCACGGGGGTTTTGGTGTAGATTATTTTGTCACCCAGGTAGTAAGCTTCGTAGCGTGACAGATACTTTTTCTTATCTTTTCCCTCCTCCTACCCTCAAGTAGGCCACAGTGTCTGTTGTTGCCCCCTTAGTGTCCATGTGTCCTCATCGTTTAGCTTCCACTTGTGATAACAAACATGTAGTATTTCGTTTTCTATTCCTGTGTTAGTTTGCTTCAGGTAATGGCCTCCAGCTCCATCCATGTCACTGTGAAGGACATGGTCTCATTCTTTTTATGCCTGCATAGTATTCCACGGTGTATATGTACCACATTTTCTTTATCTGGTCTACTGTTGATGGGCATTTAGGATGGTTCCATGTGTTTGCTATTGTGAATAGTGCTGCAGTGGACATATACGTGCATATGTGTTTATGGTAGAATGTTTGTTTGATATTCCTTTGGCTGTGTACTCAGTAATGGGATTGCTTAGTCGAATGGTAATTCTGTTTGTAGGTCTTTGAGGAATCACCACACTGCTTTCTACAATAATTGAAGTAATTTACACTCCCACCAGCAGTGTATAAACAAACAAACATTTTTCTTCACAACCTCGCCAGCATCTGTTATTTTTTGACTTTTTAATAATAACCATTCTGACATCTAAACTTTTAATGAGATGTTAGAACCAAATAATATGAAGACTATTACATATGGTCAAAAGAGCCTGGAGTTTTTATTCCTAAATGAGATGATATTGCATAAATGAAATAAAAAGGCAGAAGATACAATACAATGCTGCATGTGCTCAATATACATCCATTTATTAAAGCATATGCCAGAGGATCGCATCACACTATGCATTTAGAGGAGTCATTAACAAAGCAGTGGCCTAACAGTTTAACATGAATTAGCTCACCTCACTGGTCTGTGATTTCATACTCAGTTGCAGAATGGTTCTGACAGTCATGATACTAAGCACTTCTGTACTTAACGTATTAGATCAGCTTGTTCACAAAGCACAATCATAACAGGCTCTTGTTTCTGCTTCTGTAAGTAGTCCACTAACAGTTATGACCATAAGTTATAATTACAAAGTACTGTTTTACAGCCATATATTTTGGCATAGACTCTAAAAAGTCAAATCATAACAATACAGAAAATGCACATATTCATAAACTGTTTTATATTCAAAAACCAACTTAGCTATATTTTTAGGTACCAAGCTGTATTACATTGTTCTCCTACTGCATTTGATGCATTTGGGGCTTATAAATACAAATTACAAAATTTTAAGCAATTTCTTCCGACTTAATTTTACTATTTTTTCACTAAGTGGATGAAAACATGACTTTTGGCATCAGTACAATATATAGTAATGCTGCATTCAATACTAATCATTGAATATTTTTAAAAATAAAGCATTGAACTGATTATAGAGTCATAACTGTCAGAGGGAAGATATTAACAATATAGTTACTTACAGGTATTTTCAGTAAACTTTCCATCCCATTTCTAAACCATTAATGACTTTTTAAAGAATGAAATATGGTAAAGCCAAGACATAACACTATATGACAAATGCATTAACTTACCATTTTTACAAATGTGATGTGATCTTGGCAGTTTTAGAGAACAAAGTTTTGTCAATATATATCAAACATTGTTAACAAACTCTAGCATTGCTTTATGTAAGTTTGCTTTAACAGCATTTCTTCACAGTGATATTTCAGAAAGGTTGGAAACTGGTCAGCAGAAAATATTTCCCACCTTTTCTATTTTAATGTGTATGCAAAAATCACAATATCTGCGACTATAAAATTACAAATGCTTTCTAGAAGTGACTGCATTTCTAGTTATGGTAGAAAAGGGTATTTGTAAGACATCTATAATGAGGTAAGTAAATAAAATGGAAATTGAGTAATAAATGTTTTCTGATCTATGGGCAATATAATCTCATTTAACAAAGACAACTGATGGGCAAACTCAAAAGACTAGTTTTTAAAAATTATGTTTAATGAATGTGAAATGGGTAAAGAAACAAAATAAACATGTTAAAAGGTGTTCTTGATATTTCACTTTACATCATAATTTTGGCACTTCATGGAACACTGATTTCCCAAAGACCAGAATTGGTATAAAAGTTCAGCAGGTTTTTTACATACCTTGTAGACATCGTACATGAGTACTGGCAAACATTGAAATGTAGTGAACTAAACATTCCCATGTATTTGCACATGCATGCAGTAGTCAAACAATTATAGTTATGTATTTAGCTTGCAGTGTTTGTTTCAAGCACTCTCTTCAGTAGATCTTGTTTCAGATTTAAGTCTTACAAATTCTTTAGCCACATCATCACTGGTCCTCTGAGAGAGTATTCTAAGGATAGTCAAACCAGTTTCATCCATAGAGATATTTTTCAGAAGAGGATACCATGCCCCATAGCTTCCCTTTTCTGCTATGTTCTGTAGCTGAATGACTGTCATTCCGATAATTCGATCTTCTCTGGCAAAGCAGTAATCCTTAACTGAGAGATGAAGTTCATAAGCCCCTGGTCGATTTTCCTTTCCGAGAATGCTGTGTGGATTAAAAATACAAATTTTGAGCAAAAACTTTACTTCCACTAGGCATCATTATGGTTCTCAAATACTGCTGAAAACTGTATACATTGGATCTGATTATTATGTTGGCAAATAGGATATCAGTGTATTTTAACCCTTTAAATTTGGCTTAGAAAGCGAATGTTAAAATGACTTTTTCCCTAGATAGAAAAGACAGAAAAAAATGGGAATTAAGATACTATGTTACACTTAATCAGTCGAGGCAGAATCTCCTGATTGCGGGTGCGGTGGAGTTGGAAAGGGGTCATGGGGGCTAGGCCAGGGTAATGGGTACCTCTTGGTAGAATTTATATGCCATTTCAATATCAGTTACTACTCGCACTTTACCTCCCCATTTCAATATCAGTTACTACTCCTCGCACTTTACCTCCAAATCTTGAATAAGCTATTATATCTAGGAGTCTTTTCTCAGGGGAATACACTGCACAGCCCATCAAGCACTATTCACAATATGCTAAATTGGATACAAATCTCCATCCAGAGTAAATCAATTCCAGCAGAGCCTGGTGATTCAATGCCGATTCTTTCCTATGGTAACAGTTAGACCTGTCAAGTGTGTGGCCTCTCCTAACAACCACCTAAGACAGCTTGTTAGTGTCAACATAATAAAGAAGGCCAAGTGGTGATATGGTAGATACAGTCTGTCTTCCTCCACCCCTTATTTTTGTTCATTCTCATATTCTTGATTTTCTAATGAATGTACATCTAGCCCTCAGCAGTACCAGCTTCCAAATTCCTTCCTTTTACAGGTGATTTTTTTCTGATGAAACATTTTGATTTCCAGGAAACACTGGTAACTAAACTTTGTACTTTAGGGAGAATCTGAAATAATGTGAAAGAAAATGGAAGTCTAGGGGATAAGAGTAGAAGAGCAAAATATGATGGGAATCAGATCTCATGAATTAAAAATGCTGCCTTTAAGTAGCTCACTGTGTTATATCTAACAAGAAACTTTAGTTGGGTCCAGGTTTTTGAGTAAGTTGAAGTAGATAGTGAAATGTTGTAAGCTGGTTTATTGGCAGGGAATGTGATCTATTAGGACCCTTTTGATAGAGTAGGATACTTCAGTTTTAATACGTGATAAGAGGGTGAAATATTCAGAGCAGAGTGCTGAAACGACTATAGGAAATCATGAACAAAAAACCTGTAAGAGAGTGTATTGGCGTGTAAATCCTTAGGGCTTTGTCCTAGGCCTCTTAACCTCTCCATGTATCCATTCCTAGGTTAGATTATTTATATTTGTTGAATTAAATGACATCTCTTGAGAGTCTGACAGGCATCACCAAATTAATAGATTTAAAACATTTTTATCATTTCTTCTTCCATCTTGGTAAATTGCTATCTTCCCAACTCCTCATGCCAAAAACTTAGGGATCATCTTTGATTTTATTCAGTGCCAGGTATCGCCCAGTTTCCCCCTGTGGATCCACCCTCCTTTTTGCTGTTTGCAATAGAATGCTGTTTGCAATAGAAAACTCATCTGTTGGGACTATATCTCAGTAGGGTTTCTTCTTGCTTCCGGTAGATTTTGGCCAAAAGGGAACCCCATCAAGAGGTTGGCAGTGAGGAGAGTGAGGTCAGAGTCTTTATTTCCCTGGCTCTTTGCCTGTGGGGCTGCCTCCAGTAGGCTGTTGCCCTTCATGGAATGTCACTGCTGCTTTCAAGGCAAGTAAGTATACATTCAAGTATACATTTCAAACTTGATGTATACTTGAAATGTATACATCAAACTGAAAAGAAATGAATAGTTCTTTCCATTAATAGTGTATTTCAATAATACATTTCAAGCATACATCAAGTTTTCACTTTCCTAATTTTAGTAATGACTCTTTCTCTCCTCTTTTCAGGCATAAGTATGGTAATAGCCTGGTTACTATTAGCCCCAGTTCCCATGATTACTCAAATTTCTCTACTCTTAACCACTTTGTAAATTCCTTTGTAAGTAAGCTCATTTTGAATTACTCTAAACTGAGTGTTTTCGGGAATTACTCTTTCATGTTCTACCTCCAGCCTATGGCAAGAATCTACTTTCCACACATGATACAGAATCTTCTCCATCTATCTCCCTACTAGGATCCGGTTAGTCACTAATAGCTATTGCCTGGACTATTGCAATAGCCTTCTAACTGATCTTTACATATTTGGTCTTGCCACCGTATAATTATTTCTGTACACAGCAAACAAAATAAAGATGTAAATCTCATCTGTTCATTTGAAAACCCTTCAGTGGACCACCTATTGAACTTAGAATTGAAAAGCCCTATGTGACACACTATCTGTACCTTGGCCTCACTTGGATCTCACTCCTTTATCTATGATGTGCTGCTTCTTAAATATCCCAGACTTGCTCTCGCCTTAGAGTCCTTGTACTAGCTATTTATTTCACTTTGTCTGAAATGTTCTGCTCTTCCATGCCTGGCTTTTTATTTGGACAGGTTTCAGTTTAAAAGTCACATGCTCAGAGAGGCTTCCCTGACCTCCCAGGCAAAGCAGCTAGTCATAGCACTTACCACATAGTTCTGCATATTGTATTTAATGCCATATGACAAATATTTGTGACTTTATCATACACTCCTCATCTGTAGAAAGTAACTTATATGAGTGCACTGCAAAAGATTGATTCAGACACCTCCTATGATATATACACCTAATGACTATAACATTGGCTGATACATGGCAGGCACTGAACAGATATTGAATGAATGGAAGGGAACTAAAAACAGAGCCTTCTTCATTTTCCTTAGCCCTTCACACTCCAAATCCCTCAGTAAGGTCAGCTGTACAGTAACTATTGCCTGGTAGAATAAGTAAGGTGGGTTTATGACTTACAACTGAAATGTTTCATTGTACTTTGGTGACCATGTGTTGCTTTTTGTTTTTGTGCCTTGTTTTCTCTTCTTGTCTCCAAGGTTGGGTCCCAGTATACAAACTTCCACAAAGGGGCGGAACATTGCTGTGGTCTGCCAGTTTAGGTCATTAATAGCAATCACTAAAAAAAAGGAAATATCACATTTTAGCAAACAGATGTGTGGAAATTTAGAGTGAAATTTTAAAAGTGATTTATGAAGCCAAAACTTAATAATAGTGCCCTAACTCCACTGACAAGACACTGTACTCCAAGACAATAAAATACAATTTTCTTTCTGGAAGGCACACCTGATGGAGCTTTCAGCTTTAAGCTGTGTAGCTTTGGTGAAAAGTTAGTTAGCTGCAATTAAAATGATATCTGTTACTAATGAAAAGTTAGCACTCTCCTCCTCTTGGTAAAAACATGGTGTTGTTCGTATTGAACATGAAGATATGCTCATCAGGAAATAGATAAAATCTATAAATTTACCAGTCAATGACAATATTTTGGATTGTATGCTTTCAATATTTAGTTACTTTATATACAAAATGATATTATAATGTGTTGCAATCTTATAAATAGCTTTATTTTTTTAAGTCTATCATGGCTAATTTTCTAATTCATTATATATTTTGTCAACTGCTAATAATATTTTGCTCTGTGGCTATTTCATCCTATATTTAGCCAGTCACTTGTTAGATATTATAGCTGTTTTTAAATTTCAGTCGTCATAAAAAAAATACTAAATGAAGATTCTCATGTGTAAATATCTTTGCTCATCCTCAAGCGAAGTGTCTTATAATTAAAATCACTACTGCAAAATATTCATTAAACTTTCACACGTTGGCAACATTTTTCAAAAATATTTAAGGAAATTGACAGTATATACTACTGTATATAATCTATTCTAAAATATAGCTATTTTACTTTTATGATGTAAAGATACAATATGTAATGTAATTCTGAAATATATTGGGCAGCCCTAGTTTTGCTCAAAGTGGGTATTGAAGTGACTAATATAAAAATAGAACGAGCGTATTGTTAACAAAATGCTAATCCTTTAATTTCATCTTTGAAATTACCCCTGCATTCAGGCTGTTTTTACAATGTAAAACCAACAAATTGAGCCACTCATTGTAAAGAACTCTAAGCCAGTTGTTGGAAATCATATAGAAAAAGCAGTAGGTTTTGTGAATAGTAAGAACATACTGACTTAATATTTAAAGTGCAAGTGTTCAATGAATATCATGGCACCAACCACAAAATAAATATCTGATAAAGTAAGTTTGGATATTTAATCAGTGTATTTATATATTTTGAATAATGCATGCTAAACATTAGTGCCATTGATATTTTTCTATTTTTAATCAAAAGTTTGGGTTTCATTAGGAAATTTTGTGCATGCCCTAAAATAATTGTGCAGTTTTTTTAAATGCAAGAAAAGTTACATTGCTGATATCAGTACTGCTGCAGAAGTTTAGAAGGCTGTTTTGATTTATCTAGACCAGAAGTATACCTTTTACAGTGACTTTATGATCTCCCGTTCCTGGGGTGGCAGTGATGTCCACATGAACAGATATCTGACCCACGGCATCTTTGGAGGAACGACCTGAAAATAAGCAGAGGCTTACTGGCCTGAGCTTTCAGACTCATTAATAATGGACAATTTCATTCTATGCATAAAAAACATAAAATGTATTATTGGAAATGAATAGTTCTTTCCATTAATAGTGCGTAATAGGTGATGATAAATATTCACTTAAGTATGAAATGCAAGTTTGAAGCTTGGATGTAATAATTACCCCATTGAACTAAAATGTCATTGGGCCTGCAGAAATCCTAAGACATTCTGTTACTATTATGATAGTTTAAAGAACTAGGGTTGATTTACTAGCCACTTAATGAAGTTATATTCATTTCTTGCACACAAGGATGCACCATTGCTTTTTATTACTTTAAGAGCTTTTCCACAATGTGCCATACCGGAGCACTGGGAACAGAAAGGTAGCTTTGTTAGGGTCCCTGCCTTCATGAAACTCATAGTTGGCCAGGGGAGCCCCACATGCAAATATATTACAACAATTTATTTATAAGGTGTACCGATAGCATTTTAAAAAGTCAACTGTCTCCTGGAAAAGATTAGTCAGGGGTTAAACTTATTGTGTTGGAAAGGGCCTGTGATTTCGGTTCAGATAAACATGAATTCAAATCACAGTATGTCACCACTGATTCTATGATTCTATTTTCTTAAGCTTCTGTTTTCTTATTTGTGAAATGAGGATAACACCAACCTCTTACTATATTCACATTAACATATCTTTTATGAACATACACATTTTTCCCCAAACTGAAGCACATGCTCTAGCTATTTGTTACCAGGCCTTTATCTTTTCACCTAAAAATGTATCATGGAGGTCATTCCAGTTCAGTGTAGATAAAGCTGTCACTACATCAACGACTACAGGCTTGGAAAATAAAACATTAATGTTTGACATTTAATCCATTATATGAATATATAATTTAACCATATTTCAATTGTTTAATTCCTTGCTATTATAAACTATAATGAATTATTATGCTACAAAAGTTTACAGTATAGTTTTTAAAAGCATAGTATTTTTGTCAAAGTTATGTGGCGTTTTAATTTCTACCACAGAGACTGTAACTTTTGCAATCTCATTTGCAATGTATTAGATTAATAAAGATCTTATTTTCATAAAAATGAAGGCAAATGCTGAAAGCCCGGAACAAAAGATTCTGAAAGACTTTCAGTTTCTATCTTGAGAGAATCATCAAGATTTGGGCCAAAACCTTTCAAGAGAACCTGCTGAGATGAGGCAATTCACCACAAGGGCCTCTCTCCTTGGCACAGCCATTTGATGATAAAAGGACTGGAAGACAGAAAGTGGTCACTTTGGACATAAGAATTTTAGAACAACCCTTCACACTAACGAAATAGACAATGACCCCTCACCACTGAAGTACAGATGGAGTCATCTTTTTTCTTTCCTTCCTCCCCCCAACACCAGGGAGACTACCACCAGGAGAAAGAAGTCATGAGAGGAGGTCATACCTTTATCTTTTACTCTTTGTACTACTGAAGGCATGATTATAGCCTGCTTTTGGGAGAGAGGTTTTTTTTTTTTTTTTGAGACAGGGTCTTGCTCTGTTGCTCAAGCTGGAGTGCAGTGGTGCAATCACAGCTCACTCTAGGCTCGACTTGTAGGGCTCAGGTGATTCTCCCACCTCAGCTTCCCAAGTACCTGGGACTAGAAGTATGGACCGCCATGCCTGGGCCTCCCAAAGTGCTGGAATTATGGGTGTGAGCTGCCATGCCCAGCCGAGAATAGAGCCAAAGCTTTAATGTGAGCAGAATGAAACTTTAAGAAATGAGTAATTTTCTCGCAGCACGAGTAACTAATACAGTATGAACCTGGATTGGGAGATCCCAAAGTACTGCACCTGGCCATAACATTCTAAGTAGGGCAATATGTGAGTTTTGATGTCCTTAGTTATGAAGGAAGACTTATGCTGTTTTAAAACAAGTAACGTCTAAGGAAATGTGCCTAAAACCTTTAAGAAGGGACTCTAAACGTATACAATGTAAGTTTTTCCTTTCTCAAATTGCTTGTCGGCGGTCTTCCATTTATACACCCTACCTGTGTGTGTGTTTTTCAATCAGTTATTGAGGGTTATATTGACGTCAGGGGCAGAGGCTTTAAAAATCTTGCTTATGTACTCAGCAGTGCCTGAACACTTTTCTGAAACCTCCTGGGTGGAAACATTTACTAGACTCTCAAAATACATATTTCCTTTTCTAAGACAAAATTTACTCTTCAATTAGGTCAAACATAGTCTTGAGAACTGGCTGTGTAAGGTAGTACAACCCTAAAGTGCAATGAGGAACATAAATTTTCTGACAATTGTGGGTTAGAAACAATGGGCTAGAAAGTATTGATTATCATTGCTGTTATTGCTTAATAGTCATGCTATTTAGAATTTTCACTTTGAAACTGAATGATTCTGCTTTCATGGCCCTATGTTTATACCACTCTCTAGTACTCATGCTATAGCTAGTATTACAGTTAATTATGCAGATTTTTCTCCTTAACAGAATGCCTTTATTATTAGTAATCCATACTTCTCATTCATACAATACAATGCTTTGATGTGCATTACGTGGACAATTAAATATTTGTTGATTAAATAGGCTGACAGTAGTTGCTTCCACAGTTTAAACAACATTAGTGTCCTCTGACCATTTCAAATTTCAGTTACCATGGTATATTAAATGTGTGTAATTGCATGAAGGGCAAACTTCACAAGCTAATTCTGTAGTCCAGTAATCACTGTGTGGATAGCAGATACATGTCATTAGTGACCAGTCTCTTCTTTCAAAGCAGGTGAATGGTCACTGTGTTCCTGTTCACACACAGACAACAAAGTGTGGCCACTTTGTTTCGCAGTTACAAACCCATGTGATTATTTTACAAACCTGGATAATCAAAAGATGGACTTGGCCAGGAAAGATCAAAGTGCAGCAAAGAAAGGATAAGGGATAATGCTAGAGTGAAACATGCGTAGAGTGCAAATGAGTTAATCTAAGCAATTACTGACCCTTGGATTGTTGACACTGCTGCCATTGGAGAGATTCTAGATAAGCATCCAAGGAGGTTACTGAAGTTGGGCTTATTAACGTAAGTGAGGAGAAAGATACAGATATCTTAGCAAAATTTACATGGAGAAAGGCTCACATTTAAGGAACTCTCAGGTAGGTGATGACATAAAAAGCTGAAAGGATTACAATGCTGGTGGATTGTCGTAGTCCTAAGTTTGGATCCATTTCCAAGGCATAGAAAAGCTGCTTGCCCCTTACTATACCATGAGAAGAAAGAGGCAAACACTGTTCAAACTACTCTTAAAAAGACTTTTACATTAAAACTCATTAGACAAATATTTTTACTGTATTTTAAATTTCCCTGTATGTTTATAATTGACAGTAAGAGGTTTTTTGTTTTGTTTTTTGACAAAATGTCTTTAAAAGTCACAGTGGAATTTTAACTTTTTCCGTAAGTTATCCAGATTACTTTGCACAGTTTGGCTCCCGTTATTTTCATAGTCCTGTATTACTGTGAAAAGAACTATACATATACTTCCGTTGATTCATTTAATGCTTTTGGTACTGAAACTCTAAAAGCTGCTTAATTCAGTCACATGTGAGTTACATGTGTGTTATATTGTGCCACATATTTTACCTCACATTCGGAAGATTTGCTTTACTATGTCCTTGAATATGATGTGTACAGTGAAATTTGTCAATTGTCTATCCCAGGGTAAAAATGAAATTGAACCAAAGCACTTTGAACACAGGATATCTCAATTGACTAGTTATTTGCTCAAAAAGGCAGCCTATATTTCCATTTCCTATGGATTTGAATATGGAAATAATCTAACATCATATTCTTTATTCAACAAAGTTTTAGTGAGCAATTCAGAAAAATTTAATGAGAGGCTTTGCCTGTTATATAGTCTTGCTTATTGTAAATCCATAGGGATTAGCCTACATGTGAAATCACCATCTGTGTGTCTACAACATGCCCTTTGTCACTAACATTATTGGGTCATGAATACTTCAAGAATGAGTAGTGCCCTTGTGAGCATACACTGACAGAGGGCAGGAAGCTCAAAGAGCTCATTGTCTGCTTTATTTGAACTTCTCTTCAGAAGAGCAGCTTTTGAGGATTAAAAATTCCTGCTTACTGTCGTTATAACACGGGATTAATAAGCACCTTACTGGAATCTCTCACCTACCATAATTTTAGTATGCTATGTGAGGGAATGAACAGTCTCACACATTTAATAATGACTACTCATATAATGCTTTTAATTGGTAATGACCTATATGAAACATGATATAGAAAACACATTACAGCTTCTCAAATGACCCCTATAAGTTAACCAATTGCTTAGGTTTCTGACAAATTTGAATCTGGCCCCATGCACCTTTGCTGGGCCCCACAAAACAAGGAGGTAGATTATTTATGAAGGTCAACCACTCTGGCAATATCACCATTAAATATCAAGCTCATCTGCCCCATAGCTCCTCCATCTTCAGGTCCAGGACTCTGGATTGGAATGACCTACCTCCACATTCAGTTCTGTAAGTCATTAGGCATCATCCAAGATGGTAGATGATGAATAAATGGACAATGACTTAAGCTTTTTTTACTCTCTCATCCATTCCAGTGCTTTCTTCCCTGGTCTTTGCTCATTATTTCCATGTTATTTAATATATATTTGGAAGAATTCATGGCAGTGATAACAATAATGGCTACAATTTTTTATTACCTATGTATGCCAGGCATTGTGCTAAGTGCTTCAGGTATAAGATCTTGTAAGGTATTGTTTACATTTTACAGATGGTAAGACTGGGATTCAGATGTTAGTTGCCTGTTTAAGTCAATAAAGAGCAAAGCTGAGATTTGACTTCAGATCTCTAACTTATAAGATATAGTATATACTGTGCTCTGATGCTCATTGAACAGCTTCTCCCCATATCCCTCCTCCCTGCCCCTCCACTTTTTTCTTTTTTACATCAAAGAGGAAAAAGCAAATTTTGACCTGGTTTAGTTTTAATGGCATTTAAAATATGGCTACACTAAAAGACAGGATATGAAACAAAAGATTAAAAAATTACTTTTATATAGGACCTAGCTATCTTAAGATTTTCTGACATTTATTTTGCATTTTCACTTCACTAAACTCTACAGTCACATGTCACTTAATGACGGGCATAAATTCTGAAAAATGTGTTAGGTGATTTCTTCATTGTGCGAACATCATCAAGTGTACTTACACAAACCTAGGTGGTATAGCCTATGACACTTCTAAGTGGTAGGGTATAGTTTATTGTTCCTAGGCTACAAACCTTTACAGTATGTTACTGTACTGAATAGTGTAAGCAGTTGTAACACCTGTATTTGTGTATCTAAACATAGCTAAACATAGAGAAGATATAGTATAAAACATAAAAACAAGACACCTATATTGGGCCCTTACCATGAATGGAGCTTGTGGGATTGAAAGTTGCCCTGGCTGAGTCAATGCGTGAGTGATGAGTGAATATGAAGGCCTAAGACATTATTGTACCCCCTGCAGACTCTCTAAACACTTAGGCTACATTATAAAAGATTTTCTTCAATAATAAAGTAAACTTTCTGTAACCTTTTACTTTGTAAACTATTTTTTAACCTTTTGACTCTTTCATAGTAACACATAGCTCAAGCTGTATAAAAACATCATCTTTCTTTATAACCTTATTCTGTAAAATTTTTTCTATTTTAAAGACTTTTTTTTACTTAAAAGCTTTTGTTGCTGTTGTTGTTAATAAACTATTAGCCCAGGCCTACACAGGGTCAGAATCCTCAACATCATTTTTTAAAATTTTTAACTTGAGTCTTTTCTAACTGTACATAATTATATTGCTATACTTTTTATGACTGGGAGTACAGCAGGCTTATTTACACCATCATTACCACAAACATGTGTGGTGTTATGTTATTATAATCTTATGGGACCACTGTTGAAATGCAGTGTATCACTGACTGTAACATTGGTATATGTCACAAACTCCACAGGAATTATGTAGACATACTTAAATTAACTTTGTTTCCTAGGACTCCCTATTTTCATGGCTTTCTGGACTTTAAACTTACTGCTGATTGATTGAAAAAGCTTATATCTACTACTTTATATTAAGTGAGTCTCCATGGCTACAGTTTGCTGAAGTGTGTTGCTGAGAAATTGATGAGAGGTTAGTAAGAAATCCATGAGGTAAGTCACCATGTTGGTTAATTATCTTTTAGAATTGCCTTGGGAATTTAGGTATCCTAACTTTAAATATTTTAGGATTGAAACATATTTAGATGGAAGAATTTTAGGGCTAAAGGGAGCCTTGGAAATCATTTGGTCCAGTCTTTTTGTTTTAGACATAAAGAAGTTGAGGCTTAGTATTTTGAACACATTTCAATAAAGGGGGCAATATTAGTGGTAGGTCTTATTTTTCAGTTCTGGATTCTTTCCACTGACAAACTAGCTTGTCTTTTGGAATCCACAGAATTGGTTAGATTGTCAAACAAGAGAAGAACTTGGGCAGTAGGTAGCATGTGGATTTGGCCAGTCACCATTACTTGTTTCCACCTGGAAACACACAGCAGTTGGGGAAAAATAAACAAAACAACTTTCAACCCCAACTAATGCCTGATAACTGTTTCAGATGTAGACAGTCATTATCTATTTGACTTGACCTATCAGCATCTCTCAAATCTATTCATGCACCACAATTACTAGCAAACATGACTATCGAGCAGAGAGAGGTGGAGGTAAAAAAAGATTCTCCATATGGCAGTGTGTATTCCCACCAGGCATTATAAGCAGGAAGAGACTAGGGAATAATACATCTTGAAGGATGAGAGCATCAGGATGTCTTCTTCTTGGTGATCACTGAGGTAAATAAATATAGTAATGGGAGCCAAGTTAGTTCAGATGAAGTCAGTCAGTCATGGGACTATGCATCCCCACAGCCCTGGCTTCAGACCACTGCATCTATCAGTAACCAAAGGAAGTTAAGAAGACAGACCCTCTTTTTGGTAGTACAATAGGGTGACTATAGTCAATAACAACTGAATGGTACATTTTTAAATAACTTGAAGAGTATAACTGGATTGTAAGTAAAAGGATAAATGCTTGAGGAGATAGATGTCCCCTTCCCCAGGATGTGCTTATTTCACATTGCATGCCTGTATCAAAACATCTCATGTACCCACGAAAAATTTAAAAAGTGGCTAAGGTTAATCCAGGTCACATACACATTGAAAAATCTATGTCTAAATACATCTCATTTGATGATGAGTGAACATATAAAACCCAATAAAGGGCATCTGAAACAAAAATTCTATAGAACAAGAAAAAGATACTATCTTCAGAACTCACTGGAGATAGCTTCTCTCTGAAAACAGTATTCCTAAATAAATCAGGATTTTTAAAATTAGTCACAACAAAATTTCTTGAGCTAAAAGTTTAATTTTTAGAAGAATTGCATTTCAGAAAAATTAGAAAAGTATAAACTATACCAGCATATATCTGGATGAAATGTTTACAGATAAAGGGCAAAATGTCTAAGTATATAATAAATATCCAAGAAGAAAAGGAAGAAGATTCTGGCAGCCCTGTATTTTTCCTCCTAAAATTCAGGAAAAAATTACACAATACCTAGTTATGAGGGAGACAGTATATGATCCTAGAATTTTAATCCAGCCAGTTTTTCCTCATGTGTAAATAAAAAGTAATTTTCAAAACTTCAAAAGCCCAGAAAAATTAATACATATTTCAGCCAATAGAGCCTAAGACCGGAGCTGTTGGGTTGTAGTGAGTGTTGGTATTGACTACCTGACTACCACACAAAAGTATTCTTTCTTGTAATATAACAGCTACAGGGGAAAGTTACATATTTTCAGGGAAATTATGGATTCAAAAAGATTCAAAGAGATTCAAATTCTTTGAATAGATGCCTATAGAGTCGAAAATTTGCTTTGTGCCAGCTCAGAGATGCTCATGACAACCCTTTAATTATGAAAGTCTTGGGAGTTTGGGGATGTGGGTATTAGCAACGACCCAAGTTCTATGCAATATGGTGTTAAAACAGAATAAGACACTAGCAATAATGAGAGAAAAATATTAACACTAGAAAGAAAGCTTTTCAATTATAGCCAGAGTCTAAAAAAATAAGTCAATTGACCTGAGTTTCATAAAAGGAAAGAGAAGAACACGAACATTATTGTATCTGATTAAGAGTTAAAAAGGAAAGCAGTATGACAATCAGCAACCTCTCTCCACCAAGTCCCTCTGGGGAACTACTTGTGCTATTAATTAAAGTAGCTGGGGCAACAGGAAATGGGGCTGGAGTTCTTACCCTGTTTTATTTTTCTTCAAGCACTTCTGATGTTGCAATGTATAATAGTTTCTCCCACCAAAATATAAGCTCCATAACGGAAAGATCTTTGCCCTGGTCACAAATGCTTAATTACTACCTAAAACAGTTCCTAGTACGTACTAGATAAATATTTGCCAAATACACAGTGACACAATTAGAAAAGTTGAGAATATTATTTAAAAGATAAATTGTAAATTAAACATGATAAACCGAGGTTATAAGCCTGGCATTTTATCATGATTTATATCTCTATTTTGATTTTTAGCTTTTTAAAAAAGAAGATATTACACAAATAGTTAAGGCCCCATGAGTTCTCCTCCCTGGTCTCTTTCTCCATTATCATGAATTCAGAAACTTACATTTGAATGTCTTTATACTCGGTTTATGGATCCATAAATATTTATTCGTTAATATTTGAAAACACTATTATGAGTATCATTGTACAGTTTTATTTCACTAGGTATTGTTTGAGGTTTATCCATGTTAAATAGACAGCATTGTAATTCACTTATTTTAAACTACTGTATAGTATACCATTCATGAATATTTTATGATTCATGCATTCTCCTATTAATATTTAGTAAATAATAGCAACACAATTTTAATAGACATTTTTTAATATGTCAACTATTGGGATTTTGATCATTGTATTTATAGATTGCTTGCTCTGAATTTCAAAATCTTTTGGAGGTTTTATACATATTTTGCTACATTTGTATGTATACTGTTTTATTATTTTAAACAGGATATTTTAATTTTATATACTAATTGGCTATTATGTAAAAAAGCTATTGATTTTGTAGTGAGTAAATCTTCTAATTGTTTTTATATAGATCTATTTATGCTTTCTATGTAGGTAATTATGTTGTCTGCTTCTAAAATTGTTTAGAAGTCTCTTGTTCTTGAGAGACAAATAATAATCTCCTAATTTTATGTGAATATAACCTCTAAATAATAGTGACATGGCAAGCACAAAATTAGGACCCCACTGAATTAATTCATATAAGTATAAAAATTCTAAGTGAAATACTGACAAAATGCAAGCCTTTGACCAAATAAAGCTTATTAAAACTTATAGTAACAAGAAAAGATTGGTTTCAACTATTACCCTAATAAATATCTCAAAGTCTAATAAGGTGTGATAAAATTCAATGCTCATTCCTATTCAAACCTCATTCATATTTGGAGGGTAGCTTTAAAATGTGATTTTTCAAAAATATCCACTTCGTTTGCAACAATAACACATGTAAGTCATTAAAAATTGCCTTTTAAAGCAAACAAAATAAGACTGTGCGAAATTAGAGTAAATGAATGGAGTCAATGAGAAAGAGCACGATTATTCAATTGAATGTTCTAGGAGGAGTTTTTACTATTGGGGAAAAAGTTAAACAGGAATCATTTGATATCTGTATGTGGAAAATCTTTTGGAACTTGAAATCAAATCACAAACTTAAAAACAAAAAACATTTGTAAATCCATCTGTCAACTGGGAAAATGTTTTGTAACAGATGTTACAGAGAGACGGTTACTATCCCTAATGTATAAAGAAGTCATATAAATAAATAAACTCTAAATGAAGAAAGAAATAGACAATTCACAAAAAGAAATTTAACTGGTTCATGTGGAAAATGTGTAACCTTTCCACACCTTTAAGGTATCTAGCATTGCTTATCACATTAGCATATATTTTAAACAAATACAACCACCTAATGCTAGAGATTTTGTGAAAAATATAACTACTCGAGTCCACTATTGATGATGGGAAGAGAAATTAAAACAATGATTCCAGGTGGAAAGCAACTTGGGTATTACATGCTTTCTGCATATTTGAGTTTAGTAATTTCAATTATGAAACTATTCAAAATATATGTGACAGATGGTGTTTTATAAAATTCTGGTTGAAAATGAGAAATAAACTTATTTTGTAATTGCTGAGTAAATCATTAAATGAGATATCCATGTGATCAGTGCAACAGTTGTAAACTTGACAGTTCAGAGTTAATATCATGTAAAATACTTATGTTGCAAGGTCATGTAAATGGATACATAATTGTGTGTAAGCCTGATGAAGCATTTAAAATAAGATTAAATTACAAAAAATATAACACAAGCTTAATTTTTTGAGTAATATCTTTATACTCTGTATTTTCTATTGTTTTCCAATTCCATGTTACTTTTTAAATAAAAATAAAATAAATGTAGTTGGAACATTTCAAAACGTGTATTAAGAGAGCTTGATTTAATACTGGCTAAAGCATAACAGTTATCAAGAAAGAGGGATTTATAACTTACTTACTTACAATCATAGCGGTTTCAAAGGAGTATATGCATATACTTTTCCAGAAGAGTTTAAAATAGTTGAATCTTTCAGGATTCTTAAAAGTTCCTCCAGAGATTATTTCAGAAATAAGAACTCAGCCAACCTATGGATGGACCTTCTCTTCTTTAGGTGTTATCTTAATCAGATTTCTTGAATATACTGTCCATCTCTGCTTACTTTTCTCTTCAAGCATAATTTTGCTGAAAATTGGGAGTCTCCAGTGACCTTTTTTTTAGCCAGCTATATGTGTTTTTTCAGATTGCATCCTGTTAACCAATTGCATCCTGTTAACCCCTTCTAAACCCAAGGGCTCTTGCTGATTTGAGTGGAAATTTTAAATTCAATCCTAAGCTTTAGAAATTGTTCTATCAATTGTAAACAAATTTACCTCTTATCACACTCAGCAATATCCCTTTTTACAATCCTTCCTTGCACATATGCAAATACTACTCCACTTCCCAGCTCTGCCACCTCCACATAGCTTCCCCAATCACTCTGACCAACACTACTGATGGCCACTTGTAGCTACTGTATTCTCCCCATACCATCCATTTTGTCACTTAATATGCCACCTCATCGTGTATCCCTGTGATTTTCTACAGATCAAACCTATTACATCACGAAGTTATGCCAAGATTAAAACAGTTTTAATGCTAAATTTAAAAAAGTATAGTTGTCTAAAATTTTTTTAATACTTACTACTATTGGTCAGATTGATGGAATAACTGATACAAAAACAAAAACTGGTCATTGAAACACAAATTTTGGAGATGAAACCTAATAGTGATGCAGTGTATGTAAAAGGTACGTGATGGTCTCTGGGCCATACTGCCTGGGTTTGAATCCAGGCTTCGCTAAGTATCAGCTAGATGACCTTGAGTAAGTTACTTAATCTCAAATCTCACATCTGTAAAATAGGAGTAATAGTTCTTACCTATTTCAATTGTTGTAAAGATTAAATGAGTTACCACTTGAAAAGAACTTAAAATACCTGGCATATGTAAAGTCTAGTTGCTAGCTATTATTTTGGTGGTTATTAAAATATTATTCATCCCTGTTTACCTAGCAATTTCTATAAACCTGCCTTACAGAAACACTTGCACAAATACACAAAGACACATATGACTAACATTTTTAGAGGTGGGTGGATCACTTGAGGTCATCAGTTTGAGACCAGCCTGGACAACATCGTGAAACCCTGCCTCTACTAAAAATACAAAAAATTAGCTAGGCATGTTGGTGTGTGCCTGTAATTCCAGATACTAGGGAGGCGGAGACAGGAGAATTGCTGAACCCGGAAGGCGGAGGCTGAAGTGAGCCGAGATCGCGCCACTGTGCTCCTGCCTGGGCGACAGAGCAAGACTCCATCTCAAAAAAAAAGCTAAAGACAACCGATATGTCTATAAGTAGTAAACTAGTGAGTACATCATCATATATCATATGACATACTGTGAATGCACACTAAACAGTGAAGGAACTCTTTTGTATATAAGATAAGATCTATTTAAAAAAAAACTACAATATGCACTGATATGGTTTGGCTGTGTCCCCACCCAAATCTCATCTTGAATTGCGGTTCCCATAATCTCCCCATGTCATTGGAGGGACCTGGTAGGAAGTAATTGAATCATGGGGCACTTCCCCCATGCTCTTCTCATGACAGTGAGTGAGTTATCATGAGATCTGATGGTTTTATAAGGAGCTTTTTCCCCTTTGCTCAGCATTTCTCTTTCCTGTCACCATGTGAAGAAGCACGTTTTCTTCCCTTTCTGCCATGATTGTAAGTTTCCTGAGGCCTCCCCAGCCATGCTGAACTGTAAGTCAATTAAACCTTTTTTCTTTAGAAATTACCCAGTCTTGGATATGTCTTTATTAGCAGCATGAGACTGGACAATTACATGCATATTACTCAATTTTAGGGGGAAGAAAGAAGTATTTGTACATGTATGATTGAAGGTCTGGGAGAATAAACAATACACACAGATGGTGTTGGCTGAGTGTATTAGCTTTGCTATCATACACTCTCATATTATCTGAATTGTTTAACAAACATCTAGCACTTAATTAAAATGTTTAAACATATAAAAAAAGAACCAGAAAACTAGAGCAGGAAAATATAGATGACAAGTTCAGTTCATTGATTTAAAACCCTGTGGTTTCCCTGTCTGGAGAATACATACATCACTGATGTGGCTCAGTCATTTTGACCAGGATATTATCCACCCCGCCAAGCAGCTATCATGAACAAATTGCTGAATTTGTGAGCATGTGAGTGAGTCACTGAACAGTGTTGAGAGGAAAATTGGTAATGCACATCAATGGGTAGATGGAGCAGTGTCCACAGTGATCCAATAATTGGTACCTGGGTGACAGCAGAAGACAGAACTGACTTCATTCCAGTAATCAATCAAGAATGCTCACCCAGGAAAATACTCAAGCAGCAGCAGTAAAAAGCCATTAAAAAATGAAATGAAAAGAAATCAGCTTAGTTATGGACAACAATGCAAACACATCCAAGAGATGACCACAATTAACAGCAGTAGTTCCCAGGGTTCAGAACATTTGGCTGAGAACTCATTTAATACCAGAGACTTCAGAAACATTAGAAGCTAATGTTGAAATAGTAAAATGTAACTCTCACCATCACTTTGAAGCAGCCACTCTGCAAGAAGCAGGCATACACAAATTTAACTATCCTACAGAAAAGGCAAGAGGGTGGTAATGTACTGCTCTGATCTTTTAAATCAATAATTGGTCTAATCTAACATAATTCAGCAAGGACAGTATAGCAAGATAAGGAACTGTAATGAACAGAATGAATAACATTTGTCAGAAGAGAAATAGAGAATATATATGGTTTCATTTCCCAGCAGATACAATAAACAGAGGGTATAATGCAATAAACCCTCAGTGTTTCCTTTTCTTCCTTAGTGTATTTTGTTTTTTATCGTGACACAGTGCTGAATAAGAATCTGGAATCTGAAATATATAAAAAATATAGACTAAAAACAAACATGATTTCTTCATTTGTTTGTTAACACATTAAACCTGCCACTTTGCTAGGTGATGAGAAATATAAACGAGAAAGCAAAAATAAAAATGAGTGCATCACATCCTGTACCTTCAGAGAAGTGAATAAAATATATACATAAATAACTCTACTGGAAGATATTTTTGTGATCTGAAAGATTTGCATTTGAATTCTGGCTGTACCACATACCTGTGCTCTGGGCAATCATTTTAGCATTCCTGAGATTCATGTTTTATTATCTTTGGAAATAGTCACACTCCCTTCACAAGATCATGAGGACAAAATGAGGTGACACTGGTTGAAATTACAGTCTAACACATATTTGGTGCTTATAAATGTTAATTCCTTTACGTCTTTTTGTTTTTATTTGAGTAAGATGATCTATTTAATTTCTGTTACATTAGTTTTAACAACTCATTTAATGTTTATAGTAAACTTAAATATAAGTGTTTTTTTTTGGAAAAAGACCTGGAATACATAGACATGATTTCAGTTTTCTGACTTATCCCGTAATGCTATTGTCTTCTAAAAATCTTGAACTTCATCTGTTTAGTGGAGAGAAACTGGCTTTTTGTTTTTTCAAATAAATGCAAGGAGAGCATGTTCCTTTTGAGGAGAAGTTATGAAATAAACACACAAAAATAAAAACTACTGTTTGTCTGATATGGTTTGGTTCTGTGTCCCCACCCAAATCTTATGTTGAATTGTAATCCCCAGTGTTGGGGGAGGGAACGGGTGGGAGGTGATTGGATCATGGGAGCAAATTTCCCCCTTGCCTTTCTTGTGACAGTGAATGGGTTCTCAAGAGATCTGCTTGTTTAAAAGTGTGTAGCACCTCCCCCTTCCCTTTGTCTCTCCTGTCTGCCATGGAAAGATGCTCTTGCTTCCCCTCTGCCTTTTGCCATAATTCTAAGTTTCCTGAGGTCTCCCAGCCATGCTTCATGTACAGCCTGCATAACTGAGTCAATTAACCCTCTTTTCTTCATAAATTACCTCATGGTCTCAGGTAGTTCTTTATAGCAGTGTGAGAATGGACTAATACCTTGTCTGAAACATTTAAAAAATAAAAAATAGATCTCAATTTCCAAAGACTGTATTCTCTACAAGAACGGTCACTCTAACAATCTCCTAAATTCAAACTGTGCTGAGGAACTCCCAGGTAGAAGATAGGATTAATAATATTTTTTCTTTCTAAAGAATGTATTGAACTGACTCTGAAAAAGGACAAACAAGCATGGAGAAACAGAGATAAGAAACAGTGTTCTGAAGTTAAAATACTGGCTTCTAGTAATTTCTGTGGCCTAGTATATCCCTGTGATCTGTGGCTTGGTTCTCACTGGCAAACCAAGATTCTCTCGCATTCTTAAAATTCATTCTACTCTTCAACTATTTGGTATCATACATCTGTCACTACCAACCATTACTTGCATTCATAACACAGGATTTGACATAGAACTAGATACCAACTCATTTAAGTCAAATTTATTACATAATTTTTTAAAAAGTTTTAAAAAACTAAATTTAAGATTTGAAGCTGATGAAAATGCCAATTTTTTTTCCCACAAAACCTTCCCTGATTTCTCCACAGGAAATAGTCTCTTTATAAACCATGACTGTGTATAATTCATTTAAAGCTTAGTATTTTCTATTTTGATTATAGTCATTTGCATACAAAATACATATATTTCCAATTCGGTAAATTGTAAGCTCTCTAAGGACAGAGTATGTGCCACATTCATCCATGTAATTCCTATGGCTAACGCAGCACCTTCAACTCAATTTGGTCCCAGTAGAAAGAGAGCACAGCAGAGGGTTTGACACCACAGGCTGTAGGGTCAGATGCTCAAGACTGAGATTTAGCTCCTAACTCAGCATGACTTTGAGCAATTCCTTAATCTCTTTAACTCTTAGTTCCTCATTGGAAAAATGAAATAGTTTTTTCCTTTTATGGTACTACGAGGATTGAACAATGTAAAGCACTTAGTTCACCGCACGCAAATCGTCAAACACTGGTGGTTAACATCTCTAATGCGTACTTGCTCTGAAACTCTGGGTTTGTGTAATGCACTTGCATAGCTCAAGTTTCTTTCTTTTTAAAAATTAAGGCTAACTAAATGACAAAGTAAGTTTGACTCCCTAGGTTCCCCTAAGAAACCCACAAATGATTTATAGGATCATCATGACCTTTGAAGTTATCTACTGATTAAATATGGAACACATGCATCTTAAATTTGTTTTAAAATAAATTCCTTCAAGTTATAAATTTGTTTTGTGAAATCTTGCAAAGCTTTGCAAAGTTTGTCATATCATATTCTGTCATTTTCAATAAGATTCCAAGTCTTAGGCCCTTGCTAGAAATCTGTGCTGAAAAGCAAAATATTGATTCAACTTCAGAGAAATGTAATATAGAATCTAAGATGACTTGCTACAACGACAAGTAATAGAATGTTTGCTCACTAATTGTACTTTTCTTTTATACTTTAATAACAATAACAAACCAATAGCCAAAGACAGATTTGTTGTATTTTGCAAAGTCTTTCTCACCAGAAGTGGGAAACAGGAGTAGCCTAGCAATGTCATATAATGGTTTTACACACGGATGCCTTTGGCTTCTTAAAGAAGGCAGAGGCAGACAGTGCTCTGCCCAGGGTATAACACTTGGCTCTAGTTTATTTTCCCTGTTTGCAAAGGCTTGTCATCCATAGTTGCAAGTAGCACTGGCCTAATGTCCATGAATGATGTTTATACGGAGAGAAAATGTTATGAAGTTTGCCTTCATGGCATATTGCTCGCAAAGCATTTAAGCGATCGAGCAATACAGGTTTGACCAGATCCTGCTGTCTTCTAGCTGCATCCTGGTTGACTGAATCCAGGACTGACTCAGTCATCATCCATCAAACATTCACTGGGCACCTGCATTTCAAGCATTAAAACTTGGTTAGGATGATTCCTCACCCTCTCTGTATACTGGAAACACCTGAGGAACTTTAAAACAAGGGTGGGCTCCATGCCAGGACAATTACATTAGAATTTTGGAAGTGGAGCTCCAGCAGCTACATTTTTTTTAAAAAAGGGCTGTAGGTAGTTTTGATATGCAGCCAAGGTTAAGACCTACAAGTATGGGGGCTCCAAAGCAAGACAAAAGAGTATTTTTGAGAGCTTCTAAGCTTGTGGAAGGATAAGTAAACAAAATCCAGTGGCATCTGTGCTATGATAGGAAATATAAGGGGCACTGGAAGCACACAGGAAGAGCACCTCATTAAGACTGGGGATTGGCTCAGAGTGCTAAGCTTAAAAGCAGTTTCAGTGATTCTACATGGCACTGTGGCCCCTCTTAGAACTCAGCTGTCTGATCCAGCTAGGACTGATTAACGGGCCATTCAGACAAATTGGTTGCTGATTGTTTGACCCTCCCCTGGGGCCACTGTTTACCAGTTTGTGAGCTTCCCACTGATCACTTCTCCCTCCAGCTTTACTACCCAGCAGGTCTTGTTTCTCGTCTCAGGCAGTGAATCCTAACTCCAAGCTGGGAATAAACTCCCAGTGAGTTCCCCTGCTGATGCAGCATCCTTTGGAGATGAGGAAATTACCCATCTCAACACAGAACAGAGCTGTTTTTTTCCCCCAGTTGTACTTTATTTTTTAAGTTGCAGGGTACATGTGCCGGAAGTGCAGATTTGTTAATTAGGTAGGTCTGGGTCCAGACCATTCATTAGGTTTTAGACTCTACATTTTAAGCATGAGGAGAACTCCATTTTGTTTGATTTCTCATGCTCTCTATTATGACAGCATTCCTTTTCAATGCCCTGTCAGAGTAACAACATCTGAACAACTCAGAGTCCTCCAGAACACTGCTGACACAGTATTGCCCTGTGCTGGCACTGGAAAGAGGTGTTCAAGTGGAAATATTATCCCACCAGAAATAAAGAGGTCTTAGAGGAATTGCTGACTGTAAAGGTGACAAGACCAGTGGGGATTCTGGCCTCACAGAGGTGGCCTCTTATTTTCTGGAATCAATATTTAGAATTGGAGCTTTTACTGGAAGCAGGGAGTTCCCCAGGAAAGTTAGCCCCTTGAGGAAAGAGGTATCAGTGATCCCCCAAAACTGCAACTGCCCCTCTCAAAATAAAGTGTTTACAATAAATTATGCACCTAAACTCAGAGGTGTTACAGCTGTTTTTCTTTTGTTTTCTTTCTTTCTTTCCTGGTTTAAGGAAAAAAGTAATTTCAAACTTCGTTGTGTTTCTTAACGGAAAAACTGAAAGTAAACTACAGGTATTAGATGCACAACTAAACATATTTTAGTTCATCTATGTGGTGGGAAATTATACATTCTTTAACTCATACTTTTGGAAATTTTAGATGACATGTGACAGTGTCATCAGACCACATTGTGATATACACAATGCTAGGACATGGATGACAACAGAAACCAACCAGTCCACTGTAGGGTGAAGAAAAGGCCACCTCCAAAAAGAAATGGGCATGAGTTCAGCTCTCACATCAACAAGCTGAGGGTGAAAGCGTCAGAGGCAGATCAAGGCCTGGAAAACCGTGTACCAGGCATGTGAAACCAGAGGATATCACAGGCTCTGAATAAGTGGGAAAGAACATTTAGATATTGGTAACAAAGAGTGGGAAGGCTGCACTCAGTCAGGTAGGAGGAAAAAAAAAGAAAAGCCGTGCTCAGGTGTAAGCTTTCAATAAAGTCTATCTAGACAGAAGTTTTGTTTTTTGGAGTCTCCCTCTGTCTCCCAGACTGGAGTGCAGTGCTGCGACCTCAGCTCACTGCAATATCTGCCTCCCGTTTCAAGTGATTCTCCTGCCTCAGCCTCCCAAGTAGCTGGCATTCCAGGTACCTGCCACTACACCTGGCTAATTTTTGTATTTTTCTGTAGAGATGGGGGTTTCACCATGTTGCCCAGGATAGTCTCAAACTCCTGGCCTCAAGTGATCTGCCTGCCTTGGCCTCCTAAAGTGTTGGGATTACAGGTGTGAGCCACTGTGCCTGGCCAGTTCTTCATATTTTTCCTATCCACATGTGAATGGTTTCAGGGGTGGGAGTGCTTATAGATCCACACTGGAGTATTAAACAAGTGATTTTCTATATATATCTAAGAATGAATGCAGTGCTACCAACAGTTCTGGCAGCAATTTAACTGTGGAATAATGAACAACCAGATAAGCATCTTTCACTATACAGGGTGTGTTCTTCAAAAGCTGCCAGTAAAGTGATTTGTGTCAAGTGTTTTTCTCATCAATAATTGAGGAATCAATACCTTCAAAATGCATTCAATATGATTAAAAGAGAGTCATACTTCACAGAATTCTAGGAAGATGTGTGAGAGATGGCAGCCTAATTTTTGGATCCTCCCAAATCCACACAGAGACAAACAAAGCAATTACTTATTGAGGCCAGAAACCCAAGGAAAACATTTACCATGAGACAGGTGTCAAGGTAACTCCTTGATTCCCAAAACAGGATTATGCCAGAGATGCCACAAACAGCTAAGAGTTCTTTGTGTGACTGGTGTCTATGTGGAAGAGGCACATGGGAATGGAGGAAGGACTAAACAGATGCACCAGAGCCTTTGTGAAATCTCCCCACTGATCCTACCTATTATCTTGCCTCAAGGATGAAACCTGAGTCCAGTCTCCAGACACAGAGGCCAACTTGCAGGAACACAGAAGGATATGTGGAATCACACTGAAAGGGACTTTAAAAGACATCACGTTTAAAAGAAAATGAACAAGTGAAACTGATGTCCAAGGATCCAATCTTGGGCATGAAAAACTATCAAGAAATGCAAAGAATTGATTACAATGAAAAGTCACTTTGGAGGGAGGGTGGGGGCTGTGACTGATGAGACGTATGGAGGAACTTCTGGGGTGACTGGCAAAGTTTTCTTTGATGACTTTTGTGGTCCTTACACTTGTTCTATGTGGCTCTTTGTTCTGTGCTATATGTTACAATAAAGGTTAAAATACTTAAACATAAGATCTATTAATAATCTCAAAATAAAAAGAAAACTTAGAGCATCCTCTAAAATATGCTCATGCTTTTAAAATGAAAATAGAATATTTAAAAGCATATAATCTACTGATCATCTCTAAATATTAAAATATTCTAGCTCCTTGATGTTAGAACTATGGTGGCCACTGAAAGGCTGTTTCTCACTTCCATGAAAGTAAGGAGGGCACAGGTATGTGTGAGAGAGGATTTTCTTCCTATTCTTGTTCTCACTCTGTCCCACTGTCAGCCCAGTGAAATTCATCTATTGTTCTCCAAGAATTAGAAACAATTGTGTTAGTTACTCTGCGTAGTGTGTAAACAAGCTACTAGGGTAATTAAATTGTTTCCGAAATAAAGTTATCCCCTTCTACCTCCAGGCTGCACAACTCCATGGAAACCACTACAGGTTTGCTTTCTTTGGATGCTTTCTTGGTCCTCAGAGGCCCTTCAGGAGCTCATTCCTTTTCAACAGCTGCTAATTGATGAAGAAATATTTGCCTGTTCAGTCTATGCCAGAATAAAATGGCCAAGGGAGGAGCTAGCGAGGGCAAGACAGGAGGACTGGGTTGCTGGCTGTGGGCTCACAGAGGGAGGGAAGTAAGAGGGGAGTGCAAGTCAATCCTCCCATTGTTCTCAGATGGGGCAGTGGGTGGGAGAGACTGGAAATCACTACGACAGATTGCAGAGACCAGGCCATGCTCTTCCCCAGTACTTCCTTACCTTTGCCTGCTTCTGCATTTCCACTTTGAGGAGAAACATGTTCTTAAGTGAATGGCAGTCACCCTAAGGATGGCACCTGGATGATTTTACTTCTTTCTTCCTGTTGCTAAATTTAGTGAAAAAACTCCTTTGGAATGGGGGACAGGGAAAGGGAGATGGATGTCCGAACCAGTCAACCAGGTCCCCAAAGGGAAAAAAGCATATGGATAAGGAACAGAGAAAGTCTTGTACTCTCTGTGATCATCAGAACTTGCATACTTTTTCCTGCTGACAGAGTCAAAGTTAATTTTTATTAGCCTATGCAAGATTCTGATTCAAGTAAGACAATTTCTACACCACTTTGCCCACATTTTGTGTCTGTCTTTTCTTCTGTGTATTGGTAACTATTCAGATCCTACCAAAGCTCCCTAACCTGTTCCCCTAGGGTCTTCTCAGTCCTACCATCAAGTGCTCTCCTTCTCCTCTAAACCACAGCACTTTCCTGTAATATTCTTGTAGGTCTGGCTTAGGTTTTAAGTCATTTTGTTTGTGGCCTCTTGCACCAGGAGATTATCTTCTCATTGACATTAAAGACCCTATTACCCTCTGGATTCCCTGCGGCATCCCAAAGAGTTCCTGGTATATAGGTCACCAAAACATGTTTGTTGCTTATTTAGCTTATTTTACTCATATTCATTGCATGCCATGTTGAATGTTCTTTGGAACTAAAGAATTGTGAGAATGTAGGGGTTTACTCTAGCTTAACCCATTAGATCAAGCTTGTCCAACCCTCAAGCCACAGGCTGCATGTGGCACAGGATGGCTTTGAATACAGCCTAACTCAAATTTGTAAACTTTCTTAAAACAATGATTTTTTTTTTGCAATTTTTTTGGCTCATCAGCTATCATTAGTGTTAGTGTATTTCATGTGTGACCTAAGACAATTCTTATTCTTCCAATGTGGCCCAGGGAAGTCAAAAGATTGGACACCCATGCATTAGACTATAGATTACCTGAGAGTATGGGCTTACGTATCCAATGCTATATCATCCACATCTAGATTGGTGCTTGGTCCATGATGGACACTCAGTTAACATTAGTCCTATGAATGAATAAATGATCTATGTATGGGGTTTTCTTAAGGTATGAAAGCTTTGTTTTCAAAGATAAAATATTTATTTTGTATAAGAAAGATAAAAAACAAACACTGATTGGTGAGAATAATCCATAATTCAGACACGTTATTGATCAATAAATACCTGAAAAATAAGGTACCAAAAAAGTGAATTATAATGTGTATTCACATCTGACAATTATTGTGCATTTAGCAATAGGTCAGTACCATAGGGACAAAGGAATCTAAAAGGCCCCCTATAATCTAACTTAATCTAGCTGAGCTCATCTTGTTCTCAAATTGGACCTTCTGCTCCAGCTTATCTGGCCTGCTCCCCTATACTCTGAATACAGCTTGCTCATTCCTACATCTTTGCCTTTGGTGATACCATTTTCTGTTCATGGAAAAATGCTCTCATCCCGAAATCATATGCCTCCATTAAAATCCCTCCCTAGATAGCCCTTTTCTACACAGTGTTCCCTAGATAACACTACTCTTGAGGAATTTAGAGAGGTCTCACTTTGATAAGATCAAGGCACAGTCCAGGGCCTACCACGTTCTGACACAAATATGTGCTACCATGAAATCACTCTCTCACTGTCCCATACTTATTTATTATGCCCTGACAAATTAGATCATAAACTACTCTGGAGAGTAGGAATGGTGTTCATTATTCTCTCTGTTCCAAATTACCTGGTCATATAAGAGGTTAATAAATGGTCATATGCCTGCTATATTAGACCTAGGAAATTTCTTCCTAAAAAAACAAAAGTATTCAAAACAATTACTACAAAAGCAAGAGAAGAAGTTAATCTTTCCAATGCCTCTAACTTAAGTGCCTAGGTAATTATCATTCTCTTCAAGTTTACTTTCAATGGTTAGGAAGAGGTGCGAGAGAAAGAAGAGTGAGGAGACCATTAACTATTTTATGTTATAAGTACTACTCAAGAAGAAAAGAAGCAGATGTCCTTCATTTCCATAGAAGACAGAAACATAATAGGCTTCACACAGACCCAGAGAAAATTTGTCTGTATGTGGGGAGGAATTTTTCACTGTACAACTAACCACTGAAGTAGGCTACTTAAAGGAAATTCCTAAAAACAGTCTAGACAACCATGTGTTTCGGGTAGTTGGAACATTTCACTACTACAGGAACAATGGCTCTCTTGAGGCTCCTCCAGTGCCCTAGATCCATAATGAACAAATATCGTTGGAAAAATCTTACTTTCGGAAACTTGGATAGTCTTACTGGAGTGAAAGAAATAGATCTTACCATTTTTATCCACAAATAGCATAAAAATGTAACAATGATTGCAAGCAGATACTGAAGAAATAGAGATTACACTGCAGGCTTGTACAAGACACAAACTCAAAGGAAAAGAAAGCAAAAAGGCATCAAATGCAGAAGAAATTGTTCAGGCTTTCTCTTTTCTTGATCTGTACCTCTGAAGCTGGCATAAACCCTCATGTTTATTAGAAAATGTCCTGAACGTGGAATCTTGAAGCAGGGATTTGTATTCTAGTTACTAATGTGATTATTTAACCTCTCTGAACCTCTGTTTCTCTTCATTGGTAAGATGGGAATGATAATATTTCTCTACCTATATATGTGTGACCAGATGGGAATGATGATATTTCTCTACCTATATATGTGTGACCAGATAATATCATGAATATGGATATATTTACTAAAATAAAATGAGCTATTACTGAAATGTTTGATTATTATGAGAAATTAAGTAGGGAAAAGTAGAATATGATTAGAATAGCTTTTTATTATATTATTTTACCATAGCACAATTGATTTTTCATTTAATATTTGTTGAGCATCAGATGCCAAGGTTACAGAAATAAACAAAACAAATACTCCTACTGTTATTGAAGGAAAACAAACTCTTGTCAAATACGTATTTGTGCCTCAGTACAATACAGCTAACATTTTCTGAGTGTCTGCTAAATGACAAGTGCATGAATGTTTTTATATAAACTCTCAGAGCTTAATCTTTTTGCTTCAAGTATTTTCTGACATGGAAACAGCCAATTTTTCTTTTAAAAAGAGGGAAAATTGAGAATGCTTAGTAAAAGTTATATCATCAAATTAATAGAAATTGACTCCAATTTTACAACTTAAACTTTACAGTGCTTGAACTAAATCAATACAAATTGCATTCTTTTAGGAAACCTCAACACATGCCAGTGCTGCTTCCTTCAGGTTGATTCAACAGAAGTTTATTCCACCCAGATCCTATGTGCTGTGCCTGGATGTGCCTCTGGAGAGCATCGAACTATCTCTGTATATGGACAGGTTTTCACTCAATTTTTTAAATCCCAAAGCAGTGTCATGGAATTTTAGAATTAAAAAAAGGACCTTCAGGCTGGGCGCGGTGGCTCATGCCGGTAATCCCAGCACTTTGGGAGGCCGAGGTGGGCAGATTGCCTGAGGTCAGCAGTTGGAGGCCAGTCTGGCCAACATGGTGAAACCCTGTGTCTACTAAAAATACACAAAAATTAGCCGGGTGTGGTGGCATGCACCTGTAATCCCAGCTACTCGGGAGGCTGAGGCAGGGGAATTGTTTCAACTAGGGAGGTGAAGGTTGCAGTGAGCCAAGATGGTATTCCAGCGTGGGCGACAAAGCGAGACTCCATCTCAAAAACAAAATAAAGGACCTTAGAGGTTAAAATCTTTCACTCATTGTAGGAGTCTTCTACAATATGCCTGGAAAGTTTTTACCAGTCTTAAAGCTTGACTGCTTTCTATCATGTAAACATCTAAAATAGGCATCATATTCCTTTGCTAGGTAGCTCCAATAATTATTTTGCTCATAAAATATTAAGACAAAGTTTGTATCCCTGGAATACATTTAATGCCTCAATTTTGAAAAAGTCATTACTGTGCTCCATGAGTATTAGGTATAACTGGAAAATTGTTTATATTATTAGCTGGATATGATGTATTTTTAGACACTCAATAAAAATTGTACATAATGTGATTGCTTTAACACCTGAAATCATCATTAATGTTAGTAGTCTCCTCTGATCTCTGATACTATGTGTTAATACATTATTCACTAATTTATTTACTCAAATATTTTAAGTTCTTAGTATGTGTCGTGTAGGTTACCAGTCTATGAAAAAGATCAAAATTTAATTCTTATGTAATTATTATGTTTTACACAGCGGGTACTCTCTTGCCCCTTTTGCGGTGTCTCAGGGATGATTCTCCATGCCCAACATTCTTCCCTCTCCTTCCATGTCTTACCCCAGACGTATCTGGAGTTCATAAGCAGAGGACCACAGACCCTGGGCTAAGTAAAATAAACCCCTTACATGCACAGAAACTTTGGCCTGTAGGTTCGGTGGAATATCTTCCTACCAGAGGACCCTGGATTCCAAAGGTGTTAAGCTATCTCCTAACGTACCTGGTAGGATTCTTCGCTGGCACGCTGCTATTGCCCTTGGCTCTTACCTTCCTGAGCAGTGGTCCCTAACCCCCAGGCTGTGGAATGATACCGGTCTGTGGCCTGTTAGGAACTGGGCTGCACAGCAGGAGATAAGCGGCAGGCAAGTGAGCATTACCACCTGAGCTCCACCTCCTGTCACAACAGCCAGCATTAGATTCTCACAGGAACATGAACCCTATTGTGAATTGCGCATGTGAGGGATCTGGGTTGTGCACTCCTTATGAGTTTTGGGATGAAACTGCCCAAGATGAAACCAGTCTCTGGCGCCAAAAAGATTGGGAACAGCTCTTCCTGAAGATGGGACTTCCCAGTTGTGTTAGTCCATTTTGTATTGCTGTAAAGGAATACCTGATACTGGGTAACTTGTTAAGAAAAGAGGTTTATTTGGCTCACAGTTCTGCAGGCTATACAAGCATGGCACCACTAGCTGCTCAGCTACTGGTGAGACCTCTGGGAGTTTTTATTCATGGTAGAAGGCAAAGGGGAAGTAGCTGTGTCACATTGCAAAAGAAAAGGGAGGTCCCATGCTCTTAACCAGCTCTGATGTGAACTAATAGAGCAATAAATCACTCATTTCCATGGGGAGGGCAGCAAACCATTCATGAGAGATCTGCCCCCATAACCCAAACACCTCCCACTAGATCCCACCTCCAACACTGGGGGATCACGTGTCAACATGCGAGTTGGAAAAGACAAAATATTCAAATGATATCCCCAGTCCTCCTGCCTGTGCAATGCCTCCCATTATGGTCTTATTTGACCCTAGTGGTGCTCTCATTTGGCCTCTTGAGTTATTGTTGTACGTGTGTGTGCATATGCTTATCAGAGGGTAACTCCTCAAAGCAAGCCTGGGACTTACAGTCATTTCAATTTGCATCATGGCTATACTCTTTATATTCCAATTCCTAGATGAAAATCCCACAAAAGTAAAAACAACAAAGCTGGCCTCCATAGTCACCTTCCTTGCGGGAAATTAGTTATCTAAAATTCACAGGGAGGCATGTTTGGCATGTGATATAGAAAATATTCTTTTTAATGTAGCACTTTTGGTAGAAAAAACACCCACAGTTGGGATAAGCGTATTTATATGCCATGAAAAAAATACAACTTTCTGATAAAGATAACCTCTGAGATGGAACTTAACACATTTCTGGTTTGAACCTCCAGATTCAGTAGCTCAAACCCTGTCCAATTCAACTTGACTCAGTCATGCTGGGTTTTGGACCAAAAATACCAATAAGCTTCGTTAAAACATTCAAACCAAGCCCAAGCAGACAACCAAAACTCCTATTGAAGACTTTTTTTTTTCTTCAAATTCTTAAAGGCATTTTCATATGTAATATTTCTTATGCTTTGAAGAAATATGTTATCTACTTCATGTAATCATTTAAGAGATTGAGTAACTAGTATAATGAATGGAAAATTACTTTTCAATTATTTGGCTACATTTCTATAAAAGATCAAGTCTAATTCATTGGAAAATCGAATCTGTCCAGATAAGCCAAAGAATTAAACAAATAGAAGCTGTCCAAGAATTCTGAATTATTTCTGGAGAAACTTTCATGCAATTGCATCACTAAAACCACTCTTAGCACAAGTGGTAGGGAATGTGTTTCCAATGTAGTTTTAGTGGCAAAATAAGATCTGAACACAATTGCCTTAGATAACTTAAACAAAATAATCACAAATTCCATAATTAAGAATCTACTTATGGATCAAGACAAACGAGAGGCAGGACTAGATTGCAGCCACAGACACAGCAGCCTGTGGAGGCTTGCACTGTGAATTTTAGCTCCAGATGAACTGCAAGAACAAACCAGCAATCCTGAGAGGAACCACAGACCCCCTGAAGGAAGGCGGCTGCAGGGACCGGGCGACACCCCAAATACTTTGAGTGCTGCATCTTTGGGAGTAGAAAAAGGAGACCCTCCTTTGTGGGAAAGAGAGTTTCTGGGGTGCCAGTTGAGTTGGTCTTCCCTGTGTGAGACACCCATGGGAAGCCATGGGTGGCCTCTGAGGAGAAAAGTCTCCTTATTGCCTTCATGTCCTTAGGCCCCGAGAGCATAACGGCATTCCACAGGTTGCTCAGGGAGATAACACTCCCTTGAAGCAGTGGAGTATAATCAAACATCTAGGCTCCTCCTGAAACCCACTCCCACCTGTATCAGTCCCGATAAGTTAAAGATCTTAAGTAGTTTAGACACATGCCTTTGCTCAAGGAAATTCACAGAAACCACCACTGCTATACATCTTATCGAATGACTCACAAATTCTCCTTCACTGTTTAATCCTTTTCCTCATCCCTTCCTCCTCCTTCCATCTGCCCTAAGAACAAAGAGCTTGTAAACCAATAAATTGGGCAGAGCCCAAGAGCTCTGGGCCGTGAGCAAGCCTCCGATGCTCCGGTCCCCTGGACCCGCCTTTTGGATACTTATTCTGTCTCTAACTCCTTTGTCTCTTCTGGACTCGGGGTACCCACTGGGTGGTGTGGGGCTGGTTTCCCCAACATCCTTTCCCGAACACACATCCCTACTGTGGAAGCTGAACCTGGAAGATGGAAAGCCTCAGGCAAGTTTTCAAGCCCAACTTGCCCTCTGCCTAGAAATAGACTTGGGGATGTTGCAGGGGGCATGATGGAAGTGAGACCGGCCCTACAGTTTGTGCGGGAGCTGGGTGAGGCCTGTGACGGTCGACTTTCCCCCACTTCCCTGACAACCTGCATGACTCAGCAGAGGCAGCTATAATCCTCCTAGGTATACAACTTCAGTGACCTGGGACTCTCACCCCCATCCCCCACAGCAGCCACAGCAAGACCTGCCCAAGGAGAGTCTTGAGCTCAGACACACCTAGCCCTGCCCCCACCTGATGATCCTTCCCTACCCACCCTGGTAGCAGGAAGCCAAAGGGAGTACAATCTTGGGAGTTCTAAGGCATCGCCCACCAATGGTCCTTCTCCACACTACTACAGCTGATGCTTTCTGGAAAGCGCCACCTCCTGGCAGGAGGTCAACCCGCACAAAAAAAGAGCTTTCAGCCACCAAAGCTAAGAGCCCCCATGGAGTCCACTGCACCCTCTGGCACCTCCACTGGAACAGGCGCTGGTATCCATGGCTGAGAGACCCATAGATGGTTCACACCACAAGACTCTGTGCAGACAACCCCCAGTACCAGCCCATAACAGGGTAGACTCACTGGGTGGCTAGACCCAGAAGAGAGACAACAATCCCTGCAGTATGGCTCACAGGAAGCCACATCCACAGGAAAATGGGGAGAGTACTACATCAAGGGAAAACCCTGTGGCACAAAAAAATCAGAACAGCCTTCAGCCCTAGACCTTCCCTCTGATAGAGCCTATGCCAATGAGAAGGAACCAGAAAACCAACCCTGGTAATATGACAAAACAAGACTGGTCAACATGCCCCCAAAATCACCTAGTTCACCAGCAATGGATCTAAACCAAGAAGAAATCCCTGATTCACCTGAAAAAGAATTCAGGAGGTTAGTTAAGCTACTCAGGGAGGGACCAGAGAAAGGCAAAGCCTGGTGCAAGGAAATCCAAAAAATGATATAAGAAGTGAAGGGAAAAATATTAAAGGAAATAGACATCTCAAAGAAAAAACAATAAGAAATTCAGGAAACTTTAGACACACTTTTAGAAGCATGAAATGCCCTGAAAAGTCTCAGCAATAGAATTGAACAAGTAGAAGAAAGAAATTCAGAGCTCAAAGATAAGGTCTTTGAATAAACCCAATCCAACAAAGACAAAGACAAAAAGAATAAGAAAATGTGAACAAAGCCTCTACAAGTAAGAAAATATGAACAAATCCTGGGATTATGTTAAATGACCAAACCTAAAAATAATTGGTGTTCTTGAGGAATAATTCAATTCTAAAAGCTTGGAAAACATATTTGGAGAAATAATCGAGGAAAACTTCTCTGGCCTTGATAGAAACCTGGACAGATGCAAATACAAGAAGCACAAAGAACACCTGGGAAATTCATCACAAGAAGATCTTTGCCTAGGCACATGGCCATCAAGTTATCCAATGTTAAGACAAAGGAAAGAATCTTAAGAGCTATGAGACAGAAGCACCAGGTAACCTATAAAAGAAAACCTATCAGATTAACAGGAGATTTAGCAACAGAAACCCTACAAGCTAAAAGGGATTGGGCCCTTATCTTCAGCCTCCTCAAATAAAACAATTATTAGCCAAGAATTTTGTATCCAGTGAAACCAAGCATCATATATGAAGGAGAGATAGTTATTTTCAGACAAACAAATGCTGAGAGAGTTCACCATTACCAAGCCATCACTACAAGAACTGCTAAAAGGAGCTCTAACTCTTGAAACAAATCCTGGAAACACATCAAAACCAAATCTCTTTAAAGCATAAATTACACAAGACCTATACAACAAAAATACAAGTAAAAAAAAAAAAAAAACAAAAAACAAAGTACACAGGCAACAACGAGCATGATGAATGCAATAGTACCTCACATTTCAATACTAACATTAAATGTAAATGGCCTAAATGCTAAGTTTAAAAGATACAGAACCACAGAACGGATAAGAACTCACAAACCAACTATCTGCTGCCTTCAGGAGGCTCACCTAACACATAAGGGCTCACATAAACTTAAAGGGGTAGAAAAAGGCATTTCATGCAAAAAGACACCAAAAGCAAGCAGGGGTAGCTATTCTTATATCCGACAAAACAAACTTTAAAGCAACAGCGGTTAAAAGAGACAAAAAGGGACAGTATAGAATGGTAAAAGGCCTTGTCCAACAGGAAAATATCACAATCCTAAACATATATACAGCTAACACTGGAGCTCCCAATTTTATAAGTCAATTACTAATTGACCTAGGAAATGAGGTAGACAGCAACACAATAATAGTGGGGGACTTCAATACTCCACTGACAGCACTAGACAGGTCATCAAGACAGAAAGTCGACAAAGAAACAATGGATTTAAACTGTACCTTGGAACTAATGGACTTAACAGATACATACAGAAGATTTCATCCAACAACCACAGAATACACGTTCTATTCAGCAGTGCATGGAACTTTCTCCAAGATAGACCATATGATAGGCCATAAAATGAGCCTCAATACATTTAAGAAAACTGAAATTATATCAAGCACTCTCAGACCACAGTGGAATAAAACTGGAACTAAACTCCAAAAGGAACTTTCAAAACCACACAAATACATGGAAATTAAATAACCTGCTCCTGAATGAGCATTGGGTCAAAAATGAAATTGAGATAAAAATTAAGAAATTCATCAAACTCAATGACAATAATAATTATACAACCTATCAAAACCTCTGGGATACAGCTAAGGTGGTGTTAACAGGAAAGTTCATAACCCTAAACACCTGTAACAAAAACATTGAAAGAGCACACACAGACAATCTAAGGTCAGGCATCAAGGAACTAAAAAACAAGAACAAACCAAACCCAAACCCAGCAGAAGAAAGGAAATAACCAACATCAGAGCAGTACTAAATGCAATTGAAACAAATATACAAACAAAAATACAAAAGATAAATGAAAAAAAAAGCTGGTTATTTGGAAAGATAAATAAAATTGATGGACTATTAGCAAGATTAACCAAGAAAAAAAGAGAAAATCCAAATAACCTCACTGAGATACAAAACAGGAAATATTACAACTGACATGACTGAAGTACAAAAGATCATTCAAGGCTACTATGAACAACTTTATGTACATAAACTAGAAAATCTAGAAGAGATGGATAAATTCCTGGCAAAATACAACCCTCCTAGCCTAAATCAGGAAAAATTAGATACCCTGAACAGACTAATAACAAGTAGTGAGATTGAAATGATAATTAGAACGTTACCAACAAAAAAAGTCCAGGACCAGATGGATTCACAGCAGAATTCTACCAGACATTCAAGGAAGAATTGGTACCAATCCTTTTGACACTATTCCACAAGACAGAGAAAGAAGGCACCCTCCTTAATTCATTCTGTGAAGCCAGCATCACCCTAATACCAAAACCAGGAAAGGACACAAAAAAGAAAACTACAGACCTATATCCTTGATGAATATACATGCTAAAATCCTTAACAAAATACTTGCTAACCGAATCCAACAACCTATCAAAAAGATAATCCACCATGATCCAAGTGGGTTTCATACCAGGGATGCAGGGATAGTGTAACATACACAAGTCAAAAAATGTGATACATGACATAAACAGAATTAAAGACACAAATCACATGATCATCTCAATAGATGCAGAAAAAGCATTCAACAAAATCCAGCATCCCTTTATGATTAAAACCCTCACAAAATTGGTATACAAGGGAAATACCTTAATGTAATAAAAGCCATCTATGACAAACCCACAGCCAGCATAATTCTGAATGGGGAAAAGTTGAAAGTATTCCCTCTGAGAACTAGAACAAGACAGGGATGGCCACTCTCAGCACTCCTCTTCAACACAGTACTGGAAATCCTAGCCAGAGCAATCAGACAAGAGAAAGAAATAAAGGACATCTAAATAGTTAAAGAGGAAGTCAACCTGTCCTTGTTTGCTGATGATATGATCGTCTACCTTAAAAACCCTAAGGACTCCTCCAGAAAGCGCATACAACTGGTAAAGGAATTCAGCAAAGTTTGTGGATATGTGATTAATGTACACAAATCAGTAGCTCTTCTATACGCCAACAGCAACAAAATAGAGAATCAAATCAAGAACTCAACCCCTTTTACAATTGCTGCAAACAAACAAACAAACAAACCCTTAGGAATATACCTAACAAAAGAGTCAGAAGACCTCTGCAAGGAAAACTACTTAACACCGGTGAAAGAAAACACAGATGACACAAACAAATGGAAACACATCCCATGCTCCTGGATGTTAGAATCAATTTTGTGAAAATGAGCATACTGCCAAAAGCCATCTACAAATACAATGCAATTCCCATGAAAATACCACCATCATTCTTCAGAGCTAGAAAAAAGAATTCTAAAATTCATATGGAACTAAATAAGAGCCCACATAGCCAAAGCAAGACTAAGGAAAAAGAACAAATCTGGAGGCATCCCACTTCCTGATTTTAAACTATACTATAAGGCCATAGTCACCAAAACAGAGTGGTACTGGTATAAAAATAGGCACATATACCAATGGAACAGAATAGAGAACCCAGAAATAAACCCAAATACTTACAGCCAATTGATCTTCAACAAAGCAAACAAAAACATAAAGTGGGAAAAGGACACCGTTTGCAAGAAATGGTGCTGGGATAATTGGCTAGCCACATGTAGGAGAATGAAACTGGATCCTCATCTCTCATCTTATACAAAAATCAACTCAAGATGGATTAAGGACTTAAACCTAAGACCTGAAACTATAAAAATTCTAGACGATAACATTGGAAAAACCCTCCTATATATAGGATTTCATGACTAAAAACTCAAAAGCAATTACAATGAAAACAAAGATAAATAGCTGGGACCTAACTAAAATAAAGAGCTTCTGCATGGCAAAAAGAACAGTCAGCAGTCAATCCACAGAGTGGGAGAAAATGTTCACAATCTATACTTCTGACAAAGGACTAATATCCAGAATCTACAACAAACTCAAATCAGTAAGAAAAAAAAAATCTGATGAAAAAGTGGGCTAAAGACATAACTAGACAATTCTCAAAAGAAGATACACAAATGGCTGGCTGGGCGCGGTGGCTCATGCCTGTAATCCCAGCACTTTGGGAGGCTGAGGCAGGTGGATTGCTAGGTCAGGAGTTCAAGACCAGCCTGGTCAACATGGTGAAATCCTGTCTCTACTAAAAATACAAAAATTAACTGGGCATGGTGGCATGTGCCTGTAATCCCAGCTATTCGGGAGGCTGAGGCAGGAGAATCACTTGAACCCAGGAGGCGGAGGCTGCAGTCAGCCAAGATTGTGCCACTGCACTCCAGCCTGGGTGACAGAGTGAGACTCAGTCTCAAAAAAAAAAAAAAAAAAAAAAAAAAAGAAGAAGAAGAAGATATACAAATGGCTAACAAGCATATGACAAAATGCTCAACATTACTAATGATCAACGAAATGCAAATCAAAACCACAATGCGATACCACCTTACTCTTGCAAGAATGGCCATAATCAAATAAAAAAACAGTAGATGTTGGTGTCATTGCGGTGATCAGGGAACACTTCTACACTGTTGGTGGGAATGTAAACTAGTACAGCTGCTATGGAAAATAGTGTGGAGATTCCTGAAAGAACTAAAAGTAGAATTACCATTTGATCCAGCAATCTCACTACTGGGTATCTACCCAAAGGCAAAGAAGTCATTATTTGAAAAAGATACTTGCACATGCATGTTTATAGCAACACAATTCACAATTGCAAAACTGTGGAACCAACCCAAATGCCCATCAATCAACGAGTGGATAAAGAAACTCGTATATATATACAATGGAATACTACTGAGCCATAAAAAGGAATGAATTAACAGCGTTTGCAATGACCTAGATGAGATTGGTGACTATTATTCTAAGTGAAGCAACTCAGGAATGGAAAATCAAACATTGCATGTTCTCAATGATATATGGGAGCTAAGCTATAAGGATGCAAATGCATAAGAATGTACAATGGACTTCGGGAACTTGGGAGGAAGAGGGGAAGGGGGTAGGGATAAAAGACAAGAAATATGGCGCAGTGTATACTCCTTGGGTGAGTATACACTCACAAATCACTAAAGAATTTACTCATGTAACCAAATACCACCTGTATACCAATAACTTATGGAAAAAAAAGAATTTACTATGAAGTATTTGTTATGCACTAGGCATTGTTCTAGGAGGTTTACATATATTGATTTATTTAATCTTCTCACCAACCACATTTAGGGGACACTACTGTCAACCTCATTTTACAGATGAGGGAATGAGACATAGATAAGTTAAATTACTTAATGTTACACGTAGTAAGTGGCAGAGCTGAGATTTAAAGTAATTAATAATGTGACCATATTTAAGGGGAAAGTTCAATTTACTTCAGGAAATAAATTGAAAATGTATCAGCATTTCTGTTGCATTTCAGCAGATAATGGGTTGTGCCCCATTGCTATTAATGAACCATATGGGAAGCTAGAGAGGCAGAAGCCAAGGTTAACAAAGAGCTTCACCATGCAACCAGCAGTCTGCTGGTCAGGGGAAGGGTGTCCTACCCATTCTCTATCATCTTATCTAGGACTCTCCAATCTACCTTGTGATTATGCCTAATACAGAACACCATACAAAACCCATCTTCCTGAGACTAAAATGATTCACCCATGCATTGTGCCCAGGGCCAATGTTAGTCTCATCTGAAACTTGGCATAACAAATGCACAGTGAATAATTATTTCTTAAAAATATGACTCAATTAGTCATTAAAATGTATCTAACTTAACTTCAAATATTTTATTATTGAACATGTCAGTATCTTACATGAAGAGGTCTACCTTTTATTTGACTGAATAAAGTAAAAAGATGTTTGCTGTTTGTGTAGAGAGGAGATGCACAAGGTAGAGAATCAGAGAGTTGGCTGGGCATGGGGAGGTGGGTGGAGGCTCATTCTCACCTGGCCTTCACTTGCCTTCCTCCAAGTCTGATTGCCAGAGGGGAGGAGCAGTGTAACATCTGCCTCCAGTGATGAAAATCCACTCTACCAACAGAATGACCATACATTAGAAGAGTGGAGTACTGAGGTCCTGAAGGCTGGTCCCAAACTCCTTAGTTGTGAGTTTACTATCTATATGTGGAAGTTATACGACTACATTATCTTTTAAACTATCATATCTCTATTTTGTCCAGACTGTCTTTGAGTTATTTTGAGTGAGTTCTATTATATGAATTAGTTGGTGGTGGTTTTTAAAAACTGGGAAGACATGCAGATAACTGTTTCCTTACAATAGACTCTGAGCACATATGAAGAAGCTTCAGTCATATAAATGTTTCACGGGTTTTGTGAACTGTCCTGGTAGGAGGAGAATTCTGTCATTTCACCTCGTATTTGTGTAAAATCAACATGACACAACAGTTTGAAATTGAAATCTAAGTTGAAACCTAATAATTTCATAAAATTCTGTCATTTCACCTTATAAGTATTTGTGTAAAATCAACATGACACAACAGTTTGAAATTGAAATCTAAGTTGAAACCTAATTAATAATTTCATAAAATCTATGGTGGTAGTAAGTGATGGAAGGAAAAACATTATCTGGGTAGTTTTCAGCCATATTGGTACATAAAATGAATCTAGGGGTGATTAAATGTTGAGTATATGAATAAATGAATGTGTAAGTGGAATTTGGTAAATATTGATTGATGGCCTAACAGTCTGTACAGCTTAGTTATATCATTGATTATCTGGATGATCCTGCTTCCATAAATTTACTTTTCTAGCTCTTTCCTTTCCAAATTATCAGGAATGCAACGATTTACTCCCTGGCTAACCAGGAGCTGGCTGGTTTCTTCTTATCCTTAAGCCAAGGGCCTTCACTCATCACTGTTTATTTCCTTGATTATTACTTGCAACTTGCATTACTTGCATCTGCATGATGACAAGGACTTAGCCTGGCTTGTTATTCCTGTAAGGGCAAATGCCAACTAAAAATAAGAAGCTCAACTCTTTGTTATGGACTGAATTTTGTCTCCCCCTAAATTTGTTTGTAAAAGCCCCACCCTCCAATGTGACTTTATTGGAAGAAAGGGCCTTTAAAAAGTTAATTAAGGTTAGATGAGGTGACAAGGATGGGGCTCCAATATGATAGAACTGGTGTCCTTTTAAGAGGAGGAAGAGATACCAGAGATCTCTTTCCCTGTGCACGGGGAAAAGGCCATGAGAACAGAATGAAAAGGTAACTGTCTGCAAGATAGGAAGAGCAATCTCACCAAAAACCAAGCCCACTGGCACCTTCATCTTGGGCTTTCAGCCTTGAAAACTGTGAGGGAATAAATATCTCTTGTTTAAGTTACCCAATCTGTAGTATTTTGTTAAGAAGCCTATAAGGAATATATGACTAATATGTTCTCCATGTTAAAAGTAAGGAAAGAAACATCCTTTTCTTAGGGTATTTACTTTAGAAAGCTTGTACCTCTTTGTCATTTTGAAACATATACAAAAATTTTTAAAAGCTAACTTAGTCTTTTGCTAGTTTTAAGACCCAAGGATACTGTTCTCAAAGACCAGGGAATCATCACTTTGAAAATTATCAAGGAAGATAACAGCTCTATTTATCAGGTTCTGTAGGAGGCTAGGAGGGTAATTTCAGCAGGTATCTTACTCCAAGTTGCAAGACAACCCCCTTTTATAAAGATATGAGAAATTTATTTTTGCTTTGGATAAAGCCAATTGTCTAACACAGACGGTTACCCCAATTACTAAGGGAATTTAGGATGAAAGTTGTTTGACAAATGGTGCTGTAAAGTCCCCTTGAGGACAAGTTATTGTTTACCTTGAGAATTTGTATATAAAAGGTTATATCTGCTTGTTATATTAAGAGGTGAGATTTTTTTCTGTCTTTGCAATTTCTTAGCTGATTTCCTGAGACGTGCATCTCACTCTGGTTTAATGCTTACTCAATAAAACTGTGTTCTTTCTCTTCTACCTTTGTGGAGAAGTTTTCCGGGTTAGGAGGAGATTATGTTTTCATTTATATTTCTCTAACACTTCCCAGTCCCAGTGAGAATACAGGCAATATATAAGCATCTGTTAAATTAATACCTACATGTCCCCATCTGTATTAGTCCATTTTGGATTGCTATAAACGAATACCTGAGGCTGGGTAATTTATAAAGAAAAGAGGGTTATTTGACTCATAGTTGTGCAGACTGCCCAAGAAGCACAGCACCAGCATCTGCTTCTTTTGAGGCCTAAGGTAGATTACAATCATGGCAGAAAGCAAAGGGGGAGCTGGCACCTAACATGGTGAGAGAGGAAGCAAGAGAGACACGGGGGCAGTACCACACTCTTTAACAACCAGATCTCAGTGAATGAATACATCAAGAACTCAGCCATTACCATGAGGAGGGTACCAAGCCATTCATGAAGGATCTGCCCCGTGACCCAAACACCTGCCAGCAGGCCCTACCTCCAACACTGAGGATCACATTTCAACATGAGATTTGGAGGGGCCAAACGTTCAAACTATATCACCATCTCTGTTACTACTGCATCCACACAAATAATGAGAGGTTCTATTAGACTTCATTACCTCTTAATTCTGCTGCCCATATCGGATAACCAATGGTAGTCTGGTGATGGGGAATCAAAAGTATAGGCCAAAATTGGTTTTACTCAAATGGCCATAGCATCACTTTAAATGTTTGGAAAAATTAGGTTTCTTTGGTTAGTGGGCTGATTAGTGGAAAATGCCCTGTGCTTACAGTTGGAAGAATTTGGATTTGAATCCAGTTCCACCACTTACTCTCTATATAAGTCTCACCCGTCACCTAATTTCACCCTGAAGCCCGGTCTCATCTGAAAATGTTTCATTTTCCTTATAGGGTCACTGAGAGGACCAGATGAAATATTACAGGTGTGCTCTGCACAGTGAACATTTGTACCATAATGTTTTCTTAGTGAATACGAAGAATGCCTGTCATGTAAATGGACTGTAACACTTACCAGCTAGTTTCCAAATTGGCTTACTCCTAAAGGAAAGAAAAACTGACTTCTTCCATTTCCAGTTCATCTGTCTATTCTTTTACTCTTTTGAATTTCTTCATAAGGACTTTCACTGCCTTTCAACATCATTTTCTTTAACAATGTAGGACATGGCACTCACAGTTTTGCACGTTTAATTTGTTCTGCACTGGAGGTTATGGTCACAAAGGGGGATGCTCTATCAAGTTACCTTGCCTTTTCGGCTAAAGAATTCGAGGTATTTATAAACTGAGGGAATAAAATGACTTCAGTTGGAAAATGAAATGAAACGAGGCATAACTGCATACTACAAGATAGCAATGCAATTTAGAGCTAGAATAGGTCTAGTGTGTTCTAAATCATAAACACATTTTACAGTATAAATATATATTGTCAGTAAACAACCAAACTTTCTGTTGCGATTTATATATTTAGGTTCCTAATTTGGTCTTCAGGTCTCTCTTTGGAGGGGGCCAGAAACCAGCCAATCTCCAGGAGAGCCCTGGCCAAGGGGAAAGGTAGGTTCTAGGGTGTCAGTCAGGTGAGGCACAAGGAGGAGGTGAAACCAAAACGCAGGAACAGAAGAAATCTCTTACTTACACATCCCAGAGAGGTCCAGAGAGCGGCAGGAGCCCGAGGGGAAGTCTGGAGGCCACGGGGAGCCAGAGAGCACAGTTAGGGCCTGGAGCTTTGTCCTGGGGCTTTCCCGTGGGGGTGTGGCTTAGGCTGATTTAAGAGAACAAGTAGGAAGCAGGACTTATTCACAGGACTCTGGTGTTGGCCGTTAGGTTTGATCATGGTCAGCAGCTGTGTGATGTGTGGGTTCTGGGTCAGTGCGATGAAGAGCAAATGGGCCGCATTACAAACAACCACTCAGGGAGGGGAAGTGTTACCCAGACCAGAGGTGATACAGTGAGACTGGGCTTCAGACAACTTAGGTCAGGCCTGAAAATGGATGCTGAGGCAGCAACTATTAACCACATTTATGGCAGTTTCCAACAAAACCTGGCTTTTAAATCATTTCTATTATACGTGAAGAAAAACTGAACTGAAAATAATTGGAAATAACCCCTTTGGTTTGCCCTAATAAGCAGGAATCAAATTTCTAGGTTCTTCTATTATATGTAAAATGGCAATGTCATTTAAATGAAAGCTAAGATATGAGAAAAAATCGAGGGACATATGTAGCCCTTTACCTCAGGTGTGAAACTGTTTTTGTTTCATAAAGGCCTTTTTAAGCTTTAGTTTCAGGTTTATCTTGTTATTTTAGTGCAGTCTACATGAAAATATTCTTTTGAGGCTGTAAAACACATGCTCTCATTTGGAAAAAAAATAGTTTTCATTGACTCTATATGTTCCTATTCTGATTTTTGAGTGTTTCTTTTATCTAGAGGTTTATATTGCTAAAGAAACTGCCTATGGTTATAGTTTGCAGTCAACAAGTTACCCTGAATTAGCTACAGGTGGCTCTCATGATAGGAATGGTGTGGCGTGAGGCTTAACAACGGTTCTCAAATTGTGGTTCCTAAACCAGCACCATCAGTTGTGCCTGAGAGCTTATTATAAATGCAAATTCTCAGACCCCACCCAGACCCACTGAATAAGAAACTCTGAGTGTAACCGAGCAATCTGTGGTCAAACAAGCCCGACAGGTGATGCTGAACTGCATTAGAGAACTGTCAGTTTACCGTTACAGAAACCCCCTTAGAGTTTCAGTAGCACATTACTTAAGTAATATAAATGGCCAACATTTATATTACTTATAAATGGTAGCACATTACTTAAGTAATATAAATGGTCAACATTTTAAAATTGTTTCAGCTGGTACTGAAAACCATTATCCTGTTTAACAAGGAGTCAGGCTAACAGTAGTGGTGGTCGTCATAATTCACAGTTTTGGCTAGTTGGCCCAGTTCATAGGCACACTGATTTACCCAGGGGACTCACAGTGACTTGCAAACACGTCCCTTCTGCAGAGCTCAGACTGAGAGGCCTTTTGAGGAGCTAACCAGCAAAAATGTTTAAATATCATTGATATTTACTCTGCCCTCATCTTCACCCTCATTCTGGGCCTTTGCTTTCCTTGAAATAGTGGCTTTCTCTGTGACTTCGTTTATCCTCTCTCACTGTGCGCCCTTCCTCAGAACTTGCAAAGGCTGCACAGGATTCAAGAATCACCTCCTGAATTTAGCTGCAGAACTGACTACTCTCTTAACTATATCTCATATCTTAGTAGACATAGTCACTTAGATGTCCTCCTGTTAATATCAGCACAAATAAATAAAACTGAATTTGTGCCTCAAATCAGCTCCCTGTCTAAGCTTCCACACTTTCGTCAGTGGTAGGTTGCACAGATCTACAAGTTACCTAATTCCCCTTTCTCCTTTGCTTGCTTGACCCTGGCATGACCTGTAGATTTTAATAATATTTATCATCTTCATCCCTTTTCTCCATTCCTGCTATTACTATACTTAGAATGTGAACACCTGAACTATGAAACTGTTTTCCAAAAGGCCTTCTTCTTTCCCGTCCTCATTCCCTCCCTCTCTCCTTCCTTCCCTTTCTCTTAATTCCTTCCTTCTTTCCTTCTCTCCTCCTTTCCTTCCTCCCCTTTCTCCCACAAACAGATGGCAAAATAAATGGTTTACACTAACCTGTATGACCTCCTCTCCTTCTAGGTCTCCCACTGACTAAGACCAGCCTCCACATTCTTGAGCCTCAAAATTCTCCAAGTTCTGATGACAATCTACTTCTTTCATCTCCCCTCCATTCACTTGCCCTATTGACTCTTTAGTGGTTCTCAAACTCAGCAGCACCAAAAAGGCTGATTAAAAGAGATATTTGAGCCCGACTCCTAGAGTTTCTGACTCAGTAGTTTCAGGGTAAAGCCCAAAATTTAGCACTTCTGAAAAGTTTCCATGTGCTATAGATAGAATGTTGGTATCTCCCCCAAATTCGTTTGTTGAAGTCCTAATCCCCAGTGTGGCTGTATTTAGAGATGAAGCCTCTAAGGAAATAACTAAGGTTAAATGAGGTAATAGGGTGGGGCCCTGGCCTGATGGGATTAGTGTCCTTATAAAATGAGACACCAGAGAACTTAGGATCTCTCTCTCAGCCATGTGAAGACACAGCAAGTAGAAGGCTGTCTGCAAGCCAGGAGGAGAGCCCTCATCAGAAATGGAATTGGTGGCACATTGATCTTGGACTTCCCAGCCTTCAGAACTGGAAAATAAGTTTTTGTGTTTAAGCCACTCAGTCTTTGTATTTTGTTATGACAGCCTGAGCAGGTAATCCTGAGGCTGCTGTTCTGGGACTATACTTTGAGAGCACCTTTCTACTCCACTCTGATTGGTCTTCTTGTCGCTTTGATCTCTGTGTCTTTCTGACATGCCTACTTTTCTCCTTTCTTTACTTGAGACCCACATCTTCTTGAAAACCCACTTTGAACCATACATCTTCCCCGAAGGCTCCCAACTCTCCCATCACAGTCATCTCTCCCCTTCTGAAAGCCTCTACTCTTTATCTTTAGATTCATCTGGCATCTAGCATAAACTACCCTGGATGATTCTTTTTTCTCTTCATACAGTTGTTTTATCTTCATCATGAGCTTCTTGGAGCAAAGAATCTATCCCTGGTGTCACATACCTAGCACAGTGCTTTGTGCACAGTACAGGTTCAATAAATATATGATTATTTGACAACCATGGAGTGTATGGAGAAGGGGTTCCTAGAAACTGCAGGTGTGAATCATTCAGGTGTCACAGATCTCTCAGTCACTCCAAGAGCCTCTTAGGAATGTGGAGGTACAGCTCACAGAGGAACACGTGATTACTGGCTTACTTGCTTAGGGAGCTGCATCCTGAGGGGTCTCTCTTAATGTTTTGTAAACGAAAGAGTCACCTCTGAGACAGAGCACATCTAATGATGATGAGGATGCCATAAGAATGATGAACATTTATGGGGATTTCTATGTGCAAAGTGTTTCATGGGTATTATCACTTGTAGTTCTCCCAGCAACTCCACACGGTATGAATTATTATGCTTTCCATTTTTACAGATGACAAAATTGAGGCTTAGAGAGGATAAGTGACTTATCCCAGGTCTTGCAGCCAGGCAGAACCAGAGCACATGCTTGGGCCATGCCTGTATAGCTCTCCATTCACCTGTTTTCGCATTTCTTGCCTTTCTTCCATAAATAAGCAGAGAGTTTTACACCAGAGGTTTGTACAAGGTTGGCTTCCAACCTTTAAAGATTTAGGTTTACTATTTTTATGCCATTTAACATACCTTATATTCCTTATTCTAAGATAGATTAAACACGTAATAACAAGGCTTAACTTCCAGTGCCAAAGGATAACTGTAGGAGAAAATGTCCCATCTTCGCTCAGAAATCAGCTGTGAAGGACACGTGCAGGTTGTGAGGCAGTAGTCTGCAGTTTCCAATTAACGCCACTGACCCCATTGGTCACCAAACCTGTTCTCAGTGAACAAAAACAGGCGTGGTGGCTCAGTGGGTCCAGAGAAATTGTATTGCATTTTGCTTTCTTGACTCAGTGATTTGAAGAGTAATTTTCTGACATGTCAGTATTTCCACAAGATTCCCAGACAACTTATTCTAACCTCTGTTTTACTTTCTAACCAGACCTAAAACAAAACAAACAGCAGTAACAAAAATATTAAAAAGTATCATAGCTACCCCTAACAAAAAGGTATTACACAATTTTCAAAATACCTGCTTTATCATTAACTCGGCACTTAATTTTAATCGGTGCATTATACAATAACATGTGGGTCCCACTCCAGGCGATTGTGCTACTCACAAAGCAATTATAAGATTCTTTAAATCCTAAAGTTTTTCTTGTTTTTTTCTTTTTTGAGACAGAGTCTTGCTCTGTCGCCCAGGCTGGAGTGCAGTGGCGTGATCTCGGCTCACTGCAACCTCTGCCTTCCAGGTTCAAGCCATTCTTCTGCCTTAGCATCCCAAGTAGCTGGGACTGCAGGTGCGTGCCACCATGCCTGGCTAATTTTTTTTGTATTTTTAGTAGAGACGAGGTTTCACTGTGTTAGCTGGAAGGTCTCGATCTCCTGACCTCGTGATCTGCCTGCCTCGGCCTCCTACAGTGCTGGGATTACAGGCATGAGCCACCATGCCCGGCCAAGAGAAAGTTTAACTGGGCTGTTTATTCCAGCTCAGATTTAAATCCAAGGCCTTAAAAGACTTCAAAATCTACCACTTTGAATAAACTGCACCTTGGCAATCAATTAAACTATTGTACTTTGCATAAGAAAGTATATTTTTTATATTTTTAAATAAAATTATAATTCAAAAATAAATATCTAGACATGTTGGGATCATTTGAAAGTACAGAAAACCATAAGCAGGCAGAGAAAAAAAATCAACCACACTTTCATCACACAGAAGTAATTGTTGCTTTATTTTGGAATCCTGTAGAAGAAATTTTATATCCTAACTTTTATTAACTTAAGATTTATTTCACTAACACTTGCCTATTTTACTGCCGAACTACATCATGAGTCTGCCCATATTTCTTTGTCACTATTCCACCATCCAAGCCCCATGCCATGTCTCACCTGGATTTTTACTGGAGGCTGGAACTTGTCTGTCTGCTCCTGTCTTGTCTCCCTTCAGTCTATTACCCATGTTGCACTCTTGCTTAAATCACTTCAGTGACATCCATTGCTCTTGGGTGAGATGACTGTCACAAACGGGCACCCAGGAGCCAGGCATGTAGTCCCAGCTTCACCATGCTCGGCTAATTCTTGTAATTTTAGTAGAGACGGAGTTTCACCACGTTGGCCAGGCTGGTCTCGAACTGCTGACCTCAAGCAGTTCTCCCTGCTCAAGCAGTTTTCACCTTGGTCTCCCAAAGTGTTAGGATTACAGGCGTGAGCCATGGTGCTGGCCCTCTGTCTGACTTTAGAGGGCTGTTCTGAGACTCAAGTGACGAAAATACATGAAGGTGCTTATAAATGGTAGTAAACTGCAGTGTGAGTGGTTATTTATAGGTAAACTTTATACGTAACTTTAGATGTAAACAAATGTCAAGTGCTTTTGTTTCTTTTGAAAATATATGTATGTTACCTTCATAATTATTTAAACCAATCTTAGTATTTGAGAGGCAAGTAACAGGGAACACTTGAAGTCAGGAAACAGGGATTCTAATCACTGATATTCAGCATAACCTTGGAATAAGATCTGGCTCTCACCAAATTGAGAAATAAAGAAATGCATCATATATACAGTTGTTGATTAAAAATGTGAGTGCGATAAAAAAATGTAATCTTTCAAGTATTCATGACAAAAAATGAAAGAAACACTAGAAGTACACCTATTCCGAGCTAAAAATATGTACATTTTAGTCTGCCAGTACATTAAAAGTGATAATTTCCCCACAGCATCACATGCAATAAACATGTGCTTATTCTATGCTGTGAGAACTCTTAAACTTTACAAGTGACTTTACAAATGATTCCCAGTTGTCTTAATCTGATTTCAGATTTCCAGAAAAGATAAAATGCTGGGCCAAATAAACTGTATTCTGAGAAAGTGGGATTCGGGATTTTGATGTCCTGCCCAGACTATAATGGAAATATTTCTGTGGAAAGCTCTTTTGTTCATTCTGGACAAAGGAGTCATCAAAATTTGATGTTTTCTCTCACTCCAAAGAGGATTATTCTGATACTTGAAATGCTTATTTCAACATGTTAATCTTTGACCCATATGAAGGAGTTGCCATGGAAGAAAACCTGGCAAAACTCTAAAGATTTTTCAAGTATCAGAGTATAAATAGTGAACAGATGGAAACCAGAATTTGAGGAATTTTAGGATGGTTTGAGAAGAGACTTTTTATGAGGGTTTCGCTGGGCTCTAGGGAAATGACAAGGGAAAGTGGAACTGCTAACTGCCCTCATCGGTAAACCATGAGGGGAGGAAGGAGTTACTGGAACCTGGAAAGAGAGAGTTTTCTAGGAAAGACATTGAGAAGCTTACAGTCAAAGGACAGAGCCAGGCTGAGAGGACCTTGTCCAGAGGGAGCCTGGAGAAGGAATATCTGAACGTAGTCTTCCCTTTTAGGAGGGGCTCCCTGCTCTCTGAACCACTTGGGAAACAGGGAGTAAGCCTGCTCAAGACTGTGACCCACACAGCTCAGCCTCCTGCGGAGTGGGGGAAAGTAGATTAGGAGGGGCAAATGGAGATATTTGGCATAGACTTTCATGGTAATTTACCTAGCACAAAGCCTGGCATATGACAAATGCTCCTAAAACTAAGTCACATGAAAGGATAAATGGATCTTTCAGTGACCTAAACTGTGCACAGTGGCATACTTCATTTTTTCCTGGTCGGTTTTTGAGTTTCATGTAACAGACTGAATAAAACATCATGATTTCAAGAGTTTGCCAAAAAAAAGTAGTCTTTTTCTCTCTTTCTAATTTTATATGCCCCTTTGTATTTCTCCAATGGCACTTACTTTTATCTTGTATGATAATTAGTGAATAGTATCAGTTGTAAAATTACAAGCTTTTTTCTAAGGATGCACACATACTCATACACACTTTGGATGTTCCAGTGTCTAGAACAGGACCACAAACATAGTTGCTACAATAAAAGTCTGTAATCACATACATTCAAATATGAGAACTATGTTATATTACACAATTTGAGATTTTCTGCATTGAATTTTATAGCATTCATTTGTTCTATAACTCACTAAGCACCTGCTTTGCATCCAGTACTCTACTGGGCACTTAGATTTCAAAGATGAATATGCAAACTGCCTGTCCTACTAGGGCTTACATTGTAAGAAGAGAGGGTTGCCAATTATCAATCACAAAATGACTCACTGTGCTAGGGAACTGTCACAAGATGAATCCATGTGCTGGTGGGGGACAAGAGGGGAGAAGAGGGAGACAGGGAGGACAGAGCAATGCAGCAATGTCCTACAGGTGTATAGTAGACTCCAGGCTATATTAGAAAGAGTGTCCTGGAAGCAGGATGTATTTTCTTACATTTAGCTTGGATTTCTACAACGTCAGTTCCTCTGTTTATTACTTAAAAGGTGTCCTGGCTACTGAGCTTACCCAGTAACTGCAGCCAGAATGAAGTGAAACTGGGGAGCAGAGGAAGAAGTTAGAAGTTTGCGGCGGGGATTTATTGCCAACATGAAAACTAAGTATCAGCTTAAAGATCATCTCCTGAACAGAAGAGAGATTCAGTGATACTAACATGTAGAGTACGGAGAAGGAACTACACCCAATTATTTAAAGCTAGGGAGAAGAAAGCATAGGCTGTGGGAAGGAATAATGATAGACTGATTTCTTTCGGATGAAAACGAGTGTGAGACAGTGGGAGGGGCATTGTCCCTGTCACTTACCTACTTGACCAACTACCTTAGCAAGTTTTAAAAATCTATTTGTGAGTAAAATCTTTACACATCGTGTCTTAATGTGAGAAGTGTGGAGAATGTTACTGGTCTTGCAGGATTTGAGGGAGGAACAGCACAGAGGTAGACAACTTGGTTAGTGCACAAGATGTTTGCTTATCTTCACTGTAACCTTATTTAATATTTGCCATTTCTACTTTTGGAGTCAACATCCTTAGAATCATATCACAGTACCCCTCTTATTAAAGGTATTTGTGCATAGCTCTTTGACTGCTCTGAAGACCCTCATCCACCTTGGTGAAGTGAATGTCATCAGAAAGACTGCAATGTTTGAAGAGCCATATTTCACAGATTCTCCTCAGTTTTACACTTAAGACTCTAGAGAAATGCTAACCTCTTGTCTTAGAAGGAAATTCTAGATAGTCCAATGGTGCCTAAGGGGCAGAGAGTGACATAGACCTGCTGGATAGGATTCCAGATCTCTGATTATCTCTGACAAGCTTAGCCAATATGAGAAATAACTTCTATGTTTTAAAATCAGTATTAAGTTGAAAATGGCCAAGCATAGGAACTGAAGACATTTCTCAGCATTTTTTCCAGAGGTGGCTATCCAGTTGAAATTTCAGCGGTGGCCCTTGGCCAAAAAGCTCATTTTTTTTTTTTTTTAATTTGAGAACAGTTTTTCTGCCAATGAAATATTAAGTTCTTCTGCATTACTGATAAGAAAATGGTTCACTCTTTCCACAGTGAACCATTTCAGAAAAGGGTTTATTTTCTACTTCTGGAATATAGTTTGAGGAATATAATTAGAGATAATGCTTTCATTAGGTGGTATGATCCCAAATAACTATGTGTGAGATGCTTCCAAATTTTACACCTGACAATAAAAGTGTGCTTGGATATATAATCTGGTATTTAAACTTTTCATCCTATATTCTGGATACAAGGTGGGCAGATCACCTGAGGTCAGGAGTTCGAGGCCAGCCTGGCCAACATGGTGAAACACCGTCTCTACTAAAATTACAAAAATTAGCTGGGTGTGGTGGCGGGCACCTGTAATCCCAGCTATTCAGGAGGCTCAGGCAGGAGAATCACTTGAACCCAGGAGGTGGAGGTTGCAGTGAGTCGAGATTATGCCACTGCACTCAAGCTTGGGTGACAGAGACAGACTCCATCTCAAAATAAATAAACAAATAAATAAATGACATATTTCTTCCACTTAAATTATAAAAATGACCAATAAAAAGAAGAGTGAGAAATCTCCACATGACATTAATGCAATATACTAGGCATACTGAAGTATATTAATAGATTCCAGGATGGGAATCAGTAACTATCTGCTTTCCATCTCAAATTAAAATACATTATACTCTACTTCAGCAGGATACAGGTTATTAAAATGATCAAAATGATCTAATTTAATGTTAAGAAACTTAAAATAAGCAGAGACTCAAAGACTTCACTCATTAAAAATGAAAAAATAGGACAGATCATAGAGTACAAACACTTCAGCTCTTGTATTTTAATTCACATAGGCATTAACTATTAATATTTTTATGGAACTGTTGTAACTTCTATATAAAATATCCCTTTTCTGTGTAAAGCTTTTGTGATTCAGGTCACTCAAGCTGCAATAAAACTCAGAGAAGGAAACAGAGGATGGCTCAGCAATTAATCATCCTGTGCCTTGTTTCAAATTGTGTTATTCATTGAAAAAACTGTATTTAATATGTTCAAGTTTTATTCATTTTTCACTGTCTGCTCCTGCATGAAATATTCAAAGAGCCCTTGGTATCATGAAATAGTTGTTAGAGAAAAACCTTTTTTTTAGTAACATTGTAATCAAGATGCAAGAAATGAATTTTCTACCAGCTTCTAAAACTGTAAGTAATGCATTCTTGAGAAAAAACAGCAATAAGAAATGTAATATTTCAAGCTAACTATCAATTTTAAACCACTGAGTCAAATTTTGGAGAAATAACATGTCGTAATTCCAACATATATTAAAATTTCTGCTAATGTTACATTAAACCTACCACAGTATTTCTACATATTTTAATGGTGCAAGGAAATTTAAGATACTTTTAATAATATCTATTGATTAAAATAGGGGGTTATGTGGTGAATTTTGTTTTAAAAAAAATTATGTTTCTTCACCAGTAAAAATATACTGTGGACATGCTTGCTATATTGGGATTTTAAAATAAGAGCGCAAGTACGTACTTTCCTGGAGAGTTTCTTTATCCAGAATACATTTCTTCTTCTACCTTCTCATGACCCAATATACTCACCTACCTCTCTGCCTTTTCTGTCTCCTCAGACCAAAATTTCACTTCTCACTTTTCAGCCTGTGTTAGATTAGGGTGTCCTAGACTGAGCACTATTACTATTTAGAGCCAGATGAATTTTTATTACAGGGAAGGCTGTCCTGTGCACTGTAGGATGTTTAGCAGCATTCCTGGCCTCTGTACTAGATGCCAGTAACATGACCACCACTCCAGGATGTGACAACCAAAGCTCTGCAGATATTGCCATATGTCTCCTGAGGGGGAAAACCACCCCTACTTGAGAAGCACCATATTAGAGCAACTTGCATACATAACATCATATCCACCTTTGAACATATTTCTCACTGTATGAAACTTAGCCCAGAGGGGACACTCAGTAAATGTTTGTTAAATGGATGCAGAATAAGATGGTGTTTTAATATTGCAGTACATTTCTAGAATAATAAACATGTGACTCTTATATATTAAATTCTCAGTTCCACTTAAAAACTTAAGAATACTTCTACATCCATTTTGGATTTGTTTATTTTCCATGTTTGGAACAGAGAGAGAAGACTGTTTTTCCAATATGATAGATCATATTTGAATTATTTGGCTCATAAATTTCTAATGGGATTCAATTCCTTGTATTTTTTTCTTTTTGTCTAACTACTACAGAAAGATGACATCCAAATCTCTTCCAAAAGAGAATAATGAAGGAGGAAAGGAGTACAAAAATAGGAGAGAAAAGAGCAAGAAAGAGGTGAAGAAGGAAAAAAGAATAAACGAGCAAGATACAAGAGGCATTTCCATACTTAGAAACCCATTTATTAAACCATTTATTATAAACCCATTTATTAAAAAGTTGAATTCAATTAAACATATTTTTAAAGGGAAGTATGTCTTAAAGCCTGAAAATAGTGAAAAAAATTGATTATAAGTTATTGGCTTTTTCCTTATATTAAATGCAATAGTTACTTTTCTAACACAAGCAAGGGAGAAAAACAGAAAAAAGAGAAGGAGATGAGAAAGGAAAAGAAGAAAATGGAGTAAGGGGAAATTATATGAGAATAAGAAAAGTAAAACACAAATGCTTTTAAAAGTGCACTTAGATTTCTAAAGAATCACAAGACTTTTTATACAACACACATTTTGATTAAATAACACTTAAATAATGATTCAATGCAGTTTGAAACAGTAATTTCCCCCACAGAACATGAATTAAAAATTAAAGAGACAGGCCGGGCACGGTAGCTCACACCTGTAATCCCAGCACTTTGGGAGGCTGACGTGGGCAGATCACCTGGGGTCAGGAGTTTGAGACCAGCCTGGCCAACATGGTGAAATCCATCTCTACTAAAAAAAATACAAAAATGCCGGGCATGGTGGCGTGCACCTATAATCCCAGCTACCCAGGAGGCTGAGGCAGAAGAATCGCTGGAACCCAGGAGGCAGAGGCCGCAGTGAGCCGAGATCGTGCCACTGCACTCTAGCTTGGGTGACAGAGCAAGACTCCATCTCAAAAAAAAAAAAAAAAAAATTAAAGAGACAAAAAAATCACTTTGGGTTTTATGATCATAAGGTAAATGATTATGCTTATTATTTGGAAAAAAATACAAATTTTTTTCCCAGATAATACTCATTTAAAAGTTGTATTTCATTAATTAGTTCTGTATTTCTAAATTAAGAACACATGAGAGAAAAAGCCCAAGTAATAGGGAAACATTCATTCAAGGTAGTGAGCCTTTTTACTTGTCCTCAAGGAGAGGTGTACATAGAGGTCAGGGCACAGAGTTTAGATACATGTTGACCCGGGATCTGGCACCCTGCTTTTTAGCCACCTGACATTAGGTTTGGGTTCTCCCAGAAGTAAACCTGAGACAAGCATCAAAAGGTAAGTGGTCTGCCTGGGGAGGGATCCCAGGAAACACTGGGAAAGGAGCCAGGAGGTGAGAAAAGAAAAAAAAGTAAATAAGCTAAAAAAATAAGTAAGTAAAAAGTAAGTAAGTGTGTGTCAAGCCAGCCTTCTGAGGGAAACTGGATCCCATCTCATAGGGAAACTCTGGAGTGCTGTATATGTAGAATACACATCAGAGTTGGTCACAAATGAGGAAGATAGAGATTTTCTCTTCTTCCTTTCTTACCCACCAACTTCCTGTATTTCACTGGTAGGGGGCTGCTCCCTGAGGCATTAACCCTCTGGCACTCCAGCTGGTCCTGCATAGGACCGAGCCTGTGCCTGTGGCTCCTCAGGCAGAGTGGCAGGTGTTTGCAGTAAGCAGTGTCAGCTATTACTACTTTATATTTGACTGATACTATAACACCAGTATGATCTTCCTAAATCATATAACAAAATCTAAGTTAAAATAACAAAAATGAAATACAATGACTATTCATGGGTATTTGGTATTGTGCTAAGTCCTAGACAGTTATTTGGATAATTGCAACAATATTTACACCGTGACATGGTTTGGCTGTGCCCCACCCAAATCTCATCTGGAATTGTAGCTCCCATAATTCCCACACGTCATGGGATGGACCTGGTGAGAGGTAATTGAATCACAGGGGTGGGTTTTTCCTGTGTTGCTATCATGCTAGTGATTAAGTCTCATGAGATCTGATGGTTTTATAAACGGCAGTTCCCCTGCACACACTCTCTTGCCTGCCACCATGTAAGACATGCCTTTGCCCCTCCTTTGTCTTCTGCCATGATTGTGAGGCCTCCACAGCCATGCTGAACTGTGAGTCCATTAAACCTCTTTCCTTTATAAATTACCCACTCTTGGATATGTCTTTATTAGCAGCATGAGAATGGACTAATATACACTGGAAACTGAGACTTCATTTGGTCATTTTTGACACCATGCCACCAGAATAAAACAGGTACAGGATAATGGATCCTACCATTGATTGGAAATGATCATCTGCAGGAAGAGCACCAATGGAATACAAAGGGTGGAACCCAAATGCCTCTATTTCAGCATGTCCAGTGTCAAATGTTCAAAGAATTGTATAGCACTTTATATAAATAAGACTCCAATAATTAAACTTTTCTATATTTCTCTGTCACTTAAGGGATCTTGGAAGCTGAGTTTCCTTTGGCGCCAAAGAGAACATGGACTGGACAGAAGAATTTGGAAGTCATAAGTACAAACTATAACTTTAGGATTTGTTACAGAAATAAGTATTGTATCTTCTACTATATTTTCATTTTTATGGTTTTATAAATAATTCTAAAATGCAGCTAATTTTCATCGATCTCTCTTGCCCATCACAATTTTCCAAAGGGTGTATTGTTGGCTAACTTTATTACTCAGTCTATGGTCATGAATATTGAGATGGGATTGTGATAGAATCAAAAAAAGAGAGGGAATGAATATTACTCAGAAATCCTGGATTCACTAACTGAGAAGACTTTTTAGCTTGCCTCCATTTTTTATTGAACATGGTCATGTTACAACAAGCCATAGCATTGTCCCTCCCCTAATGTGGAAGTATAAATGCTTATGTACAGGTAGAGAAGAGAATTTTAGAGAAATGGCAGGGTGGAGAAAGTGGGTAGTAGTGGAGAAGTCTCCATTACCACCAACAATTTGAAAAAAATGTATGAGTTTTGTATGGCTCAAGTGAACCTCACAAGAGGAAGGTGGGCTTTAGCTTACTTGCTGGAATCCCATTCCAGAGGGCTAGCCACAAGGAATGGATTTTCAAGTAGCAAGAATCTATGGCATATGCTGCAGTAGGCAGTCACAGGAGACACTGACAGGAATTGATATGAAATAGATTTCACTCCTCAAGGAAATGTACAGATAGGAGGGTCCCCAGAAACACACACGAGAGACCAGCGTTTGGATGCAACCATATAGGAAGCATTGAGGGCCTCTTCTTCTTCCCCTTTAGTTTCCATTCCCCAAAACACTGAGGAATAGAGGGACCTGTAAGTGGATGGGGAAGGAGGAGTAAGTGGCACATCAGGCTCCCTTTTATACACTAAGTCCTTTGGGCCTGAACATGTCTGGTGAGGGCAGCTGGGCGAGGGTGGATAGGAGGGCTGGAGGAGGTGGAAATAAGTTTCCACAAGGCATATTTACAGGTAGCTAACGGAGAAAATTAAAAACCATTTCGTATCTATATCCTACCAATTTCAGTTATCTGAAAAAAAAATTGAATACTCAGAAAAAAAACAGAAAATGAGGGAACAGGAAATAAACTAAGAGTAAAACCAATTATATTGTCAGTGAGTTATTAGAATTAAGAATCCTCTCCTCTTCCCATATGTTTTTAATGTTTTCATATAATACATGTAATAAAAAGGTAATTATGCCAAATTCCATATACCATAGTTGATTATACACACACACACACACACAAACAAACATACATAGATGTATGCACACACACACACACAGTCGGCCCTTGATATCCATGGATTCTGCATCCATAGATTCAACCAACTGCGGATGGAAAATATTTTTAAAAATTGCATCTGTACTGAACATGTATAGGCTTTTTTTCTTGTTATTATTCCATAAACAATACTATATAACAATCATTTACATTTTTCATATTCTACATACTCTAGAGATGATTTAAAATATATGGGAGGATGTGCATATGTTATATGCAACTCCTATACATTTTTATATCCGGGACTTGAGCATCCATAAATTTTGTTATCCGTGGGACGTCCTGGAACCAATTACCCAGGGATACCGAGGGATGACTGTCTGTATATGTATATGAGTGTGTGTTGGAGGGGGGGGTGTACACATAAATGTAAACCTATAAAGATGAAGCAAAAGTTTTATATACTCATTTCTTTCTTGGAGTAAAGCTACAACACTATTTATTTGATATATTAGAATTGTATTCGTATTTATAAAGTTTAGAAAACCTTGAGGGAGCATGAGCATGCATTCAGGGAATAATGTTTTGAATATTTCTGCATCTCTTGACAATCTCTCATGAGCTCGACTTTTCCCTTTCTGGAAATATCCCACAGTATAACCTGGGATATATGAAAAGGGATAATTGTAGTTTTTAATTGGACAGTATCAAAAAGCACAGAGTGTTATAGGCAGACTACCTACCTAGCACATTTAGCTTTATCTTTGATATAGGTAGAAAAATTAATGTATCCAAGAGGAAACAATGATGAGTCCAGGGTATTTTCATCACAGTTAAAAACTTATCTGTATGTTCCCTTTTCCAAGGATCTTTCATGAATGAAGTTAGTGTCTTCTTACTTACTTTTATTATTTCTGTAGTATAACTTTTATTAGGTTCTGAAGTTTGAGCCTGCATTTGGCTCTTTTGACTCGTACTGACATTTTCAATAATCTCTTAGAAATGCCAGATCTTAAATGCATATAATCACCAAAATATAATAAATCACAAAGCAACTTGAAAGAAAAATTTTTGAACAGTAATATCCTAGAAGCTTATGAGGTGGAAACTTTGACACATGAAACATATCTGAGTTTCAAAGATATGAAACACATGAAACAAGCCTGCCTCTTGGCCTGTTTCAAAGAAATCTTGTAATTTTTTTCATATGAAATGAGCATAAAATGAGATTTCCCTTATGGAAACCCCAGAGCACAGGGATTTTACATTCGAAATTAGGATTTAGGGAATTATTATCATTTTTTGGAAGATACCAAGACCAGAAATCCACTGAGTCTTTTATACTGAATTGAAGAAAATATCTTGGTCATAAATATTAAAAAGTAGATTTTACTTAAAGTAGTTTTATGGAAGTTAAAATCACCAACAAGTCAGCCATTCCATAGAGCTTTAGTATTAAATACATCTTAGTGTTATTAAAATTATTTATAAAATTATAATTCATGAACACTAAAAAAATTGGTATTCTCTATTAACCATAACTCTCCATTTTTAATGATACTTCAATTCACAACAGCAAAAAATTATTGGGACTATGTATAATAATTCTGATGTTAAATTTTATTTTAGTATTCAGTTTACCTTATTCTCAGGTCCTATGTGTTACTTACTCTGTGAGGTTTGAGTATCTATGAATTTCTTTATCAAGGCATCAGTAGTTTGGGTATAAAGACTGAGAGCATATCTCAGAGACTGAAGATCTGGGCTTTTCTCCAAGAAATTCTTTTTCAGGCCATTTCCTCCTGCATGAAAGTATTGCTACAAAGAAAAAAAAATAAGCCGAGGCATTTAGAGAGAAGTATTGGAAGACAGAATTTATTACTCTAATAGAGAAGCTCAAATGGAATAATACAATTTGATCAATGCAAGATACAAAAAAATGGTTCCATCATTTTCCCATTGCTAAGTTATTAACGTCTAATTCAGGTCCCTAGACATCTCTGAAATGACACTCAACATCACAGACCTCATATCCCAGAAGGCCTAAGCCTTTATCTCTTATGCAAGATTTTAAACAAATGAGATCATGCTGATGTAGCAGTCAGAATCCTTATAGAATGACAGGTTTAGGTAACAATTATCAACCTGGTTATTGACTTCTGTTTCTTGAATATGAGAAAAATACCAAGGGTTGTCAAAATTTCACAGGGAAGGTAGCTTCCGGCCACATATTTTCCAGATACCAGTTTGAGATTCTAGGTCAGGTGTCTGCCACTCCATCTGCCCCATCCTCTAATCACACAGTGGTGCAGATATAGGCCAACCTGACGAAGCAGAGTGGTCCTTGGAAATCCAACACCCCTTGAACTTTGTGTCTGATAAATATAATAATACTTTTTTTTGCTATTTTTATTCAACCAAACTCAAAATTTTCCAATATTTATAAATAAGATAATAGAGAAGATATATGGTAATTGACAATAAATATGGTCACTGAGGGATGTTAGCATTTTTCATACTACAAGTGTTATGCACAGACAGACATCTCTTGGAAATGCAGACTGTCTAGAGATATATGATAGAACTAAGGATGTTTTTTTCTACCTGTTTATAAATGATAATAGATTTATAACATTCTATTAAGTTTAGATAAACGGTTCTCTTTCTCTCTTCCCGTACCAACAATGCTAGAGGAAACAAAGCACTCACTAGTAACTGTGGCTCACTGTGATCTATAATTAGCACAGAACGAAATATGTCAAAGAAGCTCAAGAAATTATTCAGAGACGCTCTCCTAAATGGGTATGTGTCATTCTTCTTTCCCACTCCTTAAGAATTTCTCAGGCAAGACATTTCAATGAGCTGATTTTCTCAGTTTTTTTTTCCCTATTCAAGGGGAGATGCAGAAAAATTTTATGGGTATTAGCTAGCATCTGGTTGTACTTTCCGAGAGTATACTGTAGAGGAGATTCAGGGTGTAGGCCAGAGAAATTAGGCAAATGGGATTTAAACTTAAGAAACACTGGTACAATTATAGATACCCTCCCCAGGCAGAAAGAAACCTATGGTCCTTTGAAATTCCATTTACTGATTCTAGCTAGGTGCTCTGTGAAAACACAGGCTTTGGCAAAAACTACATATGCTATGAAAAGGAGGCACAGAAAAAATGTCTTCTCTTTAGTAAAAGACAAAACATAAGTTTTAAATTGTTCTACACCTGGATCTTATAAAGAATGTTAAAACATTTTCACATGAAGAAAGTATTTAGAGGACTATTAGTCCAGAACTGTTTCAGGTGCCTTAATGGATGAAAAAATATGACAATTCCTTTCTTTGAGAAACACAGTATTTAAGGATGGAAAAAAGATTTCATGGATGTATTGAGGGGGATACACATAAATATAGATTGGTCTTGACTCTGTATCACCTAGAAGGGTGGTGGGGTGCTCTCTGGAGGACTGTTTACATAATGAATCAAGGAGCCATCCAAAGAAATAACTGTGCCTGAGAGTAAAGAGCAATGCTAGAAACTGAGCCAAGAGTAGGGGGGGAACTCTGGAAAGGAAGGCACTTTCTCTCTTAATATTTCTCAGGTAAGCCCCAGTCTTATAAAACCTGAGCAAAAGTGATAGATGATTATAATAAAAGAGGACGAGGAGGAGCAGGAAGAGGAGGAGGAAGAGAGGGAAGGAAAACCAAAACTGATAAAATGAAAATTTGCCACTTCTGGGGAAAAAGGAGCAGAAAAGATTAGTGGATATTCTGTCTATGATACACATTTGCGTTATTTTCACTTTTCATTGTCCTTGGGCTACTTTAAAACTCTATAAATTGTAGAAAATTAATAATAATAGTATAGATGATTTTTGTCCCTAGTAATACAAATTAATTATTTTGGGTGGAATAAAACTGAATATTGCTTTGCGGATAAATCTGTCTTGCCTCTATTCCAGCTTTTCTTATTGCTTGTATATGCTTGGTTTCTGGAATTCTCCTTTGAGACAGTAGTAACATCTTACCTGGTTCTCTCACTAATTGATGAATAACATTTTGACACATTTTATAACTGCATGGATATCACAATTATACTCTCTTTTAAAAACTGTTCTTTAACAGTGTATATAAAGTAGTATGAGTGACAGCATTTATAAGGATGACCACAGGATTTACTGTCTAATTTGTAAGATTGCACTGTGGATTCTTCAGTCACCTTAATACTTGACAGCATCTGTGGTAGTGTCTGCTGTGCCACCTGTTTTCTCCCTCTTTTCTTTAATAAATATTTATTAAATCTGTATCATGAGCCAGACCTTGTGCTGGATGCTAACATTATAAAGCAAAAGAGACACAGTGGTTGCTCCAAAAGGGATTATGATCTAGTAGGAAATGTAACCAACATTTAAACAAATGACTTCAACAATACATTGCAGGTGTTAGAAAAATGATTTGAAAATACAGATAATGGGGGAGGCATGCAATTCTGTTATCTAAGGAGCCAGCAAAGGCTTCCAAAGAAGTGACATCTTTGGTGGTTATGAGTTTTTAAGTACTGTTGTTTTTAACTTTAGCAGCCAGTAGGTAATTCACCCTCATGAACTAGAGACAGAGGACAATCCCACCAAGTAACCAAGACAAACCCTGGGAGTCTCGGCACTATCTAAGGAGAACTAAAGTGTTTGTAGTTCTCCAAGTATAATTCAGACATAGTTTTAAAAATACTGTTTTCCACTGTTATTCTATACCCATCACTAAACTTGTGCTGCCTCTAGGTAGTAGAGGGCCTATGGAAGTTAAGAGATGACACTGCACTCCTAAAAATTCCCAACGCTTATTAACATGGTAGAGGCTCTGAGGCATACTGTGGTAAAGAGATCTGTGTGATCGTTTATTAATATACCTTGTTGCTAAAATTATTAGGCCATAGGACACCTATATCACTGGGCTAATACTTTTGGGAATACAAGTGTTCCATGAAATATGATTTGGGAAACCCAAGAACAGAAGAATGTCACTGAACTTCATATAATTGAGATATTGTTGAGGGCCTAGAAAGCTTCATAGGAGAAGGTAAAAAGAGTTAAGCTATGAAAGCATAAACTGTATTTGTGCTTGAATCTTTTAAAATAGTTTTATAGAAAGGCATGTTTTTAATCCTAAGGCATTATTTTGTAGAACTCTGGGACTTTGGGGACTAATCAGGAAATGAAATCATAAATAAGGTGTGTGCTTGTACATGAGGAAAACCCAAAGGTCCCTAAAGTTTTAGATTACGATACTCAACTGACTTCCTCTTTTTTAGCCATAGAGTTTTACTTGTTATTCCGTTAAAGTCTCTAGCAGGATATTTACTGAACAGAAGTTTTTTAAGGGCAGAAACTAATGTCTTTGTCTTTTGAGTGCATTTTACAATATGAAATGTCCCGAGACAGAAACCCAGGACAGAGGGTAGCTATGTCAGAAGAGAAAACAAATTGCCAGGTGGTAAGAATGAAAATATCCCATTCAATGGACACAGACAAATAACATACGCCATAGGCTCCTCACTTCAACAGTGAAGAAGGTGATTTCTATGGTTATGCAAATGCAAACTTGACGAGAATTCTACTTTATGAAAACCTTTCACACAGTGTTCAAAACCTGGAATGACAGCATATAAGAGCACCAGTCTGGTTACCTTACTGGCACAGATAATCAGGAGAAAGGGGGCTGCAGTTATTACATGGACCTTGGCATTCAGAGATTTTACATTCAAATTTGACTCTGTGCCCATGACTCTGAAGGAACTGGAGAGTAGAATCTGCATTTTGCTGAGGCTTGGGTTTGAAGGATATAAATGTGAGGGTGATGTATGGAAGTAAATATCTTAATTATTAGACAAAACCCACTATCCATAGCTCAGTGCAGTATAGTTGATTACTACTCATTATAATGGGCATTTTGTTGGGGGATAACATGCTAGAAAGGAATTTGTAAATGTGGGGTTTAAAGCCCAGTAAAATGAAAACATTAAATATGTGAAAAGTGCATTATTTTCCATTGATTCTAAACAAAAGACCAAGACTTGGTTTCTTGTAATTCCTCTATGGCCTGCAGTATAATGTAAGAAACTTCAGTTTGATTTGTTCAGATGTTTTACTTAGACTGGCCTAATGTAGCAGGAAAAAATGGGCAAAAAACAGTTAGGACAGGTCATTTCCTCCTTATTGAAGAAAAGAATTTGTAACCTCTCAGTTGAAGGACTATGGAGGAGTTGGTCATTTAGTGCAAAGAAGGATAAAGACATTAGCTGGATGACATTCTCTCTTCCTCTCTATCATGGCTGATATTTTTGCTATGGACTTAAAAAAACAAAGGCAGAAAGCATGTTTGACAGATATGCAATTGAGCTGAAGCTTAAAGTTGTTACATTGGATGACAAAATTTGGCTTTAGAAGGGTCCCGGTAGTCTGGAATGCTGGGTCTACATTTCTAGAATGAGATGGCAAAGAGGAAAGTAAAAAGCCAGAATTCATAATACATATCAATATTCATGTTTACCACAAAGTACAGAATAGGGGTGATGTGGCTTAACAACAGAAAATTTTTAAAAGTCATAAAGATTTATTTGCTTTCAAATTCAACATGATTTCATAAGTGAGAAGGCAGCTATTAAAGCAAGTGAAATCTGACCATGCATCAACAGAGGTAGACAGGTCAAGTATAAGGGTTTGGTAAGGCAGGAACATTCTTCATTGGTTAGAACACATCTGGTATATTAAGTTCATTCTTGGGCTTCATCATTTATAAGAAATATGAAAAGTGGAGGCCTTTTAAAAATAGATGACCAGAATTTCATAAGGTCTACAAGGCATGTTATTCAATAAACAGCTTCAGATGATATAGGATGGCATGATAGTTTTCTTCGATATCTGAAAGTCTATCACACAGAAAAGGGAACAGAATAATTTTATAGTAGTTCCAAAGAACAGAAGGAGCACCAATACATAGCAGGAGAGCAGATTTTTCTTTGACACATTCATCAAAAATTTCCAATAATAATGCATCTTAAAAATCAAAACTTCCACTTGTAAGTTAGTGAGGTCCCGTCACTGGCTGCTATTAAGTGGTGGCCGGAAGACCATGTGCGGACAACATTGTAGATGACGTGGCAAGAGTGGGAGATGCTCAGTCATGTTTCCAATTCTGAGAGTCTAGAATCCTCTTAACCTCTTTGATTCTCTGATCCTTATAATATGCTAGAAAATATAATTCTTCATCTGTCCCCTATACAGTCAGACTTTTGCATAATTTATTTAACCTCTTAGGCTATCAGTTAATTCATTTATAGAATGGTAGCAGAAATATCCATTCTACCTTTGGTGTTGTCAAATGGTGATTACTCTAACTGGAAGAGCTATGTGAATGCTGGAGTTCTTTCCAATTGTAAGAAATATATTTAATTGGCAGAATAACATAGAACTCAAATAGAACTCAGCATTGGGTTTTAAGCATCAGCCCCTATCTCAAGCAGGTTCTTAAATATTGATTTCCACATTCCTGCCATTGCATCTAACTCCAACATGGCACTAGGAAAATAGCCTTCCTGGCTGTCTCCCATTTTTCTTGGTGGAACCATGCTTTCTCAGTCGCTGGGGCTGAAATCTCTGAGGCATTTTGGGCTCCTTTTCCTTTTTGCCCCATATTCAGTTGCCAAGTTCCAACAACTCTCCCTGGCTTGTGTCACTCATATCCATCTTTCCCTTTCTCCTCCTAAAGCCACCACCTTGCTGATAGCTCTCATCATCTTATGAACTAAATAACTGGAACTCAAATCTCTGGCTACAATCTTGAACTATGCAATCTAATTTGTGCATTTCCTTAAGATTCCCTATTGGTGAAATGACTTTAGCATAACCTTTTAAAATCATCGATGAATCCTCTTTTATGAAATATACTGAGGGCACAAAAGGACCTCTGTATTTTCAACCTAAACATTTCCCATCAACCTCATTTTACACTGCTTCATTATGCAAACACCTAGTTAAGTCCAGGCCAGTCCACAGAGTAGTCTACTCACTGCCTCCAAGCCTTCTTGTCTTGTGCCTTTCCCTGGTGAAATTCCTTTTTCCTGTTGATGTTCATGTCATGAGTCTTCCTCCAAAAAAAAACTTTCTATCCAGCCTGTAAACGCCCATCTGTCTTTCAAGACCATTGCAGCTTTTCCTGATCTCGAGTCCATACTGGTTGATCACATCCTCTAAAACTTTATGATATTTTTAATCTGTTTCCCTCAATTAGTATTTGGATCACCTGTTCCATCTCTTACACTGTTATAAGTTAACATGTATCATTATTTCATTTTCAATGTACCTCTCTCAGCTTTTAATCTGGACTAGAAACTCCCGGAGAGAATGAACAGCACTGCTTCTCAAAGGGGAGTCTCAGGTGTTAAAGAATCTAACCAGGGCTGTGCTCTTATAGGGAAAAAGTGCTGGGCCCAGGAATCCAAAAGGCCAGAGAACAAAGCCTTAAGGATTTGAACTATTGCTTGGGGAAAAGAGTCAGATTTAATAGTCAGCTCCTTTGAGAGGGAATTAAGGGTTTATTGGGAAAGGAGGAAAAAAGAAACACACTGGTTGCAGTAGAGTATGTGGGGTCTTGGGCTTAAGAGTAGAAAGAGAAGCCTCCAAAATGAACCAATCATCAGGCAATATAAGTGACAACTTAATATTTGTGAAGCGTTTTCTATATGCCTGCTTTAATTGCTTTGTATGTGATGACTCATGTAATTTTCTTTCAATAATCTTTTAAGTAGTAGTATTATTTCCATAGGAGAGGAGAATAATTTGCACATTGGTGTCTTTCTCTCTCTCTCTCTTAATCACCTCCTATCCTGATATTATACTTGTTAGTGGTATAATTTCCCATGTAGTTTCCAGTATTTTATTTACTTTTGTAATTCATAGCCACCTTATGACATTTGTAAAGGCTTCCACCCTAGATACATTAATACATTGGTGTCACAAATGTCAGGATGTGTGATAAGGAGCACTATTATCACCGCGGGGGTAGGAAGGAGCTATATATGAAGTATCATTTTCTCTATCTTGAAAAATAACTAGATTTTCTTTTTCTTCATGACTTTTCAGAAAATAAAGCACTTGAGACCTGGTTGTGATTTGAGAGGCAAAAAAAAAATAGTACTGCTAAATTTTAAAAAATCAGGAAAAATATTGCCTGCATGCTTGGCAAGCTATTTTTTTATAATCCCAATAAAACTCTCTGAATTCTTCTAACTCTTCAAACTTTTCAAGATTGAAGATCTTGCACAATATAATATTTTTACTGACTCATGGGAACATGCTATTGTTTCCTTACAAGATTATAAGAAGAATTCCCTTTTTTTGTTAAATATACTATTTTGGTAGCAATTTTCCATCATTACTTTGTTCTTTCCAACACCTGTATCATATTTTCGGCAAATCCAGGCAGACAGCTCATTTTGCAGACTTAGATATAATCATAACCCACCTTAACTTTATAATTTTAGAGGTTAGCCACTAAAGTTTTCTTTTTTTAGAAATTATTTGACAGATATTTTAAAAAATTATTTTCTACCACAACTGGAGTCCTCTTTTACACATCATAATATGTTCTTCCCGCCCATAAAATATTTCAGTGTTTCTCTTTTGCTGACAAACTAAAGTTGAGATTCTTTACTTTGGTGTTTAAGCCGCAGCATGCTGGCTCCAATCCAATGTTCCTCTTTCATTCCCTGTGATACTCAGCCAGTCATGATCAGTTCTTCTACACTAGACTATTTAAAGTTTTCATGCCGGCCAATGCCTTCTCTTCGGTCACTCATGCTGTGTTTTCTATAGGCCTGCAATGTCTTTCTCCCATTGTTTTTTCCCTCTTTATCCTCTACATCCCCAAATGTCCTTCTCTGGGAAGCTTTTCCCTGGAAATTCAGAGAAAATTCATCACCCTCTCTGCCCTCCCCCATCCTTTGATCACAATTATTTTGCTGACTATAGATGTTTTTGTTCCCAAGTCAAAGGCAGGTGCTCTCATCTCCAACCACCTCCTCATTGCTCACCATATTTTCTACCTACAGTAAGCTCTCAAATAATGATATTTGAATTGCAATCCTCTAAACTAGGTAGGTTATTTTGTTCTTCTCATGAGTAGCTGGATTTTAACCAAGGCAAAAGCTATACTTGTAATGGTGAAAAGAAGATGCTGAGAAAAAGCCCTTGGAATCACCCCATGGACAATGGAGATAGCAGGATAGGGCAGAACCTCTGCGAGGGTAAGAAACACAGAGGAATAAAATGTGGTTCATCACCATGCTCTTATGTTTGCCTGGAGTCCTGAACATAAGAAATGGTATTATCTAGGATTAAATAAGAAAGTAATAAGTTCCAAAGCTATATTTGAATTTATAGTTAAATTCCTTTCCTTATACCAAGAAATGCAGATTTCTAGAGGGTCCTGATTCACATGTTTATTGTTTTTGGAGAAACCTCAGTATTGCCACTGCATGAAGCCAAATATATTTGCAACATATAATGTAGTGTCATGTTCAGGCCCATATAACAGGGGTTCTGGGGGAATTTAAAAATTAAATCATTCAGCATTTTTTCAGGTCAAAGTGTAACTGCTATTTCTCTTTGAAAGAAATCTACATTTAGGGGAATCTCATGTCAGTCCTGAGTCTTCTTGAGATATGGGGTTGGAACTCAAAGTCCAGCTAGAACGCCTTTAAAGTTTCCCTATTGGCCTCCCTATTAGTTTGCACATATAGATTGGGTGACTGATTATCTGTCTCATAGCTGCCACTTTTCTACTTTTACTTTCAAACATTGTTGATTTGGTTGCTTTTCCGGGTAAATGGAATGTCTCAAAGCCCAACCATCCTACCTGCAGCAGATGATCATAATTTTTGTTACTCCTGCCATATTTGACACTCTTGACTTATAATAGAAGCTACATGTGACTGGTGTTATAAAATAGTTCCAGTCCAATTAAAGTTTTAATATTTAGAAAAGTTAATATTTTCATCAATATTGTATAGAGGCTGAAAGGTTTTACATTATTTTAAAATAATTAGAAAATAATCTAAGTAATTGACGTGGTATTTTAATATAGCAAGAAGTAATCTCTTTGAAGAAGTATCCCTTTTAGCCTGCTACATTTTACTTAAACTTCGTACATACTGATTGAAAAAATGTGACATAGAAGCAAGGACACTGGCTTTAGAATTTGGAGTCCTTTCTCAGCTCTGCCAATTACTAGCAGAGCTATGGCCTCGGAAAAACAACTGAAATCTCTTCACTTTTAATTTTCTCTATTATCAAAGGTGAATAATCATTCTTTTTTTATTATTATACTTTAAGTTTTAGGGTACATGTGCACAATGTGCAGGTTAGTTACATATGTATACATGTGACATGCTGGTGTGCTGCACCCACTAACTCGTCATCTAGCATTAGGTATATCTCCCAATGCTATCCCTCCCACCTCTCCCCACCCCACAACAGTCCCCAGAGCGTGATGTTCCCCTTCTTGTGTCCATGTGTTCTCATTATTCAATTCCCACCTGTGAGTGAGAATATGTGGTGTTTGGTTTTTCGTTCTTGCGATAGTTTACTGAGAATGATGATTTCCAATTTCATCCATGTCCCTACAAAGGACATGAACTCATCATTTTTTATGGCTGCATAGTATTCCATGGTGTATATGTGCCACATTTTCTTAATCATTCTTGACCTATCTAACACCCAGGATATTTACAAGGCAGGTGAAATGATGCACGTACATAAGAGAAATTTGAAAATGTAAAACATTATTTCAGCCTATATTCTAAAAACTTCATAGCATTTTCCTTCTTTGTTTTCTCATTTCTAGCTTATTCAATTAAATTGAGCTGAAGAGGAATTAAAGATTATCTCTTTAGCAGCCGTTGGAAATTAGCATGGGTAGCGTCTGCTCCTTTGGTCTAAGGTCATCTTTCTCATAAGGTCTCTGCTTGCATTATAGTGCTCCTTTGGCTGGGCTCCGGGGAGACATTGAATCTTTAGTTCTTGGAGTTAAAACTCTTTTAAGTTGTACTCTTCCTTCTCTTGAATTCCTTTGTAGTCAATCTCACAATTAATGTTTGGTAGGACAGTAAGTTGGTGCAAATCTCACAGACAGACAAGATAAAGGGAGTCTCAGCTTTGGCAAACTGATGACAGTCATTGAAAATCAGATATCAGGTGAATACCTTGGCAGATGGGCAGGGCACAGGGTCAAGAGAGTCTAATAGCAGGCACAGCAGGCCTAGCATGGAGGTGCCTAGAGAAAGAGTTGGCATCACAGAAGTTAGGGAAGAGGGGAACTGGAGAACTGACACACGCTTTGGGGCTCAGGAGGACCAGAGTCAGACTCCAGTCCTGGAGAAACAAGACAAATGGCATGGACCCATTTACTGGACCTAGGACACCAAATAGTAGTTTTGTCCACAAAGAACAAGGCCGGTGTCTGGTGTCTGAGACTGAATTAAAATATTAGTATAGATGATATAAACAGGAAGATAGGATAGTTGAGCTGTCAAGATAAAAGGAATTTGCTTGAGGATCAACATTATCTTAGACTCTGAGAAGAACTCAGCCAGCAGGTGGTGATCATCTGGCCCCATCAATAAAAATTAGAGAAATGTTGAAGTTAGAGACAGAAGCCAGATCTGTGAACACAGTGAATACCATTCCCTATTTCCACAGGACACATTTTCCTTCCTTTCCTAAAGCCATGCATTGACCTAATAAAATGCATGAAGAGTTGAATTCAGATGCCAAATTTTTTTCTTTTCTTCCTCTTCATGGTGCATGCTAGAGCTTATTTTTTTTCTACTAGCATGTCCTTTTATAAAGCTATTAGTGCTACTATAACTCCAAAGATTAGTTATTTCTTCCTCAAATTTTTGAAAATAATTTAAAAAAACTTTTAAAGTTTTTTATTGTATTTCTTTTTCATGTTGTTCATTTTTTCCTAAAAATTATTTTGCAAATTTTCCATATTTCCAGACAACATTTTGGCTACCTCTTTAGAAACTCCATTTCTGTGATCCAGGTGCCTCCAGGTGTCACAAAACTCTCACCTCCCAACTTTAATGTGGCAGTTTTTACCACTGCAGCAGCAAAAGACTGCCTCATATTAAATGCTGAAACTGCAAAACAAAAGCCACGAGGTGACAGTTTTGTGAAAGTATGTGACTGTTATTCAGATAGAACTCTGTTGAAATGAATACCATTGTTTCTATCCAGTAGAACTGTTCTATGCTCTACAAATGGGTCATGGTAGCTAACAGTTACAGTATAGTTAGTAGCTATGCTATTCACATATCTTGGATAGTAGATGTTTCCCCCAGTGAAGAGTAAAAACTTTGGACATCATTTGAATTTAGAAGACAAACTCATCTTTCAAACTCTTTAATAAACTTTCACATATAAATATATATGGATATAAATATAAAAGAAATTATTTGAAAATAACTTCTAGGTTACATTTTGAGATCTGCACATATTTAGCATACACTACAATAACTTTTAATCTTTGGCTATGAAAACAGCTGATGCGTACAAACGACATCTTTGGGTATTCAGCAGAAAATGAAATGAAATTATTGTACTTACTAAGCGAGAAGGGAGGGTTGATATTTTAAAAATAATTTCAACATGCATAGAAAACATATAAAAACAAATTCTGTCTACCCAAAATATTCTCAAAGCATCTGTTTATCTGGGTTTTAGGGTACATGTCTTTGAGAACATGTGTTAAAACATAGGTTTCACTTATGCTTTAGAGAGAGACAAAAGAAGCAAGTATAAGGACAGTCTATTGTGGATGTCATAAGGAGATAGACAGGGGTAAATCTGGCATCCTCCAGGAATGTATTAGGTTGGTGCAATAGTATTAATGGCAAAAACCACAATTACTATTGCACCAACCTATATCTATTCAACTATCTACTATCTCTTTGAATGGCGCAGCTCTACTGATACATGGCTAAGATCAGGGCTACCTATCTCTGGAGGTAAATGGGGGCCTCTCTCGATGTATATATAGGAGCATTATAATCTCACCTTGATGGTAGCCAGGACTACCTCCATTATAGCGCATTGTCTTGGCGTCAGACCCCTGGCATCCTCTCGAATCATGTGCTCCTGGAAAACAGGTGAAGAATTGCTTATAAAACAACCAGTTCATGTATTCAACAACTACTTGAAAACATAATCTGTATTATCCCCATATGCCAAACTTCCTATTTGAAATATCTTCTGCACCTGAATGCATTTAAAATAAAATGATTGTCATATATTTTATAAATCTCCTCTCTGTCAAAGGAAGAAATGTTCAATATTTACTTAAAAAGAAGTGCTTTGATAGAGGTGTGGCTTTATTTTCACTTGCAAACTAATGTTAGGGAAAAAAGAGAGAAACCTGGAAAATGCGTGATGAAATTTTGTCACCTGACTTCCTTGGTTTATGTCTGTCACGTTGAGGACTATCAATCATGAAAAGGATTTAAGGAGCAAATTTAAGCCTCTCCCAATTATTACTGATAAAGTCTATTTTAAATATAATGCCTCCACTTTATTCTTCTTCTTAGATGCCCTCAATTCTTACTCATTCCTGGGAAAAGCCCCAAGGAATTAACTAAATTTGGCTGTGAATATTTTAAATATTTTATAATCATTTTAAGTATTTTAGAACTGATTTTAAAACTTATTTCATTATTTTACAATGGAATTTCTTCGTTGTTCACTGTGGTCTGTTTCAACCCATCATACAAAGCTTATTTAGGGAAATGATGGCAGAAAAAGAAAATAATAAAGGAAATAAAAACTAAGGGAAAAATTTAAAAATGTCTGATCCCCCAAAACTGATACAATCATCCCAGGGCTGCCATTATTCTATTCGACAACACTCAACAAATATTTATTGAGTGTTTATTTTGTGCCAGCACTGTTCGCAGAGAATGAGATATATTGTTTAATACAGGGAAAACGTTTGTCCTTCTGGAGCTTAAACTTATGTAGGTGACTTTGTGAATTAGAAGAAAAGTCCCACGTGGGGGAACATAGCTCTGAGCAGGTATGGAATGAAGAGTAAAGCAGTGCCTTTGGTAAATAATAAAAGGTGTCTTATTTTTTATAAGAGGACAGCTTCAAGTTAACACATACGGCTTGGCAAGTGGAACATGGGCTCAATTTTGGCTGTCACTTGCTCCTTTAGGTATGCATTTTTGCATAATGCACAAACCACGCAATCACACCCAGTGGCTTGTCCTTCTATTTTGGCCTTTATCTTACTGTTTTATTTGGTAGTTGCCACGACTTCCTGAAGATAATAATCTATCTATGTCTCGCTCACTCCTTCAGCTTTTCCGTGTCTATTTTGGCAGTTGTTATCTGCTAGGCACTCAGTAAATTTTTGGTAATTGGATTGTACTTCCTTCAATGTGTGTCACAGATTTTATATGCTCCAATAGAATCATTGTCTTTGGATACTGCTAACAACATGGTATAATGTTTCATGGATCCATGATATATATTTATACATCTTACTGAATCTTTCTCTGATACGGGGATTTCAAGTTAATCATATGAGTTCATTTCACAGTTTTTAAATAGCAATATTATATACCCATTGAGACTCAAAGAGTAATAGAAATGTTTGCTGAATTATAGGGGAAAATGCTTTCAGACAAGTAATTAAAAATATTTTCTATTAAATAAATTTATCTGGCTTCATCAATCTTGACTGGTTTAACAATGTGGTCACATTATTTTCTAACAGATGCTAATAAGTGATATACGCTGGTGCTAGAAATATAATTCTTACTAGAAATAATTTTTTAGAATTTAGCAACAGATCATTCAAGTAAGGGGATCTCTGAAAGAGGCCAGCAATGAGTTATTGCCCAAGTAAAAAGCATGCAGTAAACTCAGAGTCTCAGGTGTATTTTCATCAATTGGTTTTAATATTATATCACCAGTTCCTGAAGATTTATGCATTTTTTTATGTCAAATAAATCTGATTATATGAAATATTTTGAGGCAAATATATGTTATATATAGCATATATTTAATATATATTATATGTAATACACATTATAAATGTTTTCTGTAATATATATTATATATTATAATTATATTATATATTATATATAATATTATATATTACAATATATAATATAATATACTAATACATAATATAATATAATTATATATTATATTATATATTACAATATATTCAATTATATATTATATATAATATTCTATATTGTAATATAGAATACAATATATAATATTCTATATTGTAATATAGAATACAATATATAATATATATTGTAATATAGAATACAATATATAATATATATTGTAATATAGAATACAGTATATAATATATATTGTAATATAGAATACAGTATATAATATATATTGTAATATAGAATACTATATATTATATATTGTAATATAGAATACAATATATATTATATATTGTAATATAGAATACAATATATATTATATATTGTAATATAGAATACAATATATATTATATATTGTAATATAGAATACAATATATATTATATATTGTAATATAGAATACAATATATAATATATATTGTAATATAGAATACAATATATATTATATAATGTAATATAGAATACAATATATATTATATATTAATATATATATAGTAATATAGAATACAATATATATTATATATTAATATATATTATATATTGTACTATATAATATAATTATATATTATATTATATTGTACTATATAATATATTATATATTATATTATATATTGTACTATATATTATATATTGTACTATATAATATATATTATATTATATATTGTACAATATAATATAATTATATATAATATATAATTATATAATTATATTATATAGTACAATATAATATAATTATATAATTATATTATATTGTACAATATATAATATAATTATATAATTATATATTATATATTGTACAATATAATATAATTATATATAATATATAATTATATACAATATAATATATAATTATATTATTATATATAATATATAATATATAATTATATATAATATAATATATAATTATATTATATATTGTAATATATAATTATATTATATATTGTAATATATAATTATATTATATATTGTAATATATAATTATATAATTATATATTATATTATATGCTGTAATATATAATATACATTGTAATATATAATATAATTGTATATAATATATAATTATATATTACATTATATATTGTACAATATAATTATATATAATACATAATTTTATATTATATATTGTAATATATAATATAATTATATATAATATATATTACACCTAATGAAATTCCAGATTATGAAGTAATAGAAAATGTCAAATTGTTGAATAAATACATGTTTAATGGAATAATCCCAAATCATAGCCAAACACAGAAAACCAATTAGTTCCCCACATTGTTTCATTTTTCTTGATCTTGTGTTCCTTTAGGCAGTTATCTATCAATACTCCTAAATAGGAGTTCTGAAATTTTCTATCAGTACAATTATTTCAAATAGCACCTTTTCAGCACATCATATCTGCTTTCAAATTAATATATTAAAAATTTAAAGACCCATAGTTTAACATTTTTTTTAAATGGGAGTGACATTCTAATAAAATAAGAGGAAATAGTTTTATACAATTTGAAGTTCTTCATGCCAGCTGGAGTTTCAGGTTTTTGCATAATACTGTAGGAGATTTATTGCTCTGTAATTCAAATAGTAATAACTAAATGGACTGATAATTTAAAAATAAAAAACTCAAAAGCCAATAATGGAATATGATACAGAACGAAGTTATTTTTCTCATCATCAATAGACACAAAGACTATCTTTAGTCCTTCATGTTATTTCAGTGTTGTTGAAATAATCCTGTTAGGTCATTGTATTTATAGTGTGCTTTTAGGTTATTAGAATTAAAAAAGAATTCAGTGAATTGAGAAAATAATGGGACCACAAAGCATGCTAAAGTGTTATGTTTTCTGTGGACCCTGATTTTTCCCACAGAGCATGTATATACCCTCTAGGGAACCAGTCTCTATCTCGATCAGAGTTCATAGGATTTGGATTGGGTTGTACCCAAACCTCAGGGTGAGTATGTCAGTTAAGCCAATTGGCACATGTCACTTCTCAGACCATGGTGACTGGTTTGGGAATGGTGATCATACTTCCTCAGAGCTACTGATATTCCAGGAGACTTTGCTGTGATTCCTTGCACTGAGATGGGTGTTTTTCTCTACAAGATTTGAAGTTCAAAAGATGTAACATCAAAGGATGTGAGAGCAGAGACAACCAACTTACACACAGAAATGAAGGTCTGTTATGGCAACGTATCAAACAAGGAGAAGGGCAGAGTTGAGAGGCAGTGAGTATCTGGGTCCTGTAAAATTGTTTGAATCCCTAATCAAGCAGTAACAGAAACCAGAGTTACCCCTGGACTATAAAATTTCATGTAGCAGTAAATTCCCTGTTTGCTTATGTTTGGCTTTCCATCACTTGAAAATGAAATAGTTCTAGCTGATAGAACACTCAACTCAGGAAACTGAAGCCTGGGGAGATGCAGTGTGCTTACTAACATCACACAGATATTAGATGCATGGCCAGGGCCATTTCTTTTGTAGTAAGACCTATGTTATTTCACCTTCATGGTTTTATGTGAGAAACTTCCGCAGTGTATAAATCCACTTTTCAAAGTAGGCTCCAGAAATCCCAGGGAGGTAATAAAAGGGATACAGAAAGGGATAAAGATCCAAGATTCAAAATAATAGTTTGGCAGTGACATCTACCTTTTATCTTTCCTTCCAACCATCAACAGCACTGAACATGTGTGGGTGACAATTTTAGGTGATAGTTATATCTTCCAGATGGATTACTGGTTTTAATTTTTGTGTTAGGAATGGGATAATGTGGATGATAAAATAGAATACTGAAATTATAAGGCACATATTTTACCTCAGTAAATAATTATACATTTTGTTTTTCCCCTGTGCTGTACATATGAAACAATCCAATACTCAATGGCACCTAACTTTGAGCTACCAGCTGGGGGAGGAATGAAGATAGCTCCAACTGCAAGTGGGAGGTGACATACACTTTGCAGTTACCAAGCAAAGATAATGTATGTCTTGTCTCATTTACACTCACAACAATCCTTATAACTGATATTATTCTTTTTTTGCATTTTACAAGAGCCACATCTGAAGATTAGGGAGGTTAAATACTTTGGCCCATGTCACATAGTAGGAAGCATTTGAGGAAGAATTTGAAACAAGGTTACCTGTGTCTGGAACTCATCCCTTAACTACATTCTAGTAGGTAGAAATGGAATAAAAATAGCATGTATTTTAGCCAGTCAAGTTCCTATGCTAGAGGAACAGGGACTGAAGTTTCCTGCCTAAATCCAGTGTTTTGGGAATCTCAAATTATAACTAAGCACAAGGTCATTTAGTCAGAACATCTCCCACTTGTAATGGTATTGAACATGTTGACAAGTTCAGTGCCTGCTTTGATGAGTTTCATTTTCCCGTACTGTGTTTCTTGGTTTGAAGACTTCTCTAGACTTCACTGGATTTCTATGCAGTGTTCCATTTTGTCTTTGTTCACATCAAGCCAGTTTAATATATGAAAGAAAATATGCTCTCTAATTTAATCCAGAAGCAATAATGCTAAATGCTGCAATACAAAGTTAAAAATTCCTAAAGCAGATTGTGAAATCACACACACATCTTCTTAATCCTGCCATGCTAGATACTATTACTAGGAGGAGGATGCTTGCAGAACTGTAGTTAACTCACTACTTTCCATGAATAAGTAATTTCCTTATTTTTATTACCTTCAGTTTGGATAATTGTCCAAGATCTTTAGCTGCAATGAAAATCATCTGGGGTCCCTAGAAACAAAGAAAAAGTGAGAGAAGACTCAGTCTTAAGATATTCAGTATTAGTCACAATAGAAATGCAGTCAACAGATAATTTCTTTATTTCCCTTATAAGACTTATGGCTTATGCCAGATGCCCTTAATTGGTCTATTATAAAGATTGGGTCAAATATATCTAGTACCGCTGGCAGTATAACAGTCCTCATAGGTGTCCCACTTTTCAAAGTCTTAAGTTTAGGTTAATGACTAGGTTGCTACTAATGTAGCCAGTTTAATGTAGTATATGGATTAAATCAGTGATCTTTAACTTTTATTCATTTATTTTTAGCAGAGGCAACTTCCTCATTCTACTCCCTGCAAAAATAAATGTATGCAAAATCTGAAGATACGGGGCTAAAGAAGGTGGAATTGCTCCTTCTAAAATGCTGTCCAGTCTATTAGCGACTACCCTCTTAACCCCTCCCTCAGCCAGAGGCTTTCTCTAGAACCCCAAGGCCCTGGGGAAATGAATTTGAAAAACACTGGAATAAACTATCCAATGCTTTACTAGAATGAAAAACTAGAGGCATGTCTGTTGGTGTATGTGACTGGAAAAGTACTAAATTTGGCCAAGTTCATTAGAGCTTGAAATATTGTCACAGGAAGGAAAATTAGCTATTCTGAACAAATGTTATCTAGATGTTTTATCGGAGTGTGTATTTTATTGGAGAATTAAAGACTATAAGTTTGAGAATAGTGACCGTGGTTAATTTTGCTCATATTTTGCCCCGTCACCTAGCACAGTGCCTAGTACATAGTAGGAGCTCAAAGAATATTTATTTAATGAATGAATAAATGATATGTATTCATACTTGGATATCTCAATGCTAGAGAAATTTTAGGTGATGGTAAGCTTTCCTAGGGAAAACCTTATACAGAAAATGAAATGTCATAGATAGCATTTCTACTGTAACATAATATATACATTCTTGAAAAACCTCACATTCTACAAAATTGCACACTAAAAATAATAGGGCTTATGGGAAAAACAGCAATGGGCAGAACAGTCCAAGCCCTTGCAATTCTGTTACTAAAGAACAATCAAAACCATAATTGCTACTTTGAAGAACAATCAAAACCATAACTGCTACTTTGGGATATGGCTTGGACAGCTAGCAGGGAACTCAGTGAAGCTAATGGTTGCCTCAAGGAATATTAAAAATGCAAAATATCCTGGCTAACACGGTGAAACCCCGTCTCTACTAAAAATACAAAAAAATTAGCCGGGCATGGTGGCAGGCGCCTGTAGTCCCAGCTACTTGGGAGGCTGAGGCAGGAGAATGGCGTGAACCTGGGAGGTGGAGCTTGCAGTGAGCCGAGATCGCGCCACTGCACTCCAGCCTGGGCGAAAGAGCGAGATTCTGTCTCCAAAAAAAAAAAAAAAAAAAAAAAAAAAAAAGCAAAAGAAACAAAACAACAACAACAAAACAAGAGTTCAAAAGTGGGCTGAGACAATGCTCACGCAAGTGGAGCTACCAGCAGACGGGAAAAGGTAGCCTGCAATCTGTGACAGTCATGCAAGCTTCAGTTTTCCAGAGAGGGAACCCATGATGTACAGTTACTCTCCTCTTTTTTCCTTTTTAAAACAGGTCTGTGAAGTAGCCAAGGTGAGAGCTTTTTCTTTTTCGGCTGAAGTTATAGTTTTTCTATTACATTCGAGAGCCTCTGACCTAGGGAAATTTATATATAAACCAACCCAACTTCCAGATTATACTGACATTCCTCTATTGAACAACTACATGAGTGCTAACTGGTGTTATGGAAATATATTATGTATTGAAGTAGAATGTGTATGTGTGTGTGTATTTATAAATGTGACTTAGAACCTATATATATGTAGGCTATAAAATGATTAAAGCACACATTCATGGCATTAAGCGAAACTCAAAGTAATTTATATTTTATCACTCACTGTCTGGCAGTAAATCAACAAAAACACAGGCATATTTGCATCTCGGAACACTTTATAAGAAAGTGTTTTCTAGGCATATGCTTTCACTGAATAAACATGGACTGAGTGTGTATAACTAATGTATAATAATGCATATTTTATTTCCATTTATACTTACTCATTATTTGCATCAATTTATCTTCCTCAGTCACGGAGAAAAAAATACATTGCCCCGTAACAGGTGCTTGTTAGTGTTATTTTTCCCTTGTTTGGCTCAGGATATGTGAACAGAGATACCTGGCTCTGTGTATCCACTTGACCAGTGTCTAATTTTGCAGCCAATTGATCTTTCTGGTTCTTTTCCTTTTTCTTTGTGTGATACAATCACATTTTTCAGATTCACTAAAAGATGCCTCCTCTATTAACTTCCAAGTGGGGAGGTAAGAGATGAAAGCATAATAGAAAGGTGAAAAAAAAATCCAAATAGCAGTGGTGTAACTATCTCCTTAAACTGTAAAATTTAAGAAAGAAGCACAGGGATACATTGTATCTTAATTCTATTTTCTTGAGGTCGGTAAAATTAAATAAAAATTGTATGTGTAAACCAGATAACACTATAAATAGAACTTTGATACATGTTTTAAGAGGTTAAGTTCTGACTGTCAAGCAACGTGAAGTCTGACTGCTATTGCCATTATTTAAAATTGACTTGGATAGGAAACTATCATTTGAATGATCATTGTTAAGAAACTGGATACCAAACACTTTTTCCCCAAAGGGATTTAATTAGTATTTCATCTGGATGAAAACCATTCACTTAAACCAAAAACAGATGGGTTAATGAAAGCATAACTAAACTTTATATACTTACTGTTTGATCTGTCAGAGGAGGAAGAACAATTTGTTTTTCTATTTTGTTGAGAACTAGCTTCCATAACTCTTTTAAAACTCGCTTTAGGACTGTTTTCTCACAGATTTTTGCTGAGAGACTTAATCTGAAAAAAAAATATATATATATATTCACTTTTAAATTTCAGATCAAGGTATCAATTTAGGCCTTTACGATTTTCAAATGCTAAATTCCATTTACTAAATTATTATACAAAATGTATAATCTCAAAAAACTATTTCATGATTCTGTACATTAGATAATTCTCTATATTTGATGGAAAATGAAATCAGCATACTTCTTTTCTTACGTTGTTTTCTAAATCAACAGGCTTTGGAAAGATAAATAACTTTTTTCCCATTATACTTTAAGTTTTGGGATACGTGTGCAGAATGTGCAGGTTTGTTACATAGGTATACACATGCCATGGTGGTTTGATGCACCCATCAAGCCGACATCTACATTAGGTATTTCTCCTAATGCTATCCCTCACCCAGCCCTCCACCCGGCGACAGGCCCTGGTGTGTGATGTTCCCCTCCCTGTGTCCACGTGTTCTCATTGTTCAACTCCCACTTATGAGTGAGAACATGCGGTGTTTCATTTTCTGTTCCTGTGTTAGTTTGCTGAGAATGATGGTTTCCAGCTTCATCCATGTCCCTGCAAAGGACATGAACTCATCCCTTTTCATGGCTGCATGGTATTCCATGGTGTATATGTGCCACATTTTCTTTATCCAGTCTATCATTGATGGACATTTGGGTTGGTTCCAAGTTTTGATATTGTCAATAGTGCTGCAATAAACTTATGTGTGCATGTGTCTTTACAGAAGAATGATTTATAATCCTTTGGGTATATAGTCAGTAATGGGATTGCTGGGTCAAATGGTATTTCTAGTTCTAGATCCTTGAGGAATCGCCACACTGTCTTTCAAAATGGTCGAACTAATTTACACTCCCACCAACAGTTTAAAAGTGTTCCTATTTCTCCACATTCTCTCCAGCATCCGTGATTTCCTGACTTTTTAGTGATCACTCTAACTGGCGTGAGATGGTATCTCACTGTGGTTTTGATTTGCATTTCTAATGCAAATGACCAGTAATAATGACCAGTAATAATGAGCTTTTTTTCATGTTTGTTAGCCGCATAAATGTCTTCTTTTGAGAAGTGTCTGTTCATATCCTTGTCCACTTTTTGATATTTTTTTCTTGTAAATTTGTTTAAGTTCCTTATAGATTAAGTAGACTAAGATTTAAGTTCCTTGTAGGATATTAGCCCAGATGGATATATTGCAAACATTTTCTCCCATTCTGTAGATTGCCTGTTCACTCTGATGATGGTTTCTTTTGCTGTGCAGAAGCTCTTTAGTTTAATTAGATCCCATTTGTCAGTTTCGGCTTTTGTTGCCATTGGTTTTGGTGTTTTAGTCATGAAGTTTTTGCCCATGTCTATGTCCTAAATGGTATTGCCTAGGTTTTCTTCTAGGGATGTTATGGTTTTAGGTCTTAGGTTTAAGTCTTTAGTCCACCTTGAGTTAATTTTTGTATAAGGTGTAAGGAAGGGGTCCACTTTCAGTTTTCTGCATATGGCTAGCCAGTTTTCCCAACATCATTTGTTAAATAGGGAATCGTTTCCCCATTGCTTGTTTTTGTCAGGTTTGTTCAATATCAGGTGGTTGTGGATGTGTGGTGTTATTTCTGAGTCCACTGTTCTGTTCCATTGGTCTATATATCTGTTCTGGTACCAGTACCATGCTGTTTTGGTTACTGTAGCCTTGCAGTTTAGTTTGAAGTCAGGTAGCATGATGCCTCCAGCTGTGTTCTTTTTGCTTAGGATTGTCTTGGCTATACAGGCTCTTTTTTGATTCCATATGAAAGTTAAAGTAGTTTTTTCCAATTATGTGAAGAAAGTTAATGGTAGCTTGATGGGGATAGCATTGAATTGATAAATTACTTTGGGCAGTATGGCCATTTTCACAATATTGATTCTTCCTATCCATGAACATGAAATTTATTTCCATTTGTTTGTGTCCTCTCTTATTTCCTTGAGTAGTGGTTTGTAGTTCTCCTTGGAGAGGTCCTTCACTTCCCTTGTAAGTTGTATTCCTTGGTATTTTATTCTCTTTGTAGCAATTGTGAATGGGAGTTCACTCATGATTTGGCTCTCTGTTTTTCTATTATTGGTGTATAGGAATGCTAGTGATTTTTGCACATTGATTTTGTATCCTGAGACTTTGCTTAAGGTTCTTATCAGCTTCAGGAGATTTTGGGCTGAGGCGATGGGGTTTTCCAAATATACAATCATGTCATCTGCAAACAGAGACAATTTGACTTCCTCTTTTCCTATTTGAATATCCTTTATTTCTTTCTCTTGCCTCATTGCCCTGGCCAGAACTTCCAATACTATGTTAAACAGGAGTGGTGAGAGAGGGCATCCTTGTCTTGTGCTGGTTTTCGAAGGGAATGCTTCCAGCTTTTGCCCATTCAGTATGATATTGGCTGTGGGTTTGTCATAAATAGCTCTTATTATTTTGAGATACGTTCCATCAATACCTATTTTATTGAGAGTTTTTTTAGCATCAAGGGCTGTTGAATTTTATCAAAGGCCTTTTCTGCATCCATTGAGATAATCATGTGTTTTAAGTTGCTGGTTCTGTTTATGTGATGGATTACATTTACTGATTTGTGTATGTTGAACCAGCCTTGGATCCTGGGGTGAATCCGATTTGATCATGGTAGATAAGCTTTTTGATGTGCTGCTGGATTTGGTTTTCCAGTATTTTATTGAGGATTTTTGCATCGATGTTCATCAGGGATATTGGCCTGAAATTCTCTTTTTTTGTTGTATCTCTGCCAGGTTTTGTTATCAGGATGATGCTGGCTTCATAAAATCAGTTAAGGATGAGTCCCTCTTTTTCTATTGTTTGGAATAGTTTCAGAAGGAATAGTATCAGCTCCTCTTTGTACCTCTGGTAGAATTCGGCTGTGAATCTATCTGGTCCTGGGCTTTTTTTGGTTGGTACATTATTAATTACTGCCTCAGTTTCAGAACTTGTTATTGGTCTATTCAGGGATTTGACTTCTTCCTGGGTTTGTCTGGGGAGGGTATATGTGTCCAGGAATTTATCCATTTGTTCTAGATTTTCTAGTTTATTTGCATACAGGTGTTTATAGTATTCTCAGAAGGTAGTTTGTATTTCTGTGGGATCAGTGGTGATATCACCTTTATCATTTTTTATTGTATCTATTTGATTCTTCTCTCTTTTTTTCTTTATTAGTCTTGCTAGTAGTCTATCAATTTTTATTAATCTTTTCAAAAAACCAGCTCCTAGATTCACTGATTTTTTGAAGGGTTTTTCATTTCTCTATCTCCTTCAGTTCTGCTCTGATCTTAGTTACTTCTTTTCTCCTAGCTTTTGAATTTGTTTTTCTTGCTTCTCTAGTTCTTTTAATTTTGATGTTAGTGTGTTGATTTTAGATCTTTCCCTCTTTTTCCTGTGGGCATTTAGTGCTATAAATTTCCCTCTCAACACTGCTTTAGCTGTGTCCCAGAGATTCTGGTATGTTGTGTCTTCGTTAGTGAAGGAGACATAAAATCCTTTACAGACAAGCAAATGCTGAGATATTTTGTCACCACCAGGTCTGCCTTACAAGAGCTCCCAAAGGAACCAGTAAATGTGGAAAGGAAAACCTGGTATCAGCCACTGCAAAAACATGCCAAATTCTAAAGACCATTGACACTATGAAGAAACTGCATCAACTAATGGGCAAAATAACCAGGTAGCATCATAGCGACAGGACCAAATTCACACATAACAATATTAATCTTAAATGTAAATGGACTAAATACCCCAATTAAAAGACACAGACTGGTAAACTGGATAAAGAGTCAAGACCCATCAGTGTGCTGTATTCAGGAGACCCATCTCATGTGCTAAGACACACATAGGCTCAAAATAAAGGAATGGAGGAATATTAACCAAGCACATCAAAAGCAAAAAAAGCAAGGGTTGCAAACCTAGTCTCTGATAAAACAGACTTTAAACCAACAAAGATCGAAAAAGACAAAGAAGGGGATTACAAAATGGTAAAGGGATCAATGCAACAAGAAGAGCTAACTAATATAAATATATATGCACGCAATACAGGAGCACCCAGATTCATAAAGCAAGTTCTTAGAGACCTACAAAGAGACTTAGTCTCCCATACAATAATAGTGGGAGACTTTAACACCCTACTGTCAATATTAGACAGATCAATGAGACAGAAAATTAACAAGGATATTCCGGACTTGAACTCAGCTCTGGACCAAGTGGACCTAATAGACTTCTACAGAACTCTCCACCACATATCAACAGAATATACATTCTTCTCAGCACCACATTGCACTTATTCTAAAATTGACCACATAATTGGAAGTAAAACACTCCTCAGCAAGTGCAAAAGAACAGAAATCATAACAAAGAGTCTCTCAGACCACAGTGCAATCAAATTAGAACTCAGGATTAAGAAACTCACTCAAAACCGCATGACTACATGGAAGCTGAACAACCTGCTCCTAAATGACTCCTGGGTAAATAACGAAATCAAGGCAGAAATAAATAAGTTCTTTGAAAACAATGAAAAATAACTTTTAAAGCACACAAAGTAAAATATCTTTAAAGGCAAATGATCCCTTTTTATTCATATTTAAGACTTATTAAACCTAGAGCAATTTCTGATATCGGTCACCTAGGTTTGGCATGACAGTTGAGAAAAGGACAACGGAACCCATATTTTTCACCCATGTTACAGCAGCAGAAGGCAGACCATTCTCCACAGTGGAGTCAGTCTCCCAAAGCACACGATTTTCACCCTCACCCCGATGTGTATTTAGTATACGCCAATGTTCATGGTCTAGGAACACCAAGGAAATACATTTTCAGCACTACTGGGCACTGGACCAACATAACAACATGGCAAAGGTGTATATAATTTCAATCAAGAATAAAAATTTACCTATTTTAATAGGTGTAAGGTATTCCTTACAAATTCTTCTCATGGTGACATAATGATGTAACATTATCTAGCATTTGTATAATACCTATACAAGCTATTCTTTAGAAACTTCTTCTGTATATATTTCTCATTTACTAGTATACCCATATTACAACTCAAAAACAGGCACAGAGGCTTGGGTACTTGTCCACGGAAGTGAAGCTAGTAAGTTAGATTCAAAGTTTGACTCTTCTAAATCCAGCCTGTCTTCCAATGTCCCATACTACCTCTGATGAATGTGCTTATGCAGGATGTTCCAGCCTATTTGAAGACACAGTGCTGCCTAAGTATCTATTAAATATACTATCATATGACCCTGGCCTCTTTGAGTCTCTAAGTGAATTAAACCTGTTTCACAGAGAGCCAAAGATGGGTCATATATTTCAGGGCAGCCTCATTGACTCCCTATAATGCTACTCTGTATGCTTTTGGACTCGGAAATTATAACCTGGGCTCTAGTCATGACAGACACATTTGGCTGTTTTTAATATTTAAAGATATACATAATTGTATTTATATAATTACAGTGGATAACATTGAAAGGCATGTGACATGTGAGAGGCATATACAGAGATTTTCAAGACACATTTTTATGTTAAAGTATTTATCCTAACACTGTGTATGTAAAAGCCCAATATATAAAAATATGTGAAAGCAACCTTCTCTGGATAAAGAGGAAGGTTGGGGACCCCTGAGGCATGTATGTGGAACTCCGGCTCCTGTAATTTGAAAACTGTTTTTCAGGGGTACCATTTTTAGCTTGCTGGTGAGTATTTGGCATGGACATAGGGTACAAAACAGCAGATGTGTCATGGCAGAATAACAAAGGCTATCCACAGAAAAATTCCTGGTATGATTGGAGACACAACAACTCTGCCAATTTTGCTGCAGATGTACAATTTCCACTTTCCAAAGATCCAAGTCTAAGAATTAATCTTGTGTTTACGGTCAGCTCACATACTTGGCATGCTGACTAACCCTGCTTAGACCGGAACTAAAAAAATAGGAATAAAATCATTGTCACGTGCGCAGCTCGTAGGATTTCTTTTAGTTAAAAATGCAGTTTACACCTCAATTTGTGAAGGGGTAAGGTCTTAGTGGAGAAAGTGCAACATAAAGAAGGAAGATGTTTTATTTAGAGAGGCTGCACAAAGACAAAAAGAGCTTATACATTCGCAATATAACATGATTTCTAAGGGAATTTTCTCAAACCACCTTGAAGACTTTCAAACCTCTATTGTTTATTTTAAATAATAGAAAATAATGGCAAACTAGCAAATGCCTCTTTAATTCAGTCTGAATTAATCAACTTGATAATGTAAGCTGAAAAGCATATATTTTAGAACCTGAGCTATCTAGATTGGCTGAATACAAAACTAATTAATCAGACAATTTTCAAATGCCATGTGTATTGGTTGGCAATAAAGATTTCCTGTCATATAATTAATCGCATTTTCATGAAAATTTACCTAGTTGTTTTCCCTCCCCTTGGAATGCCTGTCCCTCATTTTCATATATCTAAACTTTATCCACCTTTAAATACCCAATCCAAATCAAATTTTTATTCATTCTTTGAAGTAGAAATAAATATTGTACTCATTATCACTTTACATCTTACGTTTATTTGTATTCCTTTCTTATTTCTCCTCCTAAACTATTAGCTCCTTGAAAACAGAATCAATATCTGGCTTTTAAGCATCTCCCCTATGCAGTGGCTTTTAAGTTATGCATTCTGAATTAGCCCTGAGGATTTCTGCAATTCTCCATGACATATTTCTTTCAAAAGTTTTAAATGTCTTTTACAAATGCTTAAAGCTCATAGATTATTTCCTAACTTTATACGTTATCTCTTTCCACCAATAATTAAAAGATATGACACATATGGTGACATAATTTTCTAATTATACTTTAGTAAGACTGAGTAAAAATAAGAATCAAAATGTACTGAAAATAAGAGTCAACCCATTTTATCTATTAGCCCCGTTTTATAGATGGTGAAATGGATTCAAAGTCACTCAGCTAATAGTTGGAAGTACCAAGATTACTTAAAACTTTCTGTTATGTTCCACAACCTTGGCCACAGGACATAGAAAGCAAATAGTTTTGCTAATAATAAATAATACTTCTCCAAACTACTGATTGGACTTCTAAAAAACAGAAGGCATTCCAGTGAGAGGTTGAAGTGAATTGGGATCGCTTGGGCCTGCTATTCATCACCATCACATTCACAACCAATGTTGGGGTGTTTATAGTGATCCATTTCTGTGTTGTCCATAGAAAAGAGTCGTATACTAAGATAAAAATGTCCAGAGAATGTATAGAAAATTATGTTGTAAAAGTGAAAGTCTACATTAACTAACTAAAGAAATGAGGAAAAGTAATTCTCCTTCTCTCTTTCTTTACTTCTTCCCTTTCCTCTCTCCTTTCTTCTGCTTTTCTTCTGCACCTACTTCCCTACCTACATCCTATTATCTACTTACCTATATACCTATCTTCTAGATATTTCCCCACAGAGAACAAAACATAAGGCTTAATTTTCCTACCAAATATTGACATTAAATAAATAACAACATTAGACTTATGTAGTAAGAAGGCAACCAAAGGTAAATGGAATTAAAACAGAAGTCATAGTATACAGAAGATATTTTCCTATGAGTTATTTCTTTTTTATCCTTACCTATTTAAATATTTTATAATTATGACTGTGGGAAAATTTAGATGGAAAGAAAAAGAAATGCACTAAATAAGTTTAATTACCTGGAAGAATATCCAACTTTTTTTTCCTTTCCAACTCTTATTTAAATTCAGAAGGCACGTGTGCAAATTTGTTACATGGGAAAATTGCATGCTGTGGGTGTTTGGTGTACAGATTATTTTGTCACCCAGGTAACAAGTATAGTACCCAATACGTAGTTTTTGATTCTCACCCTCCTCCCGCCCTCCACTCTTAAGTAGGCTCTAGTGTCTATTGTTCCCTTCTTTGTGCCTATTTGTACTCAGTGTTTAGCTCTCACTTATAAGTGAGAACATGCAGTATTTGGTTTCCTGTTCCCGTGTTAGTTCACAAAGGATAATGGCCTCCAGTTCCATCCATGTTGCCGCAGAGGTCATGATCTCATTCATTTTTATGGCTGTGTAGTATTCCATGATGTATATGTACCACATTTTCTTTATCCAGTCTACCATTGATGGGCTATTTAGGTTGATTCCTTGTCTTTGCTATTGTGAACAGTGCTGCAATGAACATACGCATGCATGTGTCTTTACGGTAGAACAATTTATATTCTTTGGATATATGCCCAGTAATGGAATTGCTGGGTTGAATGGAGGTTCTGTTTTAAGTTAGTTGAGAACTCTCCAAGCTGTTTTCCACAGTGGATGAATTAACTTACATTCCTACCAGCAGTGTATAAGCATTCCCTTTTCTACACAACCTCATCAGGATCTGTTATTTTTTAACTTTTTACTAATAGTCATCCTGATTGGTGTGAGATGGTATCTCATTGTGGCTTTGATTTTCATTTCTTCAATGATTAGTGACGTTCAGCATTTTTCTTTATGCTTGTTAGCTGCTTGTATGTCTTCTTTTGAGAAGTGTCTACTCATATGCTTTGCTCATTTTTAATGGGTTTTTTTTTTTTTTTTTTTTTTTTTTTTTTTGCTTGTTAATGTATTTAAGCTCCTTATAGAGTCTGGATATTAGACCATTGTCAGATACATAGTTTGCAAATATTTTCTCCTATTCTGTAAGATGTCTGTTTACTCTGACAATAGTTTCTTTTGCTCTGTAGAAGCTCTTTAATTAGTCCTATTTTTTGTTTTTAGTTTTTGTTGCAATTGCTTTTGGAATCTTCATCATAAAAACTGCCAGGGCCTATGTCCAGAATGGTTTTTCCTAGGTTTCTTCTAGGGTTTTATAGTTTTAGGTTTTACATTTAAATCTTTAATCCATCTTGAGTTGATTTTTGTATACAGTGAAAGGAAAGGGTCCAGTTTTAATCTTCTGCATATGGCTAGCCAGTTATTCTAACAACACCATTTGTTGACTAGGAAGTTCTTTCCCTTCCTGCTTGTTTTTGTTGACTTTGTTGAAGATCAGATGGTTGTAGGTGTGTGGCTTTATTTCTGGGTTCTCTAATCTGTTTCATTGGTCTATGTGTCTGTTTTTGTACCAGTACCATGCTGTTTTGATTACTGTAGCTTTATGGTATAGTTTGAAGTCAGGTCCTGTGAGGCCTCTGGCTTTGTTCTTTTTGCTTAGGATTACTTTGACTATTCAGACTCTTTTTTGGTTCTAAATGAATTTTGAAATTTTTTTTTTCTAATTCTGTGAAAAATATTGCTGGTAGTTTGATAGGAATAGGATTCAAACTGTAAGTTGCTTTGGTAGTATAGCCATTTTAACAATATTGAGTCTTCCTATCCATGAGCATGGAATATTTTTCCATTTGTTTGTGTCATCTCTGATTTCTTTCAGCAATATTTTGTAATTCTTGTTCTAGAGATCTTTCACCTCTCTCATTAGCTGTATTTCTAGGGATTTTCTTGTATGTGTGTATGTGGCTATTGTGAATGGAACTGTGTTCTCGATTTGGCTCTCAGTTTGGATGCTGTTGGTGCATAGAAATACTACTGATTTTTGTATATTAATTTTGTATCCTGAAACTTTGCTAAAGTTGTTTATCAGATCTAGAATCTTTTGGGCAGAGACTATAGGGTTTTGTATGTATACGATCACATCATATGTGAACAGAGATTGACTTTCTCTCTTCCTATTTGGATGCCTTTTATTTATTTCTCTTGCCTGATTGCTTTGGTTAGGACTTCTAGTACTATGTTGAATAGGAGTAGTGAGAGTGAGCATCCTTGTCTTGTTCTGGTTCTCAAGGGGAATGCTTCCAGCTTTTGCCCATTCAGTATGATGTTGGTTGTGGGTTTGTCATAGATGGTTCTTATTATTTTGAAGTGTGTTCCCTTAATGCCTAGTTTGTTGAGGGTTTTTAACATGAGGCGATGTTGAATTTTATTGAAAGCCTTTTCTGCATCTATTGAGATGATCATGTGGGTTTTGTATTTAGTTCTGTTTATATGGTGAATCACATTTATTGATTTGCATCTGTTAAACCACCTTGCATCCTAGGAATAAATCCTACATGATAATCCTGAGATAGCTTTTTGATATGCTGCTTGGTTTGATCTGTTAGTATTTTGTTGAGGGTTTTTGCATCTATGTTCATCAAGATATTGACCTGAAGTTTTCCTTTTTTGTTGTGTCTTTGCCAGCTTTTAGTATCAGAATGATGCTGGCCTCATTGAATGAGTTGTGGAGTAGTACCTCCTCCTCAATTTTTGGAATAGTTTCAATAGGATTGGTACTAGCTCTTTTTTACGCATCTCATAAAATTTGGCTGTGAATCCATCTGCTCCAGGGCCTTTTCTGGTTGGTAGGCTTTTATTATTACTGATTCCATTTCAGAACTCATTATTGGTCTGTTCAGGGTTTCAATTTCTTCCTGGTTCAATCTTGGTAGTTTGTATGTTTCTGGGAATTTATTCATTTCTTTTAGGTTTTCCAGTTTGTGTGCATAGAGGTCTCTGTAATAGTCTCTGAGGGTTATCTGGATTTCTGTGGGGTCGGTGGTAATGCTCACTTTGTCATTTCTGATTGTGTTTATTTGAATCTTCTCACTTTTTCCCTTATTAGTCTAGCTAGTGGTCTACCAATCTTATTTATGCTTTCAAAAAACAAACTCTGTTTCACTGATCTTTTGTATGGTTTCTCATCTCTCAATTTGATTCAGTTCAACTGATTCTGGTGATTTTTCTTCTGCTGGCTTTTCGGTTGGTTTATGATTTACTCTTGTTTTCCTAGCTTTTCTAGGTTGTTAAATTGATAATTTCTAACTTTTTGATCTGGATGTTGAGCACTATATACTTTTTTCTTAACACTGCTTTAGCTATGTCCCAGAGATTCTGGTATGTTATACCTTTTCTTTTACAATTTTCAAAGGATTACTTGATTTCTGTCTTAAATTCATTGTCAAAAGTCATTCAGGAGCAGAATGCTTAATTTCCATGTAATTGTATAGTTTTGAGAGATCATCTTAGTATTAATTTCTAATTTTATTGTACTGTTGTTTGAGAGTATGGTTGGTATGATTTCAAATTTTTTGAATTCATTGACAATTGTTTTGTGGCTGATTGTGTGATTGATTTTAGAGTGTGTGCCAAGTGCAGATGAGGAGAATGTATATTCTGTTTTTGTTGGGTTGAGTATCCTGTAGATGTCTGTTAGATCCTTTTGGTCAAGTGTAGAGTTTAGGTCCTGAATATCTTTGTTAGTTTTCTGCCTCAGTGATCTGTCTCAGTGGGATGGTGATATTATTGTGTATTTATCTATGTCTTTTCATAGGTCTCTAAGAAATTGCTTTATAAATCCAGATACTCCAGTGTTAGGTGGATATATGTGTAGGATAGCTAAGTCTTGTTGAATTGAACCCTTTATCATTATATAATGATATTGGGTTTTTTTGGATCATTGTTTGTTAAAAGCCTATTTTGTCTGAAGTTACAATAGCAACCCCTGCTCTTTTTTGTTTTCCATTTTTTAGGTAGATTTTTCTCCATCCCTTTACTTTGAGACTATGGGTGTCATTGCATGTGAGATGAGTCTCTTAAAGACAGCTTCCTGCCTTTTAAGTGGGACATTTAGTCCATTTATATTCAAGGTTGATATTGATATGTGCGATTTTATCCTGTTGTTGCGTCTTTAGCTGGTTGTTATGCAGACTTGATTGTGTAGTTACTTTATAGTGCCTATAGTTGATATACTTAAGCGTATTTTTGTGTTGGCAGGTATTGATCTTTCATTTTCATGTTTAGCACTCCCTTAGGGACATCTTGAGAGGCAGGTCTAGGGTAACAAATTTCCTTAGCATTTGCTTGTCTGAAAAGGATATAATTTCTCCTATGCTTATAAAACTTAGCTTGGATACTAAGACTGCTGATTATATTAGGAAATTCTTATAGTGAGTTTTGCAGCTCCATCAGACCACTTTGATTCTTTCTTAAAATGGCTATTTTGTCTTTTAGCCCTTGTATCATTAGATTCCTTGGGTTCCTTGGATTGGCTTTTGACTTTCTCCTGAATTTTCATCTTTTTTCCTATCCAGATGCCAAATTCTTTATCTGTCATTTCAGCCACATCTGCCTGGTTAAGAACTATTGCTGGGTAGCTAGTGTGGTTGTTTGGAGGTAGTAAGACACTCTGGCTTTTTGAGTTGCCAGAGTTCTCATGCTGGTTCTTTCTCATCTGCATGGGCTAATGTTCCTTTAATCTTTTAAGTTGCTGTTGTTCGAATAGTGTTTTTTTGCTTTTATATTCTTTCATGCCTTTGAGGCTTTGAGGATTTGACTGTGGTATATATTGGGTTCAGTCAAAGTCAACTGGCTTCATTTCTGGAAGATTTCAGGGGGCCAAGGCTTAACTTGGCATTCCTGGATTGCATGTCCTAACCCTGGGGCCTGGTACCAGGCCCATTACTTTGTTTTCTGTCTCCTCAAGGACAAGCACCTGCTGCACTGGAGGGGCGAAGGTGTTCCTGGTCTTCTGGTAACAACAGTCTGATGGAGAGTGCTGGCCAAAGCACTTTGCTGGGGCAATGGCTGGTGGCAGCGATGCAGTGGTGTTTACGTGTGCTGGTGGCAGCAGCAGCACAGTGGGGTGACTGTTGTCCTTGTCTTTAAGGAAAGACATTGTAATTTTTCTTTTATTTAAATCTTGGTCCTTTTGATATTAGTTTGCCACAACAATAATAAATGAGATTATGTAAACTAACATATATGACACTGGTCCCTTGGTAGGCATTCAAAATTATTATTCACTTTTCTCTTGTACATTCAGTTCTGGTTTTGAGTATCACTGTTTACGAAATCATGTTTCTGGTTGCTTTAGATCAATGATTCCCAATCCCAACTGTGGACACATTACAAATTGTAGGTGCTCTGACCCTGCCTCAAACTTACTAAATTAGAACTTCTAAGAGTAGGAACAGAACAAAAACCTTAAAAACAAACAGAGCAACCAACCAAACTTTCAGGTTAAGAATTTGTCTTAGTCAGTCATAATGGCCTGCATTCCCATGCACTCCCACCACTATTAAACTGTAATCTCCATGGTATCAGGGACTTCGGCTTTCTTTTTCTTCACTGTCCAGTGTGTAAAATATGGTTTGATACAGGTGAGCACTCAATAAATCGTTATTGAAGGTTGGGTCAGGCAGCTATCTGCTTGCCTCTGAGCTAAGTTAATTCTAGTCATATTTGTGCTATTCTCTTTTTCATCAGGTTTCTGACATGAAATCAGCTATTCTGGACTCAGCTCAGTCTTTCTCTATGTCCAGGAGGATTGAAAACAATATGGTATCCAAGGAACATGAAGTTCTAAATCTTTCTCTGCCTCAGAACAGCAACCTCCTTAGTTATAAAATTTATTTCCCCTCTTTCTTTCCTTTCTTGTACAAAGTCATTCCTAATTTATTTTTATCTAGTAATCAATTAAAGGTATGTTGCTTTTTAATGAATTTATTTATTTATCTTTGAATTCATTTATTTCTATAGAAAGACTTTTAATGCTACCTTACACAGAGGAAAACAATGTTTTTCTTAAAGCCTTAAAGGTCAAATTTAGGGCAATAAGTAAAGAGAAAACTGGGCAAAAAAACTTACGTTTTGTCCAAAAAATCCATAAGAGATCTTAACACAATCTCTGCATCCATTGCTGCACTGTTCTTATTAGATGTGGTGTTTCCATTTGCTCTCATTTGATTTAGTTCGAAACTCATCTGTTTTATACACTCTTCAATTATAACCTGGAAACTAAAAATAAAGAATATAAATTCTAAAATATAAGAATACATTTTGCCTGAGCCTGTTCCAATTTCACCCTGAGGATTTTGATCTGTTTCAACTGGTGTGAATTCCCCTGCTCATGAGTTTTCGAATTCAATGTTTAACTGCAAAAATTTTTGTTCCAATGAAAGCTTACGTGTAATACTTATAAGTAAGGCAGATAAAAGTGCTGTTCTTCAGGTTGAATTAATTTGAGTGGAGGTTCATTCAGTCCCCACCTCTGATAGTCACAGTTGAGATGTTCCTCTGAGCACGGTTTGGGAAAATGACTGCTCTAAAAAGACTCTTGCAGTATTTGGTTTTCTGTTCATGTGTTAGTTTGCTAATGATAACGGCCTCCAACTCCATCCATGTCCCTGCAAAGGACATGATGTTGTTCCTTTTTTTGGCTGAATAGTATTTCATGGTGTATATGTACCATAGTTTCTTTATCCAGTCTAGGGTTGATGGGCATTTAGGTTGATGCCTTACTTTGCTATTGTGAATAGTGTTGCAATGAGCATATGCATGCATGTGTCTTTATGGTAGAATGATTTATATTCCTTTGAGTATATACCCAGTAATGGGATTCCTGGGTCAAATGGTATTTCTGTCTTTAGGTCTTTGAGGAATTGCCACACTGTCTTCCACAATGGAGCTAAATGATGAGAACGCATGGACACGTGGAGGGGAACAACTCACAGTGGGGTCTATTGGAGGGCAGAGGGTGGGAAGAGGGAGAGGATCAGGAAAAACAACTAATGGGTAGTAGGCTTAATACCTGGATGATGTATTATAATGTGTATAACAAACCCCTGTGACACAAGTTTACCTATGTAACAAACCTGCACATATACCCCTGAACATAACATAAATTTACAAGAAAAATGAAGTACTGCCACTGCCACCATATAAATCAACCATATGCTTAAAAGCATTGTGTTAAGTAAAGAAGCCAGTCACAAAAGACCACATATTGTATGACTCAATTTATATAAAATATCCAGAATAAGCAAATCCATAGAGACAGAAAGGAGATTAGTGGTTTCCTAGGGCTGGAAAGGAGAGTGGAATGGGACTTATTGCTAATGGGTATAGGGTTTCTTTTTTGTGGTGATATCAGTGTTCTAAAGTTAGATTTTGCTGAGAGTTGCACAATTCCGTGAATATGCTAGAAACCACTCACCTGCGTATTTGAAATGGGAGAATTTTATGGTATGTGAATTATATTTCAATAAAATTTGTTGTTAAAAAAAAAAAAAGAAACACTCTTGGCATCTGGATACACCTTCTTCATTTGGATTCTGTGACTCCACACCTTCTCGGCTTTCCTCTGACCTCACAGGCTGCTCCTTCTCAACTGCCTGACCTCTAACCATTGGAGTAAGGTTGCCATATTTATCAAATGAAAGCACTGGACACTGAGTTAAATTTGAATTTCAGACAGTGAATAGTTTTAGTACAAACATGGCCATGTAATATCTGTAACACAATTATACTAAAAATTATTCCTTATGTATCTAAAATTCAAGTTTAACTGAGGGTGTTCTGTATTTTGTTTGGAAATCCTACACTGTGATCCTCTGGGCTTCATCCTTGGACCACTTCACTTCTCCATCAGCAGTCACTTTCTTGGCAATCACATCTAGTCCCATGGCTTCCATAGCATCTATATACTGGTGGTTCTCAAATTCACATCTGCAGACCTGACTTCTAACCCAAACTCCAGACTATTTTATTTAACTGCCCATGCAATCTTTCCACTTCAAAGTCTGATGAGTTTCTCATACTCAACATCCAACCTGTCAGCGAAATGTATCCTAAATCTGAGGATTTATTATTACTTCCGAAAATGCCACTATAGACCCCTTTACCATCCTCCCACTTGAACCTGTGCAATAATTTCCTAAATTGCTTCTGTTCAACCCTCTACAGATAGCCTTTTAAAATAAAAACCAGATCATGTTCCTCCTTTGCTAAAAATCTTCAATAGCTTCCAACTCCACTTAGAAAAAACTCTAGTTGTATTTGACAGACTGAAAGCCCAGCATAATCTGGCGCTGGCAATCTCACTGATCTCATTTCTTGCCACTCTTCCTTCTGTTTCATTGCACCAGCCACAATAGACCTCCTGGTGTTCTTAGAATTCTCTGAGGACACTCTTATCTCATGGCCACTGTTATATTCCCTCTGCCATGGAAGGAAATTCTCATGGCTCTCTTGGTCCCTCGTTAATTTCAGGCATATATCAAATATCACTTCAGAGAAATCTTCCTTGTTCACTCAAGCTGAAATGGCATTCCTATCCATCTCTGTTCCCTTATTGTTCTTTTTTTCTCAATGGCATTCTTCATTATATGACGCACTGCATAATTTAATTTATTTGCTTATTGCCTGTTTCCCTCCCTATAATGTAAGCCCCATGAGAGCAGGAATTTTGTTTTGTTTAGTGCTGCATGCCCATACCATGGCACAGGATGCCATGCTTGGCACAAAGAGGTTATGCAGGAAATATTGGGACAGTAGTTAAAACTGCTGCATTATATACTTGAAATTTGCTAAGAGGACAGATCTTAATGTTCTCAGTACACACACATGCACACAGACAAACACACAAATGGCAACTCCATGAAGGTGATAGATACGTCAATTATCTGGAATGTGGCCATCATTTTATAATGGATATGTATATCAAAACAAAGTTGTATACCTTAAATATACATAATTTTTACATGGTAATTATAGCTCAATAAAGCTATTAAAAAGGAAATATGTGTTGAATGCATCAATGGACCATCTCCTTCCACCTACCTCTATTGCCTCACCCACTCTAAGGATTTAAATGTCACGAAGAGCAATATTTCGTATTGCTTTTTTCATTCTGTATATCCCCTACACCAGTTTTGATGGTTCTTACCTAAGTAAGCATGGCAAGTAGTAAGATATTCAAATCTTGGAGACTGTTAGCATCACCACCATTCCTCTATATTGTCTGCTATTCTCATGTTTCCAGCAATAGGAGTAATAATAACAAATGTGTGGGCAGGCAAGAAAAACTACTTAGGAGAATGAAGATCAATGAAAGCTTGGAAAATGGTCAAATGATTGGAATGGTAATGAGGAGAAGGAGGGAATTCATTTTAGTATTGCAGTCAAGTCATTCCCACTCCTCTCCTCCTCCACACACAATGATGATACAGTTAGTATTTGAGAAGTATCTAAGTGCATAAATTCCTCAGATTTTAAGTAGAAGTTTAGGAATGTTCACTATATAATGCTTTTATTAAATAAAGTATACACATTTATTTATTCATGCATACATTCTCCACATATTTACTAAACTATTATGTGCCAATCACTGTTCTAGGTGCTGAAGATATATCAATGAACAGAACAGGCACAGTGTTTTGTTCTTAGAGCAAATATGAGAACTTGTATTTTAGCATTTACATTATGGAAATATTTTAGTTGACATCTTGTTAAGTATTTCATTTTTCTAGTTTTTGGTTTTCCATATTTGGTTTTCCATATACATATTTCCATGCTTAATATGGAAAAATTTTAATAAATGTTAAATTATCACAACTTGGATGTTTTTCTTGCTTCTGGGCCTTTAATAGCAGGGTTATACATACACTTGTTCATAATTTTGTGTACATATTTAAGGCCTGATTCCACTTCTACCATCAGGTTTGATCTGTCTCCATTTTTGGCTCCTGAATTCTTGGATTTCTTTACTGTTGACAACACCATTCTTGCCCCTCTGGGCTTGGCATTTACATTTGGTTCCTTGATCCTTGCATCTCAGCTGGCCCCTTTGAATTTGTCTCATTTCTTGGCTCTCTGCATATTTATCTGCTTTAAAGGAACATTCTCTTCCAAGCTGTCATCCAAGAGAGTCTAAATCCTTGATTATTTCACTTTTATCTGGCTGAAGCTGCCTTTGCACTTTTGTCAGGTAGAGGTTGCAAGAGATGGTGGGGAAAATGATGAAGGGGATGTTGTTTGTGGTGGAGTGTGTATTGAATCAAAGTAAAGGTAGTAGATACTTGGGGCAATAGAAGAGGAAGGCAAATCATGCTGAAAATATTTTGAACTAGTTGATTTACCACGGGGTCATCCATGATCCTGCTGGCTGTAGTCAAAATCACCTTTGAAATGACTACTTTCTTTTGCACTGATTTTCGAATCAGTGCATTGGGGTGGGGAGATAGACTGATTTTGCACTGATTTTCTTTTGCACTAATTTTCAAATTAGAGCATTGGGGTGGGGGGACAGACTGGACAAGGGGTGTGACAGTTATGTTCCTATTATGTGAAATTTATTTATGCTCCTATTACGTGAAAAAATAGAAAAAGAATAGACTAGAAAAAGAAAAATAGAAAAAGAAAAGGTTTAAAAAAAGCCTGTATTAACTGGTTTGAATAAAAGTAGTGCCAGTAAATAATTAAAGATTTTCGGAGCACCCAAGGAGCCACACACTCACAAAATAATGCCTACGAAATATTCCTGAATTTTTTTGTTTACTTAATCTAGCCAGCCTCTAGTACTAAAGGTGTTGGTTAATAAGAAAAAAAAAAAAAAAGGAGCAAACCAAAAACCAAACTGCAAAACATGTGTAAGCAGAAACCCTAGTGGCACACCTTTTGAAAGTTTTAAGACCATCTTCAAGTTATTGTTGAGGTTATATCACTTAGTCTCAGTTCCCAGGTAGGTGCCCTGTGAGCATGTCAGGATTCCACAAATGTGTGGTTTGGCTCAGCTCTGACTTTACAGCAAAGACATCCTAACAGCTGCATATAGTAGAATTATTTAATTATGAGTTTTAATAACATAAAATCAAGTGGATTTTTTACAATTAATTATGCACTTAATTCTAAAACTCTACACTGCCAATTTAGACCTTAAGAAGAGTAGGTTCAGACTAAAATTGTGCATTGTGACTTCACAGCATGATCACATTGATTACTGTAGACTTTTCTACCCTGACAGTATAATATAGACCTGATTGGTAGTGTGAGGAATAAAGCCACAGCAACATAGCAACAAGGATATAATAATTATATTTTTTATTAGGAAAGCATGACATGTAGCCCATTTATTCCAATAGTCCTAATAAACCCTAATTGAACAGAGTACTAAATTCTTTCCTATATTTAAAAAATCAATAATAAATGGATTCTGGGTAGCCGCAGGTTTTACTGTTTAGGCTAAAATAGCTGGCTTCATACAAATAAAGCTCTTCAAGTGTCCTCCTAAGGATACTACTCCTTCTTTCATAACTGTGGTTTATCCAGATATCTTTCGAATCAGAAAACATATTCTAGCCTTTATAACCTGAATATTCCACCTCCCCAAACAAAACAAAAAGCACTTATCATCAGAATGATTTAGATATTTTACAGAAAATAATTTAAATATACTTTACTTATATTCTAGTTTCTACTCTGTTTAGTCATCTTATTTTCCATAAAGTTCTGAACAACTCTAGCTATTCCTGACCTCTTTTTTTTCCTCCCCCTAACTTTGCTAAATAGTCTCTAATGTTGCCTCTGTGACTGAAGGCAACAGTCTTTCTGCTAACCCCATGTTAATTTGCAACTAGAACAAAGAGAGACACACCTGAAATGGCTCAGCAAAGGCCTCTTCATCTCTCAGTGTCACCCCAAGTCAGAGCCAATGAACCCTACATCTCTGGAACAATCTATGTTTCTCCAACTTCAGGTAAACAGAACCTTGAAATTGCTGACTAACATCCCGGTGAAGTAGGCAGGATCATCCAATCAGCTAACAACACTGCAGAGGCAGAATGACTACCCTTGGCTCAACACAGCAAGGCTGCTCTGGCTCAGCAGCTGAGCCCTGAAGGTGAGTTCCATGAAGACAAGGCCACCTTGCTTAAGGAAGTTACAGACACACCTCTGATAATGAAGAGAAGGCTAAGTGGGAGATTATTCTTCACTCTGCTTTATTCCTACATCTAAGAAGAAAAATATGATGCTTTCAGAGTCTTTTGTCTTTCTTATTTA